>NC_000001.11:185684587-186309587 GCF_000001405.40 Homo sapiens
TTTTGGAAAGATAGTGGTTTCAAGTTGTGCCTGAGAGACCAGGAGATCCCTTGTAGATGGTGTCACATTCAAAACAACACCAATCAGGCAATGAAAATTAATTCAACGGAGTTTAAATGTTTATTGCAATGTCCCAAGAAAATTCCTTGCTATGTCGCCCATGCTGGAGTGCAGTGGTGCGATCTCAGCTCACTGCAACCTACAACTCCCAGGTTCAAGTGATTCTTGAGCCTCAGCCTCCTGAGTAGCTGGGACTGCAGGCACACACCACCAGGACCAGATAATTTTGTATTTTTAGTAGAGACAGGGTTTCATCATGTCGGCCAGGCTAGTCTCAAACTCCTGATATCAGGTGGTCTGCCCACCTCGGCCTCCCAGACTACTGGGATTACAGGGGTGAGCCACCATTCTTGTCATAGTAAACCTCTTCAAATTTTCTCCCTGACATCTCTTTCCTGCCAAAATCTGTCATGTGAACTTCATTCACGTACGCTGTCTTGAATTCGTCACCTTTTATCCTTTGCTCATCTATTTTGTATTCCTGCTTCTGGCCAGTAGTCCTGTAATATAAATCCAGATAAACTTCAGGCTTTTTCCATTTCCTCTTGGCCCATCAGGCCAGATGGAAGTCTTCTCAGTTCCATGGGGGCAGGAAGAAAGTTATATAGTAATGTCCATTCTTTGTTACTCTTACATGATGCAAACTTCCATAGGTCCTGCAGCATCTATTTGGATGATAGTGAGATTCTGCCCAATGCTGTTCCCCAAGAGTGCAAATCCTAATTATTACAGTTGAAATTGGTCTTTCTCCTTTTTCTGCCAGAACACAGTTCTGCCACATACTTCAAAATTCCATCATCAGTGCCTTGACAATGTGTACAGTTAATTGGAATGCCAATGCCACTGTTTAAGACTCAGAATTTTGCCTGGGTGCTTCATACACAGTAGGCAGCATTCTGGGGCTTTTTGATGAATATAGGTCCTCAGTGAAAGAAACCGCTGGGTGGGAGGGGAGGCAATATGAAAAGATGTGGGGCTGGAAGCCACCAGGGTACTGCAGAAAGCTGATTTCTTGTAGAATTCAGATTTTAGAAATGCATAAAAGTATATCCTCTTGGGATTAAATTGGAGACTGGATTGCTTTGGGTGAAATTTAGAGTAGCTAATGGGAGTATTGTGATTATACATTCTGAGCCAGTCATTTTAGATTTGTGTACATATTTTATAGTCTACTAATTTGCATAGAAGTATTGAAATCTTGATACTTTTAGAATTTCATTTAAGCAGCATGGACTTCCCAAAAGAAACCTTTATAGACCAATTATGATGGCTTTTTTCTCCCAAGTAGCTGCTGTCATACTATCTTTGCTTTTATTGGATTTCTTTTGAAAGTTTATTTAGAAACACACTTCTTTTGAAAAAGCCTTGGGGAGAACTCATGTACTAAAAGTATTAGTATCACTGTGAAAGACACCAAAAATGTCCTCTAATAAATTGCTAGAAGGAGGGTTTCTTTATATTTAGAATTAGGACAAACTTGAATTGCTTCAATGTGATAAATTGTTAAAATGAACTTTTTGCAGCTCAGTTGAAATTTAAAAGACTTTTCTCAAATGAATGTTCAAGGAAACAGATGGGGAAAGTACTAGGAGTTTTAAAAACTTATGTTCCCATAAAATAAAAGAGAGCATGAGTTTCACTGCTTGCTTTCCACTGCCAAAAATTCCCTTTTCCACTCTAAAAGGATATCAATATTCAAACTACTAGCAGTTACTTCTTAAATTTATGTTAATCCAGGACACAATTCATAAAAAAATGATGTGAAACAGACCAATGATAAGCCTTGTTGACATACTGAGCAATTCCATCAATGAAGTAAAAATTCTAGCAGATTAATGGATTGTTAGCACCAGCTACCATCTAGTTTCTCTCATAATTTCACAGATGACCAAAGTAACTTGTACAAAGTCAGTGGCAAAGTGGACACTAGAACTTCATTCCTTCCATCTCTCAGAGCAGTGCTTTCTTTTCCTTTTTTGTGATATTATGCTTCCACATGCTTTGCTATGCTTTTCAAATAAGTGCTCAAAATATGTTAAGATTTGTCAGTTTTCAAAAGGTCAGAATGTGAAAGGAGTTGCAGGACATGTCAAGGAACTTGAATTTTAACCTAAAGATGATAGGAGTTACTGATCACATTTGTATTTTAGAAAGTTTATTTTCTACACCTCACTATTCTTTGCTTGTGTAATTTATGTCTTCTCTCCATCTCTAATTCTTGTTACTTTTATATTATCTTGCAAGATAAATTATAGAATTGCCAATTGTATCATGTGGAAGTGGGTTCAGACTTCCTACATTTAGATTTTAGACATGCTTGCAGCATATGTGTATACTTATGGCTTTGAAGTTCTTTCTTCTATTGAGAAGGAAATAAATTGCAGAATGGCATATAGCTTCTGGCAAGAATACCATTTCAACTGCATTTTTGGAGCAAGGATTTTTTTACCCCAAGTCTGGTACAAATTATGATTTCTAACACTGGGTTTATTTTTATAGAAAGCATAATTTGTCTTAAAAACTACTGTTAACAGCCATGAAAGCTAAGGCCAAATATTAATGCACAGTGTTTCAATGACAAGCACTCTATCTTCCCAACTTTCAGTAAAATTTTGTGTAATTCATGAATAGTTTTTTCTCAGCTTTACTGAATTGAGAAATAATAAATTGTGTATATTCAAGATGTACACCTTGATGTTTTTATATACATCTACATTGTGAAAATAAAGCCAATTAACATACCAATCACTTCATGTAGTTACTATTTCCTTCCTTCCTTCCCTCTCTCCCTCTTTCCCTCCCTCCCTTCCTCCTTTTCTTTTCTCTCCCTCCCTCCCTCCCTCCCTTCCTTCCTTCCTTCCTTCCTTCCTTCCTTCCTTCCTTCCTTCCCTCCCTCCCTCCCTCCCTCTCTCTCTCTCTCTCTCTTTCTTTCTTTCTTTCTCTGTCTCTCTTCTTTTTCTTTCTTTCTTTCAAAAGTTTAATGTTGTTAGTGATGATGATGGAAAGTTGATGAGGAATTCTGGTCTAACAGATACTGGACTTTCCTGAAGTCAAGAGGTTTCATGCCAACTTTGTAAGTTAAGAAAGGTGATATCACACTTCTTCCATTGTTTTTTTCACTCTACATTGTGTTCAAATTGGCAAGCCCCAGGAAAAATATAATCATTATAATTAATCCTCCTCTATCATTTATTTTCATTGATCAAATCAATGTAAATCTGAAACTCCTAGAGCTATCTAGAATAAAACAAGCACTATGCTATGAACTTTATGTACATTCTCTTCAACAACATAGAAATACACATACTAAACTCAGTGTGTAAGAAAAAGAGAGGATTCTGTGCCAGATATCAAATATCTGTATCCAAATTCATGATAGAGGCATTAAGACTGAGGAATTTAATTCTCAACCTAGGGTATTATTGACATTTGGGCAGCACAATTCTTTTTTATGTGAGAGGTCACCCAAAGGCAGGACGTTTAGCATCTTAGACCCCTGACCACCAAGTGCCCACAGCACCCATCAGTCAGCAATGTGACTCTCTCCCTCACCTCTGACATTTCCAAATGCCCACTACAGCGGTAGCTCCATCTATGTGGAGACTAGATGATAATCAGCCTCCCTTTACTCAAATTTCACTCCTAAAATAATTTAAGAGAAATTATTTTAACCTTTTTGACCAAGACAAAATTCTGGACCAACCTACTTGACTAACCAAATGAATGGAACACTTTAGGCTGCTTCATGAATGAAGGCGGCTGAGGGTTATACACACCCCACTCCCTTCCCTCCCACTAACATGAAATAGAGCAGTGCATCCGTATAGTGCTGTAACATAGCTACAATACAGCAGGAATTGCTTGGAGTGTTTATCACAATATAGATTTTAATCCAGTAGGTTTGGACCAGGGTCAGTACCTGCATTTTTACCTGCCAGTGAACAGGTGACAATTTGAATCACATTTATCTGGAGTGATTTTACAGGATCGCTCCAGATAAAAGTGGTTCAAGTTGTTCCCTGTTCACTGCCTTAGAAGGTTTTTAACTCCAGGAAAACTCTTATAGACCCACTGGCAATAAAATTCCCTATAATAACAGCATGCAGAAGACAAGAAAGGTTCTCAGTAGAAGTTGAGAGAAATATTAGAGGAAGTAAAGCAGTGGTTTTGTCTTAGGTATAAGTCTTTTGAATAAAACAAGCACTATGTACAATCTCTTCAACAACATAGAAATATACATACTAAACTCAGTGTATAAGAAAAAGAGAGGATTCTTTTTTTATCTTTTTAAATCAAATATCTGTATCCAAATTAATGATAGAGGCATTAAAACTGAGGAATTTAATTCTCAACCTAGAGTATTTTGACAGTGGGTCAGGGTTCAGATGTACCTGAAGGGAGAGAAAATAAACAGCCTGATCCCTTGGGAGTGGCCACAGTTTTGGGGACTTGTGTATCACCTTCAAAAGAGATGAACCATGAGAATCCTCTCACCACAGGAACAAATCGAAAGGGAGGAGTAGTGACCTTCTGAACTGTTGTGGGGAAGAAGTCCATGTTCGTGAGCACATCCTTCCCTCTGTCTCCTGGGCTCAAGCAATCCTCCTGCCTCAGTCTCCTGAGTAGGTGGGACTACAGGTGTATGCCACTATGCCTAGCTTCTGTTTTTACTGAGATTGCTTTCAATAATGAAGAGTCTAATTAGAATATATATGGCTGGGATTTATTCTCATTCTTGGCTGATCTTCTATAGAGGGAAGGCATCGTGTAAAACCAATTAAAAATGACAGCATACTTCCTGTAGCAACCTCCCATAACTCCTCATTCGCAGGGATGGCAAACTTGAGGAAAGAGGTGAAATTTGTCTTTAGTGTCTCGTTCTCTCTTTACCTATTCTATTTTGCACCCCTCCCTCTTCTGCCACATAGGCCTACTAAGGAAGGGTTGGATCATAATCCCCAAAAACACAATTCCAAACAGCATAATTCTGAATGTTGAAATCCCAAAAGATCAAAATCCCTAAGCAGAAGATGGTAAAATTTAATAGGGAATGTTCATGTCAATGTATATGTAGAATCACAGAAGAATTTCCCAAGGAGCAGCACCATATAGAAAATGAATGTAAATGTATTCTCCAAGGAGAGCCTTAAAAGAAAAAAGCAGCTATTTATTGTGATGCCAGACTTCAAAATATAGTTAATAATCATGAAAGTTGGCTAACTCTTATGGACTATATCCATGCAATTGCCCATAATCTATTCCTGTAATTCACTTTTTCATATGTCAAGTTTTGTTTTTAATTGCTTTTTCTTGGCTGGGTGCGGTGGCTCACACCTGTAATCCCAGCACTTTGGGAGGCTGAGAGGGGGTGGATTTCTTGAGATCAGGAGTTCAAGACCAGCCTGACCAACATGGTGAAACCCTGTCTCTACCCAAAATACAAAAATTAGCAGGGCGTGGTGGCTGGCACCTGTAATCCCAGCTACTCAGGAGGCTGACACAGGAGAATCCCTTGAACCCAGGAGGTGGAGATTGCAGTGAGCCAAGATTGCATGACTGCACTCTAGCCTGGGTGACAGAGTGAGACTCTGTCTCAGAAAAAAAAAAAGAAAAAAAATTCTTTTTCTTTTTTGTTTTTTTTTCTACTGTTTTAAATTGTATTATTTTTTATCATTCTATATGCTATGTATTTCATGTTCATATCATTTCCCATACTGGAGGTATAAACTGTGTAGAATTTTTTAGAGACTTCTGATTCTGATTCATTTCATGCATTTTTTTTTTAAAAAATTTGACTCCATGAAAGTGTGTTATAATGTTCACTTTGCGGATAAGTATTGTGCATGTATGTAAAAACATTGAAACTTTCTCAATACATGAAGAGATGTCCTTTTTGTACATCTGCATTTGTGAAAGATAAAATTTTTCAAGATCTCTGATCTTTGGGCAACTGCATATGTGGTGGTGACCCATTGCACGTTCTGACTGATCTCATCAAACAACTTACATTGTTTGTCACAGTATTGCAGATGACTGCAGTTATAAAGCTGGGAGCACAAAATTACCAACCGTAGTCATATGGTTTATACATTTCTCTTTTGACCTGTTTCTTTATGAATATGATTTGTCTGCTCATAACTGATATATCTATGTGACTGTTAGCATACCTGAGTGTTCATGCTTGCAAAAATAGTTATGTTATTATTGCCTCTCTTATTGTGTAAAGTGGCCTATGAAGTGTTTTATTTTCTCAGGGCACAGGATCTTACTCTGTCTTCCAGGCTGGAGTGCAGTGGCTCGCTCGATCATGGCTCACTGCAACCTTGACCTCCAGGGTTCAATTGATCCTCCCACCTCAACCTCCCAAGTAGCTGAGACAACAGGTACATGCCATCATGTGTGGCTAATTTTTGTATTTTTTGTAGAGATGGGGTTTTGTTATGTTGCCCAGGCTGGTCTCAAACTCCTGAACTCAAGTGACCTGCCCGCCTTGGCCTCTCAGAGTGTTGGGATTACAGTCGTGAGATACTGCACCTGGCCTGTTATTTTTTAAATATGTTTTTCAAGTAAATCCCATTTTAAAAATGTAAATAAATATCTTTGAAAGAATTAAAATTTTTTTCCAGAATTATATTTTTGGGATTTTGATTTTTAAGGATTTCAACATTTGGGATTATGACATTTGAGATGGTATCTTTCAGGATTATGATTATAATAAATTCCTCCCCAGGGAAGATCCTCAGTCCTATTTTTCCAAAGGTTTGTTCTTAGCTAGTTCTTTTCTAATCCTCATTGGTGTCTTACCTAGAAAACATTTTCCTCTGGGAAATATTTATTCAAGTGGTTCCCGAGAAATGATAAGCCTTTATCACACAAAAATGAAATATCAAATGGTGAGTTCAGACACCCATGTGAATGGATCTTTTGGGCCATCTATTTGGTAGCCTCAAAACAAAACAAAGTATCACTCTTAAGGCTGGTTGTGCGACAATGTGCGTTTGAAATTCTCTAAATCATGTCAAAGTATGGAAGGGAACTTCAACAATTATATGATCCATCTATAGGTTTTCAGGCACATCAATATTTTGACATCTGAAAAAATGATATTTTTTTCTTTGCACAAATTTCCACTAAAGAAGGTTACAATGAATAACTAAGCTATTTCATCACAACAAAGTACAATGTACCATCATCTCTCTCTCACCTGGGCTGTAACAGTAATGCCCTAAACTGCACGGACTCTTGTTACCATTCTTGCCATTCCTTCCCCCTTTTCTTTTATACTCCCCTACACCCAGCAACCTATTTGGCACACTGAAGCCCAAGTGATCTTTTAAAAATGTGAATTAGATCATGCCAATTTTCTTCTTCAAATCCTTTGGTGGCTTCTCTTCCTTCCTGGGAAGAAGACTCATACGGTCGACAGGACACTCCGTGATCCTGACTTAGCCATCCTTCCTCCTCACTGTCACCTCCAGCATGTCTGGTCTTCTTTAATATCTTCCAATGTACCATCATGCTCCTGTCACTTCATGGCCTTTGCATAGCATCTGGGGACTTTTATCTGTGCTGCTCCAACCCCCACTGTCCCTGTGTTACTTAACCTGTATTTTTGGTCCATTGCACCTATCACTGTTTCTCTTTATTTATATATTTGTGTGCTTATTTGATTAATGTTTGTTTTCCCAACTAGACTATAAAGCCCCATGAAGTAAGGCCTTTGGGCTCTTCTACTTACCAGTATATCCCCAGTGTCACAGAAAGAGGCACATAGTAAGCTCCCAGTGAATATTTGCCTGATACAGGAATGAACTATCCGTTTTATCAGCAAACATGTCTCATGCATTAAGTTGAACCCATTTCTAATCATTAGAAGAGATGGAGAATTGCTGTTCACTTTCTTCTAGTTCTGACTTTGCTTTGGGATGCAATATACTATTACTTTGGTGAAAATGCACAGATGTCTCATTAACAATGAAATTGGGCAGTATACATTAATTTAAATATCATCAGTTTAGTTAACAACAGGTGTTGTTAATTTTATTCTTTTTTTCAGTTGATTAGTTATTCTTTGTGTTCAAATTCTGATTTGGTGGTAACTGGAAAGTGTTAACTCCACTACTTTTTCTTCTTGCTAGAAGAAAATTGCTAGAAGAAAAAGTTTAGTGTTTTTTTTTTTTTTTTTTTTTTTTGGTGTAAATAGCAGCATAGAGAAATAAAGCAGCAAGGGACAGAATAAAGAAATAAATGTTAGAATAAACTTTAAAATGGCAATAAAGAAATGGGAATCAGGGATAGGTTTCAAGAAAGAACCAGGGATCTTATGAGAGTTATTTATTTGAAAGGACAAAGATTGTTCTTTAAGCTGTATCAATCTCTTTTCATTTAATCTAAATCCAAAACAAATACAGATTGTATTTTGACTAAACTTTCTCCCATCACTAGATCTCAGAAAGTATTGCCTACATATGACCATTTTTTCTAATACTGTCTGTAATCTTAAAAATAATAATCATTTATGGGGTACCATATGCCAGACACCTACATAGAATACTTTATTTGGTTCTCAGCGACAGATATGATTATTATTTCACATTCTAGATAAGGAAACTGTGGTTCAGGGAGGTTAAGCAATTTGCCCAGACTCATGGCTTTGGACAGATCCAGATTCAAATCCCAAGTGTTGCTGATTCTAAACCCTATGCTCCTAACTCTTTTGTCTTATTTCCTCTTTAAAATGAGATCCCAACATTTGATAAAGTTTAAGATGTTTTCCCATTTTCACAGGCAAATTACTTAGAGCAGTGGTTCTCCAAATGTAGTCTTCAGATCAGCAGAATCAGCAACACCTAGGAATTTACTAGAAATGTTAATTTTCTGACCCAACACCAAATTTACTAAAATTAGAAACTGGGGGGTGAGGGTGGGATGGGTACAGCAATTTGCATTTTAAGGAGCCCTCCGTGTGATTCTGATGCATACAAAATTTGAGTACAACTACCTAGAAAAATGAAAAATTGAACAGCCCCTATTGCCATCTAAGCTAGTAACTGATCATCTGGCCCAACCATCCTACTTGCACTCCAGGAATCACTTCTGGATAATGTTTCTCACTCTCTCAGGTTCCTCTGCAAATCAGTCATGGTGATCTGAAAGCTTCCTACACATTTTTGTTTTGAGCCGGTGTTGCTATTTTTGCACAGGCTGGGCTGGGACTCCCAATCCTCCCGCCTCAGCCCCCTAGTAGCTGAAACTACAGGCCTGTGTCACTGCACCCGGTTCAAGGATAGATTTTTATTTGTTTGCTTTGTTTTTAGAGATAGGGTCTCTCAACGTCGCCCGGGCTATTTCTACAGATGTTGTTTTGGTTTAATATGGTGTCACATAAACTTACACTGGTTAAGTAAACAGGCAACATTTGAACTAAATTTAACTTCAATGTTTTGGTGGTCTGCAAAAGGATATTGTGCTTCTTGGTTAACATTTTCATGTTTCTCCACTTCTGCTTTCGTCCAGAACAGGAAGCGGAAGTTCTAAACTACTGCGAAGTCCTCTCTTGGTATTTCCGGCCTCGCTGAGACCAGAAAGCAGCGGAAGGGACAAATGTTTCTTGTTAGAGTCCCAATTTGATTTCTAAATCAAGGTGTACAGGATCAAAGGTCTCTTAAGTGCAGGTCCCAAACTTTGATCGTTATGTAAATAAGCAACTTGGAGCTCTCCTTCACGACTTGTAACACAGGCAGGTGACTGAGATGAGATCAATCAGAGCTGAGGAATGAGGGGAAATTCCCACCTAATAGCTGAAAGCAACAATACTTGAGTTTGTGCTTGCCTTCCCTTTCAATTTTCTAAGGTATAGGTGATCAAAATTCTTAATAAATTGAAGATTGAAGGCCTTAGAATCTGAGTAAGCTAAGAGGATATACAGTTTCCACAAATGAGTTCTTTCATTACAATAAAAAATAACAGAGGAACTTTAAGGCATTCGTTTGCTGCCAGGAATTTCAGCTGAGGTTGTGGGTTGGGGAAGAGGGTAGTTAATTTAATTAACTTCTGTTTTATGATCTCTTAAGATAAGTAAAGGCACCTGGAAGTAGAAGAAGCCGAGAGAAAAGATCGTACCATGTTTTCTATCTGTTATTTAGCTTAGATTTTCTGTTTCGATTGTTGTTTGTTTCTATAGGAAAGAATACTTATTGACAGTGAAAGAAAGCAAAAGAAATGGATTTTTTTAAAATAATGAAACTTCTAGATGAGCAAACCTGGAGGATAGTTTGTGAATTAAACAAATGTGTTTGGTGTATAATCAGGGAAACTGATAAAACCCACTCATCTAAAAAGAAGGTGAGAGTTTTCGGCTGTCACCAGGGTCTAACTTGGTAAGTCAGTCCCATTACCACATACCAATGAAGTAAAAAAAAAAAAGATTCATTCGGTTTAGAATCTTTAGAACCACTAGTCTGGTAGTGCTGTCAGGTTAAAGGATTAGTTGTTCAATATAAACCATATATTTGGACTAAAATAATCACATTAGCCTTTGTTAAATGTACTCATGATCAAGTGAGGTAACAATAGTGTTCTTCCTACTTTAGATTTAAAACTTGACATTTCTAATATGATCGATGTCTCCACTTTGCTGTCTGACATAGTACTGCTTAAACCTTCCTCAAATACTTGTATGCCATATATGTTTCTAATCTATATAAAATAATACTGATATATAAGCACTGTGTTTTCTTCTAGCTTAAAATAATAAGTCAATTTCTTGAGGATAGGTACAACTCTAACCTTAGATAAGAAGTTCTGGATTCTAAATTGAGCCCTGCTGTGAAAACTAATCTTTGCTTTAGATCTCCACCTTGTGGTTACATGTTTAAAATGTAAATTCTTGTGATTTTATGATCCTGGCTTATAGATTCTTTCAAAAAGAAAGGTAGAATGGATGAACATTGTCTGAAAATAACTTGAGACTTATGATTGGATATTTAGAAATTTATAATTCAGATTCAGTGCACTTCAGAATGTTTTCTCTCTGAGACCCTTGTTTACCACTTTTTGTTCAACTACCTTGAAAAATTAGTTTTGGGTTTCTTAAGGATTGAAGAGACTTTCAGAGACCATCTTTTGGGTTAGTGCTAGTACAGAAGGGGCTAATAGGAGGAACCTCATTAGTGTATCTTTAGTAAACTTGAATGAAGGGAACATATGGGTTTAGAACTTACAACTTCAGAACGCTGGGGAAATCTGTAAGAAATACTCCAACATTTACCTACCATCATGTGGTTTTTAAAAAAAGAAAAGAAGAACTACCCCAACGTGGGGTTTACCTTGGTCCAAGAAAAGAAGACAGTTTTCAACTATAACATCCTGTGACTTCATTTTCCAAGTTTCCTCATCACAATATAGAAAAGCTATATGATGTCCGCTGGGTATACAGCAGTGCTCTGTGTAGCTTAAAGAACATGTAGTTCCAGCATGAAGTTCTGCAAGAGTGGGCCTGGTGTGCTGTGTGTGAATCAACTCTAGAGCTCTTTGGATTTATATAAGTCTTGATTTACAGAATTTAGTTACAAAGCACAATAATATTTTATTATGTTCATTTGCTTATATATTATCTTTTTTTTTTTACATTCAATAGCAAATATTGGTGACTCCACCTTACAAACAGACTCAGAATCTAACAACTTGTAATTTCCTTTCATAGCAACCAGCTTTATCCTATTAGAACATGAATCAGATTACTGTTATTCCCCTGCTTAAAAACAGGGATTTTCCGTCACTCAGAGGAAAAGCTTAAGTTCTCATGGTGGCCATCAAGACCTGCTCTAACTGGCCTGTGTTACCGCTCCAACCTCAACTCCTCTACCACCCGTCCTCCTTCTGCTGCAGCTACATGGCCTTCTCAATGGTCTTGGTACAGAAAGGCCTTTGAATTACAGCTCAGTCGGCTTGGAGTACTCTCCTTCCATACACCCACATGGTGTGCTCCCTCCCTCCTTCAGGGTTAGTCAAAACTCATACTTCTTTCTGGCCACACATCTAAAATTGCAACACTCTTCCTACACTTCCAATCCTACTTCACTACTTTACTTTCTTAGCTTTATCCCACATACTATACCTTTTTCTTATGTGTTTCATGTATCATCTGCCTTCCCCCCTACCATGTAAACACCACACATAGTGATTATGCTTGTGTTTTTCACTCTTATTTCTCAGCCCTCACAAGAGTGCCTGGCTCAATAAATAAATATTTGCCAAGTGAATGACTGTCTCACCCATTACATCTTTAAGTCCCTTAGGGCCATGTCTTGTTTGTTTGCATTTCTAGCACCTAGCATAGTGCCTGGCATTTAAAAGAGTTTAAATAAATGTTTGCCAGTTAAACAAATCACTGTTGAAGTACCCTCTTAAGGACTGTCAACATATTGTAATATAAATATGGGATGATTGTATTTATTCTTACTGATTTTAAATATGTGTGCTGTCATTTAAAAATTGTAAAATTATCTTGGCTACATTTCATGTTATTTTTATTGATTTGATTATTGAGTCAGTCTTATTTGAGTACTTAAGACTGTTCATTTGAAAACTTTTTCTTTTTCTTTTTTGATGAGGTCTTGCTCTGTCACCCAGGCTGGTGGCAATGGGGCTATCATAGCTCACTGCAGCCTTGAACTCCTGGGCTCAAGTGATCCCCCTCCTTAGTCTCTCAAGTAGCTAGTACTGTAGGCACGTGCTACCACACTTGGCTAATTTTTTTGTTTTTGGTTTTGTGAAGATGGAGTCTCTCTGTGTTGCTCAGGCTGGCCTCAAACTTCTGGCCTCAAGTGAACAATCCTCCTGTCTTGGCCTTCCAAAATGCCGGGGTTATAGACACAAGCCACCAGGCCCAACCAAAACTTCATTCTTAAATATTATCTAAGACTTCTTCCCTTTCCTTTCCTTAATACTTTCTACTTGGTGATCTGAAATTTGATGTATGTAGATTTTTTTTTCTTTTTGAGACAGGATCGTGTTCTATTGCCCATGCTGGAGGGCAGTGGCACCATCATGGCTCACTGCAGCCTTGACCTCCCAGGCTAAAGCAATCCTTCCACCTCAGCCTCCCAAGTAGCTGGTACCACAGGTGCATGCCACCTGTGGCTAATTTATTTTTTATTTTTAAATTTTTTGTAGAGATAGGGTCTCCCTATGTTACTCAGGCTGGTCTTGAACTACTGGGCTCAAGCAATCCTCCCATCTTCGTCTCCCAAAATGATGGGATTACAGGTGTTTAGCCTTTCTGTCTCTCTCTTTTATAAAAATAAATTTTATTATATATATTTGAGGTTTATAGCATGTTATAGGATACATACAAATAGCAAAATGCTTACTATAGTGAAACAAATGAACATATCTATCATTTTACATAGTTTATTTTGTGTGTGATAAGAGCAATTAAAATCTACTTACTTAGCAAAAATCCCAAATACCATGCAATTTAATTAACAAGAGTCTTCATGTTATATGTTAGATTTCTAGGCTTTATCCTACATATTTACTACTTTGTGTCTTTTAACCTGTATCTTCTTTTATCCCCCACTGCTGTCCTTGGTAACCACTGTTTTATTCTGTCTTATAGTTGACCTTTTTTTCTTTTTTTTTTTAAAAAGGATTCCACATATAAGTGAGGTCATGCAATATTTTTCTTTCTGTGTCTGGCTTATTTCACTTAGCATAATGTCATCCAGGTCTATCAATGTTGTGGCAAATAGCAAGATATCCTTCTTTGTTAAGGCTGAATGATATTCCTCTGTGTGTGTGTGTGTGTGTGTGTGTGTGTGTGTGTGTGTGTGTGTGTATGTCTGTGTGTTTGGCACATTTTCTTTTCTTTTTCTTTTTTTTTTTTTGAGATGGAGTCTTGCTCTGTCGCCCAGGCTGGAGTGAGGTGGCACGATCTCGGCTCACGGCAACCTCTGCCTTCTGGGTTCAAGTGATTCTCCTGCTTCAGCCTCCCGAGTAGCTGGGACTACAGGCATGTGGTACATTTTCTTTATCCATTCCTCTTTAGACAGACATTTAAGTTGTTTCCAGATCATGGCTACTGTGAATAATGCTGCAAAAAACATGGATATCTTTATGAAGTGGTGACTTCATCTCCTTTGGATATATACCCAGAAGAGGGATTGCTGGGTTATATGGTAGTTCCATTTTTAATTTATTTAGGAACTTCTATACTGTTTTCAACAATGGCTGTACCAATCTACATTACCGATAACGCTGTACTAGGGCTCCCTTTTCTCTGCACCCTCATCGACATTTGTTATCTCTTGTCTTTTTGATAATAGCCACCTTAGTGAGTGTGAGATCATATCTCATGGTGATTTTAATTTGCATTCCCTAATGATGTTTCCCTAGTGATTAGTGATGTTGACCACGTTTTCATATACTTGTTGGCCGTTTGTATGTCTTCTCTGGAGAAATGTCTGTTCAGGTCCTTTGCCCATTTTTAAATAAGGTTATTTGTTGTTTTGCTATTGAATTGTTAGAGTTCTCTATAAACTTTGGGTATAAACCCCTCATCAGCTACGTGGTTTGCAAATATTTTTTTCCCAGTCCATAGATTGCCTTTCCATTTCGTTGTTGTTACCTAAATGGACAAATATCCTGTGTATATGGATTGAAAGAATTAATATCGTTAAAATCTTCCTACTGCCCAAAAAATATATATATAGATTTAACACAGTCTCTATCAAAATTCCAATGGCATTCTTCTGAAATAGATAAAACAATGTTAAAATTTGCATGGAACCACAAATAATCCTGAAGAACCAAAACAATACTGAGAAAGAAAAACAAACTTAAAGCCACTCCACTTCCTGAATGTAAATTATATTACAAAACTATATGGTACTGGCATAAGAACAGAGACATAGACCAATGGAACGGAGAGTACAGAGTCCAGAAACAAATCTAAACATATATAGTCAATTTATTTTTAACAAGGCCTCTAAGAGGACACAATGGGGAAAGGATAATCCCGTCCATAAATGGTGCTGGGAAAACTAGATTTCCACAAGCAAAAGTGTGAAATTAGAGCCTTATCTTACACTATATACAAAAATGAACTCAAAATGGATAAAAGACCTACATGTAAGACCTGAAACCATAAAACTAGAATACAACATAGGGGAAAGTTCCTTGACATTCGCCTTGGCAATGATTTTTTGAATATCACACCAAAAGCCTAGGCTACAACAGCAAAAGTAAATAAATGGGATTATGTGCACTTTTTTATACGCTCTTTCTTCTTTTTCTTCCCTTTGGAACTTTCCTCCCACCTCTCCTCAGACCCTAGGTTCCTATGTGTCCTCACAGTGCCTGCTGGAGGCAACTCAGTGGAAACGGAGAGCAAGCTCTGCTCCCCTAACTGATGACAGCCGTAGTTTACAGCATTGTTTCTCAGACTTTCATATGCATATGAAACCCCTACTGGTCTTGACAAAATGCAGATTCTGATTCAGGAGGTTGATGGGTGGGGCCTGAGACTCTGCACTGCCAATAATTCCAAGGTGATGCTGATACTGCGTTTTGGAGGGTCAGACTTGAATAGCAAGTGATAGAGGAGTCCTCTCCTCATTCTGGTTTAGCCTGTTTCTGTCTGATGCTGCTAGCCTTTGCTGACATAGTAGTCTCTGTATAGAGACTTATAGGTGGCTTTTAGGGGTCACTGTTCGTCTTCATTTTGATATCTTTATTGCTGCCAGAGGAAAAGTTCTAAACTCTTCTCTGGGTCAGGCTGTCTGGGCATCCCCTGGTGTTCCTGCTCTTCTGCTAATCTCTGTGCACCTTCATATGAAGCCAAAGGAATGAGAGGAGTGATACTGTGTTATATATCCTCCAAGGGCAATGGAAAACTGGGATGGAGTTGGGGTTTTCCCTGTTTTCTTCCTAGACACATCACAAAACAATCCCATCAAGCCTTGCAGATGTGGTTTCCTACTTCTGGGATCTCTTAATCTAGGAACAGATGTTAAGTAACCCTCCCTTCTTCCCCAGATTGGGAAGCAGAATGTAAAGGCAAACATGCCACATGCTTTTTTGCTGAGAATGCTCTTTATTCAAGGATGGCCTCAACAAGCCTGGCTCCTGTGCCAGGATGAATGTGAACTTGTGGTCTCTACAGCCCAGGGTGGATCTTGCCAGAAAATAATGCCCATTCCTGCAGGCACCTTTAAGGATTTTCTCAGAGTTTCTTTCACTTGCCTTCTGGAAGGAAAATCTCCCACTACCTCCCCAGTAGAAGGTGGGGTTATAGCACTCTTTTCACAGACATTTGCTCCTTGAAACCGTAGATGACGATTTCTCTGAGTCTTCTTATAAGACCTGGCAGTGCCCTCACCCCATGACCTTTGCTTCCATTTGTTGCTCCTCCTTTTTCTCTTTGTTTCTCTCTGGCTTCAGCCTGGACTCAAAACTGGGTCCAAGGGGCAGGGGTGCTTCCTTGGTCCTCTTCCCCAAGAATGAAGCAATAACTCATCACCCCTTCTCTCACCTACTGATCTTTTCCTCCTTTCTCTCCATACAAGTGACGTGAGCTCTGCCCTTCTTCCTCCAATCCAGTTTCAAATGACAAAGTGCCACCACTTCCCCTGGCTCAGAACCTACTTTCACTAAAATTCAAATCCTTACTATCACCACCACCACCCCATAGTCATCAGTTCTGCATCACCTACAGCCTGACTCTCCAACTGCAGTCTCACCCCAAGATTTTACATAGGTTGATGCCAGTTATGTCCTGCTCTGAAACCTTTCAATAACTTCCCCTTACCCAAATCTAAAATAAAGCCCAACTTCAAATCTACTGCTAGGATTATGCTTTCCCCTTCCCCAGCCCTCAGTCATTCCCTTTAGGGCCTCCATGACACTCCATCAAAAGAAGGTCTGGCACACAGGACAGTTGAATAAAGGGATGGATTTTTAAAGATTATGATATCAATACTCTCTGCAATTTGGTGGTGACAGGGATTATGCCAAATGCTGGTAGGAAGTTGGAATGTAGAACATATGAGGTGTCTTCTACCCTCAGTTCTGGACTTAAGACTTAGACAGTATTGTGGGATGACAGGAAAGATCACATTCCATATGCTAGCACAGTTGAATAAATGAACTGGAGCAACCCAGCTCTCTCTCTTCTCATTTTCCCCTCCTCTCTCAGAGATGAGCCAGAAGATACAGCTTGTGACAGGTATGCGGGTAGAGTGGAAATGCAGATGAGAGGTTCCAGAGCTTTGCCGTAATCTATTAAAGAAGAATGTAAAGAGAGAATAGACTTTAGGTCAAAAATACTCTCTGCCTTGTCATTTGAAAACTTTGTAGCTGTGGGCAAGTAACCAAACTTCCTGTCTTGTTTTCTTATCTGATAAATGGGGAAAATAATTTTTATCTTCCATGGTTGTTCACCAAGTATGGAAATATTAACATAAATGCTCATGTACTTAATATCTGACTCATAGTGAGTGCTCAATAAGAGGTAAATATTCAAAAAATTGTAGTATTGTCATTTTCACCACCTGTTTTTATGATTTTGAAGATTTATTTTATTCTTAAAATCTAAATGTTCTTTGGACACAATGCACTTAAGAGGGATTTTTTTTCCCCTTCACAACAGTAGTAAGTTCCGTAATAGAGTCAGGCATTAGAGAGTGATAAATTACTGATACACTCTTAAATGAAAATAACTATACAGTAACTAAAGCTGAAATGTTACCAATGTTAAGCTTAGAGTTATTTATTTTGGACTTTGGACAAAAGTCATAATAAACTTTTATGAATCAATTTATAAAATTGGACAATTCTTAGCTAATGTGCATTTCACATTTCTTGAGATCTTAGGCTTAATGCTTAAATTTTAAAAATTGAAACTCAAATCGGCTTCTAAAAGTCCACACCACCCACATTTTTCAGGGCCTATAAACAATAATACATCATTGAATTAATATTAATACTGACATTATGCAAACATTATTTTGAAACATTTATTTCAACTGAAGAGACTTTACAGTTTGCTTAGGGAACATTCTTCTTCAACAGTTCAACCCTAATCCTCTCTTATTGTCATCCTATATAATTGTCAATGAAAACATTTAGCTTAGTGACTTAAAAAAATACTATGAAAAGCCACAGACAGGTATGTAGTATTTTCCATTTGCAGCTAATAAAATATTACAAACGTATTATTAAATCTTTGTACACTCATGAAACAGAATTATTGTGACAGCCAAAATTTAATTTCAATTCTAGACAGAGTATCTTGAATTTACAAGCGAGTTGCACTGAATCAAAAAGAGTATAAACAGTTTGAAGATAGAGTTTAAAACATAATTATGCAACATTTTTTCTTCAGCTCAGAAGTCTTACCATAACTTGGCTGTAACATTGAAAACAACTACTGCTTATTGAGTGAAAACTACATACTAGTTACCGTATCAGGCAGTTTAAATAACTTAGCCATTTAATCTTTAAAATATATGCTATAGATAGCATCTTTGTTCTCATTTTACAGATGAGGAAGCTGAGGGTCTACAAATTTAATTGATTTGCCCAAAGTTATAAGGCTTGTAAGCATCAGAGCTGGGATTCATGTGTCTAAAGCCTACTAGCAGTGTCAGTAAATGGAAAATATAGGCTAGATCTAGCTACCCCTGCAACTAACTAAATACCTTTCGATTGAGTAGACAATGAAAATTAGTGCTGGAAGAGAGAATTAGTTTAAGTCTTCATTTTGTAAGAGGCAAAGTGACATGCCCAAGACCAAACAACTAGTCATTGGTAAAGCTCTAATTAAGACCCTTAAAACTTGCTTCATTTGGTGTTCTTTTTCTATTCTGTCTGTTAGACAAAAGGAGTTAGCAGCATGAGTAGATCTATCACAGGACATGGTCCTTTCTCCTTAAGTCAAATGAGTTGACCCTATGGACATCCTCTGGCAATTGTTTTCCTCACATTACTTCAGGAATATATTATTTTATGTAATGTGTCCTCTCAAAAAGCTGTCTGTAAGTCATAAAATGGAACTTGCTGGTGTCTTAGAGTTCTACTAGGTCTGCTTCTTTATTCCTTGGATAAGGAAATCCTATCCGAGTGAGATGAATAGGTTTCTCTAAGGTGGCACACTACTAATTGTGCCAAAGTCTTGCTTAATGTACCACACTGCTTTAAGCATTTGTGTTGAGAAAAAGAAAAGTTTAGAGTATTAGGGGGTTTTGCTCCTTAAAAGGTCTTTTATGAATTATTTTTTACCATGGAGAATCCTTCTGTGAAGAGAATAACTTTCCCTTTTATACCTTTTCTGTTCTTACTATTTTGAATCTATAGAATTCATCATATACCTCAACTTTTTTGTCCATGAAAATATGCATCATCTGACTTTGAATAAGTCACACAATAATAAATTCAGATTAGAATTGTCCACACCTTTGTTTCTTCTAAATTTTGGGTATGTAAGCCTCTGATAATTCACATGACTTAATTAAGCAGAAATCTGGCTCCAAGTGTTGCCAGATGGTCACTATATGGATGAGTAAGACATTAACAAGGTGCAAAATGGGCTAAACCAACAAGCCCATTCCTTCAGAGTCCAACTTTGTTGTTTATTTCCCCTGGTGGCAGGAAAACTGGAATGAAACCATATCTCGTATGTGCGATGCTAGCCAGACATTGTGTGCATGTGGTAACAGGAGCCTTATCTCTCAGACCATTAATAAGGATTGGAATAAGCAAAGAAAGGGAAGCCAATAGCAATTGTTAGAGTGATTTTTGAACTCATTACTCATACAGCTGTATAAGAGACTTTAGAACTTCAGCCGACTTATCTTGCTGCAGCAAGTGGCAGTTGTACTTGCTCATGCCAGTGGCCTGAACACAAGAATGCTCAGGTATGAGAAAACACATAGAAAAGGCTGCTATAAGAGATTAATTAGAAAGTGATCATTCATGTTGCTAAATAATTTTTCACTTTCTAAAATATTAACTATGGTAATTATTTTTTCTACTAAGCTTTCTCAAAGCTACTAACATAATTTTAAGAAAATGAAAACCATGAGTTGCATGCAAATATAAAATAAACAAGTCAAAGATTCTATTCAGCTTATCTATTAAAGAAGGAATCAGTAAGATGTTTATGCTGGTTGCAAAAGCATTTGAGGACTTAGGCATTTATAAGCAATTTAATAAAGGAATGTCAGGATAAGATTGCTACACTGCATTAAAAAATTCTGGTTAATATCCTACAGGATACCATTACCTTTGGGATAATCTGTTCCACAAGCCAGACTTTATTTTCATTTTTACTGGACAAAAATTTATAAGTTTCGTGGTAATGTCACTACGTTTGAGACTTTTAATCAGTAGTATATAGTAAATCAAATTATATTCTCCTGGATAATCCCTTGGGAAATCCCTTGGGTAATCCCTTGGGTAAATCTTAAACCCATAAAATATTGGAAGAACTTGCAATCTACTTTTTTGTTTCTTCCTTTTTTCAATTTTGGATGCGTTTCCTTATCAGGGCATTTAATACATTTAAAAAATTAATTATGTGCTTTTTTACGAACATAGGCATTATATAAATATGTAATAACCATCTGGGGAAAATCAAATTATTAGATAAAAATAAGAGTTGTATACAGAATGACAAGTACTTAGAGGAATCCTTTGAGATGAGGTAATATGGACTGAAGCCCCCCTTGGATTTACTGCTACTATTTATTGAATGCTTACTATGTGTTGGTTGTCACATTAGGTGCTTTATAAACACTATCTCTAATGACTTTGAAAATAATTCTTTAATGATAACTGAAGAGCTGGGAGTCAGATAACTTCCTGAGGTCATACAGTTACTGAGTATAACAGCCATGGCCCAAACTCTGACTGTTGAGCTCTAAAGCTTGTGCTAACTTCTGTGCTCTGCCTCTTCTCACCATATCACTACAGGGGTAAGAATCTTACAATTTTGCATATTTAATTTTAAGCATAAATATTGACCCCTAATACTTGTTTCAGTATCAAACCTGGAGCTGATATTTAATGGAGATTTACTGATTGCTAGACACCGTGCTAGTGCCTTGCCCTAGCTGTCATATTTAATCATCCCAACAACCCCATGAGGGGGATCAAAAAGCACTATTAGTTGCAGGTTATGACAAAACACAATAACATTTAACTAAAGCACTATTTACTATATTTAAAAATTCTCCAAGTATCTTGTGTCATGTTGTATCTATAAAAGAGAGTCTCTTTCTCTCTCATAGTTTACAATTCAAGAGAGACTCTGTAAAAGTGAGAACATATTGACATACATAAAACTATGTAAACATGAAACAGAAACATAGATTAAACAGAGATGTAGATCATGTACCATTAAAAGCTTTCCTAAAACATTGTGAACGTTTCATAGAAAAAAAATGTATCAATGGTACCTTCTATCTTTTGGGAAATCATGAGCTTGCTTTATTATGATAGTGCAGAGAATAGTTGAATAATTTGGACTCTATGACTCTCAGCCCTAAATTCAGAAAGTGTAGTTATATACCCCAGTGTTTTTTATTTTTTTAAAAAAACCTCTAGGCAGGAGATATTTTGGTAGGACACAAGACCACAAATTTGTCATACTATTCATATTTTATTTTCTATTTTTACTATAGTGGATAATCCCCAAATAACTATTATGGAGTTAATCTATCACCATCTCCTTCCTATATCTTTTCTGAGGGAAGGTTGGAATTAATGGATGAAGATATGTAGACATCTATGGTGTTCTGGGAAGCTGAGCATGTCTGATATAAGGCATGTGAGGTTTAAATGCATGCATGTGTTAGATATGTTGTCTAGCCTTTCTAGCCCACTAACTATAAACTACATATCTATCTTATGTATCTATTGGTGTGGAAACTTTACTGTATGGGAATTTGGAGAATCTTAGAGTCAGGAGAGATCTTTAGAGATCATCACATCCAAATGCTTTTTCGAAGAAGATATTTGTTTCACACCATTGCTGATGTACAGTTGTCCATTCAGTCATAGAGAACTAGCTATCCCTCCTTGGGCTCTTTATGACTTACAGTATATTTGTTTCCGGGAGCTGCCATAACAAATTCCCACAAACTGGGTGACTTAGAACAACAGAAATTTATTATCTCACAGTTCTGGAGGCTAGAAGTTTGAAATCAAGGTGTTGGTAGGGCCACGTTACCTTGAAAGCCTCTAGGGGAGGATCTTTCCTTGCTTCTTCAAACTTCTGATAGCCCCAGGTTTTCCCTAGTTTATGGCAGCATAACTCCAATCTCTGCCTCCCTCTCTACAGAGCGTTCTTCCTGTGTGTCTACCTCTTCACATGGTCATCTTTTCCTCTCATAAGAACATCTGTCATATTGAATTAAGGGCCCACCCTAATGACCTCCTCTTAATTTGTTTACATCTGCAAAGATTTTATTTCCACATAAGGTCACATTACAGGAACCACAGGTTAGGGCTGCAACATATGCTTTTGGAGGTCACAATTCAACCCATAACGCTCAGTATAACCAGAAGAGCTAAGTGGAGACTGGCTTAACCTCCTAGCCTTACATCTTTCTCTCATGCTGGATGCTTCCTGCCCTGGAACATCAGACTCCAGGTTCTTCAGCTTTTGGGACTCAGACTGGCTACCTTGGCCTATTGTGGGACCTTGTGATCATTCGGATTCAGGGCAAGGGGAGGCTGAACAAAAAAAAAGATGGCCAAATAGGAACAGCTCCAGTCTACAGCTCCCAGCATGAGTGATGCAGAAGACAGGTGATTTCTGCATTTCCATCTGAGCTACCGGGTTCATCTCACTAGGGAGTGCCAGACAGTGGGCACAGGACAGTGGGTGCAGTGTACCCTGCGCAAGCCGAAACAGGGCGAGGCATTGCCTCACTCGGGAAGTGCAAGGGGTCAGGGAGTTCCCTTTCCTAGTCAAAGAAAGGGGTGACAGACGGCACCTGGAAAATCGGGTCACTCTCACCCTAATACTGCGCTTTTCCGACGGGCTTAAAAAACGGCGCACCAGGAGATTATATGCCGCACATGGCTCGGAGGGTCCTACGCCCACGGAGCCTCGCTGATTGCTAGCACAGCAGTCTGAGACCAAACTGCAAGGTGGCAGCGAGGCTGGGGGAGGGGTGCCTGCCATTGCCCAGGCTTGCTTAGGTAAACAAAACAGCCAGGAAGATCGAACTGGGTGGAGCCCACCACAGCTCAAGGAGGCCTGCCTGCCTCTGTAGGCTCCACTTCTGGGGCCAGGGCACAGACAAACAAAAAGACAGCAGTAACCTCTGCAGACTTAAATGTCCCTGTCTGACAGCTTTGAAGAGAGCAGTGGTTCTCCCAGCACGCAGCTGGAGATCTGAGAACCGGCAGACTGCCTCCTCAAGTGGGTCCCTGACCCCTGGCCCCCGAGCAGCCTAACTGGGAGGCACCCCCCAGTAGGGACAGACTGACACCTCACATGGCGGGGTACTCCTCTAAGACAAAACTTCCAGAGGAACGATCAGACAGCAGCATTCGCGGTTCACAAAAATCCGCTGTTCTGCAGCCACCGCTGCTGATACCCAGGCAAAAGGGTCTGGAGTGGACCTCTAGCAAACTCCAACAGACCTGCAGCTGAGGGTCCTGTCTGTTAGAAGGAAAAGTAACAAACAGAAAGGACATCCACACCAAAAACCCATCTGTACATCACCATCATCAAAGACCACAAAGTAGATAAAACCACAAAGATGGGGAAAAAGCAGAGCAGAAAAACTGGAAACTCTAAAAAGCAGAGCACCTCTCCTCCCCCAAAGGAACGCAGTTCCTCACCAGGAACAGAACAAACCTGGATGGAGAATGACTTTGATGAGTTGAGAGAAGAAGGCTTCAGACGATCAAACTACTCCGAGCTACGGGAGTACATTCAAACCAAAGGCAAAGAAGTTAAAAACTTTGAAAAAAATTTAGATGAATGTATAACTAGAATAACCAATATAGAGAAGTGCTTAAAGGAGCTGATGGAGCTGAAAGCCAAGGCTTGAGAACTACGTGAAGAATGCAGAAGCCTCAGTAGCCGATGCAATAAACTGGAAGAAAGAGTATTAGTGATGGAAGATGAAATGAGTGAAATGAAGCGAGAAGGGAAGTTTAGAGAAAAAAGAATAAAAAGAAATGAAAAAAGCCTCCAAGAAATATGGGACTATGTGAAAAGACCAAATCTACATCTGATTGGTGTACCTGAAAGTGACGGGGAGAATGGAACCAAGTTGGAAAACACTCTGCAGGATATTATCCAGGAGAACTTCCCCAATCTAGCAAGGCAGGCCAACATTCAGATTCAGGAAATACAGAGAACGCCACAAAGATACTCCTCAAGAAGAGCAACTCCAAGACACATAATTGTCAGATTCACCAAAGTTGAAATGAAGGAAAAAATGTTTTCCTTCATTTCAAGCCAGAGAGAAAGGTGGGATTTCTCCTTCAAGCCAGAGAGAAAGGTCGGGTTACCCTCAAAGGGAAGCCCATCAGACTAACAGCAGATCTCTCAGCAGAAACTCTACAAGCCAGAAGAGAGTGGGGGCCAATATTCAACTTTCTTAAAGAAAAGAATTTTCAACCCAGAATTTCATATCCAGCCAAACTAAGCTTCATAAGTGAAGGAGAAATAAAATACTTTACAGACAAGCAAATGCTGAGAGATTTTGTCACCACCAGCCCTGCCCTAAAAGAGCTCCTGAAGGAAGCACTAAACATGAAAGGAACAACCGGTACCAGCCGCTGCAAAATCATGCCAAAATGTAAAGAACATCGAGACTAGCAAGAAACTGCATCAACTAATGAGCAAAATAACCAGCTAACATCATAATGACAGGATCAAATTCACACATAACAATATTAACTTTAAATGTAAATGGACTAAATGCTCCAATTAAAAGACACAGACTGGCAAATTGGATAAACAGTCAAGACCCATCAGTGTGCTTTATTCAGGAAACCCATCTCACGTGCAGAGGCACACATAGGCTCAAAATAAAAGGATGGAGGAAGATCTACCAAGCAAATGGAAAACAAAAAAAGGCAGGGGTTGCAATCCTAGTCTCTGATAAAACAGACTTTAAACCAACAAAGATCAAAAGAGACAAAGAAGGCCATTACATAATGGTAAAGGGATCAATTCAACAAGAAGAGCTAACTATCCTAAATATATATGCACCCAATACATGAGCACCCAGATTCATAAAGCAAGTCCTTAGAGACCTACAAAGTGACTTAGACTCCCACACATTAATAATGGGAGACTTTAACACCCCACTGTAAACATTAGACAGATCAACGAGACAGAAAGTCAACAAGGATACCCAGGAATTGAACTCAGCTCTGCACCAAGCAGACCTAATAGACATCTACAGAACTCTCCACCCCAAATCAACAGAATATACATTTTTTTTCAGCACCACACTACACCTATTCCAAAATTGACCACATAGTTGGAAGTAAAGCTCTCCTCAGCAAATGTAAAAGAAAGAAATTATAACAAACTGTCCGTCAGACCACAGTGCAATGAAACTAGAACTCAGGATTAAGAAACTCACCCAAAACTGCTCCACTACATGGAAACTGAACAACCTGCTCCTGAATGACTACTGGGTACATAACGAAATGAAGGCAGAAATAAAGAGGTTCTTTGAAACCAACGAGAACAAAGACACAACATACCAGAATCTCTGGGACACATTCAAAGCAGTGTGTAGAGGGAAATTTATAGCACTAAATGCCCACAAGAGAAAGCAGGAAAGATCCAAAATTGACACCCTAACATCACAACTAAAAGAACTAGAAAAGCAAGAGCAAACACATTCAAAAGCTAGCAGAAGGCAAAAAATAACTAAAATCAGAGCAGAACTGAAGGAAATAGAGACACAAAAAACCCTTCAAAAAATTAATGAATCCAGGAGCTGGTTTTTTGAAAGGATCAACAAAATTGATAGACTGCTAGCAAGACTAATAAAGAAAAAAAGAGAGAAGAATCAAATAGACGCAATAAAAAATGATAAAGGGGATATCACCACCGATCCCACAGAAATACAAACTACCATCAGAGAATACTACAAACACCTCTATGCAAATAAACTAGAAAATCTAGAAGAAATGGATAAATTCCTCGACACATACACCCTCCCAAGACTAAACCAGGATGAAGTTGAATCTCTGAATAGACCAATAACAGGATCTGAAATTGTGGCAATAATCAATAGCTTACCAACAAAAAAGAGTCCAGGACCAGATGGATTCACAGCCGAATTCTACCAGAGGTACAAGGAGGAACTGATACCATTCCTTCTGAAACTATTCCAATCAATAGAAAAAGAGGGAAACCTCCCTAACTCATTTTATGAGGCCAGCATCATCCTGATACCAAAGCTGGGCAGAGACACAACCAAAAAAGAGCATTTTAGACCAATATCCTTGATGAACATTGATGCAAAAATCCTCAATAAAATACTGGCAAACCAAATCCAGCAGCACGTCAAAAAGCTTATCCACCATGATCAAGTGGGCTTCATCCCTGGGATGCACGGCTGGTTCAGTTTACGCAAATCAATAAATGTAATCCAGCATATAAACAGAACCAAAGACAAAAACCACATGATTATCTCAATAGATGCAGAAAAGGCCTTTGACAAAATTCAACAACGATTCATGCTAAAAACTCTCAATAAGTTAGGTATTGATGGGACATATCTCAAAATAATAAGAGCTATCTATGACAAACCCACAGCCAATATCATACCGAATGGGCAAAAACTGGAAGCATTCCCTTTGAAAACTGGCACAAGACAGGGATGCCCTCTCTCACCACTCCTATTCAACATAGTGTTGGAAGTTCTGGCCAGGGCAATTAGGCAGGAGAAGGAAATAAAGGGTATTCAGTTAGGAAAAGAGGAAGTCAAATTGTCCCTGTTTGCAGATGACATGATTGTATATCTAGAAAACCCCACTGTCTCAGCCCAAAATCTCCTTAAGCTGATAAGCAACTTCAGCAAAGTCTCAGGATACAAAATCAATGTACAAAAATCACAAGCATTCTTATACACCAATAACAGACAGAGAGCCAAATCATGAGTGAACTCCCATTCACAATTGCTTCAAAGAGAATAAAATACCTAGGAATCTGACTTACAAGGGACATGAAGGACCTCTTCAAGGAGAACTACAAACCACTGCTCAATGAAATAAAAGAGGATACAAAGAAATGGAAGAACATTCCATGCTCATGGGTAGGAAGAATCAATATTGTGAAAATGGCCACATTGCCCAAGGTAATTTATAGATTCAATGCCGTCCCCATCAAGCTACCAATGACTTTCTTCACAGAATTGGAAAAAACTACTTTAAAGTTCATATGGAACAAAAAAAGAGCCCGCATTGCCAAGTCAATCCTAAGACAAAAGAACAAAGCTGGAGGCATCACGCTACCTGACTTCAAACTATACTACAAGGCTACAGTAACCAAAACAGCGTGGTACTGGTACCAAAACAGAGATATAGATCAATGGAACAGAACAGAGCCCTCAGAAATAATGCTGCATATCTACAACTATCTGATCTTTGACAAACCTGTGAAAAACAAGCAATGGGGAAAGGATTCCCTATTTAATAAATGGTGCTGGGAAAACTGGCTAGCCATATGTAGAAAGCTGAAACTGGATCCCTTCCTTACACCTTATACAAAAATTAATTCAAGATGGATTAAAGACTTAAACATTAGACCTAAAACCATAAAAACCCTAGAAGAAAACCTAGGCATTACCATTCAGGACATAGGCATGGGCAAGAACTTCATGTCTAAAACACCAAAAGCAATGGCAACAAAAGCCAAAATAGACAAATTGGATCTAATTAAACTAAAGAGCTTCTGCACAGCAAAAGAAGCTACCATCAGAGTGAACAGGCAACCTACAAAATCGGAGAAAATTTTCGCAACCTACTCATCTGACAAAGGGCTAATATCCAGAATCTACAATGAACTCAAACAAATTTACAAGAAAAAAACAAACAACCCCATCAAAAAGTGGGCAAAGGACATGAACAGACACTTCTCAAAAGAAGACATTTATGCAGCCAAAAAACACATGAAAAAATGCTCACCATCACTGGCCATCAGAGAAATGCAAATCAAAACCACAATGGGATACCATCTCACACCAGTTAGAATGGCGATCATTAAAAAGTCAGGAAACAACAGGTGCTGGAGAGGATGTGGAGAAATAGGGACACTTTTACATTGTTGGTGGGACTGTAAACTAGTTCAACCATTGTGGAAGTCAGTGTGGCGATTCCTCAGGGATCTAGAACTAGAAATACCATTTGACCCAGCCATCCCATTACTGGGTATAAACTCAAAGGACTATAATTCATGCTGCTGTAAAGACACATGCACACATATGTTTATTGCAGCACTATTCACAGTAGCAAAGACTTGGAACCAACCCAAATATCCAACAATGGTAGACTGGATTAAGAAAATGTGGCATATATACACCATGGAATACTATGCAGCCATAAAAAATGATGAGTTCATGTCCTTTGTAGGGACATGGATGAAATTGGAAATCATCATTCTCAGTAAACTATCGCAAGGACAAAAAACCAAACACTGCATGTTCTCACTCATAGGAGGGAATTGAACAATGAGAACACATGGACACAGGAAGGGGAATATCACACTCTGGAGACTGTTGTGGGGTGGGGGGATGGGGGAGGGATAGCATTAGGAGATATACCTAATGCTAAATGACGAGTTAATGGTTGCAGCACACCAGCATGGCACATGTATACATATGTAACTAACCTGCACAATGTGCACATGAACCCTAAAACTTAAAGTATAATAATAATAAAATTAAAGAAAAGAGCTAAGTGATTTGCCTGAATATATTTCATTACTTACGCCCTTATTCTTGGCTTTTTGGCTAAGAATCTTCCATATCTTCTCAGGCTTGAAGCCCAGCCCATCGTTTTCTCTTTGTGACTTTTATCTGCCCAACCTCATTTTGCAGGAAGATCTCAGACCCTCACAGATCAGCCATAATGCAGACCCATCTTGACTCGGCCACTCCAGGAAGCTTGTTCTGTTGTTGGATATGTTAAATTGTTTAAAGTTTGCTTTTGTCTTTGGTCAAAATCTGAGTCACTGTACTTTCTGCTCTTTGGTCTGAATTGTTTTTTTTTTCCTTGTAGTAACACAAAAACAACACATCTATTCTTAATAATAATGTCATATTTTTATAGCGCTTTAGATTGCAAAGAGATTTCACATTATCTGATTAAATCTCAACAAAAATTTCTTGTAAATTGATATGCAATAAATTGTCTGTGATATTACAATCTTTGAGCTGTGAAACTTGGAATTCCTCTCAAAGTCATCTGACTCCAGGGCTAGGTTTTTACATTGTACCTGCATTGTAGTTCTCTTCCTTACCACACTCTTTTAAACATTTGACCAAGCACTTACATAGCCTACCTTCTAGTAGTCCCATTCTCACTGACATGCCCAAGATAAATTCATACAAGTACTCCAGGAGACCTATGTTAGAATGCTCACAGTAGCACTATTCACATTAGCAAAAACCTATGACAGCCTAACAGCCCATTGACAGGAGAGTAGATGATCAACTATTGCATATTAATTCAATGAAATAGTATTTAGCAGTCAAAACTATTAAAAAACAAGGATGGATATTACAAATATAATATTAAGTAAAAAATAAGTTCCAAAAGAATACATTAAATATGATACTTTTAAAATAAAGCCAGAAAAAATTAAAATGAAAAACATACTTTTAAGCTTATATGGAGATGAGATCAAACTATACACAATGAAAGGAAGCAATAGATAATCACAGGATTCAAGATGGTGGTTACTTTAGGTTGAGTGAGATAGGAAAATGCAGTGGTGCTGACCACGTATTGGTCTTCAGTTATTATTGCTGTATAAGAAACAAACCAAAACTTAGTGCCATAAAATAACCATTTACTTATTTTCACAGATTCACTGGGGGATGTAGACAAGGAACTATGAGGATAACTTGTGTTTGCTCCATGACATCACTGCCTCAGCTGGGAGGACTTGAAGCATGAGGCTGGCTAGAATCATCTGGAGATGTCAGTTGATGCTGGCTGATGGCTGGAATGCCTATATGTGGCTTCTCCACATAGATTTTCAGGGTGGGCTAGTTTGAGCTTCCTCACAGAATGATGGCTAGATTTTTAGAGTGAGTATCCCTGGAGAGAAAGGCAGAGGGCATGGCATCTTTATGATCTACCTAGTTGCATAGTGTTCCTTTTGCAAACTCTGTTGGTAAAGTCAGTTACAATGGTCCTTTCAGTTTCAAGAGGAGGGTACATAAGTTCCATCATTCAGTGGGTAGGCGGTCATTGTCACATTGTAAGAAGGGCATGTGGGATGGGAGTTATCTCTGTGGTCTCTGCCAGAAGCGGAAGTAAGTTATTGTCAACGTTTTGGTTTTTTGTTGGGTGGTGGGTTCATGGGATCTTACTGCATTATCGAAAATAGACATCAAACAATCATATAAAAATAAGTTAAAACATTCATGGATCAGTGATGAGAATGTGTCTTAAAGCAACTATTATGATTATTATATGTTGGTGTACTTGAAGTACAATAGAAACTTGAAGGTTCATATTCATCTCCTTCACTTTGGATGCCCCAGCTTTCTTAAATGTTCTTCATACAATGGGCCTTTAGACCCTCTCATCATCTTGGTCTTGCTTTTCTCAAAGTTCTCCAGTTGGCCAGCAGTTCTCTTAAAGAATCACAGCAGAGGGCAAAGATGGATTACGTCCATTCTATCAGTGGACTATTTGCTTTTATAATCTGTATATAATATGACTTTTAATATTAAAATTTATACTCACTTTTTAGTACTCATATCACATTATTGGCTTGTACTGAGTTATGGTCAGTTGAAAACCCCTGCATTATTTTTCAAGCCATACCATACTATATTTTTTATACCATTGAGTCCAAATTTTCTCATCTTAAGTTTTCAGATTGTTTTCATGAGTCTCAATATAGTCATTTACATTTATCCTTGTAAAATTTCAAATGGATTATTTTCAGTTCATTTTTCTGAACTTTGACATAAATTAGAATCTCTATTTTGTTATCTAGTATATTGACTGTCCTTACCACTCTTGTAATATTCACAAATTTGATTAGCATGCTGATTATGTTTTGATCTAAGTTGATCAGGGCAGGGCAAAGAACAGAATCCTGGTGAGGTTAACCTGACATGATTTGTTTTTAGTGAATCCAGGCTCTCTTTTAAAGGGACCCAAATTTATCAACTTATTTCTCATTTCAATAGAATGTAGATGCTATATTTGCCAGGGTTTTTAGAACCTATTTAAATGGATTTCCTTCCTTCCTTCCTTCCTTCCTTCCTTCCTTCCTTCCTTCCTTCCTTCCTGTTACAGAACCTATACTAGGTACTGCTAGTCATAAAGTGAATAAGATGTAGTCTTTGAAAGATCTACTTTTGTTTCTCCTGTTCTCCACCCCTTTGAAAATCACGGCTTTGCCTATCTTTGGCCTTCTGGCACAGCTCCATTATTTCCATAAAATTGCTGACAAGGGTCAGATTTATGAATGTCATATTGAAAAAATGAGGATACGGTGAGAGGGCAGGAAATTACCACCTTACGCAGAAAAGTTTTTGTGAAGGAGATAGAATTTCAGGATGTCTTAGAACACTTGATGAATTTTGTTTAAATCTTGACTGAATTTTGTTAGATTTGACATATACAGAAGTATAGTAGAATTCAGAACAAATTATTAACTTGTCCCAAACTGTATAGTAAATATGAATATTTTTACTGTTGCTAGAATAAATCTTAGCATGAGAGGACTATTAGCATGCAACTCACACTAAAACTAGTTTCTTTTTTAAAAAATAACCTTACTAAAATTTTCACTTGAAGTTTTATTTTGATATTCTGTATGTGCACATAATGCTAGGGTAGAAAAGCTGGAAACAGTGCCTCAGGCATTGAAAAGACAAAGTATACAAATTTTATTGTAGAACCCACCTTTTTTTTTCAAAGCAGTAACTTTTTAATGCCTAGTTGTGTTCCATTATTGTGCTAATAAATCTATAGGCATAAGAAATTGGGATTTTACTAGAAGTAAGCGGAGTGTAACTTTTTTTCCAAAACTAGGTTGCTAAAATTGTCATTTGATGATTAAGAGGGACCTCATTTTACCATTGTTAGTCTCTTCAACCAAAATGTTGCCCATAATGCTGTATGTGTGTGTGTGTATGTGTGTGTGTGTGTGCGCGCACATTTTACTGCCACTGCTTTACTTGTCATCCCCTTACCCCTTGCCTAACAGTTTCTGTCTTCTTTCAGGATGGAAAAGGGGGAAAAATATAAACATTTTTCAGTTTTCTTTTGTTTCTTTTTTCTTTTCTTTTGAGACAGGGTCTTGCTCTGTCAGTCAGGCTGGAGTGTAGTGGCACAATCTCGCCTCACCGTAGCCTCTGCCTCCCAGACTCAAGCAATCCTTCCACCTCAGTCACTGGAGTAGCTGGGACCACAGGTGTGTGCCACCACACCCAGCTAATGTTTGCACTTTTTAAGATGAGATTTCACCATGTTGTCCAGGCTGGTCTCGAACTCCTGAGCTCAAGCGATCTGCCCTCCTTGGCATCCCAAAGTGCTGGGATTACAGGTGTGAGCCACCATGCTGGGCCCCGTTGTTTCTTTTCTCAGATAATTTATTATTAGCCAAATTGAAGGGGGCAAGATGCATTATTAGATTTGGGATGGTTTGAGTGACAGGGTTGTTTTCCTTAGGGCTTCTTAGAAGAGAATTCTTAGAGAGATTCTTAAGAAAAAAGAAACAGAAGTCATATAAAGAAGGTAGAAATGATGAGGTTGTAAAAATTATTACCACACATTCAAGAATATTTCTTCAGTTACTATGTGAGTTAGTCCTGGACTGACTTCTTTATCTCCAGAAAAGGTGCACTCTTAATATTATTATTTTTCTCTGTTTTTGTGGGAGAAGAGCTTGGGGAAGTGTGAGGAACACAGGCAGAGGAGGGAGAAGTGCTGAAGAAGGGGAAAGGATAAAGGCAGAGGTGGGATGCCTTGTATAATTAGAGGGAGGCTTGGGTAGGGACTTAAGTGAGATTTCTTATTAAATTATGTGATTGAAGATAATTTTGGGGAAGAGCATTAGTGATTTCGGCCAATACAATGTGCCATTTTGGTGTTGGGCATGATAAAGCAAATTCAGACTTTCTGTGACGCTATTTCTCTCTATCTGTGCTGTGCTAGAGAAGGGAGATGGACAATGGCTCTCAGCTGGCTGCTTTAATTGGCTAATGGGAAGGTGAAGTAAGAAAAGTAGTAGAGAAGGCAAATTATAATCAGTTCATTTATAAATTATTATTTATTAAAATTAAATCACTACTGTACTTTCTTTTGGACACAGCATGAGCTTATAAACTTAAAGATGACCATTGCTTCCCTAAAAGCCTCTTCTAGGAGTCCATCCATATACTTATTGTTAGTATGTGAAATGTTCACTAAAATGATAATAGTGTATTTTCTATTTTATAACTTTCTTTTTTCAAGCAATTTGTCATCTGTTGCCTGCTACTATTTGTACTTCTCTTCCCCATGTTTTATTTCTACTTTATTTAGTCTTTAGCTTACCTCTAGAAGTCTTCCATTGTTGAGGTTTTTAAGATAAGAAACAATTATTCATTTATTTCCACTGAAAATTGATCTAAGTGGGTACCTGTCTACAGTCAATTTTCTTTACCCCCTTTCTGAGTGAATTCATGTGAAAATCTGTTGAAAGTATGAGCCTTCTCTTCATAAGAATATACCTCTATAATTTTACACACAGTTTCAGGGGGATAAATTTCCCTTAAAGGTACAGGGATCCCAAATTAATAACACTTTTGTGGGGGATGTGGGATGGCAAGGGTAAGAATGAATTATATTGTTAAGGTCTACACATGTAGTTAAGGTCTAGACAGGAAAAGCAGCAGATAGGTATTGCACATCTTTGCACAGACCATTTCTTGATGGTGTGGGAGTTTCTTTAATTAAAATATGGTAGGAACAGCTGGCCACCAGCTAGCACTGGCAACACAACAAGAATGTCAATAAATGCATCACAGAAAAAAACTTACAGGCCCAGTTGTTTCTAATGGAGACTATCAGTCTGTACCCCTATAGACAAGAGCTTCAATTTTTCCATTCCAATCACACTTGCTGTAGCATCCTTAATATTGAAAATAAACTGAGAACTTTACCAGAATTGTTAAAAATACCACCATGGGCATTTAGTCTTTGTAAAACCTTGGAAAAGTAGTTAATTCTGAACAACTCACCACATGTCTTATTGTGAGTCACTGAGAAAACAAAAAAATGAACTCCACTACTCATGACTTGGTTGTCTTCTTTAACTGGTAGACCACAATCCCGTTGGCAACAGGAGAGGGCTTGCTTCCAAGAATGCAACGTCCAAAGTGGAGGGCAGGGAGCACTAGTGAGCATGTAATGACAGTTCCCAAGGAGAACACGGGATGCAGTGCATCCTAGGGTGGGGTCAGGAATGATCCCTGGACAAGTCAGAACTCACGGTGTCTGGTTTTATTCTCTACATTTGGCAGCTCCCTTTTTTTCCTCCCTCAGTTTCCTTAGCTTTAAGGAAAGTAGGGGCTAATGTGAGCTTGCAGTGAGAGAATATAGATCAGTGTTTTGAAATCTGTGAATCATTAATCTAATGGAAAGTGTTGTAATTTTCTACTTAATTGGAAAATGACGGTAAATAAAGTAAATTCCCCTACGTCTTTTCCTAGTGTTGGTAAACTTTTCTGAAGTCAATAGAAGCTCTAAAGCAGGCGAAATATGGGAGCTTGGACGTACATATTCTTATTCTGGTGGGGGAAAAACAGGTTTGAAAATTTGAACAAATAGTGTAACTACAACAAATTCTCTTTCTTCTCAAAATGGGTCTGAGCCAATTTTGTTCTGTAGTACTGATTGAAAAGAAAGAAATTAGGAATGTACCTGAAAGGAAAGGGAAGATAATTAAATGTTTCAATACTCATTATGTGCCAGGCACATTCTCAAATACTTTACATATTTTATCTTATATAATTTGTACAACAACACAAGAAGAAAGCTGCAGTTCAGAGAGATTAGGTGGCTTTCCTTTCACACAGCTGAGTATCAAAGCTAGAATTTAAATCTATCTGTCCCACTCAAAAGCATATGCTCTTCTTACTGTACCATACTGCATTCTACCCTAAGCATTTTATTGGGAAATGGGCTTAATCTAATTAAGCATGGTGACTGGAAAAGACCACTTCATTTATCCACTCAATAAGCCTTCCTTAAATATGTATTATATACAGGGCACTGCTAAGTATTGGTATACAAAGAATAAGAGAGCACTCACTGTCAAGGAGCTCAAGATCAAAGCTTCTTCTATCCATCTATATTTACTAGCAAAGAGAAACTCATTAAATAATGATAGAAGCAATTCCCAAACATGATTCACATCTTTTTAATTAGCAAGGAACTTTATTCATAAAGCCTCTTAAACTGAGAGTTTATCAGATATCCTGGGATAGTCATGTCCCCAAATTTCATGCCACATCTGAGATTTTAACTGGAGTGAATTAATATACCTCAATGTTTAAAAAAAAAAAGAGAGAGAGAGGCATAATTGTCTATTATATGCTCTGACAAAGACTACTTAAATTTCAGAGCTATCTAGTTTGTAGGAGCCTGGAGAGTCTTGGAGAATTAGATGCAGTTTCAATTAAATGATATTAAGATATCCCTGAATTTTAAACTGCTGTGCTATGAGACAATGCCTTTACATCATGTGGGTAGAGCTACATTTTTTAAAGTATTTATTTTGGTTGGTGCTAATGAGATATTTATCTCCATTTCCCAGACATTTTGGACTTTGTTTCAGAAGAAATTCCAAATGTTACTTACAAGAAGCAAATTCTAATCTCTTAATGTCAAAATGTACCACAAAAGAATGAGGAATAAGCTACAAATAGCAAAACAAACACAATGCTTTTTACTTGAGGAATCTGCCAGCAGAGGGCAATATTAGTTTTCACACTCTCCTAATATCTCTACTGATTTTAAACCATTAAGTATAAAATAGCTATTTGGTAGAAATCTTAGGCTATGAAGTATTTTTGTTTCTGGCAGATACGAACAGGAACATAGTAGAAGCAAAGATAAAGCATGACGTTGAGTATTAGAATTCCAACATCTCTGATAAAAATTAATCTTATTTATTTTCATTGCTATGAAAACTCTAGACATTTGCTGATTATAATTCAGCTGGAGGGTTACCATCTCTTTATGGTATTTCCCTATTCTCCAGCACACAGAAAGTTTTCAGTGACTATTCATTGAATAACTTATGAGTAAATAAATGCTGATCAAATAGATATGTGTGTATGGGGTTGGGGTGGAGGCCAAGGGTAGGATGAAAACTTCTTACACTCCCCTCTCATTTAGAATACAATCATTTCTGTGCATGGCTTCTTTGAATGTTTCAGATAGCACTTTGGAAAGTGATTTTTGGTATTTCCAGCAATTTTAGAGTAACCTTAAATCAATGAATTTAATCACCATAGCTTGGATTAGTAAAAGATGAAAGCTATTGCTGAACTTTCCATAGGAGAGTTCCAAATCTTACTTAATATTGGTAAGGATATTTGGCTAGACTGGATTTATGAAAAGTAAGATTATGAAAATTAAAATATTATTTATCAAGTGCTGATTGAATTAAGCAAGCCACTTGACATAACTAAAGTCAGAAAGACTCAAACTGATTTTTTTAGGCTGAATTAAAAGGAGAGATACAATATAAATTGTGAGTCAGTATGTGTCTGCTCAGTATCTATGTATCTTATTTTCTCAATTTTGGTATGTAGTTATTATTATTATTTCACATACATAGGATGATAGCAACAATGTTGGTAGTTTGAATTAATTGGCATTATGCCAAATTTTTGTTTCAACATCTGTTAAATGCATTTCTAAATCTATACTCTGTTTCACCATATAGATAAATATTTAACATGAGGGAATGGGCTTTGGGGATGACTGAATGAGTCTTATGTTTCCAATAGTTAATTATATATTTGTATTTAGAAACTCCACCTTAAGGCAAAAACTACAGGCCTAGTGGGAAGAAATCTTCTTCTGTGTACTCTTGATGTTTAGGTTTTTGGCCAGACTAAAAGTCACAGCAAAAGACATTTGCGGAGATGCCTTAAATATAGTACTGCAAATCCTGTACTGGGAGATATGGGATTAGCTGCAGTGTGAGTGGAAGGATTTTTCTGAAATTTGCCCATCAAATCTCGGCAAAGTTTTCCCATCAGAGTCATGTAGAGTAGCACTTTCTTTGCTCTGCTCAAGATTCCTTGCCTGGGTTAATAAAGTCAAGTTCCATAAGAAAATAACAACCTGATCTACCATCAGTAAGGCGTTCTGCTTAGGCAATTTTGGGTGGGAATGTTTGGGTTTATGCTGATGTAGGCACACTCTTGTTCCACATTGACTAACAGCTGCTAGGCAACAAGCTAGTATTGAGCTGGAGTTTGTCATCAAATGTAATCAAACTAAGTGATCCACATTTTAATGTCTTCAGCCTCATTAGCAAGCTCTTCTGATTAAAGCAGTTGCAATTTATTATACTAATAGATAAGTTTTTTGAAAAAAATATGAATCTCTTCTACTCCCAATGTTTCGTAATTTAATGCTATACTTTTGAAGCTTTGACTTAGTGGCTATGGCCATAAGCAACAACAGCATTATTGTTTTAGGGCACATTTCCAATGCTTATTTATGCTATGTAGTGTCTTTAGTTTGATTTCCAATAGGACTGACGGAATTTCTTTCAGATGTTTTGTCTTCTAAGTGTAAGACTTTATTCCGAGGGTAAAATACACTTATGAATGTGAAAGTTGTCAGAATCAAAATGGAGTCACTTGGGTTTTAAAAAACCCTGACAAATAGAGCCAGAGAAGCCCATGAAGGGAGGGTTCTCATGCATAAATGCCAGATTAAAAAAACTATCACAAAAGACTGCAAAAAGTTCAACCTTGCAAAAGGCCATAATAACCTTACACACATAAAAAATTCTTCCTTGAGGACATCTGCCCAGCAACTGCCTGTTCAGTCTTGGACTGGTGCTACCCTAGTTATTTATTGATCCTTGCAGCCAAGAATAATTACCTCAAAAATTATGTAATTCTCTTCATTTTTCCTTTAAAAACTTTTGTCTTCCTTTACCTCCCTGAATACACACGTATTTATTATGACATGACTATTCCCATGGCAATGCCCTATTTGCGAATAAATGTTATTTTCTTTTAGAAAGCCTCTCTATGTTATTTAGGTTGACATAAATTTTGATGCATTATTTAATTCATTTCATTGTATAGATGACAAACGACTAATAAAAATCATTTGTATTTCTTGATATGATCATATTCATGCCTCTTTAAAAATGATTTGGTGGCTACTTTTTACAACTTATTTATTTAATTTGTATAAACTTGAACTTTAGAATAGTTTCAGGTTTACAGAAAACTTATGAAGATAAAACAGAGTGCTACCATATATGCTACACCCAGTTTCCAGTATGGCTAACATCCTATATTGGTATGGTACATTTGTCATAACTAATGAACCAATATTAAACATTATTATCAACTAAACTCCACACTTTATTCATATTTCCTCAGCTATACCTTTTCTGTTCCAATATTCTATCCAGGATACATTACACATTAGGCTTCTCTAGATTATGACAAGAAATCTTGGGGGAATTCCTGAAAGGAAGGCCACAGATGCTATTCTCATCACATCCTATCAAGAGTACATGCTATTGACATGACTTATCACTGTTGTTAAACTTGATAATCTGGTGGAGGTGGTGTTTGACAGGTTTCTCCTCTGTAAAGTTATTTTCTACCTTTCTTTACCATATTCTTTGGGAGCAAGACATTATGTGCAGCCCACATGTAAGGGATGGGTATTCATCCTCCATCTCATTGAGGAGGGAGTATCATATATACTATTTTGAATTCTTCTGCTTGGGAGATTTGTCTATATTTATTTATTTATTCAACTTATATCCTTATGGACTCAGGATATTTTACATTTTGAGTTTTAATTTAATATTATTTTATTTATTTTGTTGCTTAAATTGTTACAGCTTTGTTCATTGGGCATTCTTTTAACTGGCACCTGTATCTCTTTAACATATCCCACCATTGTGTGTGTGTGTGCTTTACATTTTTATTTTTTGCATTTCCTTCATTTCTGGCCACAATAAGATGCTCCTCTTATATATTCCTTGCCCCAGCCTCAGAATCTACCATTTCTCCAAGTAATCCTGGTTTGTTTTATGGGAAATTGGCATTAGAAATCAATATTTGATGTATTTTGAAGTCAAGCTGGTAAAAAGAAAAAAAATCAATATTTGGGCACTAATTGTGCTCATTGTTATTGAGATGTCATTACTTTTAGGCCACCTCAGCTGACAGAGCAAGAATATATATGTGCATTCTAATATAGACACATATATCTTTAAGTATTTATTAATATGTACTCATGTTATTCTGCATTAAGTCAAACATGAGTTCATGCTGATGTGGCCAATTCTACTCCATCACCAAAGGATCACTGTAGCCTTCTGGGTACTTGTTACTTAAAAAAAAAATGTGTTTTTAACTCATTGTAGGCTGAAAATAAAAAGGAAAGAAAGAAAGAAGACTGGTGTTTATGATGTATTCTACTATTTCTCCAGAGCAACCTGGAATTATTTACTGCCTTTTGATTAGTATGATTTAAGTGGACCAAGTTATTTTTTAAGTAGAGGCAGAAGGCCTGGACACAGTTTATTATTATTGAAGCCAATACTTTTCTTCTTTCATTAATTGGTATGGAAAAAAACTATGTGAAAGATTGTGACCAGCTCTAGGTTTTCTGCAAACAGAACAAGAAGAAAGAGGCTTAAAGTGCATTACAAGAAATATAAGGGAAAATATTCTGATATAGAGAGTTACTGAATGCTAGAATGTAAGATAAGAGAAGAAATTAGTGACTGTTCCTTAAAATTAGGACAGATTCCTAGTTGTCTAGAATAGTAGGTGTTTTTCTGATTTTCAGAATTCTTTTTCCTCTCTGAATTCTGGGATTTTACCACTTATAATTAAAGCCTTTGCCTAGGAAAATCTCTATTTTGAAGATATAAGAAGGAGATCTGAAAAAGGAGAAAAAAAGAATAGATTATATCTACTACCCAACCCATACTCTAATATCTTTTCATATTCTTCAACATCAAGTAAATCCGTGTTAGAATATTGATCTGCCCCTTTTTCAAGCACCTTATGTTTAATGGAATCTGGTCATAGGCACTAATGGATGTTTCCTTTTCATAAACAGATGGGTGACTAGATATTCACAACTTCATACTATTTTTTTAAAAAAGCTTTTATTATATTTTTTAAACTACATTCTGCTAAATTGTCCTCACTTCTTTCATTACCTATCTGGAAGTAAGTAATGATGTTTCACCTAAACAAAATGATTTAAAACATGATTTTGGACTTAGAATGATTAGCTTTCTCTACAGAACATTTATTTTACTAGGAATATCATGTTTAGGCTAATAAAAAAATTATTTTGCATGGTGGCAATGGAGTGTATTAGAAAGAGTCCTGCAAGACCTGAGTTTTTACTCCTAGCTGGCTGTACTACATGCCATGGAAGTGATCTTGGATGAATTGCTTGTCATTCTGAGTTTAGTTTGCTCATCTTTGAGATGGTTGTAGGAACACTTATCTTACAAACAAGGTCGTTGTGAATATTAAATGTGTTCATGAATTCACTCATGTGCTAAGAATATGCTTTAAGTTGTTGTGCATGGTGATGCATGCCTAGCTATGGGAGGTAAGGGGAGTTGGGGCTGAAGTGGAAGGGTTGCTTGAGCCAAGGAGTTTGAGACCAGCCTGGGAGATATAGCAAGACCCTGCCTCTGAAAACATGTATGTATGTATATGTGTGTGTGTGTGTGTGTGTGTGTATATATATGTGTGTGTATATATATATGTGTATATATATACACATATATGTGTATATATATACACATATATGTGTATTTACATATATACGTATATATATGTGTATATGTGTATACATATAAGTATATATGTGTATACGTATATATGTGTATATACATACACATATATGTATATGTGTATATATACATATATACACACATATATATGTGTATATATACATATATACACATATATATGTGTGTATATATATACATATACATGTATATATATATATATATACACACACACAAAATATGCTTAAAGTACTCAGATGGCAGTTATTATGGTTATCATTATTAATCATAATGAATTCAGCAACTCATCAAAGAAACATTATTGAATTTCTACTGTATAAAAATGAATAAAACACTACGTGTTTATAAAAATGAATAAAACACAGCCCTTATTTTCAAGGAGCTCATGGCATTGGAGGAAAAATATGAAATTACTTTGAATTTGTAAATAAGCGAGAAAGCTCAGAGAAATACTCATGAGCAGGAAAAGCTCATTCAAGAACAAATAATGCTTCATGGATAATTCACAAAGCAAAAAAAAAAAAACCAAAACTCTGTCTTTTTTTTCTGAAAAGATCAATATAATTATAATGTATGTATCATATTAATGATGAAACTTTGCAATATACTGTAAAGTAATTGTATATTTCAAAGTTTAAAAATTTTCAATTTTACTATAAAGTCATAGGGAAAACATAGACTAAAGGCAAAAGAAGGAGAATAAAAGTGAAGGGGAGAAGAATGAGCTGTGAGAACAGATGACTTAACCTCTTTGTGTTAATTTCATCTTTAATTTCCTCTTCTATGAAATGGGGATCATTCTATTAACTATCTTACAGTTTTGGAATGAGAATTAAAGGTGACAGTGCATTCATGCATATAAAGCACTTAAGGCTGGGTGCGGTGGCTCAAGCCTATAATTCCAGCACTTTGGGAGGCCGAGGTGGGTGGATTACTTGAGGTCAGGCGTTTGAGACTGGCCTGGCTAACATGGTGAAACCCCATCTCTACTACAAATACAAAAATTAGCTGGGCATGGTGGCATATGCCTGTAGTCCCAGCTACTTGGGAGGCTGAAGCAGAAGAATCACTTGAACCTGGGAGGTGGAGGTTGCAGTGAGCTGAGATCATGCCACTGCCCTCCAGCCTGGGCAACAGAGTGAGACTCTGTATCAAAAAAAAAAAAAAATACATATATATATATATATATATATATATATATTTCACTTAAAATAGTGCCTGGGACATGGGTACTCAGTAAATATTAGCTATTACATCTGATAGGTGCAAGAGTGATCATCACAAGCTCAAAATATACTTCTGCACTGTCTCAAATTTTTTTGTGTGTGAGATCTTAGACAAGTCATCCTCTGGGCCTCAGTTTTCTCTCTGTATAAGGTCCTAGCGTAGAAAAACGATCTTTAAAATTTTTTCCAGCTTTTGAATTGGGGTAAAGGAGCAGAAGAGACTGGGTATGAGAGTTACTTGGGCCCTGACTTTATGGAGGTAGCAGCTGCCTGTGAGAGGAGCGGGGAGGTTTGAGAGGACATCTTGAGAAGGGTCATTGAGAATAAATTTTAATTTCTTCTGTCTTTTTTTCAGAAAATGAAGCAGAGATATTTTTGGTTGGAGTCTTTATTCCTCATTAAGCATTCAGTTAGGGTTTACAAGACTTTTCCTCAAGTATTATGAGGACAGCCTGAAGGTCTTGATCTTTATTTGGGGGTACGTACACTGGGATGGAGAGCTGAGGTCCTTGTAGAGAGGACCACAACTGATAAACAAACCAGAATCACAAGTCCTAGAAAACTAGGGCCCCAGCTGAGCCTAAAGAGTGGCTCCTTTTGGACAAGCTACCAGACTCATGTTTTCTACGTCCTCTTGGATTTGTTGTGAGCCAGTTTTCTCTTCTGAGGCAGCATACTTCCTGTTTTATGATGGGAATGTTGCCTATATAAGGAGTAAAAGACTAGGCCCTTGGTGCTTTTCCCTCTTCCGCTTGTTCCCCTCACTGACCAAAGGCTTCCTGGCTTCATTAAAAAAAAAAGTAGAAGCTGAGTATTACATTCCCCAAAGTATGCCATGAGAGTTATTCTGTGCTTTTTTCTCTTTAGTACCAAAGGAGAATAAGAATGTAAACATCTGTTTTATATAAACTAATTCCAGACTTAAACTTGATTAGTATAAGAGAATATTCTATGTGATTAGTTTTCCAGTTATAACATGATGGCTTTCTGTCCTTTTATTGCCTTCTTAAAGGAGAAAAGAGAAGAACAAATAATGTTTCTTTTTTTTTTTTAAGTGTCATAGAATTGCCAAGTATAACCATTATGGTTGGTGCAAAAGTACTGTACTTTAAATTCAATGGCAATAGCAAGTTACTTGCCCCGTAGAAATGTACTAAAGTAAACATAAAATAACTGTGGGCCTCATTATGTAGAGAAGAAGACATTTTGGGAAGGATCATTGAGAATAACTTCAAGCCATTTAGTGATTTGCAGGAGGCAGTTTACTACAAAGCAGTGTTTTTGCATACTGCTTTACAGCAATCATCTTCACAACCCTTATTAATTCAAAGTTTTTCTAAACTAGGCTTTATCAGGCCCTGTGTGATGAATGCTTCCAATTAAATGATCACTTAAAATAACAGTAAGCACAGTCTTCTCCAGAGCAGGTAGAAGAATTTCAAGGGAGAAAACTGAATTGGAGAGAGGATTTTAGCAGTGACATTATTGGAAATGTGCTGGACTACTTAAAAAACAATGTTACCTTGTCCTTTGCCTCATTCCCCCATCCCCACCATCCAATATAACATTAATGATGAGAATCTATGCAAGGAGACTTTTGAGAATAATTTGGTGATTGTTATCATGAAACTAGAAATGTTCCATAATCTGCTACATGTTGCTGTAAAATCTAACATTGTGTATGTAAACTTTAGAAGTGGCAACTCCATTCTCTGCTTTCATTCCCTTCCTCCTAGGACTTCTAAGATCAAGGATAGATATCAGTTCCTGATAAACTGAAAAGGTCTTTTACTTTTCTCTTTTCTCCCTTCTCTGTCCTCATGGCCTTTAAAGGGTATTTTTGGTTTGTGCTTCTTTGGAGTTACCTATGCAGCTCTTTTCATAAAAAGTGACTGAAAATTACCAAATCATGTTGATCTTGAATTCATGTCACTCCTTGCATTATCCATTACTATTATTTTAGTTCACCTCCTTGTACTTATAGCCAGAAGGGAGCTTTGCAAACAGTGAACAGCAGAGGCTCTGGAGTGAGATTGCTTGGGTTCAAGTCTTGGCTCTACTGCTTGCTATCATAGAATTTAGGCAAATTGCTTAACTCTCCAAGTCTCAGTTTCCTTAGATAAAGAATGTCATCAATATTTTTATTGCAACCTACTCCTATTTTTCTTCTTTTTTCCAATTTATTTCCCTTATTCCATCTCTCACACATCAAGTGGTTTTGTAAAGTATAAATCTTTTTACTCTTCAGCTTAAAGTCCTTTGGTGTCTTTAGGATATAATCCAAACCTTTACAACTGGTATCAAGGCTGCTGATGATCTATGCTTGGCTCCCTTTTGTACTTTCTCCACACTTGAACCTTACCTGCAGTTCTATAAATGGGTTATGTCTCTTCACCCTCAACCCCAACTGAGGCCTGGTAAGTTTCTACATATTCTACACTTACTTGAGATGCCATACTTTCTGGAACACCTTACCTGATTTGCCTTTCCTGAGAGTGGTGCCTGTCCTATTTGCTTCCTTAGAATGCTAGGTTTAGTCTTTCAGAACATTCTTAATCTGTTTGCTCAGCCCTACAAAACTGTAAGTGCCTTGAGGGCAGGGACTGAGTTTTCTCTCTCTAGTACATAGTATAATACCTGGCTAAATAACAGTTATTCCAGAAATTTCTTGAGGAATAAACAAGTAAATAACTGAGTACAGTTTGGGGTTAAGAGACAATAGAGGGTTCAGGTTATTAACTATGCCATTTTTATGGATTTTAATTGCTCTGTCAAATAAGTGGTAATATTGGATAATACCCAAGAATTACTTGGATTAGGTCAGTTTATTGGATACTTGTCATTCACCACTTCATATATTGTTATTCCTGGGCAATACTTTCACTTAAGCTTCACTGTTGTTGTTTTTTATCCCAACCCCTCCTACTCTCATCCTGGTCTGGGCCCTTTTCCTAACTCAATCATGTTCTCTTGATTTATATTCTTGGTATTCTCAGCTGACTGCTTGTCAAAGTCTACTTTCAGGGGTTCATTTATTCTAAAGTGTAAGTAAGATTTCCGTCCAGGGACTATTTTGTCCCAGAGAGCTACATTTTAATATAAGACCAAATTTTATTGAAAAGGAATGAGAGACCCCTCCTGTGTCCCAAGTCATACATTCATCAATATATAAGACTTAAGACAAGAGATGGATTTGAGATTATGGAAGATATATGTCTATTTCTACATATATACATATCTACTTAAAAATGCCTTTTAGGTATTAAATGTTCCTTTTCTCTTTCCCAACTACGGCACCCTGTGGATTTTAAATACATTCTTAAGTGCTATCACCCACTTGATGGTAGTGAAGCTATAAAAGACCTAAAAGCAATCAACTTGATAATGTACTCTTATATTGGCTATCCTTTCTTCCTTACTTCATTACCTCTACCCCTCATACCTGTACCCTGGGGTCACATTCCAGACCATCTCTAGTCAGACTAGAAAACCCCATGATTCATAGAGTACTGGGCAGAGTATACAGAAGGGCCTTTTCTCAGTAGTGGAAATACTTAGCCATAGACTGAATACTGCTTTGGTTTCACCTAACAATTTTTAAAAGAAAGCCCTAAGAGGATCAAACTGTTTCTAAGCAACTTAATTCTGTCCCAGAATAAAGTCCTAGCGTATTGATAGGAATACAGAGATATCCTTGTTATCCTAACAAGGTTAAAATTCACAGTGTCTGATAGGTAGTCAAGGATTATGAGGCTTGAAAAGACGCAAGAAAATACAATCCATAACAAGTAGGAGTACTGACCAATTGAAACTGATCCAGAACTGACACAGATATTAAAATGACCAAATGCACACATTGAAGTTATTATAACTGTGTTCTATTTATACACTTAAAAGGAGAAAAGGAAGACATAAAAAAGATCCAAATTAAACGTCAAGAGTTGAAAACTACAATGCCTGAGATGAAAAATATATTGGATGAGGCAATTGGCAGATTGAATAGGGAGAAGTCAAGGTTAACGAACTTGAAGAAATAGTTATGGAAACTATAAAAAATGAAGCATAGTGACAAAAGAAAAAAATAATTTTTTTAAAATTAAGAGAGCATCAGTGAACTGTGGAAGAACTTTAAGTAGCTTCATATATGTGTTAATTGGGGCCCCTAAAGGAAAGGAGGTTGAAGACAGAAAAAATAATGGCCCCAAATGTCCAAATTTGATGAAAACAGATGGAAGAAGTACAAGAAATATGAGGGCAGCCACATCAATGCACATCATAATCAAACTGCTCAAAAACAGTAACAATAAAAAAACTCTTAAAAACATACATGGTTTATATAGAACAAGTAAGTACAAAGATGATAGAGATTATCTTTTTATTGGAAACAATACAAGCAAGAAGACAAATGAAAGTACTGAAAGAAAAACAAAAAACCTGTCTACCTAGAATTCTTTACTCAGCAAAAAAAAAAAGAAAAAACTCTTTGAAAAACAAAAGTGAAATAAAAACTTTTCCAGACATACAAAAGTGAAAGAATTTGTCTCTAGTCGAACTGCATTACTGAAATTATTAAAGAAAGTCTCTTAGTGAGAAGGAAAGTGATATCAGATGGGAATCTGGATCTACACAAAGAAATGAACAGCACAAAAAATGGTAACTACCTGGGTAAATATGCTACATTTTTCTTATTTAGATTCATTAAAAGATAACTGACTCCTTATGCAAAAAAATCAATATAATGTGGGATTTAAAATATAGTAATATGCAATAAAAATGGATGACAAAAATAGTAAAAAAGTCAGGAGGGGAGAAATGGAAGTATACTAATCTAAGGTTCTTATACATGAAGTGGTATAACACTACATGAAGAAAGGCTGGTAAATTAAAGATGTATACTATAAACTGTAAAGCAACCACTAAAAGAGTTTTAGCTAATAAGCTAGCAATGGAAATAAAATGGAATCATAAAATATTCAAAAAGAAGGCAAAAAAAAAAAAAAGGAACAAAGAATAGATGGAAGAAATAGAAAACACATAGCATGGTGGCAGATTTAAACTCAACCATATCCATAATCACATTGAGTGTAAAACATCTAAGAGCACAAATGAAAAGGCAGAGATTATTAGCCTGGATGAAAAAGCAAGACCCAATTTTAGGGTGACTACCTAAAATATACTTTAAATATAAAGAAAAAAATAAGTTAAAGGTGAAAGGATAGAAAATGATACACCATGCAACACTAATCAAAAGAAAGTTGCAGTGTTAATATCAGACAAAGTATATTTTGGAACAAATAATACTACCAGGGACAATGAAGGCAACTTCATAATGATAAAGGCGTCAATTCATGTCCATTATGTCAAAAGGACATAATAATCCTATGTGCTTATGTAACTAACCACAGAGCTTCAAATACATGAAGCTAAAACTCATAGAACTGCAAGAAGAAATACACAAATCCACAATTGTCGTCAGATATTTCAATACCACTCTCAAAAACTGATAGAACAAATAGGCAGAAATCAGTAAGGATATAGAAGATTGGAACATTATTAAACAACTTGACCTAATTAACATTTATAGAACATTCCACCCAACAGCATTCTTTTCAAGTGCACATGGAACATTTATAGATCATTTAATCCTTATTAGGTGGGTGCTATCATTATTCCCATTTACAGCTGAGTAAACACAGGTCTGAAAAAGTTTGGTAACCTTCTTGAAGGTCACACAGTTAAATGTCACAGCTGGGCTTTCAACCCAGGGTATCTGACCCAGAACTCTTAATCACTAGGCTCTGTGGCCTCCCTTGAGCACCTGGAATAGCTCAGGTCTCTAAGACTTAGAATGAAATCCTTTTTAAATAAACAACGGAATGGGAGACTCAAATAGCATTCTCTAAATACTGCTTGAGAAGGAAGTACCTTCCCCCTTTCCTCTCATATTCCCACTCAGCCCAAATGGCCTGTCTGCTTCCTTTAAGTGACATGACTTATAGGTATCATAAACTCGGGTTCCACAGCCGCTGGGACTGAAAGAGAAGACAGTTGTAGATTACAAAAGGTTGGTGGGAGCTAACTCTTCCTCAGGCTGCATCTCCGTTGGGTGGGCGGTCTAATATACATCCAAACAGAGATCAAGATGCCTGTTTGCCCCTCTTTAAATGCTGGGATCTGGACAACAACTCCTTTTCCAGGAAGGAAATGCGTTTTTATTAAAATGACATAAAGAATCCTTAGTTCATGGTAGACTTTCTTTGCTTATCCTCTTATCTCTGTTATTAGTACTATAACGTATATAGCAATCACAACACGGAAAAACGTTGGCATGTCTTCCAGGGTGAGGTTTCCTTCTTGACTGGCAAGAAAATGCCATAGAGGGGAGCACCTTTCCAATAGATCTTTGGCTGAGACCTGAGGCATGACTGTTCCAGGGGAGGAAATCTGAAACGGGGATATTATTCTGCCTTACTATGCTGAGCGTAGGATTCAAACTGCTCAGCAAATGTGAATCTTGATAATACAATTAAAAAATCAATTTTCTCTTTAATATGAATTTTATGTCTCATCTTTCCCCACACCTCTCTCGCCCCTCCTCCTTGTCCTTTCTACGGGGCTTCCATCCTGTATTCACATTCCCCTCTACAGTTAGTGACTACCTAGTTCTTGTCTCTCATTTCCCTCAGCAGCCCCTTTCCTCTTCCTGGGCTTCTTGCCCCTTCAGCGTTGTCCTCCCTTCCTTCCCTGCAGTCCAGAGTCTCAGAGGAGATCAAAGAGCGATAGTGTGGCTGCCTCGCAGCTGAGAGAATTTTCCAGCTCCCCCTCCTGGCTGGGCCGAGTTGTGGGCTGAGAGGCAGGAGGCTGGGCTGGGGCGTCTTGACTTTTGGGGGGAATTAGGAAAGAGGTGTCTAAAGCCGCGTTGTACACAATAGAAAAACAAAATTCCCTTTGTGCTAGTGTGGTGTCCCTCGGTTTGGGTCTTTGCCACACATTCTTGAAAGCCATTGTTTACACTAGCGTTTTGCAGGTTAGGAACGGTGCCGGTGGGAACCGAGCTGACACCGTAAGCGCTTCCCTGGGACTGAATTGACCCTACAATCAGTGGAGGGAAAAGTCACCCTCCGGGGGGGCCTCCAGAGCAAAGGAGGGAGGACGGCAACTGGCCAATCAGGAGGCGAGGCCGAGCCAGGCTTCCCCTCGTCGCTCGTGAGCTGCAAACAGTGGAAAGTTGGGAACCTCAGTCGCTGGCCCAGGCGGAGAGCAGCGGCGGCGGCGAGGGCAGCGGGATTCGGGCCGCGGCGCCGCAGGCTCAGAGCTGCCCCCGGGGCATGGACCCGACGCGCCGCCCGCACTCCGCCACAGGCTGTCCAGGGCCCGCGGGCAGATAGCAGTCCAGGAGGAAGCCGCATCCAGACAAAAGCTGCCGCATCCCTGCCCTGCCCAACCCCTGGAGGGATTCGAGTTTGGTGCTTGTCCCCGTCTGATTCTCAGCGCCAAACTTTTTGCTAGTTCAGAGATTCCAAGAGTCTGATGAGTTACTCTGAGAGGAAACCCTCTGCCTGTTGTTGAGGAGGACTGAGCACAGTGCTTAGGCGCTGAGGGGGAAAAAGAGGGGGAAAAAAAAGAAAATGATTTCCTGGGAAGTTGTCCATACAGTATTCCTGTTTGCTCTTCTTTATTCTTCCCTAGCTCAAGATGCGAGCCCCCAGTCAGAGATCAGAGCTGAGGAAATTCCCGAGGGGGCCTCCACGTTGGCTTTTGTGTTTGATGTGACTGGTTCTATGTATGATGATTTAGTTCAGGTGATTGAAGGGGCTTCCAAAATTTTGGAGACGTCTTTGAAAAGACCTAAAAGACCTCTTTTCAACTTTGCGTTGGTGCCTTTCCATGATCCAGGTAAGGGAAATATTTATACTTTGTCTTTGCTATGTCTCATGATTACATTATTTCTCATGCTGTGAATGAAATTGTTTGTCAGGAAGTTTCAAAACCATTTTAAAAAAATGTGCAGCTGAAAATAGTTGTAACAAAGAATTACTTGCTGGCGTCTGGGTTTGCTCATTGATACCTACTTAAGTCTCAGCCCTGGTGGAGATGGCTTGTTTAGGGAACTTGTACTGTGGTCCTCAAACCTGGAAATGTGGAGTTACGAAAAACAAAACCAAAAATCTTGGGCAACGACATCAAAATCACTTAACTCACTTAGATTTTAGAACTAAAGCATGTTTAATTACGAAGGCAGACTTGGACACGAATTTATAGCAGCGAAGCTCTAGGGGCTAACATCCAGATTGAAAGCACACTCTGAGGGTAACTCTCATTTAAGAGGGGAAAAAACCTGTTGTGTGAGACACAAGGAAGCCTGTAAGTAGTAACTACTAGTGGAACTGAAGACATGAAAAGAAAAGAGAGAAACCAATCATTTCTTAACTGAATCTATTCATCTTTGCACCAGGGCATCATTAGATAGGTTCACAGATGGGTATAAACATTACATCCATGTCTCCTGCGGTAGAATTGCTTGTAATTCGGAATGTCTGTGCTTTTTAAAGGTAGTTGAAGTGAAATAACTTCATTTTTGCCCTAAAGCCGTAGGTTTCAGCAGCTCCACTGTAATATGATCCTATTTACTTTTTTCAGTTTCTCTTTAAAGTAGCACCTCTCTGTGAGGCTTATAGGAGCCCCCATTGCCATAGCTGAGGGTAGCCTTGCAAGGGAAACCCTGGGGCTGGCAGTCTAATGTCCACCTGAGTTTCATTAGCACAAGTTGCTGCCCAGTTGAAGAAATGAAGCAGTGATTTCTTAACAGTCCTCCCCCACTGTTCTCCCACACTTTTCCTGCTTTTGAAATTCTCCCTTCACTAGAAGAACTTGACACAACCTCTTCACAACGAGAGTGTGATATCGGCAATCTGAAATTCCTTCCTGTGCATTTAGCAAAAGTATATAAGTTCAAATTATTGGTAGGTATTAAATATGGCAGGTTTTAACTATTAAACAATGGCACTGGGAGAAATTTAAAGATATATAGAACTCTCGGATTTTCATGCTCTTCACATGATGAAAACAATCTGTACTACTCTTCTGGGATATGTAATATATATATACACACACATACACATACATACATTACATATATGTAATTACATATATTTGTAATTTCTACATTGGTTAAACATGAATATTATTTATATTTGAATAAAGAATTGAATGATTATTTACTGTGTTTACTGTCTTAGACACTTCATATGTTGTGATTTTCAATGTATTAAATGTCAAGATGCCAACTGTGATGCAGTTTGAGGTTTTTGTTATTTCGGAATACCTTGAGTATGTTTCTTCTAGATGGATGAGTCTGAAGTTAGCTAAAAAATGAAGTGAAATTTTGTTTTTTCTCTAACACCACGATTTGCTTTTCACCAAAGAACTCTTATGAAATTATATTGCTGTAAACAGAATACAAAAATTGCCTCAAGTTATACATGGATACCGGACTATCCTGATATTTTGAAGTGATATGAAAACTTATTGGAATGAATTGTATTGTGGTGCCCTGCCTTTCAATTGTTACCAAATGGGAGAGTTTGCTCTTTGCTGTAGTTGACTTTCCTGTAGTTTAGCAATCATGATTTAAAGTTGGGGAAACTTGACATGCTAATAACAGATGACTGAATAAGTTAGAGCTTTTCTGAATCCAGTAATATGAGAAAATGGTTAACTAATTTAAATTGGTTTCATAAACTTAATTGTGTGTATAATTCAACAGAATTATTAATTCTGTTTACATTGTGATTCAAAGTAGAAGTGGCCAAATATTCATGTTATCTAAAGCTATTTAAAATATTTTTGAAAATAAAGAGAGAAATTGAAGTTTAAACATACTGTTAACTTTAGTATTCACTTTACTAGATTGTAGTACTTTATTTGTGTGATATTTTTCCTCTGTAGGTGTGTGTGTATAATCATTAAGAGTTTTTGGCCTCTTTGTAGTTTTTTTGTTGTTGTTTATTTTTTTTTTTTTGAAACAGGGTCTCACTCTGGCACCCAGGCTGGAGTGCAGTAGCACTATCATGGCTCACTGCAGACTCAACCTCCTAGGCTCAAGCAGTCCTCTCACTTCAGCCTCCCGAGTAGCTGGGACAACAGGCACATGCCACATCTGACTAATTATTTTTTTCATAGAGACAGGGGTTCCACTATGTTGCCCGGGCTAGTCTTGAACTCCTGGCCTCAAGTGATTGTGCTGCCTTGGCCTCCCAAAGTGCTGGGATTACAGGCAGGAGCATCTTGGAATGACAGGAAGGACCTTAAATGGGAATTGGCTGTCTTAGTGAGTGACATTAGAAAACTATATTTACTTTCTGAATCTTAGTATCCTCAACTATATAAATTGAGAGAATTCTATGTGAATATCTCTTAAGGTCTCTTCTAATGTGACAGTTAATGACTCTTTTACATATGGTTGTTTTCATAGTGCCTAACACATATTCCTATGGTTGGGTGACACAACCAACATGGAAAGAAATAATGTATAGAATTTAATATGATTATATTAATAATCTTGAATGTTTATAAGCCCTTTGACATCTATCGCATTTAGCTAGATGAAATAATGGATGAATTCTGGGATATATTCTATGTCTTTTGATATAAACCTTTAGATATTTGCAGATGATTGCTTTGGAGCCCTGCATTACAGTTTGGGGCAAGGTGTGTATTTGCAGATGGAGTAAATTTAAAACACATGGAACACATAGGTAGTGGAGGCAGGGTGTCTAACAAGTTGAAAATGAGATAAGACCATTCAGAATATGTGCATGTAAGAAGCGCTGTGTTGAACTAGCAGCACATGTGTCTAGAGTAGGAGGAGGTACCAGAGATGAACGGGGGTCATGGAAAGGCGAGCCAACCTTTTGATTTTGATGTTAACGGTGGTTAAGATGGATTTTCCACTTTCACAATCACACTTAATGTATTTATTTTTAATGGTTTTATTGAGATGTAATCCCCTTACCATACAATTCATCCACTTAAAGTGTACAATTTGATGCTTTTCAGTATATTCACAGATAGGTGCAAATGTTGCCACAGTCCATTGTAGAACATCTTCATTACCTCAAAAACAAATCCTGCACCCTTCAGCTTTCAGTCTCCTATACCCCAATCATCTTCCCCTCAGTCCTAAGCAGCCACTAATCTATTTTTTTGCTTCTATAGATTTTTCTGTTCTGGACTTTTATACAAGTAGAGTCATATTCTATAAGGTCTTTCATGACTGGCTTCTTTCACTTTAGCATAACATTTTCAAGGTTCATCCATGTTGTAGCATGTATTAGTACTTCATTCCTCTTTTTATGGCCAAATAATATTCCATTGTATGATATACCACATTTTGTTTATCTGTTAGTCCATGATGGATATACCTGGCAGTGGAATTGCTGGGTCATAGTAACTCTATGTTTAACTGTTTGAGAAACTGCCAAGCTGTTTTCCAAAGCAGCTGTACCATTTTATATTCCCACCAGCGCTGTGTGAGGGTTCCGATTTCTTTCCAACCTCCTCAATACACTACTATTATTATTATTTGAAAATTTCAAAAGTTCTTTATTATAGCACATAGATTTATAAAGCTCTTCTTAGAGTTAAAATAATTCAAAAAATAGAAAGTAAACTCATTCTGGAGATTATTTTCTTTATGTAGCATACAACTTCTTTTTTTCCTTCCAACTTTCATTTTAGGTTCAGGGGCCATATGTGCAGGCTTGTTACATGGGTAAATTGTGTGTCACTGGGGTTTGGTGTACAAATGACTTCGTCATCCAGGTAGTGAGCATAGTACCTGATAGTTTTTCAGTCCTCATCCTCCCCCTATCCTCTAATCTCAAGTAAGTTCCAGTGTCTGTTTGCCGCTTTGTGTACATGTGTACTCAGTGTTTAGCCCCCACTTATAAGTGAGAGCATATGGTATTTGGTTTTCTGTTCCTGCATTAATATGCTTAGGATAATGGACTCCAGCTGCATCCATGTCACTGAAAAGGACATGATTTCACTCTTTCTTATGGCTGTGTAGTATTCCATGGTGTATCTGTACCACAATTTCTTTGTCTAGTCCATCGTTGATGGGCATCTAGGTTGATTCCATGTCTTTGCTGGTGCAACATGCTGTTATTGAAATTTTTGATTCTTATGTATTAATTTTTACTGTGCTTTTTACATAGCACTCAAAATATATTCCTCCCTTCCTTGAAATACAACATTGAGGAGGGCTGATCATCTCTCTTTCACTATAGCTTCTTTTATCACTCACTCTCTTATATCCCCTCCTCTCTTTAAGGCAGGTACCAGAGACAGGAGGAGAGGGAGCAGGACAGTGTGTTTTAATGAGTTACTTCATAGAAAGAAAACTCTTTTTTCTTCTCTTTCACAATTGTGTCTCCACTTTCTTCCCAGGATATCTTACATGAGTCTCCATGCATTCATTCATTCACTCACCTATATGTTTCAGACCTTGCTTCACATAAAAGGGCGTAAAACAGATAAAAGCGCCTGCATTCATGGAGCTTACATTCTATTGCAGGGGTGGGGAGTGACACAGGCAAAAAAGAAAACAATTAAAATATATATGGTATTTTTGATGATGATAATTGGTATGGAGAAAATAAAAAGCAGGAAAAGGGATGGGGAGTTTGAGGTGGATTGAAGGTGTTGGAATTTTAAATTCGGTCATTAGGGAAGTCCTCAGTTGAAAAGTCACATTTGATCAAAGACTTGAAGGAGGTGAGGGAGGGAGAAATGAGGATATTTATGGAAAGAATGTTACAGGTGGAGAAAAAATAAATGAAAAACTCTCCTGATAAGAGCATCCTGACATGTTCAGGGAACAGTGAAAAGACCAGAGAGTCTGGAACACAATGAGTGATAGGAAGAAGTTAGAGGGTGAAGTCAGAAATATGGTTGAGTCATTTCAGGAAAGGGCTCGTAGTCCATTATGACTTTGGCTTTTACTCTGAGTGAGATGGGTTGGCATTTTAGGGTTCTGAACATAGAAGTGACGTGATCTGACTTATGCATCTACATAATCATTCTGTTGTTTGAGAATAGTCTGAAGCAGAACAAGGGCAGAAACAGGGAGAATAGACAGGACACTATTGTATAATTCAGACAAAAGAACATGGTATATCTTGCATGAAGTTGGTGGCTGTGGGAGGTGTGAGAAATAATTGGATTTTCTGTATATTTTGAAGATGAAACCAAAAGGATTTAATGAACTGGATGTGAGGTCTTAGAAAAATAAAGAAGACAAGACAGGTTCTGAGGATTTGGCTTGACTGATGCTATGGTTTGGATATGGTTTTTCCATGCCAAAAATTTTATGTGGAAATTTGATACCCAATGTGTCAGTGTTGGGAGGTAGGGCCTAGTAGGAAGTGTTTAGGTAGATCTCTCATGGACAGGTTAATGTCTTCCCTTGAGGGCAAGTTCTTGCTCTTGTGTGAATAGATTAATTCCTTTAAGAGTAAGTTGATTGGGCAGGGGGTGGGGGGTAGGGGGATGGGGTGGCGGGGAGCTCGGTGGCTCACACCTGTAATCCCAGCACTTTGGGAGGCTGAGGCAGACAGATTACTTGAGGTCAGGAGTTCAAGACCAGCCTGGTCAACATGGTGAAACCCCGTCTCCACTAAAAATACAAAAATTAGCCGGGCATGGTGGCACGTGCCTATAGTCTCAGCTTCTTGGGAGGCTGAGGCAGTAGAATCGCTCGAACCCTGGAGGTGGAGGTTACAGTGAGCTGAGATTGGACCATTGCACTCAAGCCTGGGCAATAGAGGAAGACTCTATCTCAAAAACAAAAACGAAAACAAAAACAAAAACAAGTTGTTAAAAAGAGTCTGGCTTCCTTGGTTTTTGTCTCTTGCTTCCTCTCTTGCCATGTGATCTCTTTGCAATGCCCCACCTCCCTTCCATCATCCACTGTGAATGGAAGCAGCATGAGGCCCTCACCAGATGCAGCTGCCCAATTTTGAACTTTCCAGTCACCAGAATCATACGCCCAATATGCCATTTTTCTTTAAAAATTACCCAGCCTAAAGCATTCTGTTATAGCTACACTGAATGGACTAAGACAAGTAAATAGAAGCATAGCATGGCCTTTCACTGAGATGGAGAAGAATGAGCAAGAAGCAGGTTTGATAAAGGGTGGTAGGATGAAGTTTTGATTTTTAGGTGTTAAAGTCTGAGATGCCTTTTGATACTCAAGTAGAGATAAGAAGATAGTTGGATATGTGAGATTTAAGTTCAAGGGGAGATGTCTTGGGATCCAAAGACATACATATAGATGGTATTTAGGACAATTAGACTAAATGAGACCATTAAGGGAGACTGACTATAAATGGAGAAGAGAAGAGGTCTGAGGACCTAGCCCTGGGACTCCAATGTTTAGCAATCAGAGAGATGAGGATGAATCAGCAAAGCAGCCCACGAAATTGAACTCAGGATAGGAGGAGAAGAGTATGTTATCCTAGAAGTCAAGAAACTGTTTCAAGGAAGAACTAATTGGTCACTTAAAAGGAGGATCAAGAATTGGCTAATCAGTTTAGCAATGTGGAAGTCATTGGTGACTCAACAAGAATAGTTTCACGGAGGAGATGGGAGTGAAAGCCTGTTTGGAGAGAATTCAAAGAGAATGGGAAAAGAGGATTTGGAAATCTTTGTAATTATATTGCCGTGTCCAACTACTGGAACAGTTGCTTTGTTCATGAGGCTAAAACTGAACTTAGTTTTGACAAACTATTCAACTAGTATTTTATGAAATACAAATATAAATATATTGCTGTGTCCAACTACCGGAATGGTTGCTTTGATCATAGGGCTAAAATTGAGCTTAGTTTGATAAACGATTCAACAAGTATTTTATGAATACAAATAAAAGTAAAAAGAACATCCAGTTTGAAACAGAATACTTGTGTTCTTTTTCTTATTCTTGTCACTTCAGCAAATCTTTTAACCTTGCTCGACCGTCTGTTTCTCCATCTATAAAATTAGAGCATTGGCAGGTTATTGTCAAAGTCCATGATTTACATCATTATAATATAAAGAAAAATAAGCAACTATAAAGAGGTTCAAAGTAGCAAGGACTTGATTCATTGGGAGAAATATTGACGTTATATATCTTTGTATATAAAAGTTTTCATTTTAATACAGTTCATCAGCCTTCAGTGACTTTGTATAGTTTGGCTGTATATACACAGTGGTAAGAAATTCCTCCAGGACTTTTTTTTTAGTAAAATCATTCTCTTAGAATATTTTTCTGAGCAATAGCAAGATCATTTGAAACCATAATGAATAGAAAGATTTTTACATGGAAGATATTACACATTTGGACCTTGAAAACCTGTGCACATCTATATGAACTGAAATTCAAATTGAAATGTTTTCAGTTTCAATATGTATAGGAAAAAGAGCCAAAAAGCTGTTAGTCTCTCTGTGCCTCTAGCACATCCTACAAGAAGGAGGATTTTCATAAGCAAAATGATTGGTCTCTTATGTCCAAGAGAAATTCAGCTGAATGCAATGCACTAAAATTTAAGAGTGAGACACTTTGGACAAGGGTAACTCTTATTTCTCAGGATAATAAAATATTTCAACTTTGGTGAGTGAGTTTTATGTCACTAGATGTCTCCTGAGGATATGTAGAGGTGTTTTGCTATGCGTAACAAAGACTTTCTCTTAAAGTATAAGGACCAAAGTTTGGTAAATCAGATATTTTAAATGTGTTAGGCATGTTTCCCATTTAACAGAATCCTCTGTGACTCCCAAGAAATGATGTTTTTCCCCCCTTGTTAATTAGTTAAGGAACAGCCTTCTACTTTATTGTTGATAAATCAGAATTTGACATTGCTTATGATTTGTTTCTGATCAAACAGACAATAACCATTCTTGATGGTCTTTATAATTCTGCTTACTCCTCTTTCTCCCTGACTAGATATTAAGCTCCAAAAGACTAGTTGATTTATCTTACAGCCACACAATAGACACTCAAGAAATATTTCATGAATGAATGAATGAATGCTGGAGACAAAAACTGATAATTTCTCTGGGTATTTTTATCCTGCCTTTCATATCTATGATTTTACTTTTTAACTCACAAGTAGAAGAATACAATTCACAACATAATAATTTGCTAATTGTGCCTTTTTGGTGATAATATATCTCCCATCCAAGCTTGAATATGAAATGGAAGGCTAATTATGACCCAGATAATGCCTGACTGAGTCTTGTGTAGTGATTGAATGTTTCTAAAGCAGGTGATTTTGTTGGGGATTTAAATGCAGTCTGGAATGTTTCAGCTGTATGCTATAAGGCAGTCTGCCTACCTTCCAATTTTAACTGGATTGGCTGAAGGGGTGTTAGAACAATTGAACTGATTTCCAAGGAGCACTGTGCAACCAGAGGATCCATGTTGTAAGTGTTCTCACAAATCTACAGGGATTCTCAACCTTGGTTTTTGTGGTTTCTGATAATCCCATGAGGAGTCTTCATCACTGTGGAGAATAGGAAAAATTTAAAAATGGATATATGTCAACTATCAGATGTGATGCTATCAGTTTTTCCTACCTACCTTAGTGATGCTATCATGGTTAAATAAAACATTATATGTGAAAGTCCTTTAAAAGTACTATAGAACAAATGGTGTTGCTGTAACTTATTTGTCTATAAACATTGAATAGATAGTGGAAGGAAGGCAATTATCAAGGAAAATAGTACAACACTTATACAGTAAGACTAAAAAATTACATAGAAAAAGATTCTACTTGATGACTTTACTGTTTTGTTTTTTTTTTTTTTTTTTTTTTTTGAGACGGAGTCTCACTCTGTCTCCCAGGCTGGAGTGCAGTGGCGCAATCTCGGCTCACTGCAAGCTCCGCCTCCCGGGTTCACGCCATTCTCCTGCCTCAGCCTCCGGAGTAGCTGGGACTACAGGCGCCCGCCACCACACCCAGCTAATTTTTTTTTTTTTAATTGTTAGTAGAGACGGGGTTGCACCGTGTTCGCCAGGATGGTCTCAATCTCCTGACCTTGTGATCCACCCACGTTGGCCTCCCAAAGTGCGGGATTACAGGCGTGAGCCACCATGCCTGGCCTGACTTGACTGTTAATCAACCTATAGGCAAAGGATGTTTCAAACCAGTTCAGTTATATAACGACTATAATATATATTCTCATATATTCAGTGCTTTGAGAAGCATGTATGCTTTACTATATTGTTCCTTTGAGCCCTAGGCCACTGCCTCATAATTGGAAAACCAACAAGAGAATCTAAAAAGTCAAAGATAAGCCATTAGATCCACTCATTCATTCAGTTATTTAGTCTATCAATTACAGACTTCTTACCATTTGTCAGGGACTGTGCTAGGTGCTCTTGATTCAAGTCTGTGAGAAATAGGGCAAGATAAATTACAATATACTATACTATGCTACCTTTTATAGCAGAAGGAAGCATGGGTGCTGTGCAGACCCAGAGCAGTGCACCTGATCCTGAATTAAGATGGTGGTGGTCAGCAAAGGTTTTCTGGAATAATTGTGGCCTGGACTGAAACCTGAAGAAAGTGCATGAATAAAAGCAGTTTAATCAAACATTGAGGAGTTTGGATTTCATCCTGAAAGCTATCAGGAGCCTGGAAGGATTATAAGTAAGAAGTGACATGATTGGGTTTTTATTTTAGATCTCTATCTCCTGGATGGATTGGAACAAGGGAGTCCTGAGAGCTGGGAGATGAAATGTGAGGCCATCACAATCCAGGGGGAAACATTGAGGGGACTTGGGTGTAGAGATAAGGGGATAGATTTCTTTGCTATTAAGAATGTCCAATGGACTGGACATGGTCCTAAGAATCTAAAAAAAAAGAAATATAATTGCCTTTTGGAGGTTAAAATTTGAAATTAGCATAGGATGGAAGAGAAAAGATATGCAAAGTTAGCTTTAAGACACAACGTTACTCCCAGGCCAGTAAGTGCTGATAGTAAGCTCCTTATACATTAACTTATCCAAGATAAAATGTCAACCGAAAGTGTAGGGAATCGGCAATGAAAAAGAGAGTCACAGAAACAGACTTAAGCAGTGTACAGCCAAGTTCTAACTAGGGTTCAGGGTGTTAGTTCATTCTATACTTGAATAACCAGCCCACGCATCAGCAGTCTTTCTAACTGTGGTGATAGACTGTTTATCCTTATAAATATGTAATGATGTCATTACATATTTGGATCATAATATTAACTCTGCTTTTTCTGGTTAAATGCTCACCAAACAGCCTCCCGAATATGTAACCTCATGCACTTTCCTTATGGGGAGAGAAGGCTGTCTGTAGTCAGACTGGCACATAATCAGGTTCACCAGGCAGTTATATTCCTCATTGTTAACTCATATTTTGGCACACTAGTCATATCCATCAGTCTCTTTCGTTTAAAATATTCTGACAGTGTCAAGTTCAAGTTTCTGAATTTACAAGTCCAAGAGCCAGTCCTTGGTCAATGATGGTGAATTTATCAAAGTCTCTCTGTGTGGATCTGTTTGGGTGGCCTGTCTGTCTCCAGGTATCACTCCTCAACATTTCCAACTGTCAGTGTTAGTATGACTAGTGCCAAGTAGCTATTCTGTCCACTTGAAACTTACATAGATGACAACTGAAGCCATCGGAATAAATGAGATCATCCAAGGAGAGAGTGCAGACTGAGAAAAGGAAGGAGACAGGATAGAACTTAGAGAACACAGTCATTTAAAATAAGACAGAAAAAGGGAAGTTCATTATGGACTCTGGAAAAGGGAGTCCAGGAAGATAGGGAGAAAAACAGGAATGAGTAGTGTTTGGAAATCTAAAACGTTGTTAGTTTTAAGCAGGAGAAGTTGTCAACTCTGTGCATTTATAGAGTTCCTGAAAATAAAGGGTAAACAATATGGAGCTCAACAGGACAGTTTTACTGGAGTTGTGGAGCTTCCATAGAAGGCTAAAATGATGAGTTAAGAAAATGGAGCTGGTGAGTACAGGATGTTTCTTTCATGAAAGAAGAGCATAGGCCCCGGAGTCTGATGTTTGGTTTGGAAGTCTGGCTCCACCAGTTACTTGCTGTGTAATCTTAAGTTCTTTGTGCTTCAGTTTCAGTATGCCCAAGAAGACAGGGCCTACTCCTAGGGCTGCTATAGCAAACTATCACAAAATGTGTGACTTAAACAATAGAAATTTATCATCTCACAGTTCTAGAGGCTGGAAGTGCAAAATCAAGATGTTGGTAGGGTAGTGAAGGCTGTGAGGACAAATCTGTTTCATGCCTGTCTCCCAACTTCTAGTGGTTTGCTGGCAATCTTTGACGTTCCTTGGCTTGTAGATACATCACCCTAATCTCTGCCTTTGTCGTCACATGGTGTTATCTTTGTGTGCTGTGTCAGATTTTCCTTTTCCTTTTTTTTTTTTTTTTTGTGAGACAGTCTCTCTCTGTTGCCCAGGCTAGAGTGCAATGGTGTGATCTCAGCTCACCGCAACTTCTGCCTCCCAGGTTCTAGCGATTCTGCCTGCCTTAGCCTCCTGAGTAGCTGGGATTACAGGTGCCCACCACCATGCCCAGCTAATTTTTTGTATTTTTAGTAGAGACAGGGTTTTGCTGTGTTGGCCAGGCTTGTCTCAAACTCCTGACCTCAGGCCATCTGCCCACCTCAGCCGCCCAAAGTGTTGGGATTACAGGTGTGAGCCACCGCAACCAGCCAAATTTTCCTTTTTCGTGAGGACACCAGTCATATTGGATTAGCGGCCCACGATACTCCAATGTGGTCGCCTCTTAATTATATCTGCAATGACTATTTACAAAGAAGGTCACATTTTGAGGTGCTGGAGGATAGGACTTTAACATATGAATTTTTGGAGGACATAATTCAACTCACAGCAAATCATTTAGCAATTAACATTAAAAAACCAAAACTCTAACTCTTTTACTAGGGAAACTCAGTTTATTCTAAAATTTCTGATCAAAATATTTGCATTAGGGACTATCATAGACTCTAAACTCTGATCTCTTTTATTGGATAGGAACAGAGTTCTCAGTGGCAGTTATGGAGAAAGGCATTAATGTTTGGGGTGCTATTTAAGTTCTCAAAATAATTTGTATTGTTAAAAACCTGTTACTTTTTTTTTTTTTTGAGACAGAGTTTTACTTCATCACCCAGGCTGGAGTGCAGTGGCGTGATCTCGGCTCACTGCAACCTCCACCTCCTTGGTTCAAGCAATTCTCATGCCTTAGCCTCCCAAGTAGCTGGAACTACAGGCACACACTACCATACCTGGCTAATTTTTTGTGTTTTTGGTACAGACAGGGTTTCACCATGTTGGCCAGGCTGGTCTCGAACTCCTGACCTCAAGTGATCCACCTGCCTTGGCCTCCCAAATTGCTGGGATTATAGGCATGAGCCACCGCACCCGGCCCTGTTACTTTTAAGCATGCATTTAATAAAGTCGTATTTAATCTTTTGTTGGTGATGTCCAGATATTTAATTTTGAGATGGGGAAAATTACATAGGAGCTAGGAATTCTGGGAATTATGTATGGGTTCTAAAATATTTTGACATTGTATACTCCCAGCTTTCTTTTCTTCAAAACGTTAAACACTAATTGGAGCAATTTTTCCATTAGCAGTAAGTCTCTGAGAACTTCGCTTTAAGCACTGTTTTATAGCAGGTGGAAGGAATTCCTTGATGTTCTCAGGCTGTAAGGCATGCTGATTACCACCAAAAGTGTGTCAGGGTAACCTTTATGCTCTTGCCAAGTTCTGACAGGGAGAGAGTTAAGTGAGAAGCATGGGTGATGGGGAGGAGATAAATACAAGAAAGGGTACTTAAAATTTTTTTTTTTTTTTTTTTTTTTTTTACAAATAGAAGGTCAAGAAAATACATTATTTCACTAAGTAATAGAGAACAAAATTTTAAAAAGATATTGTACTATCTGGAATTTCAGTTTTTAAGATTCAAAGTGAAATCTGTTATGCTTTTTGTTTAGCTCCTTAGTTTCACTTCAAAGCCTTTTACTAGAGCACACAGAAAACCTCATTTCTATTGTTTTCATATTCCCCAGAGGGTCTTCCCAGCTCTTCTTAGGTGAACATGCTCACCACCTCCTTGATCAGATCATTACACTTTTGCCTTGAAGTTGTCTCCCCAGCCACACCCTATGTTGGAATGTCCCCTATGTGCAGGACAATGTCTCACCCATAATCAAAAGATTTTCCAAAATTTCACATCTCCCAAGGAACTTTCCTGGAATATTAGAAAAGTGTCATTCTTTTTAATATTGAGATCCCTTTCTATATTTATTGTATGTTATGGACTTAATTTGTGCCTTTGATAATATTACCCTTTCTTAATCCTTCTACATAATAATGAAAATTAACAGGGGATTTGATTTATCTTGACAAAGTAAAATTTAGTAGAGTTAGAATGGCATAGGTTTTGAGTGAATGGATTCTAATATCAAATAGACTAGCATTTGATTATTAGTAAGTTACTAACTTCTCAAAGCCTTAGTTTCCTTATCATTAAAGTGAGTATCAGTAAAGTGAGAATAACAATCATACTTCCTTTGCAGAATTGTTTTAAGGCTTAGAAGAGAAAATCCATGTAAAACATTTGGTGCAAAGCCTGACACAGAGCAAGGACCCAAGAGTGTCCTATAAGGGAAATAACACTTGACCTAGAGTCAAAACACTTGAGTACTGGCTCTGTAACTGGGCAGGTAACTAGACTCTTAGAATCTCAGTTTCTTTTTGCATAAAATAAGGATAAAACCAGTTTTGTGTACTGATAAATGTTAAATCTCTGGCTCTGGAGCTTGGGGTAGGAAGAGGGCTTTATTTGTAGCATTTGCCAGTTTATATGGTGTTGTTACTCCTCCATGGCCAATTTCAAACACCAACATGAAGCCTGGATATAGAGTTGGGAATAGATGTGTACAATCATCTCTGATTCACCACCTAAAATTCCCTCAACAAAGAAGGATATTTATGTTTCAGTGAGACTATATACTATTGGTGAAAGGACTTAGTATAATTGTCATTCACAAAATGTTAGTTTAATTGTGCTTGGAAAAGTCTATTACAAGGGTAGAGTTAGTGAGAGTAGAACTAGTTCAGTGATGGAGACAGCAGATTGAATGTTTTCTTTTTCATGACGGTTTTGGGAAGTTTCAACATTAAATACCCAGGGAGGCCAGGCAGGCAACATCAATACAGAAGTGGAACAAGGAGAAACCTACTGCCTGCTTAAATCTTCAAAGGGCATCTAATAAGTACCTCACGTTTATCATCAACCCGTCCCCACCCTACATGTGTCTTCTCCAGCGTTCCCCATCTCAGTACAGGCACCACATTTTCTTACTTATTTGGGACAAGGCCCTTTGAGATCTCCTGTGCTCCTCTTTTTCTTTCACACCCCACATCTGATCCCTCCACAAGTTATTTTGGCTCTGCCTTCAAGATCATTTTAAATTTGACCAGTTCTCATCTCCCTCTACAGGTACTCCTCTAGCCTGAGCCACTTTAACTGCTCTCGCTGCTGTTCTCCCCAGTGCTGCCAGAAGGATCGTTTTAAAATGAAAGAAATGTCATTATTCCCACCTTCCCTTTCTGATGTCCTTATTCACATCACTTTAAGCATATTGGCCTCTTTATTATTTCTTACATGTCAGGCACACTTCCTCTCCAGAGCCATTGCCCTTGCAGTTCCCTCTTTCCTCAGATCCTTGATTCGCATGGCTGGCACATCATTTCATATGGCTCTTGGCTAAAAGTCACCTCCTCCGAAAAGCCTTCCCTGATTACCCACCTAACATAGTCCTGCACATGAATCTGTCTCATTAACCTGCTTTATTTTTCTTTATAGAATTTAGCACTGGTTGTCTTTAGAGATGATGTGAATTCGTTCATTTAAGTTCTATGCTCTCTTCTAAATATAAACTCCATGAGGGCAGGAACTTAATTTTCATGACTGTATTTGGTAGAGCCTCATGTAAGTTTCCTGGCATATAGAAGGCACTCAATAAAGTGAGTGCCTTCTTTTATTTAAAGAAAGAATGAATTTTTTGTATTCTTTTTGTACTTTAAAAAGAAGTTTTAATCATTTTGTGTAGAGTTCTACCTATGTCCAAAAGATCAAACTTATTATGTTGCTCAAATATTCTCTTTATCAGTTATTGTCCAATTGATCTATCAGGTTTTTTAAAAGTTATATTAAATGTTCCCATTGTAATTATGGTTTTGTTAATTTCTCTTTGTAATTCCAGTCAATTTTGGGCTTTAAGGCCATGTTGTTAGGTACATACTGGCTAAGGATTGTTTTATCTTTGTAGTGAATTGTTCATTTTATCTTTAAATATATGGCCATTTTAATCTCTAATGGTACTGTTTGCTTTTAAATGCGTTTTGCTTGGCATTAATAATACTGTTCCATATCTGATTGGTATTTGTCAAATACTTTTTCCCTTCCTTTATTTTCAAACTATTTTTATAGTCAAATTTAATCCTGTTACTCTTATTGTGATTTTTAATATAGACTTATTTCTATGATCTTATTTTATGTTTTCTATTTACTGTGATTTTTGTTGATCTTTCCCCCTCTTTTCCTACTGTTGAGTTTTTTTAAAATTCTATTTTCCCCCCCTCCCTCCTATTGGCTTAGAAATTACACATTGCATCTCTCTTTCTCTGTTAAAAATGTTTATCCTTGATTTGGTTGTCTTGAAATTAATCACTGTTTTTATACTTCTGTGTAATATAAGGACCTTAGGGGGCTTTATTCTGATCACCTTCCTCCTACTTTCTGTAGTATGGTTATTTCACTTTGTTTTTAAACACACCCAAATTAGTCATTTTGTTTACATAGTCAGTGTTTCCTTAGATTTAATTTGTTTGTTGATTTCTTTACTCATTGTTGCTTCTAGCTCCCTACTCCTTCATTTTGGATTCTTATTCCCCCACCAACCCTATGCATTCTTTACATTCTCTAGTAGTTTTTTCAGGGATGACATACAAATAGGAAATCCTTTTGGTCTTTATTTGAGAATCTGTGTATACTACCTTCATTCTTGATTAGTAGTTTAGTTAAGTATAAAATTCTATATCTAACTTAGCCCATTGAAGATAGCATTTTATTGTTTTCTGACTTCTTTTGTTGTTGATGAAAAGTCTTCTCTTAGTCTAATTTTTGTCCCTATTTAGGTAAGCTGTGTTTTCTCTGTGGTTATTTTAAAATTATCTCTGTCTTCCTATTTCTGCAGTGCCTTATTCAGTGTCTAAGCATAGATTTGATTTTGTCTTTCCTGCCTGGAACCTGGTTTGCCTCCCCAACTCAAGGACTCAGATTTTTATTAAATTCTGGACAATTCTTGTCTTTCAGATATTTCCTCTCCTTACTGTCTGTAATCTCCCCTTCATAAAACCTTGTTAAGTGTATTTTAGATCTTCTCATTCTCTAAGCCTTTTTACCTTTCATATTTTCTATTTATTTTCTCTTTGCTGCATTTTGGGTGATTTCCTCAAATCTTTCATACGTTTCTCTTCAGTTCTGTCCAATCTACTCTTTAAGCCATCCATTACATTTTCAATTTCAATGATCATAGCTGTTTTTTTTCAGAAGTTTCATTTGGTTCCTTTTCAAATCTGCTTATTTTTTGTTTTTTATAATATTCTCTATATTACTAGAGTCTCATATTTTTCTATTATTTCTACTTCTTAGAGTGGTGCAAATTCTCCCATCTATTTGGTCTGCTGACTGTCTGTCATTGTGGTTTATTTCCTTGTGTGGTTGCTAATTGCCTCCTGTCAATGCATCTTGAACAGGGAGTCTGGTGCACCTTGGCTTGTATACTACCGGTCTTTCTACAGAGGGGTTTGCATTTGCTTTTTTTGGGATTCCAAAATTAGCTTGTGGACTAATTTTTGGGCTTTGGATTCCGGTGCTGTACAGCTAGTATAACCTCTATTATCTGTTATATGTTTCTGGCTTAGGGTTTCAACTTCTCTTAGGAGATTTTTTTGACAGATGGCAAGCTTTCTTGACAGTTTTTTTGGGTTAGTGGGAGGAATTTTTCCTTGTTTTACTGATAGGGCTCAGCTTTATAAAAGAGTACTCTATTGTAGCTCTCTGACCAAAAAAAGGCTGATACCATAAAAATCGTGCCGACATGGACATTAACACTTTAATAGTCAAATCCTATGTCAGGATTTTTGTGCTGCTGTGGTGACAGTTGAAGTTTATTTCTGTTTTGAGCTTCTTTTTTATTTTGGGCGTTGGAATATTTCCCCTTATTCTTACAACTCCATCCTAACTATTTCTTTAAAAGGAAATTCTATATTTTGCCCAGTGTTTCTGTTTTGGAGGAAGAGTGTCTTGCATGTGAACTTAGTCTGTCATGTTACTGAAAGGTCACTTCTCATATCTTCACACATTTCCTTGCCTCTATATTCTTTTCCCATGTCCAAATTTCTCCCTTTCAAAAAAAGGTCTTTCTCATAGTAAAATATTTGCTTACACAGAAAACTGTAGGCCCAGATGATTTCTCAGAAGATCTTTACCAAGTATTCAAGGAAAAATAATTATAATTGTACCAAACTACTTTCCTGGCAATAGAAAAAAGGTTATACTTCCCATTAGGCTAGCATAACCCTGGTACCAAATGTCAGATATGAATACTACAAGAAAGAAAAATTATAGGTCAACTTCCTTTATAAACCTAGAGGCAAAAATTCCCAAATCAATGTTAGCAAACCAATCTAGCAATATATAAAAAGGAGCAGATGTAATGACCAGGTTGTTTTTATCCCAATAATAAAAAGATTAGTTTAACACTAGAAAACAAATAATTTTACTAGTAGATAAAGAAAAAATCATATGATCATCTAAATAGTTACATAAATAGTATTTGATATAATTATATATTCATTTATTAGCAAACAAACAAGCAACTCTTACCCAACTAGGAATATACAATAACTTCTTTAATCTATAAATAATTCCTCAAAAACTCAAAAACAGTCATCATATTTGACGGTTAAACTAAAGTTTTTCCCTTTGGAATTGCAATGAAGATAAAAAATAGCATAAAGAAAGTTTGACTCTAGTATATCTATGCCAATGGCTCAGTTTTCATTCCCAATATTACTTGTGACTTCTGTTTTTCTTATGATTAGTCTAGATCAGTGTTTCTATTGGGAGGAAACTGCTTTTGGTTTTGTTGATCATCTCTAATTTTTTGTTTTCTGTTTTATTAATTTGTGGCCCTATTTTTATTATTTTTAAGATTCTCCTTTGCTTAGTTTTCTTCTCTTGTTCTTTTCTAACTTTAAAATTTAAATGTTTCTTTTTACCTTTCTAATGCAGATATTTGAAACCTTTTAACTTCGTCATTTATTTTCATGAGCCACTTTAGTCCATCTTAAAGTTTTGATCTGTTGTATTTTTGTTGTCATTTGATTCTAAATACTTTGTAATTTCTACTTTAAACATTTCTTATTTAAGAGTATGGTTTTTAACAAGAATGAGATATCAACTTACACCTGTAAGGATGGCTGCTGTCAAAAAGATGAAAGATAAGTCTTTCTAAGGATGTGGTGGATAGGGAATCCTTGTACATTGTTGGTGGGAATGTAAATTAGTATAACCATTATGGAAAACTGTGGAGATTCCTCAAAAAACTAAAAATAGAATTACCATCTGATCCAGCAGTCACACTTCTGGGTACATAGCCTAAGGATTTGAGATCAGTATGTAGAAGAGATATCTGCACTCTCATGTTCATTGCAGTGTTATTCACAATAGCCAAGATATGGAATCATTCTGCATCCATGGATGGATGAATGGATAAAGAGATGTGGTATATGTGCGCTATGAAATACTATTTGGCCTTAAAAAGAAAGGAAATTTTGACATTCATGACAACATAGATGAACCCAGAAGACATTATGCTAAGTGAAATAAGGCACAGAAAGACAAATATGACATGTTTTAACTTATATGTAGAGTCGAAAACAATCAAATTCATAGGAACAGAGAGTAGAACAGTGGTCACCAGAGGCTAGGGAGTGGGAGGAATGGGAAGATGTTGGTGAACGGATACAATGCTTCAGTTAGGAGGAACAAATAAGTATTTCTTAAAAAAAGTCTTCAATGCTTAATAAATCAGACCATTCTAAGTTAAATTATTTGCCTTAAAAGTTGCTATTTTAATAAACCTTTGATTAAAAAAATGTGGTCTTTGCTTTCCAAACATATACGTATTTTTTTTTTAATTGTTGAGACTTCTTTGGCCAACCAGTTTGGTCAATTATTATTTTTTAAACATTTTGAGTGTGTTTGAAAAGTGTAAGTATCCTCTACTTGTTGGACGTATAATTCTTTACATATATTTTAGACCAAGTTGTTAATTATATTGTAAAGAGAGGTGATATCACAATAGCTAAGAAATTTGAGACCAGCCTGGGCAACATGGCTAAACTCCATCTCTTTAAAAAATACAAATTAACCAGGCATGATGGCAGATGCCTGTAGTCCCAGCTACTTGGGAGGCTGAGGCAGGGTAATTGCTTGAGCCTAGGAGACAGAGGTTGCAGTGAGCCATAATTGTGGCATTGTACTCCAGCCTGGGCAACAGAGTGAGACCCTGTCTCAAAAAAATAATAAAATAAAATAAAAAACAATAGTTAAGAACATAGGTCATGGAGTAGGCTATCTGAGTTTTAATCCTTGCTCTGCTGTTTACTAGCTCTGTAAATATGAGCATAACTTCTCTATCCTCAGTTTCTTCATGTGTGAAATGTGGATAATTATAGTACCTTCTCATAGAGTTGTTTTTATGGTTAAATTAATTAATATATAAAGTGCTTAGACTAGCTCCTGGAATATATGTCTAAATTGCTATTATTCAAATCCATATTTCTAATTATTTTTATTTTCTTGTGCTATCAGTTTGTGATAGAGATATATTGAAATCACCCACTATAATCTGTGTTTTTCTCCTTGTACTTTGGTCCATCTTTTATTCTCTATGTTGTAAAGCTATGATGTGTACATTTAAAATTATTACATCTACTTGGTATATTTATACATTTTTGTTATTGCACGGTAATATCTTTCTTAATCCAAGTGACTTTGTGGAAATTAGAAAAAGCCACACCCTGTGGGGCAGGCAGTTTGGCCTAAGGCTGATTCAGGAGGTTGTCCAGGATGGCTCAGGGATGTCTAGACCAAGAAACATCACAATCGGTCAGATCTTATCTGGAAGGCTGTCTTTCACTGGTTTTCCACCTGAGAGTGCTGCTAGGCCTCATGGCGTAGTGCTGGGATAAGGCTCCAGAACTCCTCCTTAGCCACTGGGAGACCCTTGTGAGCTGCTTGGACATTCCTATATGAAGCTGGGGAACCTGGAGAAAAAGTCTCAAGTATCACTCCATCAGCTAACTGAGGAGAACACAACTGCTCTAAAAACCACATCTGGAGTTCAGGTGTGGGCTGAAGACTGTGACAGACCAGGGCAGCCATACCTGATGAGAGTGAGAAGGGATTAGGAATTTCCATTTTTCTCTGGGATGGGGTGGGGAAGTGAGTTCCAGAAAGCTGGGAATGGGAGTAAAGGGGCTACCTATGAGTGGAGCAAAGGAGAACCAAAGTTCTTTTCCCAGTGTTACGGCCTTAGAAAGCATGGGCTCTTTTTTAAATCTTTCAACTTGGGGTCTCACTATGTTGCCTAGGCTGGAGTGCAGTGGCTGTTTACAGTTGTAATCATGGTGCACTGAAGCCTCAAGTTCCTAAGCTAAAGCAGTTCTCCTGCCTCAGGAGAACTGTACTCTGTACCTGTGTACTCTGTGGGCTCTTCTAGAATATCAGATCCACAGGATGGACAAAAAGCACTCACAAATGAAGGACTGACAATGGAAATCAATAAGATAGTGTGAATGGGTTTAGAATCTGGAGAGATTCTTTAAAACAAGATTTTTTACAGGATAACCATGGTGAAATTTTGGGAGAAGAGACAGTTGTTAAAGGCTGTAGCCAGTTCGGTTTCTTACTATTCCCTTTTATGCATGTGTTTTCCAGTCAAACTGAGTGATGTCAGTTTCCTGTTCATACCTTTTCTGCCATTGTGTCTTTAAGTTCACCTTTCTCATTGTCCCAGGGAAAGACAGGAGATCAAAAAAGGGTACATGCCTTGAGTTAGGTGAACCTGGGTCTGGAACTGTTTTTTCCTAGTTATGGGATCTTGGGCAACTTGATACATTTTCTCCTAATTTGACCTCAGGGTAAAAAAAAAAAAAAGAAAAAGAAAAAAAGGAAGTATGATAGTAATATCTTTCTCTATAAATTGTAGTGAAGATTAAATGATGTAATAGAAGTTGACATAGCAAGTGACCAATAAATATTAATTCATTTTCCCTTTTCTCTCCTTAGGAAATATTTTCTACCAATATTCTACCAATATTTGTCTATTCATATTTTAAATGGTAGGATATTTGCACTCTTTCCTTGCCAATCTTCTAAATGGTCAAGTCAAACTGTTTTCAACACATGCACATGTAATCAAAAGTTTTGCTCCTTCTAACTTTAAAATGCACTTGGAAGTTGTCCATTTCTCTTAGTTTCTGCTATTGTCCAATGACTATCATTTTTTTTTTTTACTTCTATGATAACTTTCCACCTGGTCTCTGCTGTTTTTTTTCCATCCACATGATAACCATGGCAGTCTTTTAAAAATTGCATCATCTGTAAATTAGACACCTTTCAGCAGCTTCCCATAGATTTATTTTATTTTATTTTTGAGACAAAGTTTCACTCTTGTTGCCCAGGCTGGAGCACAATGGCGCAATCTCGGCTCACTGCAACCTCCGCCTCCTGGGTTCAAGCGATTCTCCTGCCTCAGCCTCCCAAGTAGCTGGGATTACAGGCGCCTGCCACCATGCCCGGCTTTTTTGTATACTTAGTGGAGACAGGGTTTCACCTTGTTGACCACGCTGGTCTTGAACTTCTGACCTCAAATAATCCACCCACCTCGGCCTCCCAAAGTGCTGGGATTACAGGCGTGAGCCACTGTGCCCAGCTATAATTTAAATAAAATATAAATTTCTTCCTATGGCTTCTGAGGGCCTGTGTGATCTGGCCCGATCGCCTCTCTCTGCCCTCTCCTTCTATCCTTCCCCTCTTCAATACATTTCATCTTCCTATGAATGCCATGTTATATGCAGCTCATTCTCCTTTCAAGACCTTGCACTTGGCTTTATTCTCTCAGCCGAGAATGTTTTTAGGTCTCAGCTCAAATGCTTGAACTTCAAAGAGATATTTCTTGGCCACTTTATCTGAAGTTGCCTCCTGCTGCCCCTAATTGTTCTCCATCAGATTACCCTATTTTAATTTATTCAAAAACAATTGTCATTATTACTCAAAGACCAATTATTATTATAATATATAAATATATATGCTTATTTATTGTTTTCTTCCCCTAGAGTACAAGTTTCATCTATCTTAATCAACTGATATATTTCTAACTCTTTAAATAGTATCTGATACATGGGAAAATGCCAAAATATATTGGCACAATGCATGAATGAATAGTGTTTTCTTCATGAAACCTTTCAGAGTGCTCCCATTGTAGGTAATTCCTCTCTCCTTGGAGTCCCCAGTGTATTTAATTTCCATTTCCTACTGTATTGTCATGTTCCTTGAATTTTGGTTATTCATAGATACTCTTATATATCCTCTACTCCACTGTAGGATGCTGGAGGGCAGAATTGAAGGCAAAATGTTCAATAATTGGTTGAATTGATGAATCAAGTAAAAATGATTTAAAAAATCACCCTTATTTAAAATACGGATAGAAGAGGCAGTGCTGAAAATGTCTACAGTGTGACTTACCAGCACTTCTCAACACGTCTTGGCAATCGTGTCATTTGGACTGTTGGCGGATATATACATTTTTCAGGATTGTCTTCAACATGCCCATGCCATTTTCTCAGCCCCATTATGTTTGTAAAATGAATTCACTCTTTATTCACTTATGCACTCAAGAAAACTGCCAGCATATGACTTTTAAAAAAATTATTTAACTTTATAGTGGATGTCCTTTTGAAGCCGGAGGATTACAATTTCCATTCTTGATGACATTCATGATTTAAAACCTCTTCCAGGCCAGGTGTGGTGGCTCATACCTGTAATCCCAGCACTTTGGGAGGCCAAGGTGGGTGGCTTACTTGAGCTCAGGAGTTCAAGACCAGCTTGGGTGACATGGCAAAACTCTGTCTCTACAAAAAATACAAAAATTAGCTGGGCGTGGTTGCACATGCCTGTAGTCCCAGCCACTTGGGAGGCTGAGGTGAGAGAATTGCTTGAGCCTGGGAGGTTGAGGCTGCAGTGAGCCTTGATCACACCACTGCATTCCAGCCTGGGCAACAGAGGGAGACCCTGTTACAAACAAATAAACAAACACAAAAAACTAGAAACAAACAGAAACTCTTTGTCTTCCTCCTATTCCTCCTTTTTTTCTTCTTCCTTCTTTTCCTCATATTTTTCTTCCTCTTTCCATTCTTTTTCCTTTTTTAAAAATTAATTTTTGACTCAATAGTTAGAGAGTTAAAATTTATTAGGCATTTTCATGCAGTTTTTTTTAATTAGTTCCCATAACAAATCTGTGAAGTAGTTGTTATTTCTTCCATTTTGTAGAGGAAGATCAGAGAGGTTAAATACCTCATCTAAGACCTTCACAGGTGGTGGATTCAAACCTGGGTATGCCTGCTAATATCAGTCTAACTCTCTAGTGTTCCTTGGAACTATATTAATAGATAGAACAGAAATACTACTGAAGGTGATGGTTGAAGATTTAGAAGCACAAATTACATCTGTTCCTGAAAAGCAATAGCTGTACTAGAAGAAAAATATAGACATATAAACATAACTTGGCTGGAACCTGTTTTTTGTGCTGTCTGTGATTATAAACACTTGAGAATGTTGTCCTTCTCCTATTTCCTTCTTGCCATATGAACACATTTTCACTGTTTTAACTATATCAGTAATATGAGTACACTGCACAGATGGGGAGAATTGTGGAAAGGTCAGTCATATGGCTGTTGAACTTTGCTTCTCTCACTGCCTTTCCTGTGATGTTTCCTGGAATGTTAAGACGGGGACATTTTCATGAACTGGTTATTCTATTAGATTCTATCCTGACCAAAGCATGAAGGGTCATAAGTAAAGGGAGTCCTTTTGCATATGTTCTGTAGATTTAGGGAGATTTAATAGAAATAATAGACTTCAAAAGAGGTGATTTTGAGCAGCTATCCTTCAAGGTCACGATGGCACCATTTTTTTTAAGTGTGTGAAGAACAAAATTGGAAAGCTATGTGCTTATTGCAAATGCTTAAGTAATATTTTGACCTAAATTTAAATTCACTAACTTGTGAAGTTTGAAAATCATAAAATATGATTTATTCATCTTTCTATCCCTATCCTTTATCTTACTACCTGGCAATAGTAGGAATTCAATACTTTTTTTTTTAATGAACTGATCAAATAACATTGTTTAGTATCTTTGATATGGACTTTTGTCTCTAACCTACAATATCATCCCATGATTTTGTTAGTGTGAAATGCTTTTCACTACATGTCATGGACAATGTAATGGGATTGTGAATATGGAAGACTCTTAAACATAAGTAATAAAGCACAGAAGAGTAAAATGATACCGAATGCACTGAATCCAGCCATTATTAATAACACCAATTGTTACTGTACTATAATGACGAGCAAATAACAAATGATGGAATTCTAGTTGATATTCAGAAGTAATTCTTTTCTTCTTTTCTTTAGAGCTTCATAGTTGGTGAGCAAGGTCATGTTTTGGGGTATGATATTGCCAATTTCTTCACTTACTAGTGGGGATAGGATATGGACTAGATGTGAGGAAATACTTGTCCAGGTGTTAAGCTGGAACAGACATTTCTTTTGTGGAGTTAGGGTGCAAAGTTGTATAAATAGTCCAGAAAACAAGCCAAGTCCAAACACCTAGAAGGTGTAAGAATTGAGTGGTTTCGTCTAGGAGCCAGTCATCAAGTTGGATAGAGAGTATTCCAACAGCTGACCCAAGTCAAAAAGTCTCAAAGGTAATGCACAGTGGAACTCAGTGAGAGAGAAGTCAGGGAGTAATTCTACAGTAGTAGAGCCCGGGTAGTTGTGAGTAGAGAATATGTCTTACAATGGGGAGTGGGCTTCCAGGGTTACAGCAACAGTTCTTCAACGTAAAAGAATAGACCGATGGTGTGGAGGCAGAGTCATTGTTTGATAACAATTCACTTTGTTTTTTTAAATTTATTCATTAAATATTTATTGAGTGCCTACTCTATGCCTTATACTGTATTCTGTGCACAGAATGCAACAATTAATGAGACAGACAACGTCCTTTCCCTTATAGGGCATACAGTGTGTGGAAGGTAATGTTAAGAAAATTGGAATTATAGTATAATATTAATATGACACATCATATTATAGAATGTGGAAAATCCAGGTTTCATGGAAGGAATACTAATAGGTAATGCTTGTTGAACAATTAGTATGCATCAGGCACCATTCTTAGTGCTTTATATGCGTTAACAAATTTAATCCTCATAAAAACTTTACAAAGTATTACTATTATCATTTACATTTTATGTATGAGGAAATGGAGTCCCAGGAAGGTGAAGTTTTACTGTCAGAGTCTCGTGACTAGTACATGGTGGATCCAAGATTTGAAACCAGTTCATCTCCAAAATCTGAAGTTGTAATCATTATATTCTCTTATTTTCCTTTTATTTATTAATTTCTCCACTTCCAGTAGAAAGTGGGTATGAGTTTAGGACAAGGAGCTGGGAAAAGTTTCCCCAAGCAGACCTCTGCTTGGTATTGTAGTAAGACTTGGGGGAAGGGGCAGAGGTGTAGTTGGGGAGAATGGAGGTGGTAGTAGCAGGAATTGAGAATGGGGACAAAGGTAACATGTTCAAGACTCAAAGGCAAAAAGGAGATGGTGAAATGGGAGAGCAGTCAGACACTCAAGTTGGGGGGTGGTAGAGCTTTTTCGTTGTTGTCTTTTGTTTTTGGTTGAGGTCTGAGCTTCTTCTGAGGCCCAGTGTAGATGTGCTAAAGATGTTTAGACTTGTGATCTTATTAATAGTCAAATATCTGTCTCCTGAGACCCTACCTGCCCATCCCATTTTCCTTGTCACATTATTCTTTAGTTTGTATGTGTCTACAGTCAAAACCCTTTCCCCATGAGCCTGTTAACTTCGAGTGGTATTACAGTGGTATCTCAACTCATTCACTTTTCATTTTTACTGCTGCCTGTTTACTGGTACTTTTACTGTTTATTAATTTCACCATCAAAGAGTCAGACAAGTAAAGTAAATGAAACATTGCTAAAATGACAACTGTATTTTATCTAGACTAGGAAACCATTTTGTGGTTTAGGAAGTAGATACTATGTAAAAATCAAGGTTATTATATGAAAGTGTATGAAACATGGCTAAACACAACTCTGCTTTGTCTAGACAGGTAAACCATTTTGGTAGTATAGGACGTGAATACTTTGGCACAAAACAGAATTTTGGAACAATTTATCCTTGGTTTCTGACCATAAATTTTTAGATTAATTTTTAAGATTTTATTAATAGTAATCTAATTAATCCCCCCAGGTGCTAAATTTAAGTATGAGAGAAATAATAATGCTAAATATAGCATCATATTATAAACTGGTATCCATCTTTAAAACTGACTTTGTACAAAGGATAAGTTTCTGGACCGTCACCCTATTTAAACAAGCTTGCAGCAGGCATTCCAGCTTTACCAGTTCAGGAAGAAAAAGAATTTCCGTGTAGGATACTTTGTGCAATTTGCACTCGAGGAAAAAAAGAGGTGAAAAGTATTTTAGAACAATGATTTTCTCTGTTTCTATGAGAAGACTTACACTCTAGCCTACATTTCAATTCTGCCTGGAAAGGAATAACTGACATTGTCATTACTTTTCAAAGGGGGCTGCCTTGATAGTTTTAAGATCTCCATATATTTTTTAAATGAATGGCAATCATTTGTTTCAGTGAAGTTCTACTTTCAGCAAGACAAGCTTTGCTGATGTCTTGTAGAACTTTCATTTACAAATGCCTTAGTGTGTATTTGAGTGCACATCCTCTGGGTACTTGTAACTTGCATTAAGGTGCTCAAAATATGACTTGGACCCTGCTGTTATAAAATAAACTGAACAAAACTTGTGGCTTGTGTTATTTTAGCTTAATCCTGAAACTTTGGCTCTGATAGTCATGGTTCCCAATAAATAAGAAAAGTGGGGAAGCCAGAAGTAGTCATGCCATCAGTCTAGTAATAGACTAATCAGAGGAGAAAGAAATTTTACCCATCTTAGTGATAAAGTCAGGCAGAGAGGCTAACAAGATAGGATAGATGAATTTCAGCAGTATTGACCATAACCCAAAGATATGTAGTTAAGTGAATCAGTTTTGACACTGTCCCTGATAATAAAAGTGTCAACAATATCCTAAAGGAAAAAAACACCTTGGGGTCCTAAATTGAGAGCTTTTAGTGTGGAAGAGATTTAGATGTTGGTTAAGAGCACAAGGTCCCAGGTATTTTAACACTGATGATGTTTATGCAAAACTCAGACTTTTAAAGGAATTTTTTTTCTTTTGTCCAATGCTATTGTCCATGTCCTTCTTGTCTTCCTCAAATCACAGAAGTTTTTCCCTTGGCTAACTTATTTGTTTCTTTCTTTATACTCGCAGCTATCATAACCCAAAGGTTAAGGAACAGGGTTAGGGGCGTGAGAAGAACGGAGATCTGTCCTCTGAGTGAGATTGTCCAGAAAAGGGCAGCATTGATTCCAGGAGCACCTGGGCCCAAAAACCCAGGACGCTGGTAAATTGATCATGCCTGGAGAGATTCTATTTTCTGCGGCAAAATGTGAGGGAGAGCTGATACCAGATCTGGGTGCAAATGCACAAAGGCACATGGCGACATTAAAGCAGACACCGGAGAAACAACACTGGGACCACCAGAGACAGGCTGACAACCACAAGGTGAACTTAGAACAAGGGAAAATTCCAAGGGTGAAGTTTGGGGTCAAGGGCTGGCAGGAATTACAGGGAAACAAAGGCAGATTTCAAAAATGAGGATTTAGTTGCTGAAAGGATCCACTTGAGGGAGGATCAAAATAAGCTGAAGTTAGAGACAAAAATGATTTTATCTAAAATCATATCTTTTACCAGTGTTTCTGTTCTTTGCTGCAAGATGGTTCCTTATATTAATTAGCTTTTGAAATAAGTTAATGGTAGCTTTTCCAGGAGCTTCACAGTACCTTTTCCTAAATGCTTGGTTAAAAATAAAGAGCTACTTCACATTTTAACACTGGCTCTGTTATCTAATACATTGTAGAAGGAAAGAAACTGATATTTCTTAAAAACAAATAGTCTGCCAGATGGTCATGTATATTATCTCATTTAACAGTCGCAATTTTGGCATGGGGCAGGTACTTTTATGTCTGTTTTACAGATTAGAAAGGTAAGGCTCTGAGAAATGCTGTAAATCACCTGAAGTCACTTACACATAGCTCTCTGTTATCCAATTACTCATGTTCTAAGTTTTATGTGCTATAACATTTCTAACATTCTTGTATTAATTAAACATTTAAATTAAATAAGACAATCTCACATCATAGGAGGAACATGTGTATATAATTGATTGTGCAAGTTTTTTGTTCAGGTCAAAAAGAGAAAATATGTTCTAGGAGCCAGGAAATGTTAACTCTGTGATAGAGTCTGTAAAGATATAGGTCCTCATTCTTCATGGGAAGGAAGCCAGTTCCTGACTGAAAAACAAATGCGTACAATTAAGAATAGTTTACAACTCTCTTAACCAACTTGAATTAACTCATGGGATTCTATAAAATAAATTCAGGAGAGAGAAATACTTGTTAATTGACATTTTGAGAAGAGAAGCCTATGTTCTTTTCTACTTCTTTGCATGGTGAAATGGAGGGTGAAGGAGAAAAAAGATGTGCATGTTGATGGTATGTTTCAACATGACAAATAGGTTCAGTAAAGAGTTTGATAAATTCATAGCTGAAGGATCCACAACTAGTATTTCTGTAAGAAGTTAGGGTTATAGTGGTTAATATTTCAAGTGGTATTTTTAAAGCAACTACTACACTTTATATAGAATTCTTATCTGATGCTATTTTTTTAGGAAGAGTTGGATTATTGTTCTGACCCATATTGATATTTACTGTGCTCCTCAAGATTGTAGCATGGATTTTCTTTTGAGTATCACTCTGTCAGGCAGTATCCATTAATTATCCCTTTTATCATGCTTTCTGACTTATGGATCTAATATTAACTTAAAAACAGGTAATATAAATGTATACTTACTGGATCTTTATCCTTGGATGGATAAGTTTCTTCCTGGTCTCTTATTAACTTAATGAGGTGTGGCTATACTTAGTACTGACAACCTCCAGTGATCTTAACATGAATGAACCATATGAAATGAGAGCTCAAGAGTATATTTGAATAAAGTCTATATGAAATAGTAATTTGATATAAATAAATTTAATTACAGTGTTTAATTTTAATGAGAACAGATAGATCAACAACATGTAATATTTTTTAAACTTATAATGATACTTCTTAGAGGTGTCAATCTGTCACATGCTCAGACCTTTCTAAGTGACTCCTTGCCATTCATAGGCAATGCCTGAAGAGCATCCCTATGCAGCCTTACTTTCTTCTAACTCACCCTCCTGCATCCTGCTGCACCACAGCTGATTGCATGGGGAGAGTGATCTACTGTAAGGACAGTGAATTAATGGACTCAGTAATCTGTGACTTGGTGTGGTACCAAATGACAATCTGGACTAATCAGATTCCGTTTTGAGAATTTAAATTGGGAAAGATGGACATAATTAAGTATATAATGGTGATTAATCAACTCTTAAGATTGGAAAGGAATAAGCCATAGAGTAAAGACGGTCATGAGAGGCATAGTGAGTCTATACTATTAGTGTTATGGTAAACTAAAGTTACAAAGAGGTGATACTAGAATATCTTAAAAGCATGAAAAACGGAGGAGAGAGAAAGAAGAAAGAGAGAGTTAAAGGAAGTTAGTAGTGGGAAGCCAAATTAGACATATACAAATAAGTGTAAATACTGAAATATGATTTATTTAAGATGGGTGAGTGGTAGTAATAGTAATAGCTGATCTTGCCAAGTGCTTGCTAAGTACTGGGTACTATTTGAAGCATTTCACATCTTTTATTTCATTTAATATTCTCAGCAAAACTCTTGAGGTAAGTACCACCAGTATCCCTGTTTCACAGATTAGGTCACCAAGATGAGGAAACCAAGGCATAAGGAGGCATGATAACATGTCTGAGTTCATATATCCAGTAGATGGGTAATTAGGACCAGAATCTGAGTAATTTAACTTGAGACTTCATTCTTGAACAATAATGCAGTAGGGCAATGGTTCTCAAAAGGTGGTCCCTGGACTAGCAGCATCAGCATTAACTGGGAACTTAGTATAAATGCAAGTTATCAGGCTTTACTTAAGAAACTGGATGGGGCCCAGCAATCTGTGTTCTAATCTATGTGATCCTTATTTTTGCTTAAGTTGGAGAACTCTTAAGGTAGAGCAAAGGCCAGTCTCCTGCTGTTCTGGATCTTCTTATCAATATGTGGTCCATTGTAAAAAGCTCCTCTTCTTCCTGTGGTCTGGATTGTTCAGCTACTCCTGGGGTTCTGTGTACCCATATCCTTATGACTACCTCCAGGTATTTAAGGTAGCTTGAGTTATCTTTGTGATATGCAATTAAAATATATAATTAAAACAAACACATTAGACAACTGGAATATGTTCGCTTTAATGAAGCTTATTAAACCAAAGCAAAGTTCTATATCTGGAAACATGGTAAACCAGGATAGTCAGACCAACCCTGCCACTGAAAACAGCAAAAATGTTTTTGATGAATACCTGTATAATCTGAAAAGCATGAGAATGCTGAAAAATAACAAGGAATTGCCTGGCCAAAATCTCAGAAGAAAATGAGAACTCAGAGACTGGGGGAATGCTGAAGCTGCTTCTGTCTGAGGACATTAGCCAGTTGCATAACCCAGCCAACTTGAGCCCAAGGCCTACCCATGGTAGGGAGTTTAAGAGGGGACATTCTCCCTGAATAAAGCTGAGATCCCAAGGGCTAAAGCTCAGGATAATGGTGAACCACAAGTAAACTCTTCTGGCCGTCTCAGGAAACTGCACGAGTAGTCATTTTAGTGCTTAGCAGAAGATGGCCCCAAAATCAAACCAAATGAAATAAACAGATCTTTGAGAAGTTTTAGCCAATCACTGGTGTTCTCAAGGACTCATTGCTTAAATACACCTTACCTAGGCAGTTAAAACAGAGCTAGGTGTGAATTTAGTTTAAGGTTGTTCTGAACAGGTGGTGCTTTTGTGTGTGTGTGGTAGAAGGAAATGCTAGTCCTAAGCCTCCGAGAATTCCCAAATAGTTCCATGAATAACTTGGGCAAATCACGGTCAAATTTAAGCAAGCATACAAGGAATCTAGGAACCCAGGATAAGAACCAGCAGAAACAACCAACCACCGAAATAGAACCACACAACTTAAGGTTTCATAATTGTCAGACAGATTATAAAACAAAACCCTCTCTTTAAAGAAGTAAGGCAAGCTTCAAAATGTTTTAAGGGAATAGGAAACTAAAATCCTAGCAGATTTGAGGAAAAAATAGAATTCAGAGAAATCATTAAAAAAAAAAAAGGAATTAAACCAAGGGGCTGATAACAAAGGCTTAATGTGTTTCGTGCTCTGAATAACCTTGTTTATTTTTTGATAAGAGTAGATTTTGTGAAATGTACTTTATGCAGTTAATTTCAGATTCAAATTAGTGAATAACATGCTTCAGTTAATATTTACATTCTAGATTGTCGATATATAAAGGTAATTTAAAGTACAGTAAACTTACATTAAGTTTATATTTCAGTGTCCGCATCCAACTGAGAGATTGATTTAGTGATTTGTGAGCTCTCCAATAATTGAGCAAAGGCATGATATTGATCTCAATTATCTGAATATATCATGAACACTTGTGAATTTTGAGAGTAAATATTTCAGTTAAATGGTATCAGCTTTCCATTTTACTTATCAACTTCAATTAAAGTGTTTAAAGGGAATAAGTAACTTTGGAAGCAATGCAAAGATAAGACAATAGTGACAATTTTACAAGTATGCAAGTAGAAAGTTTCTGGGTTCCACTAGCATGCAGCTGATTTAACAGTAACACAATCTGTATTCCCCAGAGAATAATTTTAATGTTCAAGATTCGTAAAACTTATAACTGAGGCTTAGTGTGTGGAAAGGAGAGAAGCACTGTGTTTTAACTGTGAATAAAGGTATCTGCAAATGTTGGTTATGTAATATCCAATTCATCCCTAGAGATGCTAATTATTCTTTAAGAATGTGGTAATGAGGTGAAACACACTGTTTGCCAGCAGGCATAATAGATCATATTTCATATCACTCATTTAAATCAGGGCATTAATTTTCATTACAAGATAAAGTCAGTGATAGAAACAGAGGCAAACTATGGGGAATGAAAAGTTTAGCAAGTATAGGCAATAAGCCACACAATAGTTGGCTCTTGAAATGCTGATCTCATTTACTTGCAGCCAGACTTGTTGAAAGATGGCTATCAGAAGAAAAACAAAAATCCCCTCTGTGGTGCAATATTAATGTTAATAGCCCTTAACAAGGAAAAAACATGAAGTTCAAGTTAACTGCCATAAAGGATAATTCCTTTGAATGCAACATGAAGCCAGAGAGGGAAATATAGTTTCTACTTTTTGCATTATTATTATTCCTCACCATACGTTTACTAAACACCTATCATGTCAAAATATTGAGAAAGAAGCCCACTTCGTTCAGAAAACTTACAATTGGTATAACCAAGGGCCAGGATGACTCTCATAGGTGACAGTAAGTTGGCTTCTTACATTTAATGAATATTTTCATGTTTTGATTTGCATTTTATCTTTTTCCTCCTCTGTGTATTTCAGTCATAGATTAGATGATGGGCTGGAAAAAAGTAAGAATTTTTAGAGGAGAGGGATGATTTGTTTGACAGGAAAGCATGTAAAAACAGGTGGGAGAAGTTGGCTTAATCCATTGTCATGTCCTCTGAGAAGAGAAAAAGCAGAAACAAAAGGTAGGTAAACCCCAAGACTGAATGATCAAGAGAGTGCATACCCTTATGCTGCATCTGCCACGTGAATGAATGAGTAAACAAATACACTTAAGGAATGTGTTCTACAAGTTGATACAAAACTTAGTATATCTAAGGCATAAGGAATTTAGGGCAAGTTAATCACACACTCTCAAAGTCAAGATGGCCAGTATGGTTTGGCTGGGTGTGGCGGCTCACGCCTGTGATCCTAGCACTTTGGGAGGCCAAGGTGGGAGGATCACTTGAACACAGGAGTTCAAGACTAGCCTGGGCAACATAGTAGGACCCCATCTCTATTTATTTAAAATTGTATTAATAATAATAATAAAAGAATGGGCCTGGAATCAGAAGACATGAAGTTAAGTATCATATCTGTTACTCACTTTTTGACCTTGAACAAAATATTTAACCTCATTAAGCCTATCTTCTAGTAGAAAAGACGAAAAGAGATATAATTTACAAAATATCTGGTACATAGCAGGTTAAAATCCTAAAAGGAATATGAAAATATTTGTTTCTACATTATATGACAGTTGTATGAATTAATAGAATTTTAAATATTTGATTTGAGGGACATTTTATACAATACCTTCTTTAATATGATTTTGGCCAAGAATCCCCTTTCCAAATACTTTGGGAATAGGGAGACTTTTTGTGTTGCATTGTAAGACTTTATAATAGGCCAGGTGCAGTGGCTCACACCTGTAATCCCAGCACTTCGGAAGGCTGAGGTGAGAGGATCACTGGAGCCCAGGAGCTTAAGACCAGCCTGAGTAACATGTCAGGACTTCATCTTTAAAAAAAATGAAAAAATTAGCTGAGCATGATGGCATGCACCTGTTGCCCCAGCTACTCAGAAGGCTGAGATGGGAAGACTGCTTAAGCCCAGGAGGTCAAGGTGCAGTGAGCCATGACTGTGCCACTGCATACCAGCCTGGGTGACAGAGTGAAACCCTGTCTCAAAAAAAGAAAGAAAAGATGTTATAATATATGTTTGGATAAAAAGAAAGCCTAATTGATGAGAAATATTTTGCCTATCATATAAAAAGAAAAATGGCAGGGTAGAGAAGAGTTTGGGTTGTTAAAAATGTATATGGGCAACTATATTAGTTAGCTTTTGCTGTGTAACAAATTATTCCAAAACTTAAATGGTGGTTTTTTAAGACAACCACCATTTCATATGGCTCCGGATTCTGTTAGTCAAAATTTGGGCTGAACTCAGCTGGGCAGTTCTTTTGGTCTTGTCTGGTCTTACTGATGCCTGTGTGATAAGCTGCTGAGTCAGGTAAGCCCTGGCTCTAGGATGACCTCAGCTGGGATTACTTACTCCATTTCTTGTGGGCTCCCATCATCACAGATGCTAGCTTAGGCTTTTTTATATAGTGGCTGGCAGGGTTCTAAGAGAGCAAGGGAAGTGTGAAAACCCTCTTAAGTCTATTCTTGGAACTGGCATACCATCACTTTCACCATATTCTGTTGGTCAAAACAAGTAACATGACCAGTCCAGAGTCAAAGGGAGGGGAGACTTTGCCTCTTGATAGGAGGCAAAGTTACATTTCAGAGGGTATGCATATAGACAGTTCCAGCTATTTTTGCAATCTTCTACAGTAGGGAAGTGAGTTCTAGTACATTTTATAATGCGGAGAATGAACTACAAGAGACTGATTCCACCAAACCTCAAAAACATCACCACTCTCTATAGAGAAAGGACTGAAAGGGTAATGTGAAGCTTGAAAGGAGCTGTGTTTGTGATGAATACTGAAGAGAGGAATGAACAAGGATTTAGACTTTTTCAGAGAGAGTATATATTAAAGCTATTCTTAGCAAAAAGTAAATAATTTAGCTTTTAACTTTAGATAAAGCATTGAAGACCACAATTGGGTAGTTGCAATATAGAAAATATAAAGTGTGCTGTATAAATGTTTTTTAAAAAAGAGAAAAGGAACACATAAAGAAAAAGATCCAGATTCTATTGAAAAATACAAAGATGGCATATGGCTAGCTATGATTTTCTTGTCCTGAAGAAAAATGGAGCTTTTGTTTTATAATGCAGTATCTCCATCTTAGACTACCTAAATGCAAACAGGAGTTTCTGAGAAACCTGATCTTTTTTTTGCACTTGTAAATAGGGTGAGGGGCAGGGGAGAAGTAATGTCTCTTCAGCCCAATAAACTGTTTCTAAGTTATGGCAGTGTGAGAATATGCCTTAATCTTTTTCAGCATTTATACTTTTTACATTCCCATTACTAATATTCACTTGCTTCCTCTATGGAGCAGTCATTTAGCTGGAACTATCATTTGATTCCAACTGACTGGGCAGGAAACAAAAATAAAATTGACATTTAAGTGCAGGGCCTTATTAAGGCAGTGTTTGTGGTCACCAGACTATTAGTTAAAGGTAGGACTGTCATATCACACCCAGCTCATCTCCAGTGCTCGCATTAGCTTTTTTCTCTTTCTTGGGGCCTATCGCAGTTTTGTCATTACAGGTGAAAGCTGGATCCTGGGATATTCCTGGAATATGAAGCTAAATAAGAGCCTAAGGGACAGAGAGGACAGGACCATGTTGTAGCATTGTTATTCAAATCCCATTTTAGATATAGGATTTAGCGATGTGTTATCAGGGCACTAAGTATGTCTTTTTAATGTTTAAGAGATTGGTTTTATGTGTGCTAAAAATGAGGAAGTCCTTGAAACTAGAGCATTCCAGAATACTGTACTGTATCCTTGCATCATGCCCAGCAGGCTAATGCAATTAAGATTCTCTACAAAGGACAGGAGGGATCAGTAGCGTTTGGCAGATAACCACAGGTGCTGTTCACCCTGATCAAAGTAAGCTGTTAGACACTGGGGCTTTCAACATAAGCATGAAATGTAACCTGTTCATTATTTGGTGTGAAGTATGAGGAGGGATTTGGTTAGGCTCTAGGAATGCACATATGTAACAGACCCTCTAAAACATGCAGAGAGTTGGAAATTATCATCCCTTTTAATGTTTTGATTATTTGGTAGGTGTTATAGCTGACTTTTTGTTATACCGCTATTCACCTTTTGGACTTAAGCTATTTGACTGTTAAATAAACATTTATTAACATTTCCTAAGATAAATGAATTTTTCAGATGATATGGCCACTTATTAGAGATAAATACATTTAATTGACTGGATTTAGTCACTGATTGGATTTGTACCAAATTATTAAAATTTGGGACAAATATTCAGGTGAGTTCAAGTCAATCCATTTCAAGAGTACCACACCTAGAGCTGTCCTATTATGTTCCAAGCATGGTGGCAGAATCTGTTGATACAGATAGAGGTAATTCATCACCTTTAGTAGCTCATGATCTCACTATGCAGACTTACAAATAAAGCTATAATTTGATACATTACGTGCTTCAATTAGTATTGTAGTTTTATAAATGATATAGTACTACAGCTGTTACAGTAATTAATTTTCTCATGGGGAGAATAGAAGTAACCAAAAATGAAATAATGCGTGAGAAGTTTGGAGGACCCAAAGAAGGATGAAGACTTGAGAGTGTGAGGCCACTCACGGCAATGGGCTTAACACAGACAAGTTACCAATGTATGAAATGGCATGTCTTATTTGAGGAACAACAAGTAATCTAGAGTGGCTAAAGAATACAATAAGCAAGGTGGCTGGAGTTGGAGCCATAGCAGCGGGCAAGAGATAAGTCATTAAGGGCTTTATATAACAGGCTGAAGATTTTCAATTTAGTTCTGTGAGTGATGAAGAACCATAAAATAGTTTTAAGTTAGGGAGTGATTAGACCAGATTTGTCCTTTAAAAGATAACTCTCAAAACTGGAGGAAAGCCTAGGAAGCAGCAAAAAGTGAGGAAGTAACCACTGAGATATTTAGGTGACAGTGGAAATGGAGAGAAGAGAACAAATTCATGGAGTGCTTCATAGTAGTAGTGCTAGGAGTTGCTGACAATTGAACATGGGTAATGAACTTCATCTTGAACTTCATGAACTTCAACTTGATTGAAGTATCAAGATGAGTCCAGGGTTCTTAGTTTGGGCCATTGAATATCTAGACAGTTATATGTTTGTATTGGGTATTCAGAAGAAGAAATGTATTTCTGGAGGTGTGGAGTAGAAAAGAATTTTGGTTTTGGACATCGTAGTGGTAACTACTGATTGCTTACCCAACATTTATTTCTTACCTTCTCTATTAAGGGAAGATGACTGTTGTAGTCCATTTGTGCTGCTATAACAGAATGCCACAGACTGGGTAATTTATAAACAAAAATTTTATTTTCTCACAGTTCTCAAGGCTGGGAAGTCCAAGGTCAAGGTGTTGGCATCTGGTTGGTAAGGGTCTTTCTTCTGTTTTCTCACATGGTAGAAGGTGGAAGTGCCCACAGAGATGAATGCTTCCTTACGTGGCAGAAGAGCAAAAGAGTGAGCTTGTTCTCTTAAGCTCTTTTTATAGTGGCATTAATTCGTTCATGAGGGCTCTGCTTTCATGACATAAATACCTCCCCAAAAGCCCCACCTCCCAACACTGTTGCATTGGGGATTGTTTCCAGCACATGAATTTTGGGGGACACATTCAGACCACAGCAATGACCCTCATTTATATTCTAAGGATAGATCATGGTTAGTGTATGCCAGTGATTCTCCATTGGGAATGGTTTCACCCTCCAGGGGACATTTGGCATTGGCTGGAGACATTTTTGGTTATCACAAGTGGGGAAAGCTACTGGCATGTAGGATGTAGATGCCAGGCATACTGCTAAAAATACTGCAATGCATAGAATAACCCTCCACAACAAAGAATTACCTGGTTCCAAATGTCAGTACTTCAAAGACTGAAAAACTTTGATCTAAGCTAACTATGGTAATCTCATTTCATTTGCCAATCATTCATTTGGGAATGAGCATGGGGCTAATTTCACAGGACTTTTGTAAAGTTTTTCTCTTAAAGTAAGTGATACACTTATTGTTATTGATGATGTTATGTCTGCACATGACATGTAGAATTGTTGCATCTATCTTTTCATCAGCTTGAGGATGAAGCCAACATGTAGAGGAGGGCAGAACCAAGGAAAATGCAGAGAAAAGGGTTCAGGGCTTTGATGTACATTTCAACTGTGCCTGCAACCTGTTCTACCTCTTGTTACATGGGGCTATAAATCTACTTATGGTCTATGATAGAATGAGTAGAGTTTTCCTATTACTGGTAACCTAAAGCATCCTAACTGATACTGCCATGTTGAATTGCTTGTGAATGATTCAAAATGATGGTGTTAAGTAAAGTATTGAACATGTAGCATTAGAGCTTAGCAAAAAGGTTATGATTAGAGTAAGAGCTGTAAAAGATTTCATAGAGAGGTGACAGGTGCAGTTATGGAATTGGCGATCTAGTCCAATCAGAGCTTGGAGAGCAAGAAGAAAATGCAATACAATTTTACAATATAGCTCTTAAATTATGAGTGTGAGAATAAGAAAATGTAATGAAAGACTTGTTAAAAGGATTCAGAAAAGCTATGCGTGGAGCTCAGTGGGTGATATGATGTGATACAGACAACTTGCTGTCTACTGAAAAGTTGTGCTTTTTGTTCCATACTATAGAATAATTACTAGGATGTAGATGCTCAGCCAGAAACTACCTTTCCAGATCCCCTAACCTCAAGAAAGTCTAATGAAAAATAATTTGTTTTTTTAAAGCTTGGGGGAGTTGAACATATATCCTAAGCAGAAGGGGAAACAAGACTTTGTGGTAGAAGAAGAACATTGATGAAATAAATAGATGTGATTGATGGGATGGCTTTGGAATAGATGTGAAGGGCTGCATTTAAATTTACTTAAGAAGGGTATAACTTTGGAAAGGAAAAGCAACTCTAACACCAGTTTATCTACTACAGGAGGAAAGATGGGAAGAATGCACACAATATAAATAAAGAAGAGGGCAGTTAAAGGAGTTCATGGCTAACTTTTTATTTTTCCCTGACAGTGTCTGTTGAGAATGAGGGACTCTGGTGCTTGATCTGAATGATAAAGATTTACTAACTGCTTTTAGGCAATGGAGAAGAGCGGCAGAGGAGAGCTAAATAAATGAATTGCTGAGCTGTTGGAGATGAATCTCATAAATTTGTGATGGATCAAATTAGCATATATGTGTAATCCCCCGTGGAATGCACAGCGACCCTTGAAAGGAAATAGTTTTGTTAATTCGAGCTTGGAGTTTGGAAGGAAGAGTGGAATAGATTAACTGGTAAAGTAGTAACTGAAAAAAACGCTGGTAGGAATGTTGCTGAAATTGTTGAGCATCACATTGTCAGTAGAAATACATTCATATGACTTTGGAAACTTAGGGTATTGAAGAAAATATTGGGAATTAATAATGGTTAGAATAAATCATTAGCCATCAATTTATCATCTTTCAGGGATAAAGCTTAGGGGTGGGCAAACACTTAATTAAAATGAGAGTGATGTGGGATAAAGTATGACTGACATCAAAAGGTCAGTTCTTGGATGTCTCCTGTGTCACTAATTCACACCATTTTGAAATAGAAATGAAATTACCAAATTCACCCACTTTTCAGATGAACAATCTGACATTCGGAGATGCTAAGGGCAGAGTGGATTCTCAAGGTCAGGTAGATTTTTAGTGACTAAACTGAGATTATCACCTGGATATTTTTGTTCTTAGCTGAATGTCCTCTTTTTTGAGCAGTTCTAGAGTATGTGAAAGACAGAGACTTCATAAAAACTTCAAGAATAAGTAAGAAAAGAAATAATCCAGCCCATCGTTGTGGCACACACCTGTAGTCCCAGCTACTTGGGAGACTGAACTAGGAGGATCACTTAAGCCCAGAAGTTCGAGACTGTAGTGTGCTATAATCATGCCTGTGAATAGCCACTGCACTCCTCTGGGCAACATAGTGAGACCCTGTCTCTTAAAAAAAGAAAAAAATGGAATGAGTGAGTCTCTTCAATTAAACAAATATAAATGCCTCATTGAACTGGGAACTATTTTGAAAACATTTTTCTATCTATCATATTATGGAAGTTCTAGGAGGTTGGTCACATATAAACAGGCTGGCTCCTATGGTTTGGGAGGAACATACTTTGCAGGGAATCTGGATGAAAGCCAGGTAGGGCAGTTGTTTAGGAGTCAAATAACAGGGTGATAAAAAGTCACTGGAGGGAAACAAAAAGGGATTTGATGTAACTAATTGATTGTGAATGCAGCCTGAAGCATGTGAATTGGGGAAGACCTTCACAGTCCACTGACTAAGTATGTGCTTTTTAATCAAGAGGTTAGTGTTTCTGTGAGTCCTGTTTCTCTTCTGAAAGGGGCTTATTCATTGGGGGAGTTATTGGGAACATGTGTTTATTGGGCTGGGATAGGGAAAGCTTTAACATTGTTGAAAGAGGTCAGCAGTGATACTCAACCTCTGCTGTACCCTATGGTAATTGACAATGCTCTAATAGGAGCAGGCTGTATAGAAAAGTGCTGTCTCCCTTTAGGTTACATTGACTGTTCTATATGTTGAAAAGTAAAGCTATGAAGTCTGAGTTTGTTTTTATATGTGACCCAAATCATGGCTCAGAGCATACAGTTTACTAGGTGATAAGCCATTGGTATTTCCTATTTATTTATTGATATTTCCTATTTTATTTATTTCCTATTTATTTTTATTAGATCTAGTTTATTATTTTCATATTTGAATTTTTTGTAAACTCCAGTTTTCTTAGAGATTTTTATGAACCTTTAAATTGTCTCTCTTGTGCACTTAATAATTGGAGAGCACAGATGTCTTTCTGCATTTTAATTAGATAGCTTGTTTTTAGGGACCATATGCTATCTTCACTCCTTGCGTGGAATGTTTGTTTCTGTCATTAAATTTTCCCTCTCCTGGGTAAGTGAGGAACATGCCCATCAGGTGGTGATTAACTTTAAGTATTAACAATAATTGTATAGGGTTGTGTGTGTGTGTGTGTGTGTGTGTGTGTGTGTGTTCAGTCTTTAGTCAATGAAAATAGCCATATTGTAATGTGGAGTAAATACAAATCTCTTTTTTAGTAATTACATTCTTGTGACTTTCTTGTAATAAAAAAAAATTCCTAAGGATGAAGCTTACTTCATTAGGTTTCTGCTGGGGATGAATTGTTTTGAAAGCTTGGTAAAATAAATAGGGTCATTGTGAGAGTGGAAAAAATATATATGCTTTTAGCATCACAGATGCTTCATTTATTCTGGGATAACAGAAAGCATGATTACATAAAAATGCATAATATGAATGGCATGTATGTTTCCCTATAAGTGGTTGCCTGTTTCAGATGTTTGTGTTTCTATGATCTCCTTCCTGTTGGAATATTCACTTTTTATAAGACTTTACAGATTTTCTTTCAGTAATTGCTGCTTTCATTTGATGAATTACATTTTGTTATATTATTTATTGTTAAGAATAGAATTGCCTTTGAAAGTATGGTTTGCTCATAGCCAATTAAACCATAAATACAACAGACAGTGCAGTTATGCAGCAGATCTTACTCTTATGACTTACTGTTCAAGTGTAAAAGTGAATTCGCTAGATCCATACAGGACAATATTTATTATTATAGTCTTATTTTGCATAATTTTCAATACCCAGGAGGTGCTACAAGTTCCAGTGCCTTTTCTGATCCTTATTTTCTGCTTTTCTCCACTGGCTAGTTATGTGATAAGGACATGGAGAGATGAGAATGAAGAGTGTAGATGGAAATTTCGTGCTGTCTCCTCTCCATCTTCCCCTGTTCGAAGGCATCAATGCAGAACATTTTATCTTCTTATACCTCTATAAGGTATCATTCAATACATTCAATAGCTCAGTCTCCAGAATCTTACAGTCTTGCTACAAAGCAATCTCCAATTTCAAATGTTTGACACAATGTTAAAGTAGGATTATTGGGATCTCAGTATGCACAACTGCGGTGCACTATGCTTGCTTTCTTTTTCTTTTTTTTTTTTCTGAGATGGAGTCTCGCTCTGTCGCCAGGCTGGAGTGCAGTGGCACGATCTCGCCTCACTACCATCTCCGCCTCCTGGCTTCAAGTGATTCTCCTGCCTCAACCTCCTGAGTAGCTGGGACTACAGGCATGCGCCACCACACCCAGCTAATTTTTGTATTTTTAGTAGAGACGGTGTTTCACCATGTTGGCAAGGATGGTCTCGATCTCTCGACCTGGTGATCCGCCCGCCTCAGCTTCCTGCTGGGATTACAGGCATGAGCCACTGCACCTGGCCCACTGTGGTTTCTTTACATCTTATTTATGTTAGACATAGGCAGCTCTATTATCCTCCAGCTGGTTGTGATATGGTCTAAGTGAAATCTTGCTTCCATCCTTTTTGAGGCCTATTTGCCATGCTCTTAACTGCCTTTCCAGGACTGGATATATTGGGCATTCAATATGCTTTTCTTGTCCTGACATTATGGTTACGGGGGAGAGCAGAACTTGAAAGGGGCTGTGGCTGTCTATGGCAGTGGATGGACTAATCTGTTTGCCTAAAGGCCATTGAAAACAAAATGGGCTAGGGTTTCCTCCCCTAATTGGGGAACTTTCTTACTCCCTTGAGTTTCAGATCTTCCAGAGTCAAGATGAACTCCCAGAATCTTCACTGTTTTCAAAGATAATTAGCCCTAAGTGTTCACTTGCCCTGATTAATCCCAGCAGCTCTTAGTCAGTGAGGGATTCCTGACTCTTTTTAGTCAGTGAGGGACAAACTGTGGATTTTGGACATGACATATAGTTCACAGAGGTATGGGGACATCCATAGATACCCTCTGTGTGTTTCTCTATGAAGGCTTCCCATTCCCTCGGAAAATTGTGTCTTATTTTCTCTTTCATTTTTTTTTTTTTAATTATACTTTAAGTTCTAGGGTACATGTGCACAACATGCAGGTTTGTTACATATGTATACATGCGCCATGTTGGTGTGCTGCACCCATTAACTCGTCATTTACATTAGATATATCTCCTAATGCTATCCCTCCCCCCGCCCCCACCCCACAACAGTCCCCAGTGTGTGGTGTTCCCCTTTCTGTGTCCAAGTGTTCTCATTGTTCAATTCCCACCTATGAGTGAGAATATGCGGTGTTTGGTTTTTCGTCCTTGAGATAGTTTGCTGAGAATGATGGTTTCCAGTTTCATCCATGTCCCTACAAAGGACATGAACTCATCCTTTTTTATGGCTGCATAGTATTCCATGGTGTATATGTGCCATATTTTCTTAATCCAATCTATCATTGATGGACATTTGGGTTGGTTCCAAGTCTTTGCTATTGTGAATAGTGCTGTAATGCACATACGTGTGCATGTGTCTTTATAGCAGCATGATTTATAGTCCTTTGGGTATATACCCAGTAATGGGATGGCTGGGTCAAATGGTATTTCTAGTTCTAGATCCTTGAGGAATTGCCACACTGTCTTCCACAATGGTTGAACTAGTTTACACTGCCACCAACAGTGTAAAAGTGTTCCTATTTCTCCACATCCTCTCCAGCACCTGTTGTTTCCTGACTTTTTAATGACTGCCATTCCAACTGGTGTGAGATGGTATCTCATTGTGGTTTTGATTTGCATTTCTCTGATGGCCAGTGATGATGAGCATTTTTTCATGTGTCTGTTGGTTGCATAAATGTCTTCTTTTGAGAAGTGTCTGTTCATATCCTTCGCCCACTTTTTGGTGGGGTTGTTTGTTTTTTTCTTGTAAATTTGTTTGAGTTCTTTGTAGATTCTGGATATTAGCCCTTTGTCAGATGAGTAGATTGCAAAAATTTTCTCCCATTCTGTAGGTTGCCTGTTCACTCTGATGGTAGTTTCTTTTGCTGTGCAGCAGCTCTTGAGTTTAATTAGATCCCATTTGTCAATTTTGGCTTTTGTTGCCATTGCTTTTGGGGTTTTAGACATGAAGTCCTTGCCCACGCCTATGTCCTGAATGGTATTGCCTAAGTTTTCTTCTAGAGTTTTTATGGTTTTAGGTCTAACATTTAAGTCTTTAATCCATCTTGAATTAATTTTTGTATAAGGTGTAAGGAAGGGATCCAGTTTCAGCTTTCTACATATGGCTAGCCAGTTTTCCCAGGACCATTTATTAAATAGAGAATCCTTTTCCCATTTCTTGTTTTTGTCAGGTTTGTCAAAGATCAGATGGCTATAGATGTGTGGTATTATTACTGAGAGCTCTGTTCTGTTCCATTGGCCTATATCTCTGTTTTGATACCAGTACCATGCTGTTTTGGTTACTGTAGCCTTGTAGTATAGTTTGAAGTCAGGTAGTGTGATGCCTCCAGCTTTGTTCTTTTGGTTTAGGATTGTCTTGGCAATGCAGGCTCTTTTTTGGTTCCATATGAACTTTAAAGTAGTTTTTTCCAATTCTGTGAAGAAAGTCATTGGTAGCTTGATGGGGATGGCATTGAATGTATAAATTACCTTGGGCAATATGGCCATTTTCACAATATTGATTCTTCCTATCCATGAGCATGGAATGTTCTTCCATTTGTTTGTGTCCTCTTTTATTTCATTGAGCAGAGGTTTGTAGTTCTCCTTGAAGAGGTCCTTCACATCCCTTGTAAGTTGGATTCCTAGATATTTTATTCTCTTTGAAGCAATTGTGAATGGGAGTTCACTCATGATTTGGCTCTCTGTTTGTCTGTTATTGGTGTATAAGAATGCTTGTGATTTTTGTGCATTGATTTTGTATCCTGAGACTTTGCTGAAGTTGCTTATCAGCTTAAGGAGATTTTGGGCTGAGATGATGGGGTTTTCTAAATATACAATCATGTCATCTGCAAACAGGGACAATTTGACTTCCTCTTTTCCTAATTGAATGTCCTTTATGTCTTTCTCCTGCCTAATTGCCCTGGCCAGAACTTCCAACACTATGTTGAATAGGAGAGGTGAGAGAGGGCATCCCTGTCTTGTGCCAGTTTTCAAAGGGAATGCTTCCAGTTTTTGCCCATTCAGTATGATATTGGCTGTGGGTTTGTCATAAATAGCTCTTATTATTTTGATGTACATCCCATCAATACCTAATTTATTGAGAGTTTTTAGCATGAAGGGCTGATGAATTTTGTCGAAGGCCTTTTCTGCATCTATTGAGATAATCATGTGGTTTTTGTCTTTGGTTCTGTTTATATGCTGGATTACGTTTATTTATTTTTGTATGTTGAACCAGCCTTGCATCACAGGGATGAAGCCCACTTGATTGTGGTGGATAAGCTTTTTGATGTGCTGCTGGATTCGGTTTGCCAGTATTTTATTGAGGATTTTTGCATCGATGTTGATCAAGGATATTGGTCTAAAATTCTCTTTTTTTGTTGTGTCTCTGCCAGGCTTTGGTATCAGGATGATGCTGGCCTCATAAAATGAGTTAGGGAGGATTCCCTCTTTTTCTATTGATTGGAATAGTTTCAGAAGGAATGGTACCAGCTCCTCGTTGTACCTCTGGTAGAATTCAGCTGTGAATCCACCTGGTCCTGGACTTTTTTTGGTTGATAGGCTATTAATTATTGCCTCAATTTCAGAGCCTGTTATTGGTCTATTCAGAGATTCAACTTCTTCCTGGTTTAGTCTTGGGAAGTTGTATGTGTCCAGGAATGTATCCATTTCTTCTAGATTTTCTAGTTTATTTGCATAGAGGTGTTTATAGTATTCTCTGATGGTAGTTTGTATTTCTGTGCAATCGGTGGTGATATCCCCTTTATCATTTTTTATTGCATCTATTTGATTCTTCTCTCTTTTCTTCTTTATTAGTCTTGCTAGCAGTCTATCAGTTTTGTTGATCCTTTCAAAAAACCAGCTCCTAGATTGATTAATTTTTTGAAGGTTTTTTTGTGTCTCTATCTCCTTCAGTTCTGCTCTAATCTTAGTTATTTCCTGCCTTCCTTTAGCTTTTGAATGTTTTGCTCTTACTTGTCTAGTTCTTTTAATTGTAATGTTAAGGTGTCAATTTTAGATCTTTCCTGCTTTCTCTTGTGGGCATTTAGTGGTACGAATTTCCCTCTACACACTGCTTTAAATGTGTCCTGGCAATTCTGGTATGTTGTGTCTTTGTTCTCATTGGTTTCAAAGAACATATTTATTTCTGCCTTCATTTCGTTATGTACCCAGTGGTCATTCAGGAACAGGTTGTTCAGTTTCCATGTAGTTGAGCCATTTTGAGTGAGTTTCTTAATCCTGAGTTCTTATTTGATTGCACTGTGGTCTGAGAGACAGTTTATTATACTTTCCGTTCTTTTACATTTGCCGTATAGTGCTTTTCTTCCAACTATGTGGTCAATTTTGGAATAAGTGCGATGTGGTGCTGAGAAGCATGTATGTTCTGTTGATTTGGGGTGGAGAGTTCTGTAGATGTCTATTAGGTCTGCTTGGTGCAGAGCCGAATTCAATTCCTGGATATCCTTGTTAACTTTCTGTCTTGTAGATGTCTAATGTTGACAGTGGGGTGTTAAAGTCTCCCATTATTATTGTGTGGGAGTCTAAGTCTCTTTGTAGGTCTCTAAGGACTTGTTTTATGAATCTGGGTGCTCATGTATTGGGTGCATATATATTTAGGATAGTTAGCTCTTCTTGTTGAATTGATCCCTTTACCATTATGTAATGGCCTTCTTTGTCTCTTTTGATCTTTGTTGGTTTAAAGTCTGTTTTATCAGAGACTAGGATTGCAACCTCTGCCTTTTTTTGTTTTCCATTTGCTTGGTAGATCTTCCTCCATCCCTTTATTTTGAGCCTATGTGTTTCTCTGCACGTGAGATGGGTCTCCTGAATACAGCACACTGATGGGTCTTGACTCTTTATCCAATTTGCCCATCTGTGTCTTTTAAATGGAGCATTTAGCCCATTTACATTTAAGGTTAATATTGTTATGTGTGAATGTGATCCTGTCTTTATGATGTTAGCTGGTTATTTTGCTCATTAGTTGATGCAGATTCTTCCTAGCCTTGATGGTCTTTACAGTTTGGCATGTCTTTGCAGTGGTTGGTATCAGTTGTTTCTTTCCATGTTTAGTGCTTCCTTCAGGAGCTCTTTTAGGGCAGGCCTGGTGGTGACAAAATCTCTCAGCATTTGCTTGTCTGTAAAGTATTTAATTTCTCCTTCACTTATGAAGCTTAGTTTGGCTGGATATGAAATTCTGGGTTGAAAATTCTTTTCTTTAAGAATGTTGAATATTGGCCCCACTCTCTTCTGGCTTGTAGAGTTTCTGCTGAGAGATCCGCTGTTAGTCTGATGGGCTTCCCTTTGTGGGTAATCCCACCTTTGTCTCTGGGTGCCCTTAACATTTTTTCCTTCATTTCAACCTTGGTGAATCTGACAATTATGTGTCTTGGAGTTGCTCTTCTTGAGGAGTATCTTTGTGGCGTTCTCTGTATTTCCTGAATTTGAATGTTGGTCTGCTTTGCTAGGTTGGGGAAGTTCTCCTGGATAATATCCTGCAGAGTGTTTTCCAACTTGGTTCCATTCTCCCCATTGCTTTCAGGTACACCAATCAGACGCACATTTGGTCTTTTCATATAGTCCCATATTTCCTGGAGACTTTGTTCGTTTATTTTTACTCTTTTTTCTCTAAACTTCTCTTCTTGATTCATTTCATTCATTTGATCTTCAATCACTGATATCCTTTTTTCCAGTTCATCGAATCGGCTACTGAAGCTTGTGCATTCGTCACGTAGTTCTTGTGCCATGGTTTTCAGCTCCATCAGGTCATTTAAGGACTTGTCTACACTGCTTATTCTAGTTACCCATTCATCTAATCTTTTATCAAGGTTTTTAGCTTCTTTGCGATGGGTTCAAAGTTCGTCCTTTAGCTTGGAGAAGTTTGATCATTTGAAGCCTTCTTCTCTCAACTTATCAAAGTCATTCTCCATCCAGCTTTGTTTTGTTGCTGGTGAGGAGCTACGTTTCTTTGGAGGGGGAGAGGTGCTCTGATTTTTAGAATTTTCAGTTTTTCTGCTCTGTTTTTTCCCCCCTTTGTGGTTTTATCTACCTTTGGTCTTTGATGATGGTGACGTACGGATGGGGTTTTGGTGTGGATGTCCTTTCTGTTTGTTAGTTTTCCTTCTAACAGTCAGGACCCTCAACTGCAGGTCTGTTGGAGTTTGCTGGAGGTCCACTCCAGACCCTGTTTGCCTGGGTATCAGCAGTGGAGGCTGCAAAACAGCAAATATTGCTGAACAGCAAATGTTGATGCCTGATCATTCCTCTGGAAGCTTCGTCTCAGAGGGGTACCCGGCCATGTGAGGTGTCAGTCTGCCCCTACTGGGTGATGCCTCCCAGTTAGGCTACTCGGGGGTCAGGGACCCACTTGAGGAGGCAGTCTGACCGTTCTCAGATCTCAAACTCCATGCTGGGAGAACCACTGTACCGTCTTCAAAGCTGTTAGCCACGGACTTTTAAGTCTGCAGAGGTTTCTGCTGTCTTTTGTTCAGCTATGCCCTGCCCCCAGAGGTAGAGTCTACAGAGGCAGGCAGCCTCCTTTAGCTGCGGTGGGCTCCACCCAGTTCCCAGTTCGAGCTTCCAGTCTGCTTTGTTTACCTATTCAAGCCTCAGCAATGGCGGTCGCCCCTCCCCCCGCCTCGCTGCCACCTTGCAGTTTGATCTCAGACTGCTGTGCTAGCAATGAGCAAGGCTCTGTGGGCGTGGGACCCTCCAAGCCAGGCACAGGATGTAATCTCCTGGTGTGCTGTTTGCTAAGACCATTGGAAAAGCGCAGTATTAGGATGGGAGTGACCCAATTTTCCAGTTGCCATCTGTCACAGCTTCCCTTGGCTAGGAAAGGGAATTTCTGACCCCTTGCACTTCCCGGGTGAGGCAATGCCTCACTCTGCCTTGGCTCACGTTTGGTGGGCTGCACCCACTGTCCTGTACCCACTGTCCGACAAGCCCCAGTGATATGAACCTGGTACCTCCAGTTGGAAATGCAGAAATCACCCGTCTTCTGCGTCGCTCATGCTGGGAGCTGTCGACTGGAGCTGTTCCTGTTCGGCCATCTTGGAACCGCCCCCACTTTTCTCTTTTTTTTTTGCCTTTTTATTGCTGGAAATTAAGTGGGTTGGTTTTGATAGTTGTGCTTTTTCATCTTAGCTTTCTTCCTAGGCAGGTAAACATGAGCTAGACAGACTTGGTGGAAATTTCTGAACCTGTGACACACTGTCATGGTAGGGAGGCCTATTTATTGGGGGGTTTCTACATCCTTCCCTTGCATTGTCTGCTTATTCTCTCAGTCTACTTCTTGTCTTTATTTATTTTGTATCTTAAAAAACTAATCATGGTATCAATTACATATTGTAACATGTACAGATCTTAAGTGTATGTTTTGATGAATTTGACAAATGCGTCTACCATGTAAGCCCAGAATGTTCCTTTTATGCCCCTTCTCTGCCAATCCTACCAACATGTAGGCAGCCATTGTTCTGATATCTGTCGTGGATACATTTTGCATATAAGTGGAATCATAGAGTATGTACTCATTTGTTCCTGACTTTTTTCACTCACTTCAATGTTTTGCATGTAACAATTTCTTTTTAATTACTAATTAATATTCCATTGTATAAATATACCATAGCTTGTTTATCTATCTTCATGTTAATGAACATTTTGACTGCTTCTGGCTTTGGGAATATGGACATTCTTGTACAAATCTTTTTGGGGGTGTGTTTTCATTTCTCTTGGATAAATATCTGAGAATACAGTTGCTTGGAAATAGGTAGATAGGTATTGCCCAGGCTGCTTCTTAAAGTAAATTGATGACATTAGTGGAAAATTTGGGATTTTGTCCATTCACCTCTCTTCCTGACTTCTCTGGTGTATGTAGGAGTAGGATGTGTTTGAGATAACTGTACACTTTCTAGAATCTTCACTTTCTCTTCTCTGGTGACCATTTCTTAAAAAGAAAGTGACATTAAAATTGTGCCTCGTCCTTAATTTGATTGCTATATTTTTCTTGGTCAGTTTTAATCTATTTTGTTCATTTGTTAGGCTTGTGGGAAGGAAGAGTCTGTGCTCAGTTTCAAACTGCTAATTTTCCCTGGAAGTCCAATTCATAACAGACAAAATATTGAAAATTGTTTGAATAATTCAGCATCCTTCTCTTCACCCATGTTTTATATATATTTCTCAAAGCAGACATATGTTTTGAAATCAAATTTGGCTTCGTTCTGCCATCTTGTCCCAGAACTCCAGCAATTCTGTTTTGAAGGCCAAATAGGAAACATTTTTCTTCAGTGTAACAAATGTAATGTGATCCTGTTTGTGGCTGATAGCAGACTCTCTGTCTTTAAAAATCAAACATGTCATTGACATGAACAAATCCCAGGACAGTTCTGGGAAATAGTCATTTTCTTTAGTGGGATATTTTAAAAACACATATATCATGCTGCTCGCTTAGGGGACTTTGAGTGATTTTGTCATGAACTTACTCTACTTCGAAATGACATTAACTACTGGATAGAGGTCTGTTATATAAATTGGGTGACCTGGTACCTAATCTTGTCTCTGCTTATCAGCTATCACTGGCAAATCATTATTCTTTGTATGACTGAGATCCATAATCAGTAAAATACTGCATGTATATCTCAGGGAATAGAGATTAACAAAAAGATGTCTGTAAGACATTGTGAGATATTTTAGAAGAAGAATGCATTGTGATTTTATAACATCATGATGATGTTGTTATTTATCAAGCTCCAAGGAGGCCTCTTTTAGTTTCCAAATCGAAGGCCCAGAAATCATTTTCCCTAACATGAGGTTTTTCCATGGAAATGCAGAAAACAGTGTTTGGAACTTACATTTACACAGTACATAGTCTTCCATGTTCTCTCTGCATGCATATTTAACCTTCTTGTTTTCCCATTAATGTTGATTATCCTTTTCTTCTGTCATTTATGTCTTTGCAGGGAGCTCATTATTTGGCCAATAAGAAACCTGATTTTGTTTTGGGATGAAAATACATATAGGCAAAGGGAGGCTAAGCTTTGGATTCAAATTGGCATCTGGGCTTCGTTGTCTCATCTGGAGTTCTCTAGCATCTTGGCTTTCTTTGATTTCCTTGGAAATCTGTCCTATGGTTTAGACTGGGCCCAGCAGTTGCAATGGATCACTGTGCAAACCTTTACTAGCTGCAAATGCCCTCTTAAAAATGTATTTAACCACAAATTTCAGTCTGCAAATTATTAATGTTAAAACTATTTGAAGAAGAACACATTTCCAGATATAAAGCCAACACGAAACTTTTACATAAATCAAATATGGCAGAACCAAATTAAAACTGTTGCATTTTCCCCAGTCTCTAGGTTTTGGGCATACTAGTGGTCTAATTTCCCATCTGTGGTTAGTGTCATCATATCGTATACTATGTGTCACCCCAATGCTACGTTTGCCAACATTTCATAGGGAGACTTTTCACCTCCCATGCTTGTTAAAAATTAAATGTGCAATGATGGGACATGCTTTTTTGCCTTACTTCTGTTAACATGAGATAACTTTGTTTTTCACCATTTTCTCTTTATTTTTCTCTATTTTAATGTAATTTAATAAGCTAGAATATGTTCCTTTAAATTTGAACCTATGAGGTGAATGTGTTTATATGTGTGCATTTGTGTATGTCAGAGTGAGAAAGAGAAAATTGTATGAAGCGCCATGATGTATGTGTGTGTGTGTGTGTGTGTGTGTGTGTGTGTGTGTGCATGCACGTGTGTTTTAATGAACAATTGGCCTGAAAGGCAGACAGAAAATATTTACCTTCTGGGATACCCTCTGTATCAGGAATGAGAAGAATTAGATTAAGGCTGGGGTTGATGGTGGCAGAGAATGCCCTTCATAAGCTGCTTTAAACTCTAGCTTGGCTTGGTCTTTTACTCTGGGCTGGGAGAGTGGGAATCAGCAGGCGCATGCCATACTCAATCAGAGTCTGGAAAGATTGGCAGAAGCACACCCAGTGCCCAGATACGCCAGTTGACTGAAGCTCATGGCATGCTAAGAGTGCAAAATCCACACTGCCTGTTGTCTGAGAGCTAACAGGGAAGTATGTTGGAAAGGAAGTCACCAGTGTGGGAACAAGGAAGAGAGAAAATCATAAAAATCCTTAGCACTTTCATTGTCATTTTCTGGCTCCCCATCTTCCAGCAAGTCCTTATGCTCTTTATGACTGAAATCTTGAGTTAAGTTAACAAAGTGCTAGAATGTATTTTACCTGTGTATCTCAGGGTATAAAGAGCAAATGCTGGAAATGAGAGAAGGAAGCAAACTAACATCCGTTGTGTAATTCTATGAGGCAGTTTTATTTATTTTCCCATTTTTATGATACATTTTTTCTATATTTCTATATTTATTTTTACCATATTACAGATACTAAGGTAAAGCTCAGAGAGGTCAGATAACTTAATAAAGGTCAAAAATCAGGTAGGTGATAGCTATAATTGAGGCCCAGTTGCTTAGATTCAGAATGTATGCTTGAGTAAATATATACCAAATCTTTATCTTCCACCCATCCATCCCCAAATACTGATACCCAGGCAGTAGCAGGTCTGTCTAAATTAAAAATCACTTTAGCTTGCTGTCTCCTGCAGCTCATGACCCAGCAAATTAAATTACATTTATTTTAGGCTAATAGTTTGGTGAGTTTGAAATGTATGCTATTATCTTCTATTCTGATTTTTGGTTTTGAAATACTTCAAGGATTATTTGAAAGTTCTGGCATTTCTCTTATGCCAGTGCAACCGACACAAAGAGGACATAGCTTCATTTATGCATTTATTTAAGTGGCATTATAAAATTGTCAGTTCAACACATCTGTACATACATATGTAAGGTGTTATGCCCAACCTTCTCCTTCTTACAAAGAAAACAAGAAAACTGAGAGATAGTAAAAATTAATATTACATTAGAATACATTATAGTTTCTTTTTATTTTTGTGGAACATGTAAAACATGTGGAACTTGAAATGGAAAAGATGTACTGTTGACAGATAAATGCAGAGATCAGCTTTTAAATAATAGACATTTTAACCTATGCATGAGGTTTGGTTGGAGTTTTGCCATGTCGTTTAAATTAGCCCCATAGCCTAGAGGGGGTTTTTACAGGAAGCCATTGTAATTTTCATCCCTTAGACACTGGCATTTTCATGAGCTGAAGTTAAGTGTCTCAAGGGATAATGGAATATCACTGAAACATTTCCTGAGCTCGCTTGAGCTGTACCTTGGTGTGTCCACGTGTGCTCTTAGAAGAACAGAGGTTTTGTTTCATTTTGTGAGGACATGAGGTTGTCCCCAAGTGCAGTTTTTCTTTTTAATGGATTTTTTTTTCAAAATTATATTCAGAAAGAAGAGTTTAATTTATTCAGTAAAAATGTTCCATACTTAGTTTGAAGGAATCACGGGAATTTGATCATTATTTGCCTTCTAATACCTATGTAATAAAGTAACAAATTCAAAACATTTGACTAACCCAAGGTTTTCTGAGAAATTACAAAATAAGGTAAAGTTTTATAAGCATTTTGAGATAAAGAAATAAAAACATTTTAACTACATTTGTTTTTATTAAAATTCCCAAAGACTTGTACATTATTTTTATAAAATTAAAATTCACATGTAGTATTTGTCACTACTTTTCCACCACTGAAATCTATAAAGCAATAAAAAAGTAGTCATAAACAATGGTACCTTATTGAGTATTAATGTGACTCGACAGACATCTATTTTATGTTCCTAGCTTTGGCAGTTGGGTGAATGGATTTTCTGTTAAGAGAAGGAACAAGGATGGAAGGGAGGTGGTGTGAGGAAGTAGTGAGTTGTGTGTAGCTTGTCAAGTTTCAGGTGGTTCGTGAGCACTCACTAGGAATCACAGAGACCCTGGCGCAAGTAGGTTCAGGGAGGTTTAACATGACATGGTATTCATACCTCAGTATAGCTCAAGTAACACTGATGTGCCTCCTAATTACCATATTCTCACTGTGATATAATGAAGAATGTTTGATTATGTTAATTAGAAAGCATATCACACACATTGATCACTTCGTGACTTTGTATGTCAGAAATATCGTTGTAAATGTTATGCAACAAAAATAGGATCATAAATTTTATCTAAATTATGCCACAGATTGTGGTAACAACCTGATGAATGACATATGACATATGACATATGAATGAAGAATGATACTTTCTCTACCACATTTCTCAGTGAAGGCCATTTCTGTGATTGTGGTTGCTGTGATTACATTAGATGTACCTTGTGATGATCTTTCTAGTGCCTCTGCCTTAGCTGTTTTCAGAGCCAGTTTTATTATCTCTTAGATACTGTGGGCTCAGGCAAAGAGCCTCTCTGCTAGTGTCAGAGATAATCTCAAAGTTTACCACTTACTGGTGCAGTCATTAACTCTATTTTTTCCCCCTATCTCTGGGCTGAAACTGCTAACAACTATAGATACTGCCTAAATCTGTTTAAAAGAGCTTCAGTACTTGAGTGTTTGTCAGAGCCTACCTTCCCAGAAGATCTGTTCCTGTTCCATTCCTCTGAGACACTCTCCTTCAATCAGTCTTGGCTGTCACTTGCAAACAGTCTGTCCTGTCATTTGTGAAACACACAGACACACACCCTACTTAGTGCAAAGAAATAGTGTCCTGACCAAACCAAAAACAGTGAGAACAAAAACTTGCTGCTACAACTAACAAGCCCTTCAAACTATTTTAAAATATGCATCTTTTCATTGTTAAATTTATTGAAAGCACCCATTTAACCTTTCGAAATTTCCACTTCCTAATCAACCCTTCCTGTATTCCTTGTAATAAAGCTACTATTCTCCAACTGTTGCCAACAACATGCTTGTTGCCAAAGCAAACAGTGATTTTGTCAGTCTCATTTTTCTTCTCTTTTCCTTAGACTGTGATGCTACCACTGCTCTGTTCTTTCTAAAACATTGTCTTTTATGCTTGGTTTTCATATCACTGCTTTATCCTGACTAATAGAAGAAACAGGGCTTTGAGGTCAGACAGATGCAGTTGTGACTCTTTCTCTCTGCATATGGGCACCTTGTTTAACTGCTGGGCCTCCAGATCATGAGGCACCAAAGGAAAAGTGGAGAGGAAAGACGTTTGATGTCACATGGCCTAGAGCAGTGTTTTTCAATGGGGCCTTGTTGGCATTTTGGGTGGAACAATTTTTCCTTATGAAGGACTCTAAGCATTGCAGGATGTTTGGCATCCCTGGCCTCCAGGCACTAATTGCTGATTGCATCCCCCATTATGCCAACCAAAAATGCCACACACATTCTCCGATGTTCTCTCCAGAGTGATACTGCCCTGGGTTGAGAGGAAACTGGAGGTTATGATTAACTTTTTCTTCCAAGAGTCCTTAGCATGACATATAAGCCTTAGCTTATTTATTTATTTATTTGTTTATTTATGAGAGACTAATGGTGTATATAAGGTTAAGCATACTTTATTTCCATTACCCATGTCACAAAATGTGCACCTCCTATATTATTCTATTTATACTTTTCCAAACTTATTTTTTTTCTTCACTTCCAGGCCTCTAACTTTATTGATGTGGAACTGTTGTACCTAAAAATTTCCTACTCATACTTTGGATTCAGCTTAGACTTAAATCTGTAGACTCCTAGGTGTCAGAGCTTCCTACTGTGGGCTCCCTTACTACCTACATTTCACATTGAAATGCACAGCTCGTTTTCATGTTTATCTTTCTCGGTACACTTGAGAACAGAGATAACTAGTTTGTTCATGCCTCTTACAGTGTCTGGTACATAGTAGGCCCTCAATAAATATTTGCTGTTATGTGAATAAAATAAACTGGAAGGAAAGTATGGTAAGTTTCAGAAATATTTTTAGGTTGAAAGGAAGTAGAAAAGTTTATGTTAATTGACCATGAACATTGTAGAGTGATGTGGGTTACACTGAAAACTAAATTATTCTACTTACATAAAAAATTTGGCTGGGCACGGCGGCTGACAATTGTAATCCCAGCTCTTTGGGAGGACGAGGCGGGTGGATCACTTTAGGCCAGGAGTTCGAGACCAGCCAGACCAACATGGTGAAATCCTGTCTCTACTAAAAATACAAAAAAATTAGCTGGGCACGGTGGCAGGCTTCTGTGGTCCCAGCTACTCAGGAGGTGGAGGCAGGAGAATCACTTGAACCCAGGAGGCAGAGGTTGCAGTGAGCCGAGATTGTGCCACTGCATTCCAGCCTGGGCAACAGAGCAACTCCATCTCAAAAATAAACAAACAAACAAACAAACAGAAGTACTCAGAAATATTAAATCAGTCATGATTTCTTCATATATTCAAACTGGGTGATATTATTTTTAACACCTTATAAATGTGTAGGACAATCTTAAATAGCTTAAGCAAACCCATGTAAATTCTGAGCTTGCAATAGGTGATTTTTCTGTCACTTGCTCCAGGATATGCTTCACCCAGGTGTAGGCCAACAGGAAATTGAAGGTACTGGTGGGTAGATGGATTAATTTAATTAACATTCATCAAATGCCTACTATCTTCCAAGCAATGAAATTATAGAGATAAATGAGACAATAAATCTTGCCCTCAAGAAACTCACCGTCTGGAAAAGGAAAAAGACATGAATAAATAACTATAACAAATATTCAAAAGAATATAGAGGTCATTTTAGAAGGATAACTCTGAAGGTAGTGTGGTGATAAGATTGGTTATCTTACCTTGTAAGGGGCCATCACCATGCTAATAACAACAATTATTTGTACTTGAATGGACCACATAGCATTCATCAATTTTCTAGCCACAAACTGTATTCCCAATCACAGACTTATGGTAAGTGAAATATAAGGTTTTAATGGACTGACATAAATCATTCACAACTGTAAAGAAAACTGTTCAAAGCATCCTTCTAGTTTTTATTGATGGCTTATTCCTATTATCTTTTTAGTAGAAAATTGTTTTCTCAGAATGTCCAGGACAGGAGCTGTTTGAATTAATCATGTTTGGTATTTAAATATCTCAGCTCCAAAAAGACACAATATCAAAAAATAAACTTGATTCTATTCAGCCCCAGAATCTTCTTTGTGCATTTTTAAAAAAAAAGTAAAAATAAAATTTTAAAATTCATTATATGGATTAAGGAATAACATTTATCATATATGATTTTTCATAGTTAAAGCTCTAAAAGTGATTATTACCTACTAAGATATAGAAATGACAGAATGGTTCCTACTGAGGAGTTTCCAGTTAGCTCACAATCGCTTCTTGGTCCTCCTTGTGACTGTACCTCACATTGGTACTTCACGGTTGAGGCTGCTGTGATATCATCTACCAATTACTGGTAGGTCTACGATCACCCCCATGTGTTACAGCAAACTATACCAAAATTATTTAAATGAAGGGATTTTAAAAATGGGTGATTATTAATATATTGTTTTATAACAATTTTCAAATTGTGATTAATAATGCAGTTTTATAGCAATGCTTTCAGTCTCTAGGCTCAAGAATAAACTATCTAGTGTATAGGAGGAGCCAGCATTTCATTGGAAAAACAACTTGTAGACAGTTACAGCTTCAACACCTTTTTTCTTGGTTTTGTGTAGATACATTTAGGTTACTACAGTCAAAGTTAATTCTAGCATGGCTCTGATAGATTTTACAGTTCTTGACATAGTGGTACTATATTAGTTTTCTATTATTGCTGTAATAAATTACCATGAATTTAGAGGCTTTAAACAATACTAACTTATTATATTACAGTTCTAAAGGACAGAGGGTCAAATATCAAAGTACCAAAAGGGATGCTTACCATCTGGAGGCTGGAGGGGTAAATCCATGTCCTTGCCTTTCCCAGCTTTTAGATGTAACTTGCATTCCTTGGTTCTTGGTTCCTTCCTTGCTTCATGCTGGCTTCTGCTACTATTGTTAAATCTTCTGTGACTCGACTTTCTTGCCTCCCTCTTGTAAGGTCTCTTGTGATTACTTTGGTCCCATCTGAATAATCCAGGATAATCTCCTCATCTCAAGATCCTGAATTTAATCATATTGGCAAAGTCCCTTTTGCCATATAAAGTTACATATTCATAGGTTCTAGGGGTTAGGATGTGGACATCTTTGGGAGGCCATTATTCTGCCTATCATAGTTACCTTAATATGGAAGTGTCTAAATCGTTGAATTGTTTTAACTAAGATTTAAAATGCTGATTAATGTCAATAGACAATTGATATCAAATATTTAAATTCATTTTTTTAAAACAGGAGATGGGAGGCATTTAAAGAGTCACCCAGGGTTTTCAGGGGACATTTTTCAAATAATATATGCCTCCAGGGAGATTCTGATATACTTCCCTTGGAGGTAAAAGTCATACCGCTTAGTTGAGAATACTGGAATGCCATATGCAGATGAACTATATGAAGACCTAAAAAACGACTCACAGTTCAGAACCAGTGAGTTGAATTTTTACTAAGAACTATCAGAAAGTTGAGGCATTAACTGGATTTAGATATGTTATTCCCATGTATTCCAAATGCTAATAATTTCTGACTTTAATGGCATTAATTTTTCACTGCCGATGCTGTTACTTGTTTTCTGGAAAACTTCTTGATAAGTACACAGCTCTGGGAAATGTTACGATTTGTTTCAGTTGTCCAGTGTTTTATCTCTATTTGATAGATTCTTTTGCCATTTTGTTTTTCACCTTCTAAAAGGAAAAAAAAACTTTTAAAAAATCTTGTTGAAAATAGCAAGAACATCCTAACAAGTCTGTAATGCAGCTACGCTCTCAGGCCCCAATTATGAATTTAGCTAAGTTTTATTGAATGTATACAGTACATTTGTATTTGTCAGGGTTCTCTAGAGGGACAGAACTAAGAGGATAGATTATATATATATATATATGTGAGTTTATTAAGGAGTATTAACTCATACAATCACAAGATCTCACAATAGGCCATCTGCAAGCTGAGGAGTAAGGAAGCCAGTCTGAGTCCCAAAGCTGAAGAACTTGGAGTCCAAAAAAGAAAAAAAAGAAAAAAAAAGAAAAAAAAGAGAACTTGGAGTTTGATGTTCAAGGGCAGGAAGCATCCAGTACGGGAGAAAGATGTAGGCTGGGAGGCTAAGCCAGTTTAGTCTTTACACATTTTTTTTTTTTTTTTTTTTTTGCCTGCTTTATATTCTAGCTGTGCCGGCAGCTGATTAGGTGGTACCCACCCAGATTAAGTATGGGTCTGCCTTTCCCAGCCCACTGACTCAAATATTAATCTCCTTTGGTAACACCCTCACAGACACACCTAGGATCAATACTTTGCATCCTTCAATCCAATCAAGTTGACATTCAGTATTAACCATCACAACATTGATTTAAAAAAACTTGTGATAATATTCCCAAAATATGACTTTTGTAAAAAAAATGAAAGTAGTGCCACTATATTTATATATTCTCTGTATATTTGGGGTAGAAATTTTTAGATTAGAACTTTAACTTTTGGAATATTTACATCAGTTCTGGAATGGTTTACTTTCCCCGTTAAGGTCACTGTCTATTTCTGGGAGCAGTTAGAAGTCTTGGTTTTCCATTGAAGGAACTATGCATGTATGTGTTGCATTAAGAAGAAGTAAGAGTACCTAAATAAATGAACTACACACTGGCTTTCACAAAAGTTGTTCTACAACTGAGTGTCTAATAGAGTTTTAAAGGTGGAGTGGTCATAGTCGAGCTTGTGAAATTTCTTTCCCATAGTAATTGGCCACTAGCTGACGGAAGCTATAGTGCCTTTGATTTACTTGTAACTTTCTGTTGCCAACCCAAATATTTCAGTTTCCTAACTGTCCAAGAAATGTACATTTTTATCTTGTTACTTCATATAATCATTGAGTCCTAAAAAAATAAAGAGTCATTTTAAATTCTCTTCCCAAGAGAAACCTTTTTTTCCCAAGAGCTGCATGTTGAGTTGGTTGCATTACAAATCATCAATTTCTGACTGTTGAAATGACCTTCTAGTAACACATAAAATTTGGTGCCCTCATGCCAAGGATGCAACTCAAGAAATTGTGATGAGTGTTTGGGTGCCAAATTCTACTTTACTACTTCTCATAGGAATGTCCTGAGTGTGGGGATGTTTTCTGATTGTTTGAAGTTCTCAGAAAAAGACATGACCTCTGTTTACATTGATAGATCATGAAGAGGAGCACGTCTAGAATATAAAAAAGACTTTTCTAACCTCCGGAATGCTAGAAAGCAGCAGGTTAAAGAATCAAGGTCTTGGGATTTCCCTTTTAAATTGCAACACCGATTTCTTCCTCTTAGTGGATTTTAATAAAATATACTAAGTAATTTCAATGATGAAGGCCAAGTATCATGTCTCTCTTGCTCACTCTTATGTCACAAGGTCTAGCACATACTACATAGCAGATACGTGCTAAAAGTTTGTTGATCAATGAAATGAATAACCTTATGGTGCCTGCTATAGCTATGCTACCTTATTATTTTTTTAATTTTATTTTACAGATTTAAGGGGTAAAGTGAAGTTTTGTTAACACGGATATCTTATGTAGTGATAAAGCCTGGGCTATTAGCGTAACCATCACCTGAATAGTGTACATCAGCGGTCCTCAAACTTTTTGGCACCAGTGACTGGGTTTGTGGAACACAGTTTTTCCATGGACAGTGAAAGGATGTGGTTTGAGGATGAAACTGTTCTATCTTAGAACATTAGGCATTAGTTAGATTCTTATAAGGAGTGCACAACCTAGGTCCCTTCCATGCACAGTTCACGATAGGGTTTGTGCTCCTAGGAGAATCTAATTCCCTCATTGATATGACAGGAGGTAATGCTGCTCACCTCCTGCTGTGTGGCCCAGTTCCTAAGAGGCCACGGACTGGTATGGGTCCATGGTCTGGGTGTTGAGGACCCCTGGTGTACATTGTACCCATTAGGTATTTTCTCATCCCTTATCCCTGTTCCACCTTCCCACATTTCTCAGTCTCCAGTGTCTATTATTCCACTCCCTATGTCCATGCGTACACATTATTTAGCTTCCGCTTATAAGTGAGAATCTGACTTTCTGTTTCTGAGTTATTTCACTTATGATAAGGGCCTACAGTTCCATCTATGTTGCCACAAAAGACATAATTTAATTCTTCTTTTATGGCTGAGTTTGTGTCTGTGTGTGTGTGTGTGTGTGTGTGTGTGTATACTCACATATATACACTTTACACATACATATGTACACACACTGCACATACATATATACACACACTGCATTTTCTTTATCTAGTCAACTATTGATGTATACTTAGGTTGACTCCATATCTTTCCTATTGTGAATAGTGCTGCAATAAACACGAGTGCAGATACCCTTTTGATATAATGATTCCTTTTTATTTGGGAAGGTACGCAGAAGTGGGATTGCTGGATCAAACGGTAGATCTATTTTTAGTTCTTTGAAAAATCCCCATACTCTTTTCCATAGAGGTTGTACTACTTTACATTTCCACCAGTAGTGTATACATGTTTCCTTTTCTCTGCATCCTCGACAACATCTGTTATTTGTTGACTTTTTAATAATAATCATTCTTACTGGTGTAAGATGGTATCTCATTGTGGTTTTAATTTGCATTTCTCTGATGATTGGTGATGTTAAGCATCTTTTCATGTTTGTTGGCCATTTGTATGTCTTCATTTGCAAAATATATGTTCATGTCCTTTGCTCATTTTTGTTAATGGGGTTGTTTTTTTCCTGCTGAGTTGTTTGAATTCCTTGTAGATTCTGGATATTAGTCCTTTGTCAGATGCATACTTTGCAAATATGTTCTTCCGTTCTAAAAGTTGTCTCTTTGTTTTTTGGTTGGTTGTTTTTGAGACTGGGTCTTGCTCTGTTGCCCAGGATATAGTACAGAGGCACAAATCTCAGATCAATGTAACCTCAAACCTCTAGGCTTAAGCAGTCTTTCTGCCTCAGCTTTCTGATTAGCTGGGACAGGTGTGTGCTACCATATCTGGCTAATTAAAAACAATTTATTTTTGTAGAGATGCAGTCTCACTATATTGCCCAGGCTGGTCTTGAACTCCTGGCCTCAAGCAGTTCTCCTACCTTGGCCTTCCAAAGTGCTGAGATTCAAAGCTAATATTGATATGTAAGGTTTTGTTCCTGTCATAATGTTAATTGTTACCTAGTTGTTTTATAGTCTCATTTATGCAATTGCTTTATAAGACTTGTTTTGGCCGGGCGCGGTGGCTCACGCCTGTAATCCCAGCACTTTGGGAGGCCGAGGCGGGCGGATCACGAGGTCAGGAGATCGAGACCATCCCGGCTAAAACGGTGAAACCCCGTCTCTACTAAAAATACAAAAAATTAGCCGGGCGTAGTGGCGGGCGCCTGTAGTCCCAGCTACTTGGGAGGCTGAGGCAGGAGAATGGTGTGAACCCGGGAGGCGGAGCTTGCAGTGAGCCGAGATCCCGCCACTGCACTCCAGCCTGGGCGACAGAGCGAGACTCCGTCTCAAAAAAAAAAAAAAAAAAAAAAAAAAAAAAAGACTTGTTTTATACTTTTATGTTCTTTTTATAATGGTGGGTATTGACCTTTAATTTCAATGTTTAGATTTCTTTTGTGCATTTCTTCTAGGACCAGTCTGGTGGTGATGAGTTTCTTTAGCATTTACTCGTCTGGGAAAGACTTTACTTCTCCTTCATTTGTGAAGCCTAGTTTAGCAGAATGCAACATTCATGGTGGACAGTTTTTTTCTTTAAGAATTATGGAAATAAGACCCTAATCTCTTCTACCTCATAAAGTGTCTGCTTAGAAGTCCAGTGTTAGTCTGATAGAGTTTCCTTTATAGGCAATTAGATGCTTTTCTCTTGCTGACTTTAGGCTGATGATTGTATGTCTTGCTTAAGTACTTCTTTCAATATATTTTCCTGAAGTTCTTTGAGCCTCTTAGATCTGGATGTCTAAATCTCTAGCAAGACTTGGGAAGTTTTCCTCAACTATTTTCTCAGATAGGTTTTACGAACTCTAGTTTTTCTTCTCCCTCAGGAATACCTCTGACTCCTAGATTTGAACATTTTACATAATCCCATGCTACTTGAAGTCTTTGTTCATTTTAACAAATTCTTTTTTTCTTTATATTTGTTTGACTGGGTTAATTCAAAAGACCTGCCTTCAGACTCTGAGATTCTTTCTTCTGCTTGTTCTAGTCTATTGTTAAAACTTTCAACTGTATTTTGTATTTCCTTCAATGAATTTTTCATTTCTAGAAGTTCTGGGGTTTTAAATATATCTATCTATCTCATTGATATATTTTTCCTTCATGTTCTAAGTTGTTCTTTTGATTTCTTTGTGTTGGTTTCCAACTTTCTCTTGGATCTCATTGAGCTTTTTGAAAATCAACATTTTGAATTCTTTATCTGATATTACAAGAATTTTATTTTGATTAGGACCTACTACTAGAGAGTTAGTGTGGTCCTTTGGGGTGTTGTAACACTTTTTCATACTTTCAGAATTATGTCTTTGGTTCCTAATCATATGCATATACTATTTCTTATTTTGGAATTTAATTTCATTTGGATACAACTTTTTTCTTCCTTTTTAGGATGTGACTATAATATATGTTGTTTAGGGTCTTTTGGCCTTGGTTCTAAGGGTGCTTTTGGTGGCAAAGTATCGTATAAGTTCCTTGGTTATAGATAGCCTCAGTGTGGTCACTTTCTTCAAATGCTGGTTGTAGTTGGGATATACTCTGCATGTGTGCAGGCTCATAGTCTCCTGCAGAGCTGGGTTGGTGGAAGTCTCAAGAGGCTTATCTTGTTCCCAAGTGCTATGCATTTGTGTCAGCAGATTTTGTATGGAGTTGTGCAGGTCAACCTCCAGGCCAGTAGAGGAGGAAACTCTCTGGTACCTTAGGCAGTGGGCTGGTCTGTGGGATGCCCAATGGCTTGGACTCCACTCTCAGCCCCAGAGTGGGGGTGAAGTTAGTTGGAGCTAGACTAGGAAGACTTGTCCTCAGATCTCCCAATGGCAGACACAAGGACCAGCCCTGATTGTGGGGGGAGTGGGGGCAAAAGTGCAAGAATGGTGTAGACTCTATGATTTCCTAGGTTATGAATACCCTTGGTGTGGTAGCTTTCTAGCTTTCTTAAATGCCCGTTGTAGTGGCAGGTAGGTCAGTGAGCTCAGGGCCTGCTGAGTAGCTGGGGTGTTTAGGGGCATGCTGGTAGCTGAGGTTTCACAAAACTTGTCTCCCACCCAAGCACCATGCAGTTATGCCAGCAGATGTTATAATGGGCTGTGCAGGTGACCTCCTGGCCAGTAGGTGGCTCTTGCAAGAGAGACAGCTGTGGTAGTGCAATGGGATTTATGCTTGACCTTTATTAACCAGAAATACTGAGCTGTCTCAGGTGATGGGTGGGGCTATGGAACTCCCAGGAGTCCCTGTCCCATGTTCTGCCACTGAGGTGGGTATCAGGAGCAAAACTGGATAGGGTTGGGTTGGGCACGCCCATATGTAGATACCCCAGTGATGGGTACAAGTACCAGCCCTGATGGGGTCAGAAGGCAGTTCTCAGGCTACTGGGGCAATGTTCTAGTGTGCAGCAGAGGTGCCTCTACCATGCCAAAGAGCCCACATGGAGAAAGAGGGGCGGCCCAGGCTCCACAGCCTACAAGGTGATAGTGGGACCCACTTAGCTCACATGCACTTGATCGTGGTGTCTCTCCCCTACCCTTTGCTGGTGTCCAGAAGCTTGCCCTAGCTCCCAGTAATCTCAGCCAAGCAGGCTGCATTGCTTCCCTCTTTGCTTTCAGTGCTTCCCTTCACTTCTCTGTTGGATTCCAGTGTTCTCCCTTAGACGATCTAGTTGAAGTGTGAATATCTACTTACATTTTGGTTCCTCTCTGTGGAAAAGGTGAGTGCTAGCCACACCTAGTCAGTCATCTCAAACCCCTTCATCATGATCACCTTATTTTAACTATATGTTGGAAATCATCCAGTCATCTGTTTAGTCTTTAGCATTTCCAAGCTATAATTTCCCCCTCTGTAAATATGACTAATTATATTTTATATAATATTTTATTTTACAGGTTGTTTTGAAGATTAGTGATAAGCACCTAATACATAGGAAACACTTATTAAATGGTAGGAAATATTATAAATAATTATAAATGGAACAACTTCAATTTCATGTTTAACTTCGTTTGCAAGTGAATTAGATCTTTCACTAAAAATGTGTCTAAAGTATTTGAATTAACCATACCCAATTTATGAATTGTCTTAGTATTTATGAACTGTTATGCTAAAGAGAAAATAAGTGTACTTACTATAGAAAAAAATATTTGGCCATCTATGAAACATGAATGTCTGATAGCATTTCTTCTGTCTTATATTTGTGGAAAATAAAAGTATTTAAAAATATATTTATGTGTCAGCTAAGAAAGTAAACCACTGTTTTTAATAATTTTATTAAAGAAGTGTTTGTACTCTTCTTGGGTCACTACTCTACTCTGATCTTTGCAGCTTTTAAAAACCTGTACAAAGCAAAAGATGAGATGTTTTGGATACATCTAAAAACAAAACAAAACTTTGACAATGAACAAGCACAGTGCCACAACACCTGATATAACGACTGTACACAAGAGGTGCTTCATTTGTTTTCAGTTAAATTGAGTAGAAAAACAAATTACTTCCTGAAAGAAAAAAAGTATATAATGCTACTATGAAAGACTTGCATAGTTAGGGTTTGGTCAATAATTCAGATTTATTCATGTTAGTGATGAGTGCCAAAACAGAAAGAAGTCGGTGGGCTAAGATATTGTCACTTGTGTGCTAAGAAAAATAAGTGCTCTGGAAAAAAATCGCAGCTCAAATGATTAGATCCATCCTTCTTCCACTTATTTCATGAGATATCCAACAACTGCAGGTTGTTCTAACGGTTCAGTACTCTAGGTTTGTAGTTTGGTCATTTGCTCCTTTATTCAACAAACACTGAGCTTCTGCAACATGCTAGATACTCACTTGGCCCTGAGATGGTGGAAAAGCAAAACCAGATGAAGTCCCTTCTCACTTTGGCTAACAGTCTTGTGGAGAGACAAAAATTGATTAAATAGTCACATTAAACAGTTGAAAATGTAAATGCGACTTAGAGAGTATGAACTAGTTCAATGATTCAGGCAAGAATTTCCTAAGGGGAGTGAAGACTGAACTAAATGGCAAGGAGGAATAACAGTTCATAAGAGGAAAGGTAGAGGGAAGAACAATCTAGGGAACGGACAGAGAGGAAAGGTCCTATGGAATAAAAGTGTGCAAGGCAAGTAAGAGAAACTAAAAGGTGTGGAGGGAGTTAAGGATGGCTGGAGGCGTAGGTAGAAACTAGACCATGCAAGGCATTGTTGTCCATGCTTAGGAGTTTCAGTTGCATCCTATGAGCGATAGAAAGTCATTGGAAGGATTTAATTGGTAGATTATATAATCATGTTTATGTCCCAGAAAACATACTTCAGTTCCCTGTAGGGAATGGATTAGAGAGGAATTCATAGTGAATGATGGAAGAAATGTTAGGGCTCTTTACATACCCTAGGTTCTCTGAGAGATAAAAAGGACTAAGGTTGTGGTTGAGGAGATGAGAAAAAGTAGAGAAGTTCAAGAGCTATTTAATGGATAAAATGGATAAGATTTAGTGATGGCTTGGGTAGGGGAGGAGTGAGGCTAGGCATGGGGTGAATCATGTCAACACCTAAGTTTTTGGATTGTGCAATTGGATGAACATAGGTACTTTTCATAGACATGGGAACCAGTAGAAAATAATCAGATTGAAGGGTAGAGGTGAAATGATAAATTTTTGTTTTGACACATCAAACTACAGATGATTTAGGGACATTTCGGTACAAATGTAGACTAGACATCTTGATATAAGAGATTCTGCGAAAGTTGCCTTAGACTAGAATCACCATGCGTAGTTTTTAACTGAGGCCCATTGGCATGGATGAAATCACCTAGGTAAAGTGTAGTACAATGGCCTAAGAATAGGCCTTTAGGAGCTGTAGAATCCTTATTTGCCAGGTAAGGAAGAAAGAGCACGCAACTGAAAGACCCAGAATCAAGGATGAAAGAGGAAAGAGAAAACCAGGACAATGTTATATCAAGGCCACCAAGGAAAGGGTGTGTTTTAAGAATGAGAGTGGTACCAAATGCTGTTGAGAGACCATGTGAGATGGAGACTGAAAAGTGCTTATTTGACTTAGTGTCATAAAGGTAATTGACTTGACTCAGGATTGTTTTGGTGATGTGTCGGGAGAGAAGCCAGACTTAACTAAAATTGAAGCTTTGGTGGAGATGAAGAAATAGTGATCACAGATAAATATTTCGGCAAGTTGTCTGTAAGTGGGGGGAGAAAGATGGAATGATAGTGAAAGAGAATAAGGGGAACAGGGAGGTGTTTTGTTGTTTTGTTTTTGTGTTTTATAAATTGTAGAAACTTGAAAGCTTTAAAAGCTATGGAAAAGAGGGAGTATTTGGATATATGCAGTAGAGAGATAGAACTTTCCAGAAAAATAAAGCTCCTACTGCATATTTTTTCTCTTTGGCTCCTAGAATCCGAATGCTTATTTGCACAAATCTATGCATAGAGGATTGTCAGAATTCTCTGTGAATTTCTTGAGTCTCCCTCAAAATAACCTTCACAGAAGAAAAAGTATCTTTTTTAGTAAATGCCTCTACTAAAATTAGCAGAACCAAAAAAAAAAAAAAAGCAAAAAAAAAAAAAAAAAACAAAACAAGGAGGAAATTGACTTTGGGGAGTAAATATAGTAAGATAAAAAAGGGAAAGATAAGGTCCTGTAAACTTACTTTAACCTTAATAAACACCTTAAATATATAGCTTTGACATCTTTATGACTACAGTTTCATTACAAACTTTCATCATAGTAACTTAAGTCTATAGAAGCAAAGATGAATATTTATCTGTGGAATTCAAGCAACATCTGGTCATTTGAGCAGAAAGATCCATTATTTTTTCTTCAATAGCATTTTTTCTCCCAGTCAGTTTTACTTTCCAAAACGATTTGTGGTGAGGGAAAAAAGGGAGTTGAAAAGTAAGTCTCTAACAAAAGATATTCTTTCAACATTTAAAAAATGGACAGAAAAGGATGAGGCAGAAAGGGCACTTTTGAATAGTTAGTACCTGTTTAGGAATAGGGAAGTGAGATTAGGTAGAATTCTACTTGTTCTCAAATTTCCTTATACTTCAGATACTACTTTTCATGCTAAAAATTTCTTTTTGATTTCTGTTAAAACCTTCTTATCCTCTCCTAACAACTTGTGTAAATTTAGGTAAGCCAACCCTTCAGTTTTGTCATCTATAAAACAAAGGCATTGGAAGAGATTATATCCAAGTTGCCTTCCTGATCCAATATTCCAGGATTCAGCAAACTTTAGTCATTGCTTTTTGGCTATCATTCAATTGCTGTCTTCAGAATACATCTTCTTGGATCCTCTAGTTATCTGTCAACAAAAATAAATTATTTGTCTTTATTTTTGAAATATTCCTCTTAGAGCCCCAGATGTGTGAATTGGTACAGAAAAGAGACATTTTTTTAAATTCATCTCTTTTCATACCTTCTAAATCAACCATTACAAAGAGTTTACTAGTCAGATTTTTTTAAAATTTTCATTTAAAAATTGAAATGGCTAAAGAGGGCATTTTATATGCTCTATGTTTTCAAAGTATAATTTTAGTTTTCCTAGTAACACTAACAAATTGCAAAGTTAATAACACTAACAATTACCCATAGAGTATTACAAAAATGGTATTAACAAATCCTTAATTTGTATGTCTGCTTACTGAAACATTGACTGCTTTGCACATTATAACTGCAGTCATCATGATTCTAGTGTTTGTTGAGTTGTGGTCTGTTTGACAGTCATCTGGAATGTTTATTACCTAAACTCAAATAACTAGATCTTTTTCTTCTAAATACCTTGAGAGTGCTTCACTGACTAAAGGAAAAGGAAGCCTGATTTACTTTAATACTACAGCTTCATTTCCTGCAAGATCTCAGGATTGATCATGGAATCCCACAACTCAAAGTCTTTATGAATTTTTTTAGTAGTGTGGATTTTTAAAAACAGGTTTAGGACTTTCAACTCAAAGCTTTTAGGTTTCTTTTTAAAACGAGTTCTTTTAGCACTAACTAGACCTTCTACCTCTCCTTCCAACCATTACTTCATTTTGTGTCTGTTTTTCACACCTTTAGGACATTTCTTAAATGTGTCCTTACTTTGACCTGATTCCGCAGAAATTCTTATTTATGTCTTAATTGTTTCCTGTCATGGCTGTAGTAGTTCCTTCTTTATAGTCTTCCTAAATCCCTGCTCTTTAAACTTCAGAGGGGGCTTAGAATGTTATGACGAGACTACAGATTCCTGCTGTTAGAAAGTAATGTGCTTTGTATTGAGGTAATGTTTATTGACCTAGTTTTAAAAAAAACTATACTATTTCTCTATTGACTTGTTGTAATAGTTTGGTTAGAAAAATGGATGAGATTAGCATTTGGAAGGAATTGTACACCTGACAGATTCTAGTGGAAAATGTATCTTGAACCATTTTAATTAAGTTTTTAGTGGGGAAAAATTATTCTGATGGCATATTTTCCTTACATTGATGGCAGTCTTTTATTTAAATTTCACTTGCCTAACCTTACACTGGGAGCATGAGAAAAGCTTGTGAGATACAATAGCATTTTTAAAAAATTCTAAAGACATTAAAATACTTTTCACAGTTATAAGTACAGTAGAATTTGCAACATTTTAAATTTTATTTCCCAAAATATTTTTTATTGGTACTCCAACCCCCAGATATGCTTATGAAATGGACAAGTGACAGTTTTGTACCCCCATCCTCTAATTATCAAGTGCAGAGGCCAAAAAGTTCAAATATCTTCCCTCTGAAAATAGTAAAAATTTTGTCATTACATAATAACATTTAGGTAGAGATGACAATTTGGTGTGTGTGTGAAATGAAAGTGACTGACTATTTCATTGGTACTTCTGAGCTTTATGGGAATTATAGTTGAGTTTTTGTCATATCTCATTATTGATAAAGGACAAAAAAGGAATACATGTATTCTATATCCCTCAAAAATATTTAGGCAAAGTTACTTTAGAGAAACATTTTAACCATGTGATCTTTTTGCAAATTTATTCTGGAAAGCAGGATTTTGCTGTAGTGTATGTGCTATTTCTCTCCTTCCCTCTCTCTGTCACTGCCTCTCTCTACTGCGTATGTCTAACCCTGACCCATGCTGCACAAAAGGTACTTCTGAAGGTATTGTGAGCAGCACAGCATGTCAGCCTTGTGTCCTGCTCCTATATTGGTAGAGTCAATACTTGAGCTGATTCTGGTGCAGACAAAATATGTGCTCTAATCATTACCATTTGGTGCCACATTCATGGTTAGGGCATGGTTCATTTTCCATTTATTTTTTTTACATAGAGCTAAAAAAGATCCTATCATTTTTATTCCTAGGGAAAATATTCCCCATTGTGGAAGAGTCATTCTAGCTTAAGAAATTAAGAGCTGATTGTAGAGTGAATCCAAGCATGTACAAACTTGATATAATAATAATAATAATATAATAATAGGTAACTTTTATTAAGAGCTTGTTACATATTATAGTTCTAAGTTCTTTCATTTATTAACTCATTTAAATAACTCTACGAAGTAGTTCTATTTTACCCCCATTTCATAGATGAGGAAACTGTCATTAAGAGATTAAATGCCTGAACAACTAATAAGAGACAGAAATGGGATTCAAGCACACTCAGACTCTGGAGCCCACATTCTTAAGCAGTAGTCTCTACTCCTTCCAATATGTAGGGAGTGCTTTTCTCAGATTTACTTTGTATGTTTATGAGCCCTAACAGGAAAGTTTTATCCAGCAACAAATGCTGGACTTGGTGGCACACATCTATAGTCTTAAGCTACTCAGGAGGCTGAGGTAGGAGGATTGCTTGAGCCCAGGAGGTCAAGGCTTCAGTGAGTTGTGATCATGCCACTTCGCTGTAGCCTGGGCAACAGAGTAAGACCCTGTCTCAAAAAAAAAAAAAAAAAAAAGACATAAGACATCACTTAAAACTCAGCAAATTATCTTTGATTTTTTTCTTTGTTATCTTTGATTTGATCCATTTTCGAACCAAGCATCTCTCACGTACGATGGCATTGCATCTTGCTTCTTTTACCTTTACAAACTGGTTTGCATTTTAGAAAGAGCCTTTTTGAGTTTGAAAATTAAATGTAACCCACTACAAAGTTTTGTATTGATGTATTATTATGAAAGAATTTATAAAATGCCCACTGTGTTTTTATTATATTTAATTTATTTAGTGTGGCTTAATGTAGGCATTATGTGGAGAAGGTTAAATTAGTCTTGTTATGAAAGGCTTTCCATCCTCATTTCCTGTCTTATACATTTTTTTCTTAACATTTCATTTAATGAAACAGTTGAAGTGTTTCTCGATGATTGAAAATCTATAAAATTACACCTTTGACTTTGAAATACCTTTAACTTTCAAGAATTTGGGATTATAGTAGTAATTAGTAAAAGGGATAATGTTTAAAGTTTTAGCTCCCTGTGTGTTGAAGATTATAATATAAAAAAAGCAGTTTTCTGTTAAATAAATTTCCTATTTAAACTATCTAAGAACATTCAAAATCCTGAATATGAAGACTTTTAACATTTCAGTGTGATGATTTCCTGTTGAAGGTTACTTAGTCCTTGAAAAATAAAGAGTTACATTTTGGCACTGAAGAGTCAATATTCAGACTTTTTCTGTGCTGCCACTTAACTTCCCAATAATTAATTGCATGTAATATTTTGGAGCAACTTAGCTGTTATACAGCCTACATAGTTCAATAGATAGGCTTCTCTTAACATGCAGAATAAATCTGATTGAGGAAAGCAAACTAGCATATTCACATGTGTACTCACAGAAATACTCAAGAACACATTCATACATATTCACATATGGTTATATGCAGTAATATACACAGGAATACACATAAACATGCACATATTAGCATACACATATATGCTCCTGGATTCATGCATACATATTTGAAAGTAAGGCTAGTTCTGGCCAAAAGGTTTCTTCTGTATTACTTTGTTTTGGTGTTAAGATTCAAAAACTCCTTTAAAGTAAGCCTTCCAATGTTATTTATAATTTGTGAGAATAAGCCTTGCATTCTTGTCTTTAGTATCACTTCTTTCATGTTTATGAATTTTATGTTTTTATACTGGATTCTTTCTGCAAAAGTCTTTTATGATAATACTTTTTTTCCTTGCAGTCTGAAAGATGAGAGATAACAAATTAAGTGGTGTAACTTTACTAATTTTCTAAAAAGTAAACATTTTGAAAACTACTATGTTGAGAAAACAAGTGACGGGAATATTCTCTTTTTGAAATATTTAAGGTATGGAACTTTCTGTTCTAATTTCTGAAGGTAGAGAGACAGTTCTGCTTCATATTGAAATTTCTAAATAATTTTTAAAATAATTAACTTAAAAGTCACACTAGCCTAGGCAATATAGTGGGACCCCTGTCTCTATAAAAAGTAAAACAAACAAACAAAAAACCTGTAATCCCAGCACTTTGGGAGGCGAAGGTGGGTGTATCACTTGAGGCCAGGAGTTTAAGACCAGCCTGACCAATATGGCGAAACGCTGTCTTTATTAAAAATACAAAAAATTAGCCAAGTGTGGTGGTGTGCGCCTGTAATCCCAGCTATTTGGGGCACTGCGGCACGAGAATCCCTTGAACCTCAGAAGCAGAGGTTGCAGATAGCTGAGATCATGCCACTGCACTCCAGCCTGGATGACAGAGTAAGACTCTGTCTCAAAAAATAAATAAATAAAAAATAAAAAGTAAAAATGGTGGTGCATGCCTGTAGTCCTAACTATTCCAGAGGCTGAGGTGCGAGTATCACTTGAGCCCGGAAAGTTGAGGCTGCAGTGAGGTGTGATCATGCTACTGCACTGCAGCCTGGGCAACAGAGCAAGACCTTGATCCAAAAAAATTACTTAAAACTCAGCAAATTATCTTTAATTTGTTTTTTGTTATTGTTTTCTTATAGACTATTAAAATTATGAATGGATTTTGGTACTTAATATAGGATTTTCTTTTTGTGGCAATAAACCTATGGCTGTATTTCATATTATATTTTGATGTTTGCAATTTGATAAACTACATGGGATAAGAGAGTCCTTCAAAGTGTATTCTACTTCCTTTTCTCTTCAGGCATCTGAATGATGTAAGAGGTTAACTATTCTGTTTTCTTCGTGGCTCAATATTTCTTTCTTTGACTATTAATAATATGATGGCATTCAACATGGATCTTTGGGCAACTCTTACAGGAAGAGTCAAAAAAGTATTCAGAAGGGAAATAGCAATAGGCAGTATGTAATGGATTAGCTGTTTGGAATGGAGAGCTATTAATTTATACCAGACCACTTGTTCAAGGTTACTTTACCCACCCTCCTTTGTGATCCAGAGCCAAAGGATCCAAATGGGTAATTACCTTTGGTCAAATTATATTTCGACTTACCTAATGATAGTATTCGGTGTAGTACTTTTCTCCCAAAGGACATATAAGCACTTTATTAACGTCTCTTTCATTCCTAACATATGTCTAAGAACGAGAAAGAGGCCAAGTATTTTCCTTCACCATAGTAAAAACCCCATTTTACAGACGGGGCTGGAGACTAAGGTCATTTTCTGGAAAACAGATTTTGGCAGTTTTCCCCAAGAATTTTAACTTTGAAATAACTCTCTCTTAATATGCTTTATTAGTAGGAATCTTTGAGATAATTTTGTAATTAATAAAATATGTTTTCTTTGTCTCCATTCCATTAACAATGAATTTGAATACACACACACACAACATACATGTGATTATATATACATCACTAGACATTCCTGGGCATTATATATACTATAACATAGTATGTGCACATGTATATACATGTGATTACATATATATATCACTAGAAATTTCTAGGCATAATATATATATATAATTAATATTTCTGAAATTCCTACTGTGCATCTTGTATTCAGTAAAGTGATGAAGACAGGAAAACAGTATTGACAAAAGGTGATCCTTGCCCTTTGTACAGTGGCACTCCTGGAAATAATAGTAAGTAGTATCTTAACACACTTTTTGATATATAGATATGATATAGTATGATATAACATACTTTTTGATATATGGGATCAGTCAGGGAGGAGGTACTTCAAAAGTATTTAGGTCTGTTCTACACTTGCCAGATTTAGTGATTTATTTTGTCACTTCTGTCACTCTGAAAGGCTTAAGATACTTTTTGAAACAATTCAAATTCTCTTCACTACCTAGTGGAAACTCCAAAATGTTTGTTGCAGGGTTTAGGTCATCCTTTTAGTACTATTTTTCTTTTGGGTATCAATATTTATTCTGTATTCTGGGATATCTTTGCCCCTACTCATTAGTCTTTTTTAGTGGAATGATTAAAGGTGAGGAAATAAACACTTGAATAAACAAACCGATCATTGCCACTCTTCTCAGGAATTATTGGTAACTGCAAAATAATCTTTTAACATTTTGGTTATATCTCTACAAAACAGGAGAGAGTCAAACTTTATTTAAGCCTTCATCACACTATTAAATAGAACGAGGAGGAGACATATTCTGCAATTAAATAATCCAATCTAGTCTCTTTCATCTGTCATTTTTTCCATTGATCAGTGAGTTCGTAGCTTTAATAGGGAAAATGTGTTATAGCTAAATTTAGTTTCCCTTAATGATTGGGACAATTTTGTATTTTGCATACAGACCCTGGGAAGAGATTGAAGTGAAACTTGTCAAATATAATCAATGAATATTTTAAGTTTAAAAGGAAGAAAATTCCACCCAATAAAAAGATTCACAGACATCACATTAATGACTGAAAGTGAAACTCAGTTATAAGAAAAGCTGCATGAATGTTTTGCTCTTTGAATATTTTTTCTGATTTGACAGTGAATACCTGAACATAGGTAGTTTTTCACATGACATTAAGATGAATCCAAACTGCTGCATGTAGTAAAATGGACTCGATTTAATCCCACAATCAGTTTATGTACAACATTAACTATGTTCCTAAAGAGTGACAACTAAATAAATATCAACTTTGTGTGTGTGTGTGTGTGTGTGTGTGTGTGTGTGTATCTCACATGTGCACAACACAGGAAGACCATAAATTCTTCCCATAATGATTAAAATTTATTAAGTGCCTGGAAAATAAAAGTTGTATAAAAATGTTAATCTGAAATATTAAATATGCAAGCTTATTCACAGTAAATCAGTAAATTTCATTTTTCAAAGTTCAGCTGGGTGATGGTTTTATAAAAAAAATTCAGACATTTCAACATTGCTTATGGAAAACATTTGGCATTCTGTTAGCAAAGAACAGTGTCAAAAATCTAAACGTTTTTCCTTCAACATCTGCATTTGCTTATTAAAAAACAAACCCATCCCACACCCCCAATCTCTCAAACAAGTTAAGTTTGCATGAAATGTTTTTCATTTGTCCTGATATTCAATCTGAAATTTTTTGTGTATCTGAGAGTTTTAGTCTCTTTCATTTCTACATGTCCTTACATATAGGACTTAAGATAGGAGTGGTCTTACAGAATTTTGAGAAAAACGCTTGAAGAAAAAAAGTCATTGTATGCTCTCAATTTGAAAAACAAGGGCTATTAGAGGGACAGGGTAGATTCTCTTACACAGCCTCCACAAAGAAATGTGTGCCCTGCCCTCCACTGTGCTCCATTAACTGAACTTAATACATTGATATAGGGCCATGATATGTACTGTTCTCCACATCACAGTCTACTTGAAACAGGTGATTCTCATAAAAGTGTGAGGACTAGCCTGGGCGATATAGTGAGACCTCAGCTCTAAAAAAAAAAATGAATTTTAAAGTTAGCCAGATGCAGTGTCATATGCCTGTAAGTCCCAGCTGCTTAGGAGGCGGAGGTGGGAAGGATTGCTTAGGCACAGGAAGTTGAGCTATGATCACACCACTGCACCACTGTGCTCCAGCCTGGGTGACAGAGCAAGACCCTGTCTCTTGAAAAATAAAAATAAAAAAAAAAGGAGGTGTGTGGATTTGTTGGTATAAGCCATTTTTCTCATGGATCTGGTTTTTAAGCTAGGAGACTGGAAAGAAAGAAAAGGCAGTCTTATTTCTCTTTCCCTTGCTCTAAAAAAAAAAATACACATATGTATATACATAGGCATGTGCCTTCATTGGATTGTTTTAGCAAAAAGATTAAATGAAATGCTGAACATATTGAACTAACCTATGGACCTTCTTTCTTGACATTATTTTTGCACATTTTTCTTTTTAGTTCACTTCAGATATTTTGAGATTGTCTCAGTTAATGAGGTGAACTACTGTCTAGGGCATTTTCTTAAGAATTATGATGTTATAGAAAACTGGAGACAGACATTAGCAATGTTTATGAAGATAGTTTCCTTTCAACTTAAGGCAGATCCTCTCAATTAGAGTTTTAGAGTACTCAGCTTTAACTTACCCAGTCAGCTATTCTCTAAGTAGCATATAGTTTTTGAAGATGGCCAACATTAAAAGTTTTTATCTGCTTAATAGTATGTTGTTGATTTTTTTTTTAGGGCAAGATATAAGTGATTATAAAAGGGAAGCAGATTGCTTCTGTGGCCTGTCTAGGTTATTTGACTGATTTCCTATTGATAAATATCTTTTTACTAAAACATTGATTTTAGTGTTATTTTGGCATGTTTGATTGAGAAATGTAACACATTCAAATCAACGGAAAATACATACACAAGAGACTGCATCATCTTAAAAGCTACTTGACTTGAAAAAAATGAATATGATTTTGACTTATTGGACCTGTTTCTTTAACAAAAAAAGTGTCATATGCGACTCTAAGAAAAATTAAATGGATTTCTTATTTGAAATGCCTTTTAGCTTTTTCACATTCTCTGGTTATCGATTCATTATATAACATAATATTTGGGATCTGAGAAGTGAAAATTGTAAGTATGATCTGCTTCACATGTACAAAGCCCACCTCTTATGAGGTTTTAAAGGTAAATATTTAGCACAGATATTAGACTTTTGAAACAATTTATATGTTTGTACATCAAGTTAGAATAATTGAAAACTGAATAATTGAGAGAAAGTATTAAAAATGATTCTGGCAATTTAGTTATCCAGCAGGTTGCTTTCTGGTTCTTAAATTATCTCAATATTGACACTTTCTTGGAATATACATACATATGTTTGCAATCCCCCCCCACACACATTCCCCTCATTGATATGCATCATGCACAATAAGATGGAAATGAGACCTAATTTTTTTATGTAAGGGAGAATATATATAGCATAAAGTTTCCAAATTTATAATACTGTTTTACAAAGATAACTATTATAAGTTTTCTCTACACATGTACATGAGTACAGTTTTCACATGTTTTCTCATGAGAGGACTTCCTGATTGCATCTGATTGAAGTGATAGTGACTACCTAAATAGATACTTGTTCAACTTTTGTTCCTCAGCTGCACTGTAAATTCCATGTCTGCCTTACTCAGTTCTGCTTTTCAGAGCCTGACATGGGACTTGGCCCCATAATAGTTGCTCAATTAATATTGTACATCAATGAATGAATAAGTATACTTACATAACTTTGGTTTGTTTATTAAAATAAGAAAATAGCTGCATGGAAACAGGGTAAATTAATGTAATCACTGAGGTTTTGTTTGACTACCTAGTTAAAATATGATAATAGAAACCAATTATATTGCCATTCCTTAAATTTGTTTGGTCATCAAAAGCAAATGGAATAGGTTGCAAACTGTATTTGCTTGAAGAGAAACAGTACGATGTCAGTGTAATTTCTATATAATTATACTTCTGGGAAAATTTTAAGCAAAATCATATTCTGATTACTCTTGTAAAATATACTGCTGTAGGAGGCTTTAGGTCAGCTTTGAATAAGCATAAATTTAGTAACACTAGCCTACAAAAGGTATATATAATATATGGATCTGTCAGTACCAGCAGGTGGAGCTGTATTCCAATGCTGAATAACATGGCCTCTTTATAGAGGGTTGACTTGAGGAAGAATCAAAATCCTAGTAGAAACTTTTATAAGGAATTTTACATATCGTGGTATTAAGCACACATCTTAAATTCTGCATGTAATATAACCATAGTTTATAGTTTAATAGAAATTTTCTGACTTGTTTTCACTTATTTTTACTTGTGTTTGCTGTCACAGAAATAGTTACAATTTTGCTGTATTACATTTGACTTACCTTAAACGTATGCTAACAAAATACACACACCAGAAACTGGAACAGAAGTAACTGAAAAGTCAAGTTTAGACTCATCTTGGAGAAAGAGTGAAAAAATAATGAGTGAATGAATAGGATATGGAGTTCACTTAAAGGCAACAGATAAATTATAGTGGGTTTTTAATGGTATTAGTTCATGTAAGCACGTTTAGCTTACATATCCCTTCTACACTTAGTATTGCATATTTCCTCTGAGTGATAGGAATTCTAAAAAGTGAAACAAAGTTTTAGATATGGATAGTCAAATTTAACCTCTTATTTGAAGAGAGATACAGAACCTAACAACTTGAAAATAGAAGAGGCCTTCACAATCGAGTCTTCTTTCTTCCCTTAAAACAATAGTTGTACAGGCCACTCTTTTGAAGCAATTGCTGATGGACAATAGTCTCTGACTTAAATGTTTTATTCCCTTACCTTTCAAATAGATTACATTTTTTTCTGGAACATCTGTGTACTATAAAATTAAAAATTAGTGCTAGAAACAGAGTTGGTGGGATACTTCCCGATGTATACTGGTTTTCATGAGACATTAAAATTTAATAACAGACAAACAAAGTTGAAGTCTTCTGAGAAATTACTCATACTTCTACTTAGGTATAATTAAAGATGAATATCTGCTTTCATGCTTCTTTTCTTACTAAAACAATAACTTAACCTAGTCAGTAGAAAATAAATTTCATGTTTGGTGATATTTAGTCAGTTGGCCACTGGGGAGTTACTTGGTAATGAAGGCATCTATTTTATATTTCCTATTTATTGTTTCTTAGGAGGTTATCTTTTAATTATTTTATTGCACTTAATATTTATTTTTTTTAATTATTATTATTTATTTTTTTTTTTTTGAGATGCAGTATCACTCTGTAGCCCAGGCTGGAGTGCAGTGGCTCGATCTCAGCTCACTGCAACTTCCACCTCCTGGGTTCAAGCGATTCTCCTGCCTCAGCCTCCCAAGTAGCTGGGACTACAGGCACACATCACCATGCCCGGCTAATTTTTGTATTTTTAGTAGAGATGGGGTTTCACCATGTTAGCCAAGCTGGTCTTAAACTCCTGACCTCAAGTGATCCACCCACCTCGGCCTCCCAAAGTGCTGGGATTACAGGTGTGAGCCTGGCCGAACTTTTTGTATAAGTAGAATAATTTAGGGGTTATAGAGGGTAAGAAAAATCAGTGTTCTTTGGTAAAAAAGAGAAAGTGAACAATGTCCGGTTAGACAAGAAAGACATGTTTGAAGTCAATGGCAAATACAGCTTATACTTCAGTGATTTTACATGTATAATGGTGGATCACTCAAATATACTAATTACATAATTTTGAAGAACCATATCCTGAGAATGATGTAATCAACTTTTAAAACATATTGTTTGACACAGACTGTGAGGGGTGAAGCATGGACCACTTTAATGTTTGACTAGATTTAAGTGTGATGAGAAATTTGTCATCCTAAAGTTTAGTTTTTTATATAAAAAGTTCTATGTCAGTTGTTTACAAGTCAAATAAGTTACTCTTATTTTCTTTTCATTAATAGCATTGTAAGTGCTTATAATCACTTAGGATTCTTATAAGTGGCTACCGTATTTTCTCATCCATGCTGCCTATAAATGTACTTAAACATAGGATGTACTCCAGGAAGATTTGTTGAATGAAAGGATGCATTTATATTGAATAGGAATTTTTAATTATCCACTTCTATTATGTACATTATTTGCTGTGGGGATAATTTTGATATTTAGTGTTAAAAGCATAAGACCAAGAGTTCTAGGTCTTAATATCAACACTAGCAGTTTTGGCTGGCTATGCAACCTAGAAAAAAAAAGACCGATCTTAGTATGTTCAGCAACACATTAGTGACAATGATGTGAGTAAGTTTCCTCTAATTTTGAAAATACAAGTATACTAATTTATGAAAGTAAATATAACTGACAATAGTACCATTAGGCTGCTAGAATTCCTTGCTAAAATATTTACTATATTGCTGAGCATCAATTTGATTTGTTTCTTATTATAATTTAAAATACTGTGTACTCCATACTTGATAATGCTGTTTCTCTTTAGCAATATTGTACCCCATGAGCAATACTGCTACCCACTTAGCAATATCATACCCATTCATTGTGTAATGAATAGGCCCATGGTCAGAATCCAGGCAAGAATTCATGGACTAAGTTTGATATAGGCAAAAATTGGGACCAGTAGAGCAAGGAATTATTTTGCCTTAGCCAGAAAAATTCCATTTTGTTTCCTGTTTAAGATAGAACATGTAGCATGATCATGGAATTTCTCACTCACTATCTGGTCAGAATGGAAGATTGAGGGACTCAAAGGAAGAACAAATTATAGGCAGTTACTGACACAGATCCATCAATCCATGTGCTAGGCTGACTTTGTAAAATGGCCAGTGATATCTCCTTTTACCACACTATTGTTTGAAAAGCAGTCACTGGGTGTTGAAGTACTCAGGGACTACTCTTTGTACTTTGGGGATGTTTGTAATATTTAAATGGAAAAGAGGCTTCCAGAATTCCATAACCATAGCTTGATCACAGCTTTCAAATCTCTTGTATGCTCATCCCATTGTGATTTCCCAATGTATATCAATATATTGGATATAGGAAAGGAGATTAGAACAATTTATTTATATCCACCATGCCCATGACAGAATAAATTTTAAATAATGATGTATAACGTTTTTATGCTAATGTCAGCTGTATCTGATTAGCAATAAAGGCAGCTTGGAACATAACATGGAAAAACCAGTGGTCTGTATTGGGTAACATCCTAGCAGAGAAAATGACTCAGAACTAATGCCCCAATGTGGGGGCTGAGGCATTTAAGTACATCTTGTTTTAGGATTTTATGGATTTGTAAGCTCCCTCAGGAGAAGTGCCTGGAATTGTATACTTCCTTGGGTCCATCTGAGGGGAAGCTGGGAGACAGAAAGAAGTGGAAAGTGGCAAGGGCTTCAACTATGATTACTGCATGGTTTGATGGCTGACCATAGCACATTCTTGATGCTGTGGCCTGGACTTCTTTTTGGTCTATTGCTTAGGCCTCTCTCCATATCCCAGTGGAAACTCCATGAGGGCAGGGGTTGCTGCTGTTGTTTTTTCTTTCCCTACCACTGTATCTTCAGTGTCTTGAACAGTGCCTGGCACATAGTGGAAGCTCAGTAAATATTTGCAAGTAAATACTAATGAGTTTGCTTAGAGTTTATTCTGTACAAGGTGCTGTAGTAGGTGTGATGGTAGAAACAGAGATGAACGAGAAACTCTTCATTCTTCAGCTCACCCAGAGTCCAGCAGGGATGACATGTTGTGTGTGCAAGAGACAAGTAGCATATCCCCAGTGGCTATAGGTCCACATGATAAATAAAGTCATTCTAACTGGGAGGGAAGTGGAACTACAGAGCTCCTTGAGGTAAGGGACAGTCATTTTGGCCTTTAAGGATGTGTGGGCAGCAATAGACAGCAGTGGAAAGGGGTGCCTCCAGGTTGATGGGACAGTTGGAGCAAAGACAGGGGTGGAAACTTTGGGGCCTGAATGCATAGCAATAAGCAGAAAGATTGGGCCCAGGGCGGGGTGTGTGAGGGGACAAGTTGGAAAAAAGGCAGAAGAGAAAGGCTGAGGCCAGTTTACAGAGGGGCAGCAATGACATGATAAAGCAGTGAAGAATTTATATAGAATTAGAAGTTTGTGCGTGCTTAAGGATCACAAATAATGGTTAATTCTAAATTCTGAAAGTCACTGGCCACAGTTTATACTTTTTAGCTTATTACATAGTTTCAAGAATTGTTGATTTGATTGTTTTTAGCATTAAATTTACCAAAGCCTATGAAATATCTCCAATATATTTATTAAAAGTGGTGCAAGAATGGCCCTGACTTTCATTAGTATGTGTACAGTCAGATTTTGAAACAGAAAAGAAAGACTGAGAAAAGCCTAAAAATCACCAGGCTGTGTAGAGCACAAAAAGCTGTTTCGGTTCATAGGATCTCAGAAGATAGAAGGCAATTTAGTCAGGCTTAAATACTTTTAGTCCTTTACAGCTACTATGCTTTCTCTCAGATTGGTGCTTTTACCCATACTGTTTTCCTCTTTTATTCCTCCATTCCTCCACCAACTGTCCATCTCCTGCATTTGGCTAAGCCCAACTCCTTCTTCAAAACTTATATTATTTATTATTTCTTCTGGACTTCTCCAGAAGCCTTCCTTAGATTTCCCCACCTTTATGAGGCAGGACACACCTCTATCTGCACCTAGATATATTTTCTTTATATTTTTTTCACTGCAACATAATTTTCTTTGCTTTCAAGAATGGATAAATCAATCATTCCAAGCCTCACTGTGGCATCCTTGAAATTGATTACCTAAGTTGCCCCTAAAAACTTCACATGACAGTGTGGGCTTATCACATAACACTTTTAATTATTAGAAAATTCTTCATTGTATTGAGTTGAAATCTGTTTGTTTCCTTCACCTATCAATTTATTTTTTTTTCCTAAATGGCATGGATGTAAGTGTTTGGAGATTATTAGCTTCTTATCACTATTTGTATGAATATTGGTTTCCAGATTAAGACACCTCAAAACTTGGTAGCCTTTCTATGGATAAACTCGATTTGGTCACTTTTCTCTTTTAAAATTTGTAATTGTATATAATTTTTCAGATGTGAATTGAGTAGAACTGAATATAGTTAATTCTTACCTTCTTTGATATAATACAATATGGATTTTTATTAACCCTGAGATTTTGGGCTTTTTTTGGCAGTGATTTCACATTATTGACTGATGTAATGCTTGCAACTGGCTAAATATATTTTTCATAAGAATTAAAGTGATATGTGCCCAATAACTACACTTAGATGAATAAATGAATGACACCAGGCTACCACCATTCTGTACCTTCAAAAACTTAAGTATGGAATGTAAAACTTATCCTAAATAAATCCAGTTTTATACATTTGGAAACTTATAAATTTTTATAAACTTTCACTTGGGCTAAAATTTTTATCTCCTTGAACATAAATAGTTTAAGCAATTTTACCTTTTTTTTTTTTGGCTGAAATCAAACTATCTTATGTGGTTCCTTGATCTGTTACCTGGAAGCCATGCCTGTAATCCCAGCACTTTGGGAGGCTGAGGCGGGCGGATCACAAGGTCAGGAGTTCGAGACCAGCCTGGCCAACATGGTGAAACCCCATCTCTACTAAAAATACAAAAATTTGCTGGGTGTGGTGGTGGGTGCCTGTAATTCCAGCTACTCGGGAGGCTGAAGTAGGAGAATCACTTGAAATAAGAAGGCAGAGGTTGCAGTGAGCGGAGATCGCACCACTGCACTCCAGCCTGGGCAACAAGAGCGAATCTCCATCTCAAAAAAAAAAAAAAGGACCTGCTGCTAGCTTGATGTATTTGGTTTTCATTCACATGCAACTATGTCTTTATGTCTTTTTCTAAACATTGAGGACCATTGTAGGCATTTTCTTGATTTTAAAATTAAGTTTACCAACCAAAATATGCTTTCCAGTATTTGCTACTCTTTTCCCTCTTTTGAGAAACATACTTTTTCCTATTTATCACTTTTTATTACATTTCCTCATTGTCCATGAGTTCTCTGATATTACCTAAATCTGTGTCCTTCTCTATGTTTTTTTCAGGAACTAAAATATAAGTTAGTCAGAAATTGGAGAAAAATATCTCATTCAAATTGGCCAGTTATTCTTGCGGTCTTTTTTAATAATTTTGCACCTGCTTCTTTGATTACAGTAGTTTTCTTATAACTCCTTAAAGCCTTTCTTCTTCAATATTTTACTTAAAAAAGTCATCATTTGTTGTTTGGAAATAATTAGAGAAAGAAACAGTCTTATAAGAAATTGCCCCAAATATTTGAAAACATGAGGAGTCCAAAACAAATGAGGAATTTATATTGAACCACTGGGTGTTTCCATGGTGGAAAAGTCAATAAAACAATTCAATATTATGAACCCCAACCAGCATTCTGAAATGTAGTTTTATTTTCCATTTATTAATAATGTATCATGCCATATAGCATGTTTAACATGACCTGTTAAAGGCATGGCAAGTCACAGGAGAAGAAAAAGAAAGCCTAGAGAAGGTGCAGGAAATAGATAAAGTGAGTAGCAGGAAGGAAAAAAGCACAATGAAGTATGATAAGGGGGCAAAAGGTTTGGAGAACCACTGCCAATGACCCTGACAAATATGTGCATGCTATTTGCTTTTGATTGGGAACTGTCAGCAGGAGAAAGTGTCTAAATATGTTTTTCATAAGAATTAAAATGATATATGCCCAGTAAATACACATAACTACACAAAGTAATCTCTGAGGTTACTTTGTCTTTATCCTCCAAGAAACATGGATCCCAAATAGATTAGCCTTTTTCATTTCTTCTGGACCACTTCACTGAAGGATACCAACTCCATATTTGTTATACAAGGGCATTAAAGCTATCAGGTCATAGAGTATTTGAGATTGGATTTTGCTGTATCCATTTTATTACCTAAGGCGTTCCTCATTCATGTTTTTTTTAAAACTGGGTCTTCAAAATAAGAAGCTGAGACAGCCCCGAATAATGTTTTTAGTTGGTAGAATAGTTCATCAATCAATCTTGCTCAAACTATTTATAATAGAAGTAAGTGAAAGACATGGTTCCTAGTGATTTCAATCTCAGATTAATCTTCCTCTGAACATAAAATTGTTTTCTTGTACTCAAATAAGGTTATACATAGTAAATTTTTAAACAGTCTAAAATATATTTAAACTTGTGGTGCATATTAGTCTTTAAAGCTTTGAGATTTAGAGGATTGGTATGATTAAAATCAAGCTGAAGGCCATTCGCTAAAAGCATCTGTCATCAGAGAGTACTTTATGGGAAACAATGTCAATAGAATATGTAATATTTTAGTGGTGTATAGCAATATTTTATGTCTGCAAAGCGCTTGCCATAAACTACAAGTGAAATGGACCATCTACCTCTACTGCCTTCAGATGGATGAAGATATTTGCTTATGTAGATATTAGAACACTCATTTTAATATGTGGATTTTGAATAGAGACATTTTCTTGATGAGTTCTAATCATCTAATTTTAAACATTTAGAAATCAGACACCTTTATTGATGAAAACATTATGTACCTGTAATATATATATATGTACATGTAATATATATATATCTATATATATGCTTATAAGTCACAGGATGTACTATTGCTGTAATATATTTTGTCAACTTTAAAGCAAAAGCTTAGAGATGGTTGAGATAAGTCAATAAGAGCACAAATGTCTTCATACAGATATTATTGTGTACCTTTTTGGTACATGTGCACCTCTCTGTAAAGACCACCAGTATAAAGGATTGCATTCTTTGGTATAACTTAAGGTACATACATTGAGAGGAATTCTGAAGAAGTTAGCTCTAAATTTTGATTTATCTTGTTTAAAGAGAATAATTATATGTCATTAGTTGTTGACATATGTTTGATGCAAGGGAAATGAATTGTCTTATTGGTAGAAAGGTTTAGGAAACTCATACTCGTATTCTGTCATATAATAATAGATGATGACTAAGCTTAAGGGTAGCATATTATAATCTCTACTGAGTTGCCAACAGTGATGGCCAATTTCTTATCACTAGCTTGTAACTCTTGGAATTAAATCATGTAACTCTTAAAATGTAATTCATATATCACATATATGAAAGTCTGATGACAATTATACTCATGTACTTGTATACTATGTTTCAGCTCTGGTCTGGCTCTGCTTTTTTAGACTTGCTGAGAGGTATGGAGCCAGTCTTGTATCTTACTTTTTGAGCCAAGGAAGACTTTAGAGCAAGGCCTGCTCATGGTTCTCTTCTGCTTGGTCAACTTGAAAAAAGGCTCAGTAAAGCCAAGGAGAAAGCTGGCATGGGGAATTGCCTTGGCAAGCAGTGGTGACTCTGCAGGCATGAGAGATAGTGTGCTTTGCCCTGGGAAATAAAGCTATTACCTGTTGATTGCTTTGCTTTAAAAAAAAAAAAAAAAGCTTTACAACAATAGAAGAACCTCAAATGAATATTGCTAAGTGAAAGAAGCCAATCTGAAAAGGCTATGTACTGTATGATTCCAACTACATAATCTTTGGGAAAAGGGAAAACTGTGGAGACGGTGAAAAGATCAGTGGTTGCCAGGGTTTGAGAGGAATGAACAGGTGGAGCACAGAGGATTCTTGGGGCAGTGAAATTACTCCATGTGGTAATATAATGGTAGGTATATGTCACTATACATTTGTCCAAACCCATACAGTGTACAACACCAAGAGGGGGAGCCCTAAGGAAAACAATAGACTAGTTGATAATGATGTGTCAATGTAGGTTCATCAGTTGTAACAAATGTACCACTCTGGTGGGGGATGTTGATAATGGCGGAGGTTGTGGGGCGGGGTGGGCAGGAGGTACATGGGAATCTCTGTTCCTTCATCCCAGTTTTGTTCTGAACCTAAAACTTCTCTGAAAAAACAGTCTTAAAACATAAAATAAGCTTTATGTTCTCCATCTTTCCAGGAAACTGAGAGGCCCCCAAAACACCCAAACTGAGTGTTCTAGCTCCTGCCTGCCTGATCAACATTCTTATACTAACTTGAAGGGTTTGATAATGTTAATGTAAATTAAATCAACTCCTTCCTCACACAGCTACATTAAAGTACTTGATTAAGTCTACTATGACTTCTAAGAGCGCATTCTGGCTGCCAGTAAATGTTTTGAAATAAAAGGTTAAATTTAAAATTTTTTCTATTATTATTTTGTTGAATATCAATTTTAGTGAGATTCAAGGGCAAAGTAGTTGCCTGGCAGGAGTTAATGCATCCAAAGTAAGTAGTTTTGCTGAGAATATAGGTTTTCTCATTTATGACTTTGTATTTTAAAAATTGATAGTGTTTTTCTCAGGAAAACATCCCTGTTTTGGGCAGGAAGTATCTTATTTGACTGATAATACTTCAGATTCAGGATTTTTTGTTTGTTGATGCTCCTTTTAGAAAACTTAGAAACTATATAAAATATAAATAACAAAACAAAATTAGCAAAATTTGAACAATCTCACTGTTAAAATTTGATATATTTCACTCATCTCCTCTTTCACTCTCCCTTCCTTTAACTTATCTCACTCTTTTTTTGTTTCAAATGAAAGTTATATGGGATATTTTACATTTTACTTTTTTCAGACATTATATCATGAGTATTTCTCTAAGGAATGAATACCAATAACATTATTGGTAAAATGTCACATATGGACCCAAATTTATTTCATTAACTCCTACTGACTATTAAATGATTTATTCCCTCTAAACTGGAAATTTTGAATAGATGTGATAATTTCTCCAGAGCAATGCGTTCTTGAGAAAGATCATTTTCTGGAAAAAGATAGTTCTTTTTCATAATCACCAGCAAAATTTTAAATATTTATATGCTGATATTTTCATGAGCTTTCTGTAATATACAAGGCAAACATGTAAAACAACTGTGAAAGTGTAGGCAACATATAAAAAAATTGTTCTTTGGTGTTTAAGGTAAAGTGTAAATAATGTTAATTTCATGGTAATAAATACTGACAGATTTTTTTTGTTATTTTTGATTTGGATGTCTCAATTGACTGCAAGTTTGATGTTGCCTCAGTTTACTACAGACTTCTGACAAAGATGCTTATTTTCATGACCAGTCGGTCATGAGCTTCCCAAGTGGCCATCTCTTGGCTTTGTGGTTTTAGTGAAATCCAAGTCAGCTCCACTGAGCTGTTCACATGACTGAATGCCAGAAGATAGACATGAAATACAATATCCTGTTCTGGAAAAATAAACCACCCAAAGGACCTGTGTGTCTTTCCTTATTTCTTTTTATTTATAACTTAAGAACTAAAATTTAAACAAGAAGCAGCATTTTGAATTCAGAACTGAAACAATACAGACTTCTAGAAATGAATAATTAAATTACCTAGGTTCATAGCGCAGTCAAGTGTGTTATATTTGTGTTGCTTTTCTAATGTGCGACTATTTCTACTTTTTATTTATTTCAAACATATCTGAGCACTTTGGAACTAACAGCAAGTAGATTTTTGTTTGTTTATTTTGTCACCATCATCACCATTCTATGGGGAACTGACATGGCATATTTCTGATAGAAATGGGAGTCTATTTAAAAATATTCTGTGCTTACTGTGAGACTTAGATGATAGGATATTTTTGTTAACTCACATGTCCTGAGTACTTGGCTTTATGCTTCAGCTTGTTTAATACTCTGAATAACCCTGACAAGGTCTCTTCTAAAGATGAGGAATCTGAGGCTAAAAGAGTTGCCCAAATGGTTTAAGATGCTAGTAAGTGGTTAAACAAGATTGGAGCTCAAGCTGTCTCCTTCAAAGGCTATGTGTATAACCACTAAACTTATTAACCCAGACAAAAGCAATCTCCTCTTTCTCTAAACTCTTGTGGCTTTGTTTGTACCACACGTATCTCACACAGTCTGTTTGTCATTAATTTGTTATGTTTACCTTCTGACTAAATCATAGGCTTTTTGGGGTCAGAGAATTCTCAAATTGTGTAACCCTGTAAATATACCCTCTCTGCAAGCTACACAATGCCTTCTGATAAGATACTAATAAACACTCAGGTATTAATATCCTACGCTAAGCTCTGGTTAGATTATCGGGGAGAATGGACACTATATTGGTTGTAGGCATAACCACAATTGAAACTATGAAGACTTTTGGAGTTTTCATGGGGAAGGGGCTCACTTTTATTGCATGTCTACTATATGTATTACTTTACATACTCTGTACCATTCAATTCTAAGCAATCTGTCAGAATCTTACAGATAAAGAAACTGAGGTTCAGAGAGATTAAATAACTTGCCATAGTAACTAGCAAAACCAGAACTGGTATTCATGATTGTTTTATTCGATAGCCTGTGGTTTTTTCAAACTTTTTTATTCCATCAGAGCAATATATTTATTTTGTTAAAACACTAAAATAGTATAGAAATCTTTCTGAGCAAGAGTTAACACTAAGGTTAACTCTATTATTGCGGCCAAAGATAGAGAAAGAAATAAGTGGAGCATTGATATCTAATGATTACTATAATGGCTGATGTACTCCTTAAGGAAAGAGTTTTATTGCCATCATTATATTAGATTTTAATATAATAGAAAGTAAAAACAAGAAATTGTTCAGAATGTTGTTAAGACTCAATAAATACTTATTGAACATCTATGTGTTAGGAACTATGCTAGTTGTTTACACAGATATTAGCCAAACAGAAACGCTGAGGAGGGGTACTTCCAAGTGTATTTTACACAAAGCATACACCAAAGCTGAGAGTTAAGTAACTTGTCCAAATTCACACCACTAATAATGTAGAAGTAGTATAATAGCAAAGGTCTTCACTTTAAATTCAGTGCTTTTTCTATTATGTCTGGTTTTAGTGCTGTATTTAGGGGGTAACTTTTAAAAAATTTAATAAAACTTTATTTTGAAAGAAGGAATGATTTGTGCAGTGCTTTCTTCGTTTCGGATGCCAAGAAAGTATGGTAGCAAGTGCTAACTTCTATTTGTAAATGTGTCTGAAATATTGTGTGTCTGGAGTTTTCATAAATGTAGCAAGCTCAAAAAGTACATGAAATAATGATAATCAATTCTGCCCAAAACAAAGAATTTGTAATCTTACTCTCAAATTGTTTGTCACTTGAATTCTTGTCTGTTTGTCATTATATTTATGTTACCTTTATTCAAAGTTTACATTTTAGGTAGGGGGTAGATCAACATTCTTCATCTTTGTCAAATTCATTGGCAGGCAAATTTATGGTAGTGTTTGGCCAGTTGCTTAGGGGACAAAACCAAACAGCATATTGATTGTGTTATGTTGGGCTTTGTGGTTTTACAGCTTAGGAAATCCAGTTCTTGTTTAATAGCATGCAACCATTTCTGTTCTAAAAGGTTTTTCTCTTACATATTACTAGTGGTTTAAAAAAGTATTTGGAGGAGACGAAAGAAATTTAGATTCCAAAACAAAGAAATAATACAATCTAATCAGGGATTATTTTGTTTCTATAAAAACTAAATATTTAAAAGTTATCTTGGGAGAATGAGAATTTATTTGAGTGGGGTTCAGAGTAAAGACAAATCTGGGCTGTGCTATTCATTTGTAAAATGAAGATAATACCCAACTTGCAGGGCTATTTTGAGGCATATACAATAAAGTAGTTTTATGTGTTTTACAGTGCCAGACACAAAGTAGATGGTTATTATTGTTTCCTTGTATTTCCAATTCAATTCCTGAATGTATAAAACATGGATTTTGAGGATATTCGATTAAGACAAAAATTAAAGAATTTAGGATAGAATGTCTGATTTGAATGTGGTAGTTTAAAGTCACATTATCACCTCATCTTCGCAGAAATTATCCAAAGCAACAAGGTAAATGAAAAACAGAAATTTAAACAACCATATTTGGTGATGCTAAAAGACTGCTAAACTCCAGATCCTCCCAAAGGAGGAATGTCTTCCCAAGGCAGTAGACGTTGTAGATTAGGATGAGGAGATGGAAAACAGTGGAGGCAGTGCAACAGCTGTGCAGCTACGAGACAGCCATTTATGAAGATGAGGGATACACACTGAGATGCAATTTCTGAGCTCCATTATTATAACAGGACAAACTAGGTGCACCAACTTTCTCAGACCCAGTTGGTTCTGAGCAGTAAAAAAGATGGGCCAACCACATGAAAACATAGACCAGTCTTCATTGGTTGAGCAAACAGCCAGTCTTCATTGCAGTAGAGAAAGGATAGTTTACATTAAGAAAACCATCTCAACTACCATGTCCATTGATTGAGGAAGTGTAAAAAGGAAATAAATACACAATCAAAATCCTACATCACAGGAAAAATTGCCCTTAGCCTGGAATATGTCTCCATTCCCTTCGCCACATGAACTTCCAACAAATAGCTGGTACAGAAAAAACTCACCAGTTTCAATACTATATGATACCAAAAAGGATTAGCCTAAGATCTTTTTTTAAAAAATTGCTTGGGAGGCCAAGGTGGGCGGATCACGAGGTCAGAAGATCGAGACCATCCTGGCTGACACAGTGAAACCTTGTCTCTACTAAAAATAAAAAAAATTGGCTGGGCGTGGTAGCGCCTGTAGTCCCAGCTACTCGGGAGGCTGAGGCAGGAGAATGGCATGAACCCGGGAGGCAGAGCTTGCAGTGAGCCGAGATCATGCCACTGCACTCCAGCCTGGGCGACAGAGCAAGACTCCATCTCAAAAAAAAAAAAAAAAAGAAAAAAAATTGCAAGAAAAATATGAGGAAATGAAGAGGGAAACCAAAAGCTCAGGAGAAAATAATAGCTAAACAAAACAAAGTAGTGTGCCATGAAAGAGATGAAAATTGTTACTGAACATTGTGCTATAAATTTAAAAATAAAGTAAAACAAAACTTTAAAGAAATAAGTGTGTTTATGAAGGATGAATGCCAATAAAAAATAAAAGAACTCAGAGAAGAGATGGTAGGTGAACAGTGGTCTCAAAGAAATGGACAGGAAAAATAAAACCACTACAGAAATCAAGGAAAAGTTGGCAGGAGCACAAGAAAGAATAAACACTGCTGAAATATAGCAAAGACCTTGAGAGAGGATGAATATGAGGAAAGTGAGCAAAATGAAAGAGAAATTTAAGAGTTTTAAAAGATTAGACAGAAAATGGTAGGTAGCTATAGAAGACAGGCAAAGGAAATCAAGTATGCACATTTTTGGAGTCACGAATAAAAATGAAAATTATGTCACAAAATAAATATTTAAAGATATAAATTAAGATAATTTCCCTAAGTTAAGGAAGACTTGAATTTACATGTTGAAAGGCATACTAAATCCAATGGAAATTGCCCCAGTGCCATAAACATAAAAACATATCCAAGTAAAATTCAGAGATAATGAAAGACTCCCTTGGGTGGCCAAGAAGAATGTCTCTTGTAGGAGAAATAGATTAATGTGATCTTGAACTACTTTAGAACACACTGAATGCTAGAAAATAATGGAGCAAAATCTATGTGTTGAGTGTGACTCAAGAATTTTATAACCAGCAAAAATGTTGTTCAAATACAGAGGCAATAGCAAACAATTTTGAACACGCACAACTTAGGGAATATTGTTTACATGAAATATCAGGAAATTTTTAGAAGAAAAGTTAAGCAAGAGGTGTCTAAAAAGTATACAACAAAAATACTAACCATGAGCATTGGATTTATGCAATTCTTTGACTAAGACTAAAATATGGGGATTAGGGTAACAGAACAGACTGTAATGCAAATTGTACTGATAATAAAAGTAATAAGCCTTATAAAAATGGATAAAACAGGGAAAGAAAGTGGAAGCATAGTAAATACATGTATTTTAAATGCAAATTTAAAATAAGTGAGGGTCATGGTCTTGATGTTAAACAAAACAAAAATAACACTTTATAAAGATTGAGACATTCACAGTGAAAATAAAGCAGTGAAATGTATCTATGTACTAACAACATCAACATTCATAGAACAAAACAATAACAGAAGATATAGAAACATATTAGAGTAAGAGACTTGAATTTTCTTCCATAGTTGATGACAGATAGAAGACAGAAATATCTACATCTATAGAAGACCTGGTTAATATAATTAATACACATCTAACTGATGTATAGAACATTGTTTCCTGAAAACACAATACTTCTTTTCAAGTAGCCATGGAGTGTTAACAAGAGTCAATCCTATACAGCACCACAAGGAAAAGTGCACTCATCACAATGAAATAAAACTAGAAATTAATAACAAGGGAGGTAAATTTTTTAAAAACTTCATCAAATTTAAAAATCTCTCTTAAACTCATGTCAAACAGGAAACCCAACCTAAATTTTCTAAAATTTAGAAAACAAAGGTAATATAAACATGACATATCAGAATCTATGGGATATAGATAAAACTCTCAGAAGAAAAGTATACCCTTAGTACTCTGAGTAGTGAATTAGGAAGTAAGAAGAAAACAACAAAATTAACCTATGCAAAGCAAAATGAAGTAATAAAGCAGAAATAGATGAATTAGAGATAAAAAGAAGTACTTCTTCTTTGGGAAACTAAACTATTAGTTAATAAAATAAAATGTACAGTACACAAATACACCATGTAAAAAAGGATCATAGGGAAACTATCTTGAAATGCTGAAAATTTAGTCATAAAAGATTTTGTTTACTAAACTCAAGGTGAACAATTTGAAAAATTGAATAAGATGGTTAAATTTCTTGAGAGAGATGATTTTCTAAAAGACTCCAAAGCATACAGAAAATACAATTGAAGCCTGGGCATGGTGGCTCACACCTGTAACCCCAGTACTTTGTTTCATTTTTTTTTTCTAAAAAAAATAAAAGGGGGATACGTGTACAGAACGTGCAGGTTTGTTATATGGTATACATGCGCCATGGTGGTTTGCTGCACCTATTGACCTGTCTGTCCTCTAAGTTCGCTCCCCTCACCCCTTACCCCCCAACAGGCTGTGGGGTGTGTCATTCCCCCCTCTGTGTCCATTTGTTCTCAATGTTCAACTCCCACTTATGAATGAGAAAATTCGGTGTTTGGTTTTCTATTCCTGTGTTAGTTTGCTAAGGATGATGGCTTGTAGCTTCATCCATGTCCCTGCAAAGGACATGATCTCATTCCTTTTTATGGCTGCATAGTATTCCATGGTGTATATGTGCCACATTTTCTTTATCCAGTCTATCATTGGTGGGCATTTGGGTTGATTCCATGTATTTGTTATTGTAAATAGTGCTGCAATAAACATGTATGTGCATGTGTATAGTAGAATGATTTATAATCCGTTGGGTATCTACTCAGTAATGGGATTGCTGGGTCAAATGGTATTTCTGGTTCTAGATCCTTGAAGAATCACCATACTGTCTTCCACAGTGATTGAACACTCCCACCAACAGTGTAAAAGCATTCCTATTTCTCCACAGCCTTGCCAGAATCTATTGTTTCCTGACTTTTTAATAATCACCATTCTGACTGGTGTGAGATGGTATCTCATTGTGGTTTTGATTTGCATTTATCTGATGATTAGTGATGTTGAGCTTTTTTTCATGTATTTTTTGGCTGCATAAATGTCTTCTTTGGAGAAGTGTCTATTCATATCCTTTGCCCACTTTTTGATAGAGTTGTTTGTTTTTTTCTTGTAAATATGTTTAAGTTCCTTGTAAATCCTGGATATTAGACCTTTGTCAGATGGGTAGATTGCAAAAATTTTCTCTCATTCTGTAGATTACCTGTTCACTCTGATGATAGTTTCTTTTGCTTTGCAGAAGCTCTTTAGTTTAATTAGATATCATGTGTCAATTTTGGCTTTAGTTGCAATTGCTTTTGGCGTTTTTGTCATGAAGGCTTTGCCCGTGCCGTATGTCCTGAATGGTTTTGCCTAGGTTTTCTTCTAGGGTTTTTATGGTTTTGGGTTTTACATCGAAGTTTTTAATCCATCTTGAGTTAATTTTTGTATAAGGTGTAAGGAAGGGGTTCAATTTCAGTTTTCTGCATATGGCTAGGCAGTTTTCCCAGCACCATTTACTGAATAGGAGATCCTTTCCACATTGCTTGTTCTTGTCAGGCTTGCAGAAGAGCAGATGGTTGTAGATGTGTGGTGTTATCTCTGTTCTGCTCCATTGGTCTATATGTCTGTTTTGGTACCACTACCATGCTGTTTTGTGTAACCCCAGCACTTTGGGAGGCTGGGCAGATCACTTGAGCCCAGGAGTTCGAGACCACACTGGGTCACATGGCAAGACCCTGTCTCTACAAAAAAATACAAAAATTAGCCAGGCGTGGTGGTGTGTGCCTGTAGTCTGAGCTACTGAGGAGGCTGAGGTGGAAGGATCTATTGAGCTGGGGAGGTGGAGGTTGCAGCGAACTGAGATCATGCCACTGCACTCCAGCCTGGGTGACAGAGCAAGACTCCAATTCAAAAGAAAAAAAAAATAGTGGCTATATTAACTGAAAAAAACAAAACATAAATCTATGCCCCCACTATCATCAAAAGCACAAAGCCCTGATGATTTTATAAGGGAATTGAACCAAAACTTCAAAAACTTGATAACATTAATAACATTTAAACTCTTTCAGGGAACAGGTAAATGATGTGAGCATGATATTGACATCAAAATTTAATAACATTTTCAAAGAAAACTTTAGATCTTTCATATTCATGTTCATGCAAATAATTATAAAAATCCTACGTAAAATGTTGCCAAACAATTTAGCACATGTTAAAAGAATAAACATCCTGATTAAAGGTGTTTATTTCAGGGGCATGATGATAGGTCAATCAAAGGAAATTATTAACATATCTAAGGGAAGAACACATGATTATATTAATATATATAAAAGGCATTTAACAAAATTAGTGTTAAGGCTTGATTTAATTTAAATAAAAACCCCAAATCTATTAACAGGGAATAGATATATATTTTCATAACCTGATAAAATGTATCTGTTTCAATCTCAAATCCAGTATCATCCTTAGCGGGGAAACACTAGAAGCACTTGATAATTTTAGGAACAAAACAGTAATTCCACTATCATTACATTAAGCATTGTTCAGGAGTACTAGCCAATGCAATTAGATAAAAGAAAGAAATTAGAGATATAAAAGTAGAAAAACATTTACAGTTTCTATGATTGTGTATCTGAAAAGCTGAAAAGTCTTAGAAACAGTAAAAAATTCAGTAGAGTAGTGAATGAAAAAATATTTAAAAATCAATAGCTTTTATATATACAAAAATACAACCATTCAGAACGTATAATAGAAGAAATACCCCAATTCAAAACATCTACAAGAAAGATAAAATAACTAGCCATAAGTTTACCAAGAAATGTGCAAACATATACGGGAAAAAAATAAAACCTTAAAAGAAATAAAAAACCTTCTAAGATTTCCCCCAAAATATTACAATAATTGGAATGATACACTATAGAAAGCCTCAACATCTTGTCAGTTTCTCCTAATTGATTGTATAAATTTAATGTGACATCCACAAAAGTACAGGCAGGATATTTTTGGATATAGATTGGCTGATCTAAAGTTGATAATGGCCGGGCGTGGTGGCTCACGCCTATAATTCCAGCACTTTGGGAGGCTGAGGCAGGTGGATCTCTTGAGGTCGGAAGTTCGAGACCAGCCTGGCCAACATGGTGAAACCCCCTCTCTACTAAAAATACAAAAATTAGCTGGGCGTGGTGGCGCATGCTTGTATTCCCAGCTACTTGGGGAGCTGATGTGGGAGAATCGCTTGAACCCGGGAGGCAGAGGCTGCAGTAAGCCGAGATCACACCACTGCACTCCAGCCTGGGAGACAGTGAAACTCTCTCAAAAAAACAAAAAATAAAAAAATAAAGTTGATATGGAAAAATAATAAGCATGAATGGCCAGAAAAATTTAGCAAAAGGGGAGTAATGATGTGGGACTAGTTTTACTAGATATTAAAACATATTATTAAGCCTCAATTATTAAGACAATTTGGTTCTGAGCATGAAGGTAAAGATTAGTGGATTAGTATATAGAATACATATGTGAATCATAGTGGTTTGTAATGTCAATGGAAAAAATGGGTTTTTCCATAAATAACGAGAAGCCAACTAGGTAGCCATCTGGAAAAAAAGAGGTTCCATACCTTATGCCTTAGACTAGGATAAATTCCAAATGCATCATAAATGTAAATGTACATCATAAACCATAAATATACTTGAAGACATCATGAGAGAATTCTATACAACTTTAGAGGGAAGAAGGCTTTCTCAACTGTGATAAAAATCAGGACCACAAGAAAAAGATTAATAAAGTTTACTTACTACCTAAAAGAAAGCTATTTCTGCATGGCCAAAATTGCTATAAGAAACTTCAAACTGGAGGAAAGTTTTTGCAACTTACATTACAGACAAAATCTAATTTACTTAATTTATAAAGAGCTTCTACAAATTGGCACAAAATAACCAACAACCCAGTAAAAGTGGATGGAGACTGTAGACATTCATTTTATACAAGAGAAATTCAATAGATATCTTCCATTGTTACAGTAAGCACCCCCTCTTCTCATTATTTCTGTCTTAATAGCCTTCTTATTTCTATAGTAGCATTTATTTCAACTTGTTATTTTGTCTCTTTGCTTTACTTGTTTTATTCTTCATTTTCTCTCTAAGATTGTGAATTTATTGGAGAAAAGGATTATGTCTTTTTCTTCCACAGTTGTGCCAAGCACAGTGCTGTCAAATACGAGGCATCTGATAATGTTCGATTCTATTCCAGGTTGTTCTCTTCCTCCACCAGAAAAATACCTTCTAAATAGTGTTCCTTATCACTTCTATCAAACATATTCAGCTTTTTTATACTAAACTGTATAGATGGGCAGACATTTACATTATTAAGAAGACATCATATAAATTTACCAAGTAACTGGGCTATATACAATGTGAACTGTGTAATTAGGCTTTAAATAGTCAACTTCAAGTACAGGGCATGATTAGCTAGCAGGGACTTAAAAATTATAAAAAAGTGTCAGAAGTAGTGTGTTTGCCAGTGAAGATCTTACATTTTTTTAGTTGATTTTTTGGCAGAGTCTTCATTGATAACTTCTTCAGAGTTTTGAACTCAATTTCAATTGCTTTGAATTTTCTTCATTCTTTTATCTGTCTCTTTGATTTTTATGATTAAATACCATGATGAGATTCATAGGCAGCATTAGAGACAATATATGAATGACTTCAAAAGTTCTATTAATGTCTATTATTTCTCTCATACTTTTTAGGATTAAGTACCATAATTATAATATTTTAAGGATTTTATATTACTTAGTATTTTCTTTTTCTTAATTGTTTTTTCCTGACAGCCATACTCTTTTCCAATTTCTTCAGATATCACATTTTTCATTTCCTTAATTATTACTTAAATGTTAGCCTCTTCTAAAGTTGGTTATTTATGTATCTGTGCATTTCTTATTATACACACATATACATAAACCCACTTATATTTTCTGTTTTGCAAATTAAACTACAGATTTTTGAACACAGAGACTGCACTTTATAAATTGCTATAGTGACTATTTTAAAGTAGTGATTTCTGTATATTGTTCAAAATTGTCTCTTTCTATAACTCCACTGTCATTAAACAGTGAGGGTCACTGTCTAAGTTCTGGAGATTCAAAATGTCACAGTTGCTATCATCGGAGTAGTTTATAATCTAGTTTGGGAGAATGTATAAGTGAATGTAGCTATCTACTGTTGCATAAAAAAGTATTCCAAAACTTAGTGCTATTTAATAAAATAAACATTTATTATTTGCCAGTTTTTATGGGCCAGGAGCCCTAGCACTACTGAGCTGGGTCCTCTGGCTCAGAGTCTCTTACAAGTCTATAATTAAAATACTGATTGGACCTTGTGGTCCTTGCAAAACTTGACTGAAAAAGGATCCACTTCCAAGCTACTCACATGGTTGTTGGCAGGATTGAGTTCCTCTTGAGCTATTGGACTGAGGGCCTCAGGTACATGTTGGCTGCCCTCAGTTTCTTGTTATATGGGTCTCCATAGGGTAACAGGGTAGCTCACATGGCTGGTTCACATGACTGGTTTTCATCAGAGAGCAAGAGAGGGTATGCAAGAATGCAAGACAGAAACTATGGTCTCTTTATAACTTAATCTTGGTAGTGACATCTCATCATCTTTGCTCTATTCTTTTTTTAGAAGCAGGGCATTACGTCCAGCCTATAGCCAAGAGGAGGGGATTACACAAGAGTATGAATACCAGGATGTGGGGATAATTGCAGGCCGTTTTAGAGGATGCTTGCCACATTTGATAAATACTGAACAGACAGCTAAGACATATCCTTAAGATAAATCAGTTGAGTGAGCTCTAATTCAGAAGAGTGAGACATTCAGGAGGCTTTCCCAAAACAAATTGAGACCCAAGTTGAATCTTGAAGTAAGATGTGATAAGTAAATGGGGAAAATAGCCTCTTATATAGAAAAAATATAAATAAAAATGTAGAGATGGGCATTTTTCTAGATTATGTTGGAAACAGTGACAGATAACATAACTTGACGACAGTATTATTTTCATCTCCCTTTCAGTGTCTGCTAATTGTTATGAATGGATATCTGTAAAACACAGGTCAATTACTGCATTTTGGTTTGAGTACAGATCATACAACAAAGAAACAATCTCTGCCTTTTAGAATTCAGGTTTTAAAGGAAGACTTGATAATAATCAGTTAAGAAGAATGTGCTTCAGAGTGAAGAGGAGAAGCATGGGAATTGGGAGCCAGAGGTATTGAAACCCTGTGTGTGCTATCAGTTGGTATGGGTGCACTGATCACAGTGATACCAGAGAATGGCACAGAATGTCTCTTGTTTCTCTTCTGTAGTTTTTGGAAAGTTTTGGATATGTGCCACAGCTCATTGGTATTTGTGTAGAGACACATGCCTCTCTCTTCAATTGCCGCAGTGCATTGGTGACTTGTAAGGGGAGGGGGTGGGATGGCTCAAATGTGGATGCTTTCCTATTATCAAGTATCAGCATGATGTATGTATTCTGTCTTGGGCTGAAATGCCTTTGGAGAAGATTCAGACTGGAACAAAATAATTAACTTCATTGACCTTACAGAGACTAGGATAATTTCTAAATCTAGGATGCTTTTAGTTACCAACTAAAGTGAAGACTCTGAACTTCTTCATATTAGAAGTATTTAAATTTAAAATGGGCATTTACACTGATGATCCAGTATTATTTTCAGTATTTACAATTATATTGGATATTTCATATTTTAAATATTTCTTCTATGAAGAGAAAAAAGCAAGACAGACATTTGTACATAAATAGGCATACATAATTGCAACAGTATATATAGAAAATATAAATAATATACAGAAAAAAAGAACCAAAATTGGGCTGTGGTAGATTTCAGTGTTAGAAGTCTGAACAGTGTTTCATTTCACTCAATGAAAAGGAATTCTTTGTATATTCAATAAAGACTAACAGTAGGAAGATGACATTGCTAAGACTTGTGCACTTAAAAGAGACGAAAGCTTGAAGTGAGAGGATTGAAAAAGAATACCATATCCTGACAATGACTGTTTTGATTAGACTCGAAATACTTAAAATATTTCACCTCACAACATTAACAGATAATGTCTTAAATTAATGCTTTCCTTGTTATCTTGCCTAATGCTCAGAAATATTTCTGTGCTCTTTTTCCAGTGACCATTATAAGCAAATTAATAACCACACAGCCAAAATGCATGAACACAACATGAAGCTTGTATGTGATCAGGTGAAATTCCTCTTTTTTTTCTTAGATTATAAAACAGTACAATAAGTTGAAAATTTTGAAAAATAGAAAATACTCATTCTATTTGTTCCAAACATTAATTTTTACTCTGGTGTTACCTTTCAGCACTTGTCCTTATGCACATGTGTCTTTGCAAATAATTGCAATTAATTATATATACAATTCTGTGTTTTGCCTTTTTATTTATTATATAATAAACATTGGCTTATTTTTCTCCATGGAACAATAATTTAGTTGATTCCTAATATTATTTAGAGAATTATATGTTTTTAACCATTTCTCCATTTTGACTTTATTGATATTCTAAAAATGTTCGTGTCCTTTTATTTCCAGTGAATTATAACAAAGAGCGAAATGACTTTATCATAAGGTACTTTTGTTTAGACCTTTATTTTAGGTTCAGGGGTACATGTGCAGGTTTGTTTTTAGGTAAATGGCATGTAGTGGGTGTACAGATTATTTCATCACCCGGGTGATAAGCATAGTACCCAACAGGTAGTTTTTCAAACCTCACCCTCTTCCCACCCTCCACCTTCAAGTAGACCTGGTGTCTATTCTTACCTTCTTGGTGTCCATATGTATTCAATGTTTAGCTCCCACTTGTAAGTGAGAACATTCAGTACTTGGTTTCTGTTCCTGTGTTAGTTTGCTTAGGCTAATGGCCTCTAGCTCCATCCATGTTGCTGTAAAAACATGATCTTGTCCTTTTTTATGACTGCATGGTATTCTATGGTGTATATTCCATGGTGTGTGTGTGTGTGTGTGTGTGTGTATATATAAAATATATATATAAATATATATATATGTGTCACATTTTCTTTATCCAGTCTACTGTTGATGGGCATTTAGGTTGATTCCATGTCTTGGCAATTGTGAATAGTGCTGTGATGAACATATATGTATCACAAAATACGTTTAAGACTTGTAATACATGTAACTGTAATAAATTTCACAGATGTTGTAACCATTCACAATCTTACCAACAGTACAAATATTCCAGGTTTATCATGACACTAGTTTGAGTAATAATCTTTCAAAAAAGTTTTCTTTCTTACACAGTATACTTCAAATTTGCTGAAGTTTGCATCTCTTTCACTATGACTAAATGTGAGCTTTGTTCCCGTTGTTTTTTTGCTATCTTTTTTTAGAGTTTTCCTTTCATGTAGTGTTTGGTATTTTATTTTTTTCTTATGAAGTTGAACAATCTCTTCAGATATCATAGGTTTTAATCTATTTTAATTGTTCATAAAAATTTATGTATTTCAGATTTTAATTTTTATTTATTTTTGCTATATTTATTTCTGTCAGTATTTTCCTTTGTGATCTCTTATATTGCTTTGAAAAGTAGAATGTTATTTTTATATCGATCTGATATATATTCTTTTATATAAACATGGTTTTTCTCTCTTCATTAAGAAAAAAAACTCTTAGATTTTTCAGTAGAGAGTACTATTTAACCCAATGTCATGATAAACCTGGAACAAACATACTATTTTAGGATAATACAGTAAATGGTTCCTCTTTTAATATTCCTTAATCTGCTTTGTATTTGTCTTTTCTGGTTAGCTGTAGGCACCATCTGGGATCAGCCAGGAAACAGGAAACAGGAATTGTGTAATTTGAGTGAATTTACATACCAGTCAAATGCTCTGATATTTGCATTTTAAAACTAGCATTGCACACAATGAGGGATAGTAAAACTCTTGCTAGTAAATTAAGCCAGACTTCAGAGAGCTGGCATCTAGAAGAGAAGATCCTCCAGGCATGGAGACTGAGAGGGAGGTCCCTGGGCATCTGGATACTTCTTAGGCAAATACAGACCCACGTGGGCATCAGAAGGTTCTTCCTCACGATATAGGTTGTGCTTCACCTCTAGGCAGCCTGGTTTGCCAGATTCCCCTTCCCACCAGCACAAGCCCCAGGCTTTGTGCTCTTGGCAGGTCCATTTGAAGCAGACATCCCCTCTTTCCATGGGCCAGCCACCACAACTCTTGACAGACAGGCGACCCCCAGGGATCTGTAAGCCTCAGCGCTGAGGTGTGCTTGGTAGCTGGGTTGCAAGTGCATGTAAAGCTTGCCCCACTGAGACTTGGCCTCTGGCCTCTACTAGTGTGTTGTGGTGCTGCCAGCCTGGAGAGGGGTTTGCCACCTCCATGCCCCACTCAAAGATGGTGCTGGGCATTATACCCCCCAGTCTCAACCTTTCTTGTTCCCATATACAGATTCCTATTGGGGAACCTGTAGGAGCAGAGATGGGGCTACTGAGTTGGGCCTGGGCATCTAGGAGTGGGAGAGCAGGTAGCAGAGAATCTTGTGGTGGTGGGAGGTGGGAACATGCATGAGCCAAGGTCAATCATCCCATTGAACTTCACTTACAAAACACAAATCCAAAAGAAAAAAAATATTTCCCTACAGTGACTGCAAAGCATTAGACCCCAAGGTGAAAAGCTGTTGAGAGCAGGACATTGTCATAAATCCATGCATCTGGCTCTTAAATTTGTAAGACACACCCAGATATTTCTGACTTTTGTAGCTGAGATTCCTTTCTTTAAGTGTATTTGTTTGCTTGTACTTCTGACAATTTGAACTCTGCTAAGTATGTATACTGCCTGTTTGTTGAATGAATTGAAGCAAGTATTTAGGGAATACACATATTATATACACACAGACATCTATCATACTTTTAGCAGTGTCTCTGATTCCCCTATTTTGTGAATAAAATGTTTGCTTCATAAATATGGTTTTGTTTTCTCTGAAAACACAGTCAAAGTGCTGCATACATTTGTTTGGTTGTTGTGGAAACAATCAAAGCTGAAGTTAGGTCTATTCTCCCAACATGTGGAAATTTCAACAATGTTTAATGATTCCTTTCTAAGGACTTGCAAGCAGACTTTTCTCTTCTTCATCAACATTTTACCTCTTCCTTCATAATTTTTATTTTCTTTATCCCTAACTAATGACTAGATTTATTTTGAAAAATATTAATGTTAAGGAATTGCCTAAGAGCAATTAAAACTTTGAAATGAATTACAGTATTCTTATCCTAAAATTTAAAACACATATCCCAATAAGAATTATTTCAGTTCAAAAATATTCTTGAAGATGGTATTTATTTTCTTTTTGTTTGCTTTCAGGGTACCTTGAGAACGTTGGAAAGCTTGTTAATTAAATCTTATTAAATAGCATGACTTAAAATGTATCTTCTCTTGTATCTCTGATTATGCCTTATCAGTGCATAGATGTATTTTAATGTTAAAAATGTCATCTTACATTTAGGATTACATGTAAAGCTGAGAGTCTGAACTTTGTTGGCCATAAAAATCCCATGACTGTTTTTTGCAAGAGGGCTTTCTGCTGCTCTGGCCAAAGTCATCTAAGCAATAACATCCTACTCTATATACCTCAAAGCCCTGTGTTCATTATTAAGGAGTTCTTCTTTGCTTCTTGTTCTAAATATCTGTGTAACATTGCTGAATTTATGTCAACAATTTTTTCTACATCTCATTCAGCAGTACATGAAGTGAAATGATCCATGCATTATACATATACTATGTGCAATTTTGTTCAATGCATATATTTAAAGTTATACCCCTTATTGTTAAGTGGATAATCTCTTTGGAAGTGGAACAGAATGCTATTTAAGCCATATTAGATAATATGCTGTGCATGAATTCATCACTGATTTTATAAAATACACAAAATACATCACTTCATTGTCAAAACAATCATAAGGGCCTTTAAGTGGTCCTGAAAATTACCTGTTCTAATATGAATAGGAATGTACTCAACTAAATGAGTCCTGAAATATACTTGACATTAGCTCAGCTCAAAGTCAGGAAACAGTTCTGCATTTGTTGATTAGATGCAGATCATTTAAAAATGGTGCTGGACAGCAACATTATAAATGAGTAAGGATGGAGAAATATGGAACGCATGTATTGTAGATAAACTGAAAACAGTAAAAGTAGATATAATAATCTGATTTTTTGCAGTATCCTAAAGCAGAAAACATAATTTATTAATTTTTTAATTCAGAAAACATCCCCAATCCTTTGAATATGTATATTTATACTAACATTTTTGCATATAAAGGACATTATAATTGATTTGTCTTATATTAAGTGACTAAGAGTAGAATTTTTAGAAAGTGGGAGGGACATGTTGACTTTCAGCTCATGAATGGCATTTTGAGGAGGCCACTTCCCAATGCCTAGGATTTCTTTGTTCTTTTGTCACCCTCTATTAATTTGGTGTTCGCTTCATATCCCAACTCATACCCTGGATGCCTTCATGGTGCATTTTCTTACAGCTCATGGATCTCACTATCCTCTTTGGACACAGAAAATTTACTGTCTTCATGTATCTGTACTACTTGGCTCTTCTCAGATGCTGGTTTAGCTTTCTTTTAACTTTCCATAGCTTGCTGTTTTTTAAGTTTTCAACTGTGGTAGAGCCTCTGATTTATATATTTCTTAGCTTCTTCTATAATGCCTTGAAAATATTGATTAGTTTATAATGCAGCTCAGGGGGTTCTTGTTTTAGCTTTTCATATATTTATTCATGTATAACTATCAATATAAAGTTAAGAACAATATATTTTTAAAAAGAACAAAGAAATTGGGAAAATTGCTATTAAATTATGTGTAGGCAGTGTTTAGACCCCAGAAGGCAGCAGTAAATATTCCTCTCATTATCAAGGAACCACTTTGAGTAAAGAAAAACTACAAGTAGCAGAAATCTGTAAGTGGAAAGGAAAAAGGAAGTGAGAGGCTGGATATTGATCTTGCCAAATGAAGCAGTGAAAGAAAATATTACATTGTGAATTTTTTTCCATTATTTTCTTAAGTACAACCCAGCAAGTCAGATTAAGAGAACAATGGTTGAGATGCTGGAAATAAATCCAACCCATCTGATAAATCACTAGGAAATGGGAAATAATAAAATTACTGAAAAGAGAAAAGAGTTCCTTAGAGTTTCAGACATTAGTTTTTTAAAAATAAAAAATGGTTTCTGAAGCACAAAAAAATTGTTTATTTTTGTATAATACATGTTGCCTTACTGTTTTTTAAAAAATAAGTTATATATGAAAAATTGTATCAGTTTTCTGTATCAACTTTACTTGATTAAAGTGAATAAACCATTTTGGTTACATAGGAAACTGAAAATTGTTTCCGTTGATTAATCAGTGTCGTCACTGATCTTTAGCGTGGTCTTTAGCTATAGCATTGAGGCTCCGTGATGTAGTGATAAAGCAAGAAATAAAGAATCTGAAGGCCTAGGTTTAATCTTCTTTCTTTTTATTTTCCTCCTCCTTCCTCCTATATTCAAACACTTACTGGAAATCTGAATGTGTACTGAGGCAGTTAATCCCCTCAAGGTGCTGACAGTCAAGTGAGGTATGATTAAAGCAATCAGGCAATCATAGTATCATATGGTAGATGCTGGCTATCATGCTGCTGGCACTTAGTATTGTGGTAGCCCTTAAAGAGGCTGGGCCACTTTGGCTAATCACTTAAGCTTCTATTGTCTATATAATTATGTCTATCCTACCTACCCTATGAGGTGGTTATAAGGCTTCAAGTGGATCAGCATGTGTTTTAGAGTATTGTGAATTATAAAAGTTCTTGCAAATATAGGTAGTGATATGTAATAACCTTTTTGGTACAAGATGTGAATACCTTGTGAACTTGATATATAGAACTTAAAAAGAAATCAGTATGAATAAATAACTTTTGTTTTAACCAATTTGAAATCCAGAACTTTCACATACTTTTTGAAATCTCCCTTGGTTCTTTCTGGAAAAAAAGTCTGTATCAATTAGTGCTGTTACGCTACCTTTTCCACACTTTTATTTCTGCCCTTACTACATAGTACTATAGTTGTGTATCTACACTTTTATCTCACTAGACTGGTGAGACTTTGAGGACAGGGTCCATGTTCATTCATCTTTATATTACTAGTGGCAACTGCAAATAGTAGGTGTTCAACGTATTTTTGTTAAATAGATTTGAGAGGCAATTTTCTAGCGAAGTTGCTTTGTATGGTTGATTATAGTATTTACAAGGCAAGAGGGATATTCAGTCTATTAAAAAATATCCACCCAGCCAGCCTGGGCAACATAGTGAGACCCTGTCTCCAAAAAATATGAAAAAAATTAGCCAGGCATGGTGGCTTATACCTGTGGTGGCAGCTACTTGGGAGGCTGAGGCAGGAGGATTGCTTGAGCATTGGGAGGTCGAGGCCGCAGTGAGCTGTGATCATGCCATTGCACTGCAGCCTGGGCAACATAATGAGACCCTGTCTCAACAAAAAATAAAAAAATTGGCTGGGCATGGTAGCTCATACCTGTGGTCCCAGCTACTTGGGAGGCCGAGGCAGGAGGATCACTTGATCCTTGGGAGGTCAAGGCCGCAGTAAGCTATGACAGTGCCACTGCACTCCAGCCTGAGTGACAGAGCAAGAGCCTGTCTTAAAAAAAAAAAAAACTTTAAAAATATCTAGGCATGTGACAACAAAGCATGCTGGGTACTGTGTGCATCAAATTAAAATTCTGGACTCCAAAGAAGCTCATCCTGCCCATAGTTCAGAGGAAAGGAGAAGGATGTTAGTCTTCTCCTTTCACAGAATGGAGATATTGGAAAACAGGGAAAGTTAGCGAGCTGCATAGGTCACTCAGCATAAAATACGTTAGCAGTTATCTTCACCTCTTTCTTCACTACCAAAGTTTTTCAATTTCATTGTCTCTGGACCTCAAGTTTTCTTGTCTGTAGGATAAGGGGATTGAACCAAACAATCTTTAATGCCCTTTCTAGCTCTATACTTATATTTGAGATTGATGGTTATTTTCTTTTTTATGGGTGAGTTTTCTTTGTAAACAACTAGATAAAATAAACTGAATAACGTAGGAATGATCTCTGCATTTTGTTAAATATGCAGCTTTATTCATCCCACTTTCTGTTATAACAATGTTATCAGGACGACAGTAAAGCAAATTAGAGAAAAGGCAAAACATTAACAAAGATAAGGTTTAAATCAGGCCTTATAGACTGACAGGTACGTCGGCAGGAGAAAGAAAAGGGGGACAGTGATGGGAATGGTAAGGAAGTGCAATAGCTTCAAAGTTTGAAGTTTGTAGTGAGCGCCTGGATTACCTTTGAGAGTTCCCATTTAATTCTATAAGCACTGGAGACCATGTTCAGGCAGGAAGAGAGGACAAAGTTGTACCTGCTGAATGTCATCAAAGGCTTGGCAGGGGATGAAACCAGCATGAGTGAAAAGGAAGAAAAGAGGAAATTGCTAATGACACAGCTGGCACAGGGCTCTGTTATGTGAAAAGAAAGACTGGAATGGAAGCAAGTTCTGAAAGGGAGGAGGGCTGATTTTGCCAAATAGTCATATCATTCAATTAAAATGAATTGGAAAAGATGCTTACAGCTGGAGGGATAGGGCAGCTGGGCAAGCTATTACCTCTCCTGAGTATTTCTCATAACTGATAAAGATTTATCTCAGCTGTCCAGTTGTGGCTTGCAAAAATGTTTATTAATGAGCTTTAAGAAAGATTTCCTATCTTTGTTGAAAACAGGTGTATATTTGAGAGTGTCTGGTTAATTGAAATGAAGGCTTATCGGTCCTCTTATTTTAATAGCATCCCTTGATCCCCACTCTTGAAGAGCAGGCATATATTCAGAGATATTTTTTATTACTATAGGGAATGTCCTTGCATGTTTACACTCTTTATTATGATATAATTGTTTTTTTCTAGTATTCTTTGTATTTCTTTCTACTTCTTGAGTTTTAAATTCTTGGATTATTTCAGTATTATGCAATGTGGGAACATAGAAGCTTGGCTTGACAATGCTACTGACAATTTATATGTCAGGGTGTAACTGCCTGGCATATTCTTTGCTGTTTTGCATTCCTTTGCAAAGTATGCCTTTGTTTAGTCTTGAGGGAGTAGGCTTCTCCCATTTTCCATATACTTGGGACATGGTTAATGACGGTTCTGCTTTGTATGGAATGCAGATGTTTGCATTTTCACAGTTTCTCCAATTGCTTCTCCACTCCTTTTTCAAACTGCAAAGTGTCTAATCTATAGTGAAGGATTGAGGCATTTTTTCCTGTTATTTCTAAGAAAAAGTACATGGGTTATGGCAGACAAATTGTACCTCCTTTCCAATTTGTCTCATTTATTTTTAAAATACTACAGTCTGTTTTTGTACCATATGTAGCTTGTTATGGAAGGTTTGGCTAATTAATTATTATTCTTTGGAGTTATAAGCTCTTTTTGAGCAGTATGTCTTTAAAGCTAGAAAACATTTTGTAAAAGCTAAATGTTAAGTATCTTTATAATTTTGCATTGTAGTTGCACGTTATAGTTTCGAATGAGTCTATATCATCATTACATAAGATAAGAAGCTTTTCATCCACCATGAGAATTTAAGATGATATATCTAAGCACATGGTACCCAGATGAATTTTAATACCATTACTTAAATACATGGATTCTCTCTGGGGAAATAATTGATACCCATAAATGGCCACTTTTAGTTTATCTATTTTAAGAGTTGATTTATTTTTTAAAGAGAAGAAGCTCTGGGGATTGAAATATTTACTATAGACATGCTGGATCCAACCAAAAATACAAATATATATGTATATACAGATTTCCAAGTTAACCCATGATATCTGGGATCCTTTTATTCACCTGACTTATGATCTAAGTCTTGGCTCTCCAGGGAAGGCAGTGGCCCCACCTTTTCCTGTTGGAAGAAGTGATTTTGTGTAGTACATCTGGGCGGTTGTGAGGATGGCCACAGCCCTGAAGGTAGTTATGGTCAAAGCCAGCTTAGGAGAATGGCGATAGCCAGGCTCAGCCACCCCAGCCATGAGAAAAAAAGTTATAGGGACTATTTCCTGCACTGTTAATGTCCTTGCAACTATACATCTCCAAATTCTTTTTCTTTCTTTTCTTTTTTTTTGAGATGGAGTCTCGCTGTCTCCCAGGCTGTAGTGCAGTGGCATGAACTCGGCTCACTGCAACCTCCACCTCCTGGGTTCAAGCAATTCTCCTGTCTCAGCCTCCTGAGTAGCTGGGACTACAGGCATGTGCCACCATGCCTGGCTAATTTTTTTGTATCTTTTAGTAGAGACGGGGTTTCACCATGTTGGTCAGGCTGGTCTCGAACTCCTGACCTCAAATGATCTGCCCGCCTTGGACTCCCAAAGTGCTGAGATTACAGGCGTGAGCCACCGCATCTGGCCACATCTCTAAATTCTTAAAAACCTATGGGATAGGCAGTGAATGTTCACTTTTTTCTATTTTGTTTAGCACCAAACTTTTTATTTTGAATGAGTTAAGACTTACAGAAAAGTTGCAAACAAATTTACACTTTAAAGTTGGGCAGACTGAATTATAGACGAATAAGTGATTCATCTAAATTCTAACAAAGTGGTGCTTAATAAATATTTACTGACGAGAATAAGAAAGAACTGGAACTGTGCTCTCCTGATTCTTTGTCCTGTGACTATTTTACTCCTCCTTGCATTTCTTATGGTTAAAAATTCACTCTTTTAGATATGCATACTTTACAGTAAATTATAAGTTATTCTCTGGTAGCTACAAATTGAGAAAGAGTGTTTGGTATTTTACTATTTCTTATTAATAAGTAACCATGTACTGCAAGGTGAAAAGACATCTATAAACACAAGAAAGTCTTTAATGCCATTGATTACTGTTTATTGACCTATGTTATTTTTATCTTCACAGAAATTGGCCCAGTGACAATTACCACAGATCCCAAGAAATTTCAATATGAACTCAGAGAACTGTATGTTCAGGTGAGTGCTTGCTTTCAGTGTTCTCTTGGGGGAATGGAAAATCATGAGCCTTTGGCTGATTTTCTTTATTTTTTAAATCTAAAAGACATAGTTGTTGGCTTTTTAAGGGACCCAATAATTGCCACATCCCCCAGCCCTCAACCTGAGTCTGGAATGAATTGAACAATACATACAGAAATAGGACAGATGGGGTTTGAAATATCACCAGTTAGTTACTACCTATGGCTGGTTTACACTATCACGGCAGAGTTGAGTAGTTGTGGCAGATTGGTCCCTTTAAGGAAAAAGTTTGCTGACCCCTGCTCTACATAAGTCTTTTTGCTTAGAAATATAAGGAACGGTTAATAATTCTTTTCCCATAAAATTAATGGCATAACTAAGGTAATTTTGATATTCTATGCTGCTATAAGTCAGCCATATGAAATGTTTGACTGTACATATAACTTGGTTATTAGAGAAGATGAATCACATTGGTTTAAATGTTATTCTGAAAACAGAACTTAGAGGTAAAGTTGCAATGCATCTTCTTCTGGTGCTGAATTTATTCATTTAAAAAATTGGCTTTTCCGAGGCTGTTTCACTGTACTACCTTCTATGGTCTCTGCCTCTGTTATACTCAGACTTTTTGGCCACTTTCCATCATTCATTTTGGCGATCGGTACCTGCCTCATTGGCTGCCTTTCCTCCCCAGGACTGCCATTATTCTGAGTGACTTCAACATTTATGAGAATGACCTAGTCAGAATAGTCCCTTTTCAGTTCCTTGACCTACAAGTTATCTTCAATGACCTTTTCTTTACTCTCTCTTAGTCATCTATTTCCACAAACATCCCCTAGATCTTGTTATCATCTGTTTCCTCTCTTAGATAATTCAGACATCTTAATCAACAATTACCTGTGCACTGAGCGGGTTGGTGCAACTTTTTACACTACAACCACTCCCTTACCCTCAGCAAGCACTCCAGTCCACTGACCCCTACACTGTCTCCCAGGCCATCAGATTTCTTATTTTTCACTTCTTCTAATCTAGCTTAGAGTTTTTTTTTTATCATTTGAACACTGCTTTTTCTCCTTTGTCCATTGCCTTTCTGTTCAAAAGGCATAACCTCATTCCTGAATGACCTCAACTGTCTGCATTATTCATGCTTATCCACGAGTGGCCAAATGTGGTTGAAATTTCACAACATGACACTTTGAGTCTCTGGTGAATTCATAGCCACCTAACTCAAATGGACTCTTAATACTCCCATGATGTTACTATGTTTGTTTGATCAATAAAATCTTCCTTTCTTCTCAATGACAATTCCAAATCTTATTCACTCTCTTTTAACCTATATCTCACCACCCTTTTACTACTGGTTATTTCAGCAGATGATCTACTCAGAGCAAGTGACCTCATTTTCACACACAGTCACAAACAAATGAAGCCCTCTGCTTCCTCATATGTAACATATAATCCATTTCCATCCAGCACCTATCCTATCCTTATTCACTTGATCTCAATTCCTTGGCTTTCTTGGGATTTTAACACTATCAAACTGTTTCTCTCAACTGTTAAAGAGTTCCTATTGAGGCTGGGCACAGTAGCTCACGCCTGTAATCCCAGTGCTGCTTTGGGAGGCAAAGGCAGGAGGATCATTTGAGGCCAGGAGTTTGAGACCAGCCTGGGCGCATAGTGAGACCCTGTCTCTAAAAGAGAAAAAAAAATTCAGCCAGGCATGGTGGTGCATGCCTGTAGTCCCAGCTACTTGGAAAGGTGAGGGTGGAGGATCACTTGAGCCCAGGAGTTCGAGGCTACAATGAGCTATTATGATACTACTACACTACAGTGTGGGTGACAGGATGAGACCCTGTCTCCAAAAGAAAGCAAAAAAAAAAGTTTTCATTGTTTTTTAAATATGTATGTTCAAGTCTCAAAAACATACAAACAAATCCCAACAAACAAAACCATAAAAAACAAAACAAAATAAACAACAAAAAATTTCAGTATTTTTCTCAAGTTCTCTTACAAATAATTTCTATTCTCTCAATTCCCTCAATGCCAACCGCATTGTCTATGTTCACTGCTATCATTTCCTTACTCCCATTTCTGCCATTCACTCTTCAATCTATTTCAATCTAGTTCCCATTCCTCCCACTGTATCAAAGTAGCATTAGCTAGTGACCAGTGATATCCATTTTGCTAAATGCAATGGAAATGCTCCAGTCCTCATCATACTGAATAGACATCTCTGTAGTCTTTGACAACATTGGACTCTCCCTCCTGCTTGACACACTTTGTTCCCTCATCCATGTTTCATTTTTTAATCTCATTTTTCCTACTCAACTTCTTAGGAAACTTCATTTCCTTCCACTTGGCCATTGAGTATTGGTGTTCCTCAAGGTTTTGAAACTGGCTCCTTTTTGTTTTCTCATTTTCTATCCTCTCCTTAGGTAAAATCATCCATACCATGTAAATATGCTTTAGCCTTGACCTCTTTCCTGAGGAACAGACCCTCTTTTCAGTCCTTGGATGTCACAATGGCCTTCTAAAATGAAATTCATGAATGTTCTTTTTCCAGTACCCTAAATGTGGTCCTTAATCCTTGGCTTTTGTCTCCTCCTTGTTACCTTTGTGAATGATGTTATAGTATTCTGGTTACCCAGCCAAATATCTGGATACTTCCTTAATACACCCTGCACTTTTACCCCTTATAGTCAGTCCAACTGTTAGTAAGTGTTGTTTGTAACTTTCTAAATACCTTTTAAATCAATTGACTCCTCTCCATTTCTTTTGACACCATCTGAGTCCCAATTACCATATCTTTAGTCTAAACAAATGCAGAAAATCTTCTAAGGGATTTTCTTGCATTTATTCTTGCTTCTATTTTCCAGGCCTAGCTTCTCTACTCTGCAGACAAAGGGATCTCAGAATACAGCTCTGAAAGTTTCTGCCTTGTACCATATCTACTTGACTCTTTACCCACACCTCATCAAATTCTTCCTATGGTTCTGGGTTCTGAGTGATCTAAGACCTTCCTACCTTTCATTCCCATCTAGTGCCACTCTTTCTCCTAGGCTCTGTACTCTGCTGCAGAGGCCTTGCATAGAGCTTCCCCATATCTGTATCCCCACCCATCTCCTCAGGGCATTTTTGCACATGCTGTTCTCGCACAGAGAGTTCCTGTCTTTCAGTCTGCCCTCATTTCCACACTCCCTTAACCTAGTTTAAAATCCTGTATTCAAAGTCTCATCTTAAATAATACCACTTCCTCAGAGAATCCTGCCCTATTTTCTTGGCTGGGTCATTTCTCACTACCTTTCTCTGTCATAAAGCAGTTGGGAGTTCACATTGAAGGACTGCGTATAATTTAGCTTATTAAATACCCCAGTAAAAGGACTGGCATATAGAACATGTTCACTTTTTAATAAATGAATGAATGAATGAATATACCAGAATATGCAGATTAACAGAGTCCAAATCAGAGTTTGAAGTATAATACTGTCATCGATTCACTGTTGGATAAATGACTTAATTCGGATCTGCACATAGTAATGAGCATAATTGAGGCATAGGGTATGAAACTGGAAGTTTGGCATTCCAAATGTGTATTCAAGGGTGATTCTATTTTGTCCATGTCTCCATTTGTAAATTATATACTAAATTGAATTGTATTTGATAAATATTTAAATAGATTTATATAATTATCTCTTGATTATTTTTCTCTGTTACTGGATTTTTTTTGACATTTTTTTTCACCAACAGTCTTCCATTTCCTTTCTCTTATACCACGGCATTTTTTCAGTCATTATTTTGCTACTTATTTACTATTTGCTTTTCTCTGCCTCAATATAGCAAAAATTCTTTGCCACTTTGGATGTCCAAATTCTCTGAAAAAAAATTTCCTTAGAAACTTATATTATATTCATGGATCTTGGAAATTAGAAACTGCATTGTTCTGGTTGTTTAAATGCTTTCATGTACCCTTATTGCACTGAGTTCCTGAGGACAAGAGCCCTGTAGCTCGTATTAACCTGTGCTTCATCTGGAAGATAAACCAGTGTCTGCAGTAGAGTAGACTTTCAATAGCTGTTGAATAAATGAGTGCCATTTGAGGTGGCTTCTTTTAAAAATGTACATTTAACAGTAAAACTGTATCAAATATTATTTAAACTTTACTTGATGGTACAGAAAATACCCGAAAAACCTAACCATCAGTTTTTATTGCCTTATAGAGAATCAGAAGGGCCAAGTAATGGGAATTTCTAGCAGATAGAATGTTAGGAAGGCATTTATTGTATTCATTTTTTTTTCCTCCGTGACAATACACTCTTATATTCTTGAAAATCTGGCCAGAATGAAAATACCTACCTTGTCAATGAGACCTGGCACAGGCTTCCTGATTGTCTGCCTGTCCCCTTCTTTTGTTCTGAAGGATCTATAGGGAGTGCCCTGATCCTCCTTGCTCTGTTTGACTCCAGGGTGAAGGATCCTGATTCCTGACTCATACTCCATGACTGCCTCTGCAGAGGCCTCCCTCCACCCTCTGGAATTGAATCTGATACAGACACTCTATAAGATTATATAATTTTACCTTTGTTCAGAAAAATAATTTTTCTTTCTTTCTCCCATGCAGTAAAAGCTGGGGTCTATTTCTCTGTAGGTTTCCCCTGGACAGGCTTTATCTTATGGGATTTTCTTTTTTTTTTCTCCCCTTTTCTGCACTTTCATAGGATCCAAAAGGATGCTTAATTAGAACAACCAGCAAGGGAAAAAAATCAAATACTTACTTTTTCCCTTCATTCAACATTAAGCATTGTTACAGGCATTGGGAATACCACAGAAGTGTTTTTACTTTCAAAGTTTCTAGTGAATTATTCTGTCTTAAATCAGTGACAAAAAATTTAAAGGTTAAACATGAAAAGTCTAGTCTACATCATCACTTAACACTAAACTAAAGGATATATTTTGTTCAGTGTTTACTTATAGAATACTTTATTATTTCATTAATCAGTTTGAGATATCTCACAAATTTCTTAAAATTTTAGTATGAGATATAAAATTTTGTTTTATGTATGATTTTCAAACCCTTCTCCAGTTCCCTTTCTGCCATTTTTAGTAACTCCCACAAAATCACTGATATCAAAAGAAGCAAGTATTGTTATCCTATTAAACTAACTTGAACTTTAAAAAAAGAAAACCTTTAAAAATATTCCTTTCATATTTAAATTGGTTTTGAAAACAATGAGAAGTAAATTCAGTTTGAAGTGCATTAATCATCCATTAACATTAGAGCAGGCTTGGCTATTTTTCTTCTAGAGATATGGAATTAACGTGAGAAAAAGCAATCTAAAATTTTCCAGGAAAAAATTAGCAAAAAATTATTACACTTAATTTATTAAATTTGTACCATTAATTTCACTTTCCTTTATCCTCTTTCATCTGGAATACAGAGAAGTAACTTGAAAACAACTGTGCTTTCTCTCTGGGGAAAAGAAGGAAAGACAAATGACAACAAATGGTATTCAAATCACACAGAGCTTTGGAAATTAATATCCTCGTAAATATGCAGTGCAAAGCCTTGCTTTGGGACACATTCTTTATAAGAAACTATAAAGCTTGTTGATTTTTAGAAAATGGTATTGGCAGTGATATGCTTTCAAGCCTTTTATCCAAATGTTTTAAAGAACAGAAAGTATATTAGTCAAACATTCAAAGTGTAAACACACACCCCCCCCAACACACAGACATACACACAACCCCTCAAAACACCAAGTTATTTCTACAATAATGAGATTACAATGCCAACTTTTGTATAAATTGTTGATCCCCCAAATCAAAAGCTTTACATATAATTTAAGTTTCCTTAGTAAAGTCTTTTAATAAAATTGACTTTTTAAAAAAGTAGGAATATGATTAAAAATATCTGGAAAAGCATTGTCACATAGCAACATGATAGAGTTATGAAGATGATAGGGTGAGGTCCAGGAGAATAAATGGGTTTAAACTTCGGCAGGTTAAGGTTAGGGGAAAAAGAATGTTTTCTATAGAAGAACAGTTGATAGAATTAACTGTCTAAGGAGAATATGAAATACCCTCAGATAGGCAAAGACTGCTAAAAAGAGGAGAACAAGATAATGATGATTTTAGAAGAATAATTTACTATGCCAATTTGGTGTATACACTTTATCTAATTTCTAGTTTTTAAAAAAATGCTATTGTATAAAACTGTAACTTTAATTTCTAGATATATAGAGAATTCTTCCATATGAATTTTAAAAAAACATATATGGCTAGACAAATGAAGAAAGCAAATACATTTTAAAAATAAACCAAAAAAGGAAAGAAAAGGCATTATATGTCATCATGGACATAGATATAATGTAGAGCTATCAGAGGTTTGATTTTCATTTTTGGACATGATTAGACATGATTCAACTTAGAAAAGCAGTTTTAATTTCCATTTAAGTTTTCATAATATGCATTTGCTTACAAATATCCTACACACACACACACACACACACACACACACACACACACACACACACACTTTAAAGGAGGACTGGCTTGTATTTAATTTAGGGAAGAAAGTATGATAAGGCATTTAACTCATAGTATGCATAAACCTTCAAGCAGAACAGTGGCCAAAGTACAGGCTCAATAAATGTTATCTATTGCTACTACTAGCTCTAGTACTCCAAAGTTCTTTTAAGGGAAATAATCCCCAAATATTTATGTTGTAAATGAGCAACAGTTTTGGAATATGTGCCTTGCAAAAGGTTTTGCAAGTGTTTTAAAATCATTTTCTCAATTTATACTCACATAAATATTACTATTTCTTTTTATAAATGAGGAATCTCAAGCTTTTTGATATTAGGTAACATGTCTTACACAGGTCACAAAAATAGCAAGTAGCAAAGCTGGTCTCAAAATAAGGTATTTAATGCCAAAGCCAGTTTCCTTTATTGCTTCGCTACTTTCCTTCTAAATATCTGTTTAAATAACCTTATTGATCTAATCAAGTTAACATATTTATTTATATAATTTGTATGTTACTTCAAAGTAGGAAAGTAAAGAATTAAAGACAGATGTATGTCTAGGGCTGATCTCATCCTCAACAAAATGAATTTATTTCTCAAATATTTTTACTTCATTCCTATCTCCAATCACTTTGAGTAACTGGCCCACCAAAAATTACCAAGTAGCAAATGACAAAGTTAATAATAAAATCACTGGCTTTCCTCAGCAAATGTTCTTGGTACTAAGTATGATAAGCTTATTTAAACTCATGCACACTTTGGGGAGAAACAAGAACAAAATATGTTTAAGATATTGAAAGGTACTATATCTACTGTAGGTACATTCATAGGTAGTGTTTTGATTTTTATGTTTAGTGTTGAAATTCCTTTGGGCCTGAATGAAGCATCTATTAAAACTTTAGTTTGCAGTTCGAGTTTTCTATTAGAGTTTCTGCTAGAGTAAAGAATTCTCTGAGGGACAAACCATCCTACATCCCCAGAGAACAAGGAATAGAGACTGCGACAAGACAGTGGAGGACAGGAATGGGAATGTTTGACCCTTTTTTAGGTATCCATTTAGGTACCCTATCCAGAAGCAAATACGTTGTTGATATTGTAATGATCTTTTGTGTAAACTTCAAAGGACAAAGAATATTGAAGGCTATTTTGACTGTTGGATTACTTTTTCAAAATGGAATATACAGGTGATTAGAGTGGGGTGGATATTATAATGGGAAATTTCTTGAATTTCTTTTAAAAGTGTGCATCTATGGGAATATCCTTAAGGGTAAATACATGAGTCATTGCGTGGCAAATATTGCAGATTCCTGTGGCCAAATAACATTTAAGAGAAAGAATACACTAAACTATGATGCCTGGATTCAATCCATATGTGCTGCTTAGGCAACCAACAGATTGTTCTATTCCCCACAATAAGTACTAAATCTGATTTTGTTAGTTTTTAGGTGATGGTAAGGATGGAGATCAAAACAGTTTCCTTGGGAGAATTGTCCTTGATCTACAGACAGGATTCCTAGAGAAAACTATAAATCTCATTTTTTCAGAGTTGCTAGCAGCTGCAGCTAAAAAACAAACTCATTTTCAGTGAAATGGACATAAAGGAAAATTAGAATTTTTTCTCTATCCAAACTGGGTAGGAGCAGTTAGTTCTCCGAAAGCATCTTTTTTTATTCCTAGACCTTAAAAAAAAATTCAGGAGAATTGTGGAGTCCTAGTATTGGAATTGATTTTGAATATCACTTGTCCAGTTACCCCGTCAGATGTTGGAATCCCTTCCAGCAACCTGTCAGTACCCCAGACCTGAGTAACACTAGTTAAAGATTTGATAGCACTGGATTTTGTCACCAGATGATACCTGGGGGACTCCTATGGAGCAATGTCTGGGGAGCTTCTTTTAATGCTGGAGGCTGATATCAGCTTTCTTTGGCAGGCATATTACATTATTGAATACTGATTCTGTCATCAGCTAAGTCCCTCAGGTTTCCTTACATAAATGTTTAAACTAGGTCTCTATCCTTTTATATTCATGGTGATTTTTTAAAATCCTGATTTATTTGCTCTATCATATATGTAGTCATTGCCTTTAAGATCTTATTTCATCATTTTTTAAATGACTACTAAAAACAATGTAAAATTTGCGTACCTCAAACTTTCTTATAATGTGATGTCTTTGTAAATCATAATGATTTTATTAGTAAAAATGCATTTTTCCATTTTGCCAAGAGAGGAAATTACACAAGCAGTATAAATATATTTTTACCACATTAAATAATCACAGCATTCCAATCTTCATTAACTAGCTAATAACAAAGATAATACCAAATGTGCTAGACGGCATGCAGAATCCATATGTGAGTGTTGGAGCAGAAGGAAGAGAGAAATTTCTATGGCTAGGTAGAGTCTTGACTAGCAGAGAGGAAAAACAGAGAAGGATCATAAGAGAGGAAGAACTGGGAGCAAGAAGGTCTGCTCAGAGCAAGTATAGGTATGGTGAATGCTTCCTCCTCGAATAAGCAAATGATGATTGGCTAGTAAGACCTTCTTAGACCCTGTCCCTGCCCCCTCTGGCTCTTGCTCCCTAAGCAAACAAGGGAACCACTTGTTAGGTGGGACCAGGAATCCATTCCAACCAGGGCAATGGCAGTGTCTTAATTTTGAAGGTCACAATAAAAAGATACCGAATCCTTGAAGAGGGTAAGAAAGAATTCTCTAAGAAGCTGAGAAGAGGATGGTTACTGAAGGGTGACTGAGAATACTGAGATATAATTTGTTAGTTTCCCATTTTTGCCTACGGTTAACCCTGCCTGCTTCTTCTTTTTATTCTTGGTTGTCTCCATCCTATTTCCCTCTTCAAAGGACCACTTACTGTCCATTATAACTCATGTGAATTATGAAACTTTTGATTTTTTTTAATGTATTAGGCACAACATTTTCTAATTTGCTAATCAAGATATTGAGTGCCTGGTACATAGTGCAGTTTTTATAAATATTTTATTTGAAGCAAACTGAACCTTCTCCAAAGACCCAACAAAACATGTCCCCTGAAGACCCACCTAAGCTCTACTAGCTCCCTTGAAAGAAGGTCCAACGAGTTGAAAGATCAGTTGCCGATGAGTTAAATCCTTACCAGTGACAGGTGATAATCTGAAAGCATGGACATTGTTGTAATTGTTACCTTTACTGTGCCTGGAATTGTGGTCAGCAGTTCTTTGATGCTTTAATTTGGATTTCACCTTCTTTGAGCTTGTTTGGTCATCAGTGAATGTGTAGCAAAGAGCAGCATAGTTTGACTGTCTGGGATGTAACATCTTTTATTTAGATTTTGGAGATTTGAGGTTTGGGCTCTGCAATATTCTGATTGTCTCTCAGTACATCCCTGCAATATATTCTACAAGTAATAAAAGCCAGCACATGTCACTGACGAACTCTGTAATTATTCTAATTTGTTTTATATTTGCTTCGATGCAACTTTAAATTTGATTCAATGTAATTTAATGGTTTTCACATGTACATCCTGTTTTCTTGGTAAAAGAATTGCACAACTGTATTTTAAGAAAGAGAGCTGAGAGTTGTAAAATTTTGTTCAGCTTTAGACTAGGCGTGGTGGCTCACGCCTGTAATCCCAGCACTTTGGGAGGTTGAGGTGGGTGGATCATCTGAGTTCACGAGTTTGAGACCAGCCTGGCCAACCTGGTGAAACGCTGTCTCTACTAAAAAATACAAAAATTAGCCAGGCATGGTGGCGGGCACCTGTAATCCCAGCTACTCGGGAGGCTGAGGCAGGAGAATCTCTTGAGCACCAGAGGTGGAGTTGCGGTGAGTGAGATCGCGCCACTGCACTCCAGCCTGGGCGACAGAGCTAGACCCTGTCTCAAAAAAAAAAAAAAAAGGAAATTTTTTTTTGTTCAGCTTGAAACTGAGTTGCATACCTAAATTTTACAGGTAAGGGACAGATTACACAAATAAGACATTTCACACATGGGTGTTCCCTGTGAAAAGGATGTAGTCTGACTTTGAAACTAAGCGCAAACTCTAGTAGGTTATACTCATGTTAGAATAAGGGTAAATATTGTAATGCCAATAAGAATTATTTTGAACTTAGTCATGAGTCTATAAAAAAGTTTCAATTTTTATTGCTTAGACTTAGGCATCTGGAAAACAACTGATATAAAAACGAGTTCAATGAAAAGACGAGAATAGAAGAATTGAAATAGGTTGACTAGAAGATAAATGATAAGGCATGGGAGCATGCTTGCTCTGAGATTAACATTCTTGGGTCTCTCTGGTCCATCATTTGATGTAGATTTTCCCATTAGGATTCAAACAGGGACTTCATTTTTTTTCCAACTCCTCTCACAGTTTAAAGTTTCAGTTTATTCCAGTGCCGTTCCTACACTGTCTTGTATTTAGAAAAGACAGCAAGATAATCTGTGTTTTACTACTCCCTTGAATGATAAGATTTCTATTCATTCTTATTTAATCTTGTTTTCCAGGAATTCATTTTGTAAACATAATTATCACCGTAACTCTGAAGTTACAGTTTTTTAAAAATATTTTTTATTCCAGGAGCAACATTTACTGTGAAAGCTCACATGCTTCTGTTTTTCTTAGTACACGTTTTTCTATCTGAAAGGTCTTTGGCAATTTAGTAAATTGTAGGTATCAGTAGAATTATAAAGATAAAATGTCAATCAAAATATTGAGCAGGACTGTGCATACTGATACTAATTATCTATATTTCAGGGTTCAAATAAAAGCACAGGTTAACAAACTCAGACCCTTTCTAAAATGTATTTAGGGAGCTGTCTAATTCTATGCATTATACAGTTCATCTCCATTATACCTTTCATTTGTGTGTGTGTGTGTGTGTGTGTGCATGTTTCTGTGGTTTTAGGAAATATATTTACATAGCCATGTTGGTTTTATCATGTTGATTATTCATCCTGACTGTATGCCAGGACAGAGAGGGGTGTGGGGGAGAGATCAAACATAGGGGGAGTTAGCTTTATACACTTGTACTTTTAGAAGGTTTAGTTCTGGAATTGTATTACTCGAAATGGGATGGGCTAGGCTTAAGTCAAGCTCAGGCTGAGTATGTTAAGTGTACCTCGAATATGTCAAGATTGCTTTGCAAAATCTTTCACCCATGTACTCACTAGTCATTTATCCATTCATTCATCAAACAACAATGGAACACCTACTAAGTACTTCAAAAAACAGAGATCTAGTAGGAGGAAATATAAATTATAATACATCTTATTGAATACCACAAAAGAAGAATAAACAATATTCTGTAGGTATCTAGAAGAATGGAATTTTCTTCCTCTGATTATACAGTGTCTCTGAAAGCTACTTGCTTATAGTCACAGAAGTTCAAGAAGATAATAAAATGCCTCACAGGAGTTTGCATGAATTTTCAGGCCAGGCATAATTAAGTTCAAATCTCTGCTTTTTCACTTACTAGTTGTGTGACCCTGAGAAAGGATTTTCAGAAGTTAGTACTCCGTCAATAAAACATGTTAAAAGTGATACTTACCTTATCCATTGATGTAAAGAATAAATAACATAGTGTTTGTGACAATACTCTCTCAGCACTTGGCTCAGAGTAGACATTTATTGAATTAACACAGGTAAAGTGTCTTATTACCGAGAAAAGTACTGATTAAATCAAGAAGACCTTCTATAGATTTAAGTTCTTCAGTTGTAAGTTCTTCCATCATAAATGTTTATGGATTATGATTTTACATTTCTTCTATTTGGTATTCAGGTCAAAATGAAACTGCGGCAGACGTTTAAAGGATTTATTTTATTTATTTATTTATTTATTTTTTGAGACGGAGTCTTACTCTGTAGCCCAGGCTGGAGTGCAGTGGCATAATCATGGTTCACTGCAGTCTCCACTTACCCAGAGCCTTCTGAGTAGCTGGGACCACGTGCCAGCTATATGCCTATATGCCACCACACCCAGCTAATTTTTTTTTTTTTTTTTTTTTTTTTTTTTTTTTTTTTTTTTTTTTTTAGAGACGGGGATTTCCTCTGTTGCACAGGCTGGTCTTAAGCTCCTGGGCATAAGAGATCTGCCCTCTTTGGCCTTCCAAACTGCTGAGATTACAGATATGAGCCACCATGCCTGGCCAGCAGTAATTTTTTTTTCTTAAGTTTGGAAATAAAACTTACAAGAGTTTGTTCTTATAGTTTCAGTCACATTTCCATTACTTCCAATTTTTAAATCAGCTGACACAAATCAACCTACAGTCTCTGACTTTGTGAGGCTTATTTATAAAAATGAACAATTTTAGCAATGCTTCTGCAGCCTAGTCCTGTTCTGCCAAAGCTAAACTGAAAGATCAGAAAGTCCGTTGATGATTTGAGAGAAACACTATAAAGAAACCAGTGGGTTAAAGATGTGTGTGTGTGTGTGTGTGTGTGTGTGTGTGTGTGTGTGTGTATGTATACATATATGATAAAGTTTGATATATGTGTGTGTATATATATAATCCTTGTTTATAAACTTTGTGTGTGTGTGTGTGTGTGTGTGTGTGTGTGTATAAGCAAAGGGAATAATTTGTAGATTTTTGGAGTAAGTTGTACCTTGATTCTTGATCCTTAGTAAATTAAAGCAATTTAAATTTTGCCTCTAATAACTTCTGCCAGGAAAGAAAGTTCATGAAAGACTTAATCAAAGCAACAACCTTACAATTAACAGTCTAAAATTAAGTCTACATAAGTCAATCAAATGTATCATTCTAAAGTAGTGCTGTCCAACAAATAATGTGAACTATGTATGTAATTTCAAAAGAAGTTGAAATTAATTTCAATAATCTATTTACTTAACTGAATATATCCAAAATATTTTGATATGTTATCAATATAAAAATTAGCACTGCTTTAGTTTTTTAATTTAAATTTTAATTAAAATAAAACTTAAAAATTCAGTTTCTCATTTTCACTAGCCACATTTCAAGTGCTTAATAGCCACATGAGGCCAGGTAGTGGCTACTGTGTTAGTGCAGAGGTAAAGCATTTCTTCCATAGATCATTTTATTTATTATTATTATTATTATTTTGAAATGGAGTCTCGCTGGGAGTCACCCAGTCTAGAGTGTAGTGGTGCGATCTCGATTCACTGCAACCTCCGCCTCCTGGGTTCAAGCAATTCTCCTGCCTCAGCCTCCTGAGTAGCTGGGACTAGGCACATGTTGCCATGCCTGGCTAATTTTTTTTTTAATTTTTTATTTTAGTAGAGACAGGGCACCATGTTGCCCAGCCTGGTCGCGAACTCCTGAGCTCAGGCAGTCTGTGTGCCTCAGCCTCCCAAAGTGCTGGGATGACAGGTGTGAGCCACTGCACCCAGCCTCATAGATCATTTTAATGGCCACTTGTGATTTAAAATTATTAGAAAACCGAACTGAAATATCAGATAGAGAGCTTTTATAACAAGATAATACTGTATGTTAACTTCTTTTGGAAAAAGAATAAGCTTATTTTTCTTTTCAGGACCTTCTATCCACAATGAGATAAACACATAGCTTTATTAAGATATGAATTATTAGTTAACATTTACTTTTAATTTTCAGTTAGCTAGAAGCAGAAAGGTAATAATTTAAATATACTGTATTATTTTTTGAAGAATTTTACTCCTGAGAACACTTATAATCAATATGATTACAATATAATCTGTGTTTGCAGATTATATTGCAAATGTGAAATTTGGGGCAGAATAGTCATTTTTATTATAAAGACTGCACTGATTTCCATAGCAGGAAAAATATAATTAAGCTGCATAGAGCACTCCTAAAGGATATATAAGCACATCCAGTCTTGGCTTCTGACATGTGTGAGTCAAAGTGTTTCTTTTTTAAACATTTATTTATTTTTTTAAGAGATAGCTTGCTATGTTGCCCAGGCTGGAAGGGAATTCCTGGTTTCAAAGGATCCTCCCACCTCAGCCCCCCAAGTAGCTGGGACAACAGGCATGCGCTACCATGCCTGGCTTAAAATGTTCTCTTTTTACTTGACATTCTCCAATTTTCCTGGCTGCTTTGAGACTTTTTGTTAGTTCTTTCATAAAAGTCAAATAATTCATTTTAGAGTATATGATATTATAAAAGTCCAAGAAATAAAAGGATATTTGTGAAATTCTCTGTGGGGTTTTAGTTGTGTCAGCTCACCAAACTCTTTCCTTTGATTATTAACCAATATTAAGCCTCATATACATAAAGCTCCAATGTTTCACAAAGTGGCTTTTTTTTTCCAGGAAAATAAGGTGGTTCTAATACTTACAGAAAAGGTTGTTGACCATCTTGATTTTATTAATATGTGGTTAAACTGCTTTATTCAAATTTATAGGCTGAAAAATGTTTGTAGTCTTAGAGACCCTATTTCAGTACATGATTTTTTTAGGGCTGCATTCAATTTTAGGTTGAGCTTGAAGTTCCTGGGAGATTCCAATGGGATTAATTCATCTGGAGTCCTTTCAAGGATTCTAGTGGTCTCTACAGTCTACTCCTGGGTAATGTTTCAGGATTCCTAGGGAAGTAGGCATCTATAGGTCCTCTTAGGGCAAATTTATACCCAAGTCAAACGGCTCAGAGAGGATCTCTCACTCAATAACTGGACAAGGTTTATCATTCCTTCTATTCCTAATATGTGCCTTCAGATATTTCTTAGCTGTCCTCATGTTTGGCCCATAGACAGAAAACTTCTCCTAGTGTGTTGGTACACACATGACAATTAGTAAAAGACATTTAATCTCTCCTTAGAATTATACTACCATGGAGTTGTATTGTGTACTTGACCATTCAACAAATGCTTGTAGAATGGATAAATTATATTGTGGTTCACACTCAGGTGCACAGTGTCATGCGCAGTTGAGGAATGTTTTTCTCTAAGCTTCTGAATATACAATAGGAATTTAAATTTTTTTGAGCATCCCAGAATATCCATTACAGATTATACAAAATTGGCTGCAAGTAAAGATTATTTCTATCCAATATACCAAAATTACTAACATGTCTGTCTATTTCCCACTTTCCTATTACATAAATTTTCATTCAAGGTCATTGTTGCACATGATAACCCTCCAAATAACTGTTATGCAAAGGAAATATGTTAAGTACCACTAAAGTGTAAAGCATAGTAGAATACATCTGAAGAGTGAGTAAGCACATTTGACTGGAAACAAAGCTTTAAAGAGGGGAAGGCATATTATCTCAACCATTGTGAGATAATAGTTTAATCTGAAAAATATTTACTCAGTGATTAAGCCAGCACTGTGCTATGAACTGAGGATTCAAGGACTCAGCAAAGCACAGTTCCTTGCCATCAGTGAGCTTATACAATAATGGAAGAATTTAGACATGCATATTTTGTTGAGAAGTGTTTAATGGTAGAGATAGAACAGTAGAAAGACTACTTGAATGAAAATTGTTATGGCATTAAGGTGTGAAGCAAGGGGAATATTAAAAATTCCCTATTTCAATATTAAACATTTATAATATTAAAAATTCTATAAAAAAAGAATCTCAGCTTAAAGGGAGCAATTTGTGGAGAAGGAGCAACAGGAGATAGAAAGATAGAAAGATTATTTGATCCAACACAAGTAGTGAAATATTTTAAGTAGGAACGTGATGTATATACCTCTTTACTGCAGGCAAAATAAAGTTAAGTGGAAGGAAAAGCAGAAAATCAGATAGGAGTTTGTACATGTAATAAAATTAGTGATAAGAAAAGTGACTAGTGGGAAGTGAAGAGAAAGGGAAGGGACAGATTTATGGAAGTCGAATGAATGACCACTGATTAGATGAAAGAAGAAGGAGGAGTCAAAAATGACTCAGGTTTTGAAACCAAATATCTATGCAGATAGCACGGTTAACAAAAATAGGGATGACACAGCAGAAAATATGAGTTCTGTTTTAAATGCACTAAATTGGAGAGGCATATAGAACACCCAGGAATAGAGGTCTAACAAGAAATTGAAAATGTAAAATTAGAACTTGAGAGATAAGTATGGTCAAAAGATACAAATATACTAGTTGTTGAGAGCGGTGTTATTTGTTAAACTAAATGCCTCAAAAATGCATATAAGTGATAGGAGGTAGGAGATAAGTTCTGCAAAAAGAGAAAGGACTGCTAACTCGATAACATTTTGGGGAATCTATGGCTGGTATATTTTCCAAAGTGAAGATCAGGTTACTACATCTTCTAGCCCCATGCAATTAAGAAAGTGACCTAATATTTAATGAGTCTCTCAGTTTTAGAGTCAATTTTTAACAGCTGATGCTCTGTTTCAACCTATTTAACAAATAATGCTCAAAGGCTGTAAGTTTTGATCGGGATCCAGTACAAGAAAAGATTCTCCACTTCATCCAGGCTAGCTACATTGTAAACTATTCTAATACTTGGTTCTTATGACCCTGATTAGATCTATGGTGTTCACGGTATCTGTATCAGAATATGAGACTGTTGGAGCCTGCTGAAAGACCCAATAGGAAAATCAAATAGGATTTCCAGAGTTTAATGATAAAGCCTTACTCCTTTCATGAATAACTATTTTCTTTCTGAGAAAGAGCTCTTACTTGTTGCACTCTGCTGCCATAAAGCCCACATGATCCCAAGCTGCCCTGCTTTTTATGTGATTGCTTATTCTAGGCCCTGACCTCCTTCAGGACAAGGTATTTTAGCTTATTTGTTGTTGGATGCCCAAATCTCAGCAGGGTGTTCAGCAATTATGTATTAATTGCTCAAATTATATTGATCAAAAGTCCATTCCCTTGGCCCTATAGTTATTGCTATCAGTTTGTCTGTTTGTCTATCTACCATTTATAATGGAGAAGTAAAATTTGAAAGAGCACTAATATTTCAACAGCAGTGAAATGGTTGACTAAAGTATGGAATATAGACATAATAGAATGTTATGCCATTATTCAAACCTGTGGTTTTAAACAATGCTGATGACATGGAAACAAACAGGATATAATTCTGAATCTAAAATATAATGTATAAAAGTGTAAATACAGCAAACTCACAATTTCATGTACCAATCCACATAATTATGAAGGAAATAAATGTGACAAGAATTGCTCTGAGGATGGGAACAGTTTTTGTTTAGGAAAACATATTGAGCCTATTCAAGTAGAAAATAAAACACAGAGATTATAGGTTAATAGGAAAAATGAAACAGAGTCAGAGTGAAAAGAATGACAAACAGAATGCATTTTATGTCAGATAGTCAGGGAAAGTTTCTCTGGCAGGTATGAAGTGAGCAGAAGTTTGAAGGAGTATGGAGACATGCCATGCTGGAATGATTTAGTAAAGAGTGTGATGGAGTAGAGAGATCACCTTGATTAGTTCCCAGGTGAGTAGTTAGCCCTAGCCATGGGTCCATAGCCATGAGTGCAAGCAAGTGCTTCACGATTAAGGCAGGCATCTGGCTGCTTCTGCAGATGGGTTAACAGGTATTGTGGTGGGAGCTTATGAACATTCTCTTCTGATTGCTTCTGTCTTCTCAATACAATAAGCAAGGTCATCAAATAAGAATGAGAAAAAGTAAGAGAAGAGGGGGTGTATGAGATCATCGTGTAAGAGAAGGCAGAGTGAATAGACATTTAATTTTATAAATATATAGCTATTATTTTGTGTGTTTTGGGTGAATTTCTAACTTATCCTTAAGTACACATTTTTCTAGTTCATATCACTTTACATATCTTCCATCCCTTCTTGAACAAAGTGTCAAACTGACAGAAAATAAAAAGGAAAACTTGCTCGTTCTAAAACTCCCAAAGCACCTTGTTATAACCAAAATATTCAATTGTTTTTGATGATGACGTAATTGAATTTTTCTCTCCACTCAACAGGGTGGTGGTGATTGCCCAGAAATGAGTATTGGAGCTATAAAAATTGCCTTGGAAATTTCTCTTCCTGGTTCTTTCATCTATGTTTTCACTGATGCTCGGTCCAAAGATTACCGGCTCACCCATGAGGTGCTGCAACTTATCCAACAGAAACAGTCACAAGTGAGTAAGAATCAACCCCAAACGTCTCTGTCTAAATGCAGTATGTAAGAGATTGCCTGTCCTCTTTGACTCTTCCATGTGTGGTCAATAACAATAATTATAACTATCTATCCACATGTATGTTCTCCAATATGTATATGTCATCTGATTTAAACATATTAAACATATATGTGATATTTATACATACCATATGAATGTCTTGGTTTTCAGTATGGAGAAGACATGATTGGGGATTAATTAAGGTACTTGTTATCATCTTTTCCTTATAACTGACAAAACACAGGCCTAACCAAAAAAGGCTTATATTCCAATGTTATCTCCGATGTGGAATCACGCCTGAGTCAGAGTTACTCATTGTATCAGCTATTGCTGCATGACAAACTTTTCAAACACTCAATGGTCTAAAACAATAAGCATTTATTTCTCACATGTTCACAGAGCTCAGTTGATCTAGGCCAGGCTTGCTCACTGGTGTGTCTAGGGAATAGTGTGGGTTTTGCTTATCTAAGCTTGACTGTCAGGAGACCTGGCTTTGCCTCATAGTTGTCTTACCCTCTTTTTGAGACCAGTAAGTTGGTTTAGGCATGTCCTTCTCATGGCCATGGCAGAAACACTTGAGAGCAAATGGAAATACACAAGCCCTCTTGGGTCTCAGCCCAGAACTTGTAGAATGTCATTTTTGCCTCATGCTATTGGCCAAAGGAAGTCACATGGACAAGCTTAGATTCACAGATGACAAAATAAGCTCTACCTCTTTTATAAGAAGAACTCAGAATCTTTTGACTGAGTGATACAGGGAGGGGTGAGGAATTGAGGCCATTCTCTGATCTAGCATAGTCATGGTCTCACTTCTACTTCTACAGCTTTTAGCCTACACTTCTAAAATATAAATCACCATGTTCCTATCTGGGTTCACTATTAAACAGAGTATAAAGTCAATAATTATATAAGCATACACACACACACACACACACACACACACACACACACACACACACACACATTCACATATTCTACTTGCCCAGTAATGTAACACAATAGGTAGTCAATACACATATTTTTTTATTTCTGGAAACCCTTTACACTGTTTCTTTTTTTTTTTTTAATCATAGGTCGTATTTGTTCTGACTGGAGATTGTGATGACAGGACCCATATTGGATATAAAGTCTATGAAGAAATTGCCTCTACAAGTTCTGGTCAAGTGTTCCATCTGGACAAAAAACAAGTTAATGAGGTCAGTTTAATAAAGGGAGTCTACTTTATTACCAGCTGCCTTATCAAAATCAGTTAGGCCAGCCTAATTATGACAGATTTGATTTCAAAAACAATTTTAACCAAAAGGTATAACTCCAAGGCCACAGTTCAATAAAGGCATTGAATAATGTGAAGAAATATAGGTATATTTATTTAATGTTAATTTTTAGATTGTATTACTTATAGCAACAAACTGCTAAATTTAATTGAATTTAACTGTTTAATTTTATTGGAATCAAAAATTTTTGTAGTTGTTCAGTAAGGTCAATTTGTGTTTTTGATGAATAACTTTCATATAGCTATTAAAATGAGGCTAAACTGGTTACTGAAGTAGAATGCGAAAAAGTTAATTATTGAGCAAAATTCTGATGAGGTTTGGTTTCTAAGATTAAAAGTAAAAAACTATGACTAACTAGTAACTATGTAGTTATCAAAAAACTGATAATATTTATAAATTATATTGTAAGAAAATTTAGTATTTTCTTAAAAAGTCCTTTAGATAGGTTTGTCATAATTTTTTTTTTTTTTTTTTTTTTTTTGAGGTGAAGTCTCGCTCTGTCACCTAGGCTGGAGTGCAGTGGCACAATCTCAGCTCACTGCGAGCTCTGCCTCCTGGGTTCACGCCATTCTCCTGCCTCAGCCTCCCGAGTAGCTGGGACTACAGGCGCCCACCACCACGCCCGGCTAATTTTTTTTGTATTTTTAGTAGAGACGGGGTTTCACCATGTTAGCCGGGATGATCTCGATCTCCTGACCTCGTGATCCGCCCGCCTCGGCCTCCCAAAGTGCTGGGATTACAGGCATGAGCCACCGCGTCTGGACCATAATTTCTTCTTTGTCCATTTTGCTGTCTTTCCTTGGCCTCACTCATAATGACCTTTTTTTAAACCTGTTTATGTATTTGACTCTCATTTAAGTTTCTAGGAACATACCAATACAAAGATAAGGGTTTTTTAAAATTTATTTTTATTTTTTGTTTAGTCCTTTTTTTTTTAAGTTCTGGGGTACATGTGCAGGATATGCAGGTTTGTTACATAGGTAAACGTGTGCCATGGCATAATTCATATTTGATTCATGTGGTCACTGTATCTCTACAAGTTCTATTAATTTCATGACAGACTCCTTTGTGTCTTAAATGAAATGGTTCAGTAGTTCTCTTATAGCTAAAGAGTTCTTATTATATCAAGGTGGAACTAATAGGACATTACAAATTTCTAGAGCAAAGAATCTAGCGAAAAATTTTTTTAATCAACATATTGAAATAGATAGATTTATAAAATTAATCTTAAAAATGTATTCTTGGAAGAAACAGTTTTAGAGAGGGTTATGCCTTAGGTTTATATTGTGTGCACTCTAGTGACTCAGAAATTCCTGGGAAGGGTCTGATGACTACACAGGGAGCCCTCAACAGTTGATTTGCCTCAATGTTTGCACGAGAATTTGGGAACCTGGGAAGAAAGGGATTGGGGAACAGTGCAGGAGTCTCTCAGACACTGGGTTCCTTGTCCTATCTCATACACTGTACTTGAACCTAAAGAAGGAAAAACTGCTCATAGAAATTGTCTTCAACCTGGAATTCTGTAAGACTCTAGGGTACAGTGAGCAGCATTAAGTGGGACTTAAGTGAGGAAGAATAGCATTCTCTCTTACATCAGCTTGTATATCACTTGCTTAGAGTTTTATGAGTTTCTGGGTGGGAGGTGGTGGTGGTGTGCAGTGCACAGAGATAGAGTGTTGGGGCCAGTATGCTGAATATGCCATGGCTAGTGGACATGGTCATTCCCAGGAGAAGTATTACAGAAGAGGCAAGAAGACACATGGCTGGCACCTAAGCTTTTGAAAGAATAGTTGCTCAATGGGACCTGTTTGTGAGCAGTCAGACACCACTTAGAGATTCCCAAAACAGGCTGAGCGCAGTGGCTCACGCCTGTAATCACAGCACTTTGGGAGGCCGCAGCAGGTGGATCACAAGGTCAGGAGTTCGAGACCAGCCTGGCCAACATGGTGAAAACCCGTCTCTACTAAAAATACAAAAATTAGTTGGGCATGGTGGCACGTACCCATAGTCCCAGCTACTCGGGAGGCTGAGGCAGGAGAATCACTTGAACCCGGGAGGTGGAGGTTGCAGTGAGCTGAGACCACACCACCGCACTCCAGCCTGGGCAACTGAGTGAGACTCCATCTAAAAAAAAAAAATTCCAAAACAAATTGGGTTAAATTTAAGGAGAACCATAGGACTTTATTAGTAGTGGGTTTCAGAGCCAGAAAAACAACAACAACAACAACAACAAAAGTGTGTCCTGGGAATGTGACTCCATTTATATCCACATACCCAAGGAAAATTGAGTTACATAAAACTGAAATAATATAGTGCCTTAAATGGAGAAACTAAGCCCTATAGAGAAACTATAAGCCCTAGAGCGTTTATTAAATGGCATGTGATATTGTTTCGCTGTGTCTCCCCCCACTGCCCCCCAATCAGTTCTCATTTTACATTGTAGTTCCCATAATCCCCACATGTCATTGGAGGGACCTAATCGGAGGTAATTAGATTATGGGGGCAGTTCCCCCATGCTTTTCTCATGATAGTGAGTGAGCTCTCACAAGATCTGATGGTTTTATAAGGGGCCTTTCCCTGCTTCACTCAGCCCTTCTCTCTCCTGCCACTGTGTGAAGAAGGATGTGTTCACTCCCCCTTCCGTCATGATTATAAGTTTTCTGAGGCCTCCCCAACCATGCAGAACTGTGAGTCAATTAAGCCTCTTTCATTTATTAATTACCCAGTCTTCGGCAATTCTTTATAGCTGCATGAGAAAGCACTAATACAGCATGATATTATACATAATTTTTATATTTCTAATAATTTTTAATAATTCTGACAATTACCAGATAATTTGTAAGAAGAATACTTTATAAAAATTTGATGTAAATTCAGAAAATTTTATAAATATGGATATATTAGAGAAACTTAACCCACTGGCTTGTTGTTAGTGTTTCTCTCCTGGATCATCAACTGATATTCTAATCTTTAAATTTAGCTATTGCAGAATAGCACTAGAGAGAAGCATTGCTAAAGTTGTCCATTTTTATAAACTAGAGTTTGATGCCAACAATAGAGCTGAGGCTTTATTTATCTATCCATCATAGCAATTCTAACCACCTCACCAATTGTTGCAGGAAAGGATGTTTCACTTACTTTGGGCTAATGAGACCAAAGGAATTTTAGCTAGGAGTATTTTGGATTAAGTCAACAATCAAACCCATCCTACTGCTAAACCTCTAGAGTTCAGGAAATTATCTTTTTGTTCAAGCCAATTTGAGTTGAGTATTCAGTTACCTTAAAGTAAATGCATCTTAAATGATAAAACTTGTATATTTCTTTGTGACATGGGATCTGTGAGTCCCAGTTTCCCTGTCTGTAAAATGGAGATAATAGAATTATCCTTTTCAGAAATTTGCTCTGAGGTTAAGTGAGATAATGCACTTAAATGTTCCACACAAGGTCTGGCACAGAGTAGTGCCCAATAAATATTAACTAGTGTTATTATAACACTGGTAGTGTTGGTATTATGCTTTTAAAGTGGGGAAAACTGTGCCATCATGTTTGCTAGAAATTAGATGTCTGATTGTTACTTGGAAATAAATCTGAGTAGAAGAATCCAGGAAGAGGCTGGACAGTTTTCTTTTTTCACTGTGTGTGAAAAAAAAATATTGTGAAGCTCCTACTGGAACTGTACAAGTCAATATATTCCTTAAAGAAAGCTACCACCACAGAAGATTTTATTAATAGGAAGCATTGTGACAGTGTTAAAATTGGATTTGCAAAATTTTTGGCATGTAATTTAGTCATTTCTTTTTTCTCACTGTTCCAAATTATTCTATTACGTAAACATTACGAACTCTAGGGAAAACAGATGCTATACTGGTGTCTTCACATTTAATAGACATAAGAACTTCAAGGAAGCCACACATGCACTGAGTCCTTTCATTTTACTCAAGACTCTTCATCTACTGTTTCTAAAGGAAAGTGTAGTGTTATATTTTACTCTCTTAACCTATTTAATCAGTTTCTTAACCTGGGGGATATATTTTATATAAACTCACTCTTGAGTTAAAGTGAAGTTTTTACTGCGTTCTGTTTTTTTTTTTTTTTAAAAAAAAACAATGATTAAGTAGAAGATCTAGGACTGTTTCATCTTTATTTAACATAAAAGGGAAACCAAAGTGAAGAAATTATTTGGCCAAGCATCAGTGGTCTATAAATCACTGTATGGTATTACATTTTGGAAACACAATTTACAATACCTCTCAAGGATGTCCTTAATTCACCTTTGAATACAGACAAGGAACTAAACTATTGCAGTATTATTCCATTATTTATATGCTAGGTGGGTTGTCAGCTGATTTAATTAATGCTTCCTTTTGGTGTAAGAAAAAGTCCAAGTTGGAAATCTCAAAGTTTCTCACAGATGCTATATCCCTGTGTCAAAGAAGCTAACACAAAAGATCACTGTTATTTAGATAATTCGCTTGTCCTGAGCTTCCCTATCCTTTTTCCCACCTCCGCCAACTCATATCCTGTAACATTCCCTTCCCTCGAAAAAAACTTACCAGCCTGTTGTATTGGTCCGATTCTAATAGATGTTACCATTACAATAAAAACATTTCTGTTTTTATTTTTTAAATTTTTGTGGGTGCATAGTAGGTGTATGTATTTATGGGGTTCATGAGATGTTTTGATACAGGCATGCAATATGAAATAAGCACATTATGGACAGTGGGGTAGCCATCCTCTCAAGCATGTATCTTTGAGTTACAAACAACCCAATTACACTCTTTAAGTTATTTTCAAATGTACAATTAAGCAATAAATAGCATTTCAATAAATAATTACTTCTGTAATTCTCTCTTACAGAGGCAGGGTATCAGTAACTGAAGCTCTATAACAATAGAACCAGGGGAATATGTGCCCAACCCCTTCGTATTTCCTGGTGCCTTTCATTTTCCCAAATCCAACTGGAAGCTAGGGAACCAAGGAGCCCTGTTGAGGTGTTCCATAAAAGTCAGCATCCCTGGCTGCGGTCACGTCTGTAATCCCAGCACTTTGGGAGGCCAAGGTGGGCGGATCATGAGGTCAAGAGATCGAGACCATCCTGATCAACATGGTAAAATCCTGTCTCTACTAAAATACAAAAATTAGCTGGGCATGGTGGCGCATGCCTGTAGTCCCAGCTACTCAGGAGGCTGAGGCAAGAGAATCGCTTGAGGCTGGGAGGCAGAAGTTGCAGTGAGCCAAGATCGTGCCACTGCACTCCAGCCTGGGCGACAGAGAGAGACTCCGTCTCAAAAAAAAAAAAAAAAAAGTCAGCATCCCAGGGTGCAAAGCCAGATGGAAATGATTATTAGAAAATGAAGCTGGAGGGGTAAACAGAAAAGATTCAGCACAAGCAGTATTGTGTGGTAGTTAAGACTAACGCTCTGGGACCATGGCTCATATCCCAGCCATGTGACCTCAGATATTTTCTGTGTGTCAGTTTCCTTATCTGTAAAATGGAGAAAATGATAGTTTCTACCTCATAGTGTTGTTGGGTTTAGAACATATCGATAAATATTAACTGCTATTATTTTTATTTAGTGATACATGCTAGTCAAAATGTTCTAGTGACCGTTTTTGGTTTTCTAATAGGCAGAGGAAAGTTGAGCTTACTAGGTTTTTCAAAGGAAATAAACTGAACCCAGGAAAATAAAGTGACAATTTTGCAACACATCCATGAAAAATTCAAATCCTGGCAATGAAAAGCCTCATAGATTAGAGATTACTGGACTTATTTCTCTTGCTAGTTTTTTCCCTGAGTTCAATACTTAAAAAAAACTGTAAACTTTGCTGGAGTATGAATCTGGCACAGCCTCTTCCCGCTATTTTGGCTAATGGCCATTTAGGACTAGACTTTAGACCATGAGCTTTCTGCATATGGGCTCAATGATGAGACTCTGAAAATTGGGGTTTTGGACAGTTAGTGCTCTAAAATTAGGAATCTGCCATTTTGTTTTTCCCCATTCCTGAGTTTCACTCCAAAAATTATTTCAAAAACAAAACCTTACTGCTGACCTTGAAAATAAGTAGAAACGGGTGTTTCCTCTGAAATTTGAAAATGTATCAGGGACAACTATAATGTTCTAGAGAGCTACAGGAAATGTGTGAAAACAATGTGTAAATGTTTCCACTTATCCCTTCTTTGAATTCACCTGTGGAAAATGGAATGGAGATGTTCAGAGCCGATTCCTTAAAATAAATGTAGGTCTCCACATCCACAAACACAACAGAAAAGGAATGCATACCTGAACTTTAGTTTCAATGGAATGCTTTCTTTCTCTTTTTTTTTGTGCTAAGATTGACATGTTGTCTGTATGAGTATGTGCTAGGAATGCTAATGTTCCAGTCACATAGTTACCTTTTCACTTCCAGGCACCTGGGAGTGCTTATAGGTCAGGAATATGCTTAAATGAAGCCATGTGTACTTTCCATTTGTTTAGATAAAACAAAAAATGAAGTCCTTAATTTATTGCTTAAAAATTATCTTTGTCTGTAGGCTTCTGAGCATTGAACAATTCTCATAATGACATTTAAAGAGTACATAGTACATAATATTTCTCACAAATGTTGGGGGGAGAGGATGGATGGAGATGACTGCTCTCAACAGAATATCATTTAGAAAAAATATACCAAAAGTCAAGCAGAGCTCTCCTGCAGTCTGAAACAGCAGGGGATGAGACCAGATATGGGATGGGAAGTGGGGAATACATGATTTAAAAGGATAAGCCCTGCAAAATGAGAGTGCCTGTCTTTCATTTCATGATTTTGTATATGGGCTCTGGGAACTGTTTGAAGCACTAGTTATAAACTGCAGCAATAGATTCTGTAATGTGCAGTGGGATCATCTCTACACAACAGAACTCATTGCCTGTGAAATGTAAGTTTCACTATGAAAGTATTATCCCATAAGACAATCATGGCATCTGATCCCTAGTATAAAATTCAGAAAACAGAATGGACATCACTCATTAAAACTTCTTCCTAAAATACCAAAAAAGCACAGAAGACCTATATCTAAGGAAAAAGAAGCTTATATAATGCTTCAAGGAATATTTCTTAGAAAAGAAAGAAATGTTACTTAAGGGTAAACACTAGCCAATAAGTTGCATGCTTTCAACAGGACCAAATGAAATAGAAAAAGAAATAAACCTATTTATTTAGCTGACTCTATTTTGATTAGAAGCTAAATAAAATATCAAGTTTGACTATGAGATGTTAGAGATAACTGAATCAGTCAATTACCTGCATTGCTAATTCTGGGTTTGTAAAAATCTTAACTACCAAAAAGTTACTGTGTCAACCTCAAAGTCTTTGAAAAACTCATTAAAAATCCACACTGTCTTGAAAGACAGTACCTATTCTCCTCATTTGGTCTTTATTTTTACTGGAGTTGTGGTGGAAACTAAAGATTTGAATTGAGAAAAATTGTCCCAGATGCTTGATATTTAAAACTGAAACAACTAGTTAGCCTTTGAAATTGCTGACCATGATCTCTTGAAGTTTACCCATTGGGAACTGCAAAGGAACACAAGGGAACATGCAAAAAATCAGCAATGATGAGACAAATAAAATTCTGTTGAGCAGTTTTCACACAGCCTCAACAATTTGGATATTTCCTTTCATATTTTATATATTTAATTTTAAGATATTCCTTTTAAAGCTTTTTTTGTTAAAAAGCACCTGTGATTGAATAATAAGCAACTAACTCTCACAGAAAATAGAAAAATGCAAAAGGTTTGTTATTACATCTTTTCTGCAGAACAAGAATTGCCTGCTGCCCTTACATTTATGTAATTGAGAGGAAAACACAATAGTATTATTTCTTTAATAATGATAATTGAATAATTTGGGCCAAGGTAATTGGCTGTTGTTAATCTCTAGACATAGAAGATCTTATATAATTGTCTAACTTACTTTTCATAATTACCTACCCAGGAACTCCATTACATAATTACTATCTATCTGAAAGAAAAAGTTATAACTTTTGTGCTAAACACAGCAGGTACATATTATTTTAAAGTAGAAAAGCCTTGGCTATTATCTCTAGAAGAAATAATTGTATCAATTAAAGATAATTTAAACCTTTGGAAAAAACATATGAATATTGTTTTTTTTTAAGTAGTTTAAACCATTTAGTATACAAAGTATGAAGAAAATTGAAGGTCTTATTTTAAATATTTCTGTATATTATGAACCAATGGATGGCTTTGAAAACAGTGAGCTTATCTAATGAAGCAGTAAGCAGTTCCATGAAAATATTAAGTTGCAAATGCCATTTAAATACCAAACATATATCATGATTTATCGTTGCTTGCATTTGGTTCAACCTAAAAATATTCGTCAAGGACCATATAGTTTTGGCTTCTGATTCTGCAATAGCAAAGGGGAGATGAAAGAGTTAAGAGTCAAAGTACAGGAAATTTTATTTGAGAAATTTCCTTATGGCCCAGGATAAATAAATGGAAACAGAGTCCATGCTTCATATATTTTCCAGGTTTCCTTATGCATTCCAAGAGTGAATTGACTGTAATAGGGTTATAAAAGCAAAATCTTTTGAGAGATGGTATGAGCTACTTTTGAGAGCTCCCTTGTAATATTTTGGTCATGATTTGGCTTTGTGACAAAAATTACAAATGGCTTTCTCTTTCTTGCTGCAGACCCCAGAAGAAAAATGTACTTTAAAGTCATATACCACATAATTTAAACAGCTTTGGTATAAGTGACTGAATGAAGAGAAAGGAAAAAAAATTCAGAATTCTAGTCATAATTTTAAATAGACACAAGAAATTTATTTACTTTAAAATATGATTGTTGGGTTATTTCATTAAATTCTTTTTATTATGAACTTAGGAAAAAGACACATGATATAGTTAAATCATTTAAAATTTGAATATCAATATCATCTGTAAAAAAGGAGAAAGTCTTCAGGAACTAGTGAATGCATTTGTGAAAATTTGGCCATTATTTATTCAAATAATATTTATGAAATTAACAAATTAATGCAGTAATATTATAATGAATACAATAAATTTAAATAATAAATAAAAACAAGTAAGTAAAATTATTAATTTGAACAATGTTTCTTAAAAGTATATGTCTGGTAAGATTGCAGTTTAAAAATATATTCATTTACATTTATGTATGCATATTTCTAGACAAATGAAAAAGTCATACCTAAAAATGTTGATAATGGCAATCACTGGATAGTATGATTATGGATAATTTTAATATTTTTTCTTTTATGTCTTATCTTATTGTTTACTGTGTAGGTATTGTTTTTAAAATAAAGGAAAATAGTGAAGCCATTTCCACTAACAGAAAAAATTTCAAACACACCTCATATACTCATGTTACAGGTTTATAAGCAAGACTCTATGCTATGAGCTATGAGGATGTAAGAACAAATCAGACATAGATATGATGTCTCAAGATGCCAGATTTTGGAATCTCTGAGGAGAGGGATCAAGTCTCCCCTGTCCAGAAGCAAAATCATGAACCAAACTCTACTTTCTGTTTTGCTTCTTCCTTAAGTACAGGCCTTCTGTTCTTCACTCAATTAGAACTGTTCTCTTCATATATTACAATGACTGTTGCCTCAGTCTTCATTTCCTTGTGTAAAATTTGACACTATGGATCATTTTGCTTTTTTGAAATCCTCTTGCCCTGAGCATCTGTGATATGATGTTCTCCCCTGACAGATCTCTATTCCTTCTCTGCCTCCTTTACTTTACTTTACTTCTCTTATCCCAAATGTATTTCCCAATTTTGGCTAGCCTCTGTACTTACTCTATCTCTTGATATCATGATTCAGTTATTTCTTTTTTTCTGGTCATAACTCCTTTCCTTGAGTCATCTAGTTATCTACTTAAATGCCTCTTTCTCCTGATAGCATTATTTAAAAGAACACCCCTCATTTTCTGTCCTATTCACATTATCCTACTTTATTTTTTAATTACTTTTATGGGGGCACGTGTACAGGTTTGTTACCTGGATATGTTGTGTAATGGTGAGGTTTGGGTTTCTAGTGTACCTAACACCCGAATAGTGAACATATACCCAGTAGGTAATTTTTCAACCCTCGCCACCACCCTCCCCACATTTTGTAGTCCTCAGTGTCTATTATTCCCCTCAGTATGTTCATGTACACCTATTGTTTAGTTCCCACTTGCAAGTGAGAACATGCAGTGTTTGATTTTCTGTTTTTGAGTTATTTCATTTAAGATAATGGCCTCCAGCTCCCTCCACGTTGCTGCAGATGACATGATTTCACTCTTTTTTTATAGCAGAATAGTATTCTATAGTGTATATACACCACATTTTCTTTATTCAGTCATCCATTGATGAACGCTTTGGTTTATTCCATGACTTTTTTCAGTAGTGCTATGATAAACATAGGATTGCAGGTGTCTTTTTTGGGTATAACAATTTTTTTCCTTTGGGTAGATATCCAGTAGTGGGTTTGCTGGGTCAAATGGTAGTACTGTTTTTAGTTCTCTGCAATATTTCTATATTGTTTTCTGTAGAAGTTGTGCTAATTTACATTCCCACAAACAGTGTGTAAGCGTTCTCTTTTCTCTTCATCTTTGCCAACATCTGCTCTTTTTTGACTTTTTAGTAATAGCCATTCTGACTGGTCAGAAATGGGATCTCATTTTGGTTTTCGTTCACATTTCTCTGATGATTAGTGATGATGAACATTTTTTTCATATGTTTGTTGGCCATTTGTATATCTTTGGAGAACTATCTGTTCATATCCTTTGTCCACATTTTAATGTGCCCACTTTTTTTTCTTCTTGTTGAGTTGTTTGAGTTATTTCTAGAATCTGGATGTTAGTCCTTTGTCAGATGTAAAATTTACAAATATTTTCTCCCTTTCTATTGGTTTTCTTGTTTACTCCACTAGTTATTTCTTTTGCTCTGCAGGAGGTATTTTGTTTAAGTCCCATTTATCTATTTTTGGATTTTTACATTTGCTTTTGAGTTCTTAGTCATAAATTCTTTGCCTAGATCAAGGTTTAGAAGAGCTTTTCCTAAGTTTGCTTCTAGAATTTTTATAGTTTCAGGTCTTACATTTAAGTATTTAACCCATCTTGAGTTGATTTTTGTATATTGTAAGAGATACAAAGGGTCTAATTTCATTTTTCTGCATATGGCTATCCAATTTTCCCAGGACTATTACTAAATATTTATTTATTTAATAACAGTCCTGGAAAGAGCATTTATTAAATAGAGTATCCTCTCTCCATTGTATATTTTTGTTGACTTTGTTGAAGATCAGTTGGCTGGGAGTATGTGGCTTAATTTCTGGATTCTCCATTCTATTTCATTGATCTATGTGTCTTTCTTTTTTTTTTTTTTTTTTTTTTTTTTTTTTACCAGTACCATGCTCGCCTTGTTGTATAATTTGAAGTCAGGTAATGTGATGCCTCTAGTTTTGTTCTTTTTGTTTAGGATTACTTTGGCTATAGGGCTCTTTTTTGGTTCAATATTAATTTCAGGATTTTTTTTCTAATTCTGTGAAAAACAACATTGGTAGTTAGATAGAAATTACATTGAATCTGCATATTGCTCTGGGCATTATGGGCATTTTAACAATATTGATTCTTCTAATCCACGAGCACAGGATGATTTTTGATTTGTTTATGTCATCTATAATTTCTTTCATCAGTGTTTGGTAATTCTTCTTGTAGAAATATTTCACCTCCTTGGTTAAATATATTCTTAGGTATTTTACTCTTTTTGTATGGCTATTTTTTTCCTTTTTTTTGACTTTTATTTTAGGTTCAGAGGTACATGTGCAGGTTTGTATAAGCAAATTTGTGTCACAGGGTTTTGGTATACAGATTATTTTGTCACCTAGGTACTAAACATAGTATCTGATAGTTTTTTTTCCTAATCCTCTCCCTGCTCACTCCCTCCTCCCTCAAGTAGGCCCTAGTGTCTGTTGTTCCTCTCTTTGTCCCCATTGGTTCTCATTATTTAGCTCCCACTTATAAGTCAGAACATTCAGTATTTGTTTTTCTGTTGAATGGCTGTTGTAAATGAGATTGCATTCTTCATTTGGTTCTCAGCTTTAATGTTATTGATGAATAGAAATGCTACTGATTTTTGTACATTGATTTCATATTCTGAAATCTTGAAACTTCACTGAAGTTGCTTATCAAGTCTAGGAGTCTTTAGAGTTTTCTAGGTATAAGATTATGTGATCAGCAAACAGACGTAATTTCACTTCTTTTCTAATTTGGATGCTTTTCATTTTTTAATCTTCACTGATTGCTCTGGCTAGGACTTTCAGTACTATGTTGAATAGGAGTGGTGAGTGGGCATCCTTATCTTGTTCCAGTTCTTAGTGCGAATGCTTTCAACTTTCCCCCATTCAGTATGATGTTACCTGTGGATCTGTTGCATATGGCTTTTGTTATTTTGAGGTATGTTCCTTTGATGCCTAGTTTGTTGAGGGCTTTTACCATGAAGGGATTTAGGGTTTTGTCAAATGCTTTTTCTGCATCTGTGAGATGATCACATGGTTTTTGTTTTTAATTCTGTTTGTTTATGTATTTAGTGATTTGTGGATGTTGAACCACCCTTGCATCCCTGGAATAAGACCCACCTGATTGTGATGTATTATCTTTTTGGTGTGCTGGTAGATTTGATTTGCTAATATTTTGTAGAGGATTTTGGGGTCTATATTCAACACCATTATCGACTTCATTTTTACAGTACTTCTCTCTATCTAATATTATATTACATATCCTTTGTCTTTGCCTAAAACAGTGTTTGACATTTGGCATGTACTCAGTTAATAGTTATTAACTGAATGTTTTGAATGAATGGATCTTACTGCTTTCCTTTTTACTCTGTGCGGATGATGTCCAAGTCTTCAGCCCTGACTGCTTCTTCAGCCATCATCCTATGTTCAGACTGTCCTTTGGTCATCTTGATCTGACTGTTCTCCCAACACCTGTAAGATAGAAGCTCCTCATTGGACATGTTCTTCTTTAATACTCCTCTTTGCTCTTGATATTAGCACACTTCTTGCAGTTATCCAGGCTCAAGTGGCCTGAGTCATCCTCTCTTTGTTTGCTGTCCACATTTAGTTAGTTGGTAAAATGCTTTCCATTCTATTTTCATAATTGCCTTCCCAGTCAACCAATCCCTTCCTTGCCTAGTATCTTGCTTAGTCTCTGACCATATGGCCTTTTGTTTTGCTTGAGACAGGGTCTTACTCTGTTGCACAGGCTAGAGTGCAGTGTTGTGATCACTGCTCACTGCAGCCTCGACCTTCCAGGCCCAAGCAATTCTCCCACCTCAGCCTCCTGAGTAGTTAGGATTACAGGTGTGCACCACCATGCCCAGCTAATTTTTGATTTTTTTTGTAGAGAGGGGGTCTTTCTATGTTGCCCAGGCTGGTTTCAAACTCTTGGGTTCAAGCAATCCTTCCACCTTGGCCTCCCATATTGTTGGGATTAGAGGTGTGAATCACCTTGCCTGACTCATGTGATCTTTTGACTGTCTCTTTACCATTATCTTATTTATTTATATTTTTACTATTAAGTCACTCATTCACTCATTTATTTATTTATTCATTCCATAACATTGTTGAGGCCTACTTACTATGTGTTAGACTTTAAGGATTCAATATTGAGCAAAAGTAGATTAGGGCAGGTTCTTATGGAGCAAAAGTGTTTTAGAGGAGCATCTGAGTAAAGAGGCTGGAGGATTTGCAGATTGTTGTGAGAAAGTAAGACGTCTGGAGCAAACCCAGTTGATGGCAAGTTCATTGGTTGGCCTTGGGAATGTGTGGGCGAAATGGAGCAGTGAGGAGGGTTACAAGAGTTGAGGAGGTCATTGAGAGGTCAGCGAGTTGGATAGGCCATCTATCTGAATGTGGAATTCACACTGTAGTGACAGTAAGACTTGCTATGGAGAGAAAGTGAGCCAGGTAACAAAATCTTCAATAAATGAGGAAATAGTGGTGAGGCAGCAATAAAGAGAGATGGTACAAGTCTCAAAGGAGCAGAGCTGTATCCATTGTGAAGCAGGCAGGAGTGGGGAATGAAAAGGCTGCCCTGGGTTCAATCTCTAAGATATATGGGGTGCAGGATAATGAATAACTTTCATCAAATAGAGTTGTTGGAGATGAGACTAGCCTAGATGAGGGATATATTTTCCTTGGGGTTAGGAAGTATCTTGAGTTTCCAGTAAAGATTTGGCATAAGGAGTCCAACATTGGAATGGACATTTTGGAAGTCACGGTGAAGACTTTGGTCTAGAAGAATCCATAAAAGCTCAGATTGATGGAAAAAAAGCATAGAACATAAAGCAAAAGTACAAAAAGGAGATTGATAATTGCAGGTAATTCCATACTAGGGGATGGCCAAATTTAATGTAGATGTGAATCATGGTAGGTCCAGTTATAATGTCTTTTATTTGTCTGTTTGTTTTAACTTTCACTGATATATCATGCTTTTTCCTCTGATACTTTGAATGGGCTCTTCCTTAATCCTGGAAAACTTTCCAGCCTCTGTTGCAATAGCCAACCACCAACTAAATTTGAGAAAGTTGCCTGACCTTTGTCCTTCTCTCTTCATATCATCATGTTGTATAATAATAACAATGCATTTGCTGTTCCAGGCTGTAAACTCCACAAGAGAAAGACCTGCTTCTGTCTTTAATTTTTAATATTTCTGCTGCCTACCAGAGTGCCAGGCATATAGTAGATTTCTAGATACATAATATTTGTTGAATGAATGTTTGAAGGAATGAAATAGGGGAATGAAGTTGGGATTTGGACCAGAAGAGTCTGGAGTAAAATCTCAGCTCTACTGCTATGTGTTAGTTATAATAACCCCCATGTAAATGGAAGAAGAAAGGAGTTGTCTTTCTGATAGCTTTATCATGTGCAGGGTGGCCTTGTGTCCAAATATAATGACATCCACCCCTCGAGGGAGGGAGCGCGCAGGTGAGCATGTGCAGGAGCCAGAGCGAGTGCTTTTGGGCACCAGCAGGAGCAAAATCTTTGCGGCAGCATCCAGCCAGTGGTGTCTGCGACTCCCAAAGTCCCAGAAGGCATGTTACACTGCTCTTTTAGCTCTGCTGTTGACAGATGGCTTGAATGTTAACAGCTCAGTGGGCCCTATGCCATTTTGCATGAGGTGGCTGCCTCTCTGCCAGTGAGGGCAAAGGACCAGTGTGACAGCCTTTCATATTTGCACTCATGGCTCCAGAGCTCTTGTTTGGCATCCAGGAAAAATGAAGTTGCATGAACGAAATGAAGGATGGTAAATGTGGGGGATTTTATTGCTGGTGAAAGTAGCTCTCAATGGGAAGGGGAGCAGAAAAGGGGATGGAGTAGGAAGGCAATCTTCCCCTGAAGTCCAGCCATCTCTGGTCAAATTCTTCTCCAAAGTTACACTGTCAAGCTGTCCCTCTAAAGTCAAGCTGCTGCTCTCTGACGTCCAGGCATAGTCCCCAGTATCCAGCTTCTTCTTCTCTCTGCCAGCTGAGTCTGGGGTCTTTATAGGCACAGGACGGGGTAGGGTGGAGCCATGGGTGGTTTAGGAAAGGACAACATTCCAGTGGGAAAACAGGGATATAAGTTCTCACTTTGGGCTGTGGTTTCAGGCTTTTTGGCTTGGGATTTTTGCTGGGGACCTACCCTTTTCTGCCTAGAATTTCTCTGCCTCCTGCCCCTATCACAGTGTCCATCATTTTTATTAGAAATGTAGAACAAGACATAATGCTGAACATATGAATTTAGACAAAGTCTGTTATGAATTCAGTCTGCAATATTAAACAGAATAAAGTTCATTTTCAGGTGAAGCTTCAAAAGTAAGCTCAGTAGAAATAGCCAGTTTTTATAAAATAAAAACTCATTTGTACTCACATCCAAACTTGTTCTGAATATTTTTGCAGCTTCAAAAGTATTTTGAGAAGTCTCTTAGTGTTTTCTCTTTTTGGATTTTCCCTGTACTTCCTCTTTTAGATGGGGCCTGGAAAGTTGAAGTTCTGAATTTCATAAGATATTTTTTTCTTTTAGAAATGTCTACCCTAAACAGATGTAAAAAGGACTAACATCCAAATGGAAAACTATTCATTTCCTATTTGAAGATCTATCAGAGTTAATGACTTTTTTTGAGAAAATTACATTTATTTTTGTTTTAGGAGATTAGTATATAAGAGTTATTTTAAAGGTCACATAAACTTATGGGGCTAGCTGCATTGACCATAGTAGACTTTACAGATACTCATTGATTTATATGCAGTTATGGAATGAAGCAATGCTAATGAAACTCTCATGGAGCATTCACAGCTTATTGTTGCCTTCCTGATAGAATATTGAGGAAATTAATGTGTTGTCAAAGAAATGAATGTTTTTTTTTTTTTCAGTTTTAATGTTATTCTTTGATTTTGCAGCTAAGTGGTTTTAAACAGAGCTCTACAGAGTTTGTTTAGGGTAGATCTTGGAACAGTTTGGCTTTTACCTGTTTTACATTTCTTTTCTGTGTACCATTTGATTTGACAAAAGTATCCTGTTTTTTTAAAAAAGTTTGAAAAACATTGATATGGGTAGTTGCCACAAAAAAATGAAATTGTTTGGAATTCATTTATGTAAAGCTGTAAGCCTGGAAGTCACCATTTTCCCACTTCAGAAATTATAATATAAAGAATGATAAAAATAATACTTAGCTTTTATGATGGAAATAGCAAGTGAAGTATATTTTATGAATTTTTTTCATCTGATGCCATCACCTTGGGCTTTCAACCATGAGAAATAATTATTTATAATGTATTCAACTCTTCAAAGATTATAAGAAGACAATTTTTGCTCATATTTGACAAAAATCAAGGCCTAAAAATGTATACTTTATTTATAGCTGGTGAGGGAGAGCATTTACAAAGATGGCAAAAGGTAGAGTCCTCCATCATAGCTGACTCTTGAATTCTTGTGCCTACGTGAATCTATCTTTTCTTTCATCATACTGTCTTATTTCTCTGATCTCTATTATAGTGCCAGATTGTGAGCTCCTAAGGGCAGGGAGGACAAGGGTTTTGCTTTAAATGCTTGTAGTAATTTACCCTAAAGTAACGTTCAATTACTATGCTTTTGAATAATGAAAAGAATGAGTGAGTGAATACAATATATACATATATATGTGTTTGTGTGTCTTTCACTTCATTATGAACACAAAGAAAGCATGCTTATGACATTTATCTTTGTATTCTTGTTGATATAAATCAGATTTCAATATATGCTAAAATACTCACAAAATACTTTCTACCAGTATTATTTGGCTGCATGAACTAAAATGCAAAATGCATTCATATTAAGTGTGCATTTTGACAAATGTATATGCTTATGTATTCCACTACAATTATGATACAGAACATTTCAACCACCCTTAAAACTTCCCTTATGCCCCCTTTCACTCACTTCTGCTCCCTGTCATTCAGGCTGTTGACAACTGATTTGTTTTCCTTCAGTTGATTGGTTTAGTCTTTTAAAAAATTTCATATAAATGGAAATTTTTGGTCTAGATTTTTAAATTGAGTATCATGTTTTTGAAATTTACCCAAGTTATTGTGTGTATCATTAGTTGGTTCCATTTTACTTAGCGCATCTGATTTTATGGATATACCACAATTTGTTTATACCACAATTTGTTTGTTGTTGGATATTGGAATTGTTTCTAGTGCTTATTTATTTTGGATAAAGCTCCTATGAACATTGCTGTATGGTTCCTTGTGCATTTTCAATTTCTAAAATTTAGTCATTCTAATGTATTTTAATTTCACTGTGGTTTTAATTTGGATTCCCCTCATAATTAATGTTGTTAGTTGCTAGTTCTATCATTTCTGTCACTTGAGGGTTTGTTAATCAATTAATAGATATAGGTCATGATTTTTTTTTTTTTTTTTTTTTTTTTTGCTTTTTAGTATGTCTAGTGATTTTGGATTGTAGACTAGATATTAGTTATTGTTGAGTATTGGATTTTGTTGTGTTCATTTAAAAATCATTGGACTTTATATGACAGGGAGTGGGTTACTTGTAGATTTGGTTGATCCTTTGAGGCTTTTTAGAAAGTTCTTATAGAATGAGTTTTAAAAAATACCTTTATTCCATGGATAATTTAGTTCTACTTATAAGATGTGGCCCTTTTGTGGCCTCCTCTAATTTCACCATGTATTCAATGAGGTCTCATTATTTCAATGAGGCTGAAAAGAACTCATGTAATTACTGGTCCTGTGTGAACTCTAGGAATTTTTAACTTATTTATCTCATGTAATTTTTCCTTTGTAGAAAGTGGTTCTCTCTTAACCTCATGGGGCTTACCTTTTGCATGCACAGATTGTTATTTAGACAAAGAATCAAAAAGCTCCTTATGCAGATATCTGGACGCTCTTGTCTTCATAGCTCCCTTTTATCTATAATTCTGCTCTTAAAAATCTAACTGCTTCAGCTTCCCCTAACTCAGATTTCTGTCTTTTTAACTCAATTATATTTCCAGGCTGGAAATTGCCTCCAGCTAGAAATCCTGAACTCATCTCACTTTTTTGTTATCTCTCAAGGGTAACAATCCTATTCTCTCTCTTATGTCTAAAAAAAGTTACTTTCTATATTTTGCCTAATGGCTTTAGTTATTTGTAGGAGGGTAGTTTCTAACTTGGCAGTCCCTCATGAAACAAAATTGATTTGAATGTGTCTGAAACAGGTTACTAAGTCAATTTACCTGTTTGGGAAAGGTGATCACACTTTGTGAGGAATATTTTATAGAGGACCCATGGGGGACTGAAGGCGAAAAGTGCAAAGAGCATGATATCTCAAAATCAGAGCAGTTGTACTTTATTACGTTATATATTGATTATTCTGAAAAAATGGCTTAAAGAATGGCATTGATCGTATCAAAGGATTGAACATTATTGATTTTGGAGACAAAAATATGATTGTTTTGTATAAACTGGTAAAATAGTATAGTTACAAATAACAGAAGACGTATACTCTTAAAATGTTATCAAGTTGAGCATTAATAATTAAAAAGAAAAATTACATTAATATATCTTTTGGAAAGGTTTATAATGCCATCCTTGGACATGCCTTCATTTTATGTTTTTTTTTTGGTAGTGGTCCTTGTTTGTCATGAGAACTGTGAAAAGTTGGAGGATTTCAGAGGAGCAAAAGTTATTAAAGGAATTAAGAATTCAGTATATTAGAAACAAATTATTCATTATTCTTAAGAATGAAGATACATTACTAAGTTACTTCATAAAGATACTGTACAGGAAAAATATCTCCACAAACTCATCCGAGGAAGTACAAGAATAGCTAGTTTGCTCATATAAAGGCATACAGACATAAAGACCATGATTATATGGTTTTTGAAAATCATTAGGCAATATTTATGTCCATTGAGTGTTATAGTTGAAGCAGAGAACTGAATAATATGATCCAATTATTTTATGAAATTATCATGTTACATAGGTAAATATTATTTCCTTATTACCTGTGTTAAAAATTACTTTAGTGACAAATTTCCTGACGTTTTTTTTTTTCCTTTTCTCTAAACCACTAGTATGATTGCACTACATGTCACTATAGTAAGGGAGTATGTTTCTATATTCAGTCCTCTAAATTAGGTTTCTTAAGGTATAGGCTTACTGCTTATTGCTCTGTTACTAAGATTTATAAACATCACTGTATGTCTATAACTAGGTGAATCAGAAGATTTTGGAGAAGTAGATAATTTGATTTCCCAGTGCCAGATACATTATCTCATTTAATTATCTACCCTGAATAAAGGAGGGATAGTGGCCAGTCATCTACCCTGCAATTCATAACACTTCCAAGGAAAAATTGATTCCAATTGTCTTTTCTGCTATGCCAGTAATACTGTGCTTTTCATAGTATTATGGCTCAAAGGAATGATTCCATGGCATGTATATGATACCAAATTTAATTTAAAAGTAGTCTCTTTACAATTTTGTAGACATTCTATAAGGATTCACCAATTGGAAATCTACCTTTTTAAATTAAAAAAAGTATCTAAATGCTTATTGTGTCCCTGATATTCTGTCTAAAGACAGATAAGCATCATTTACATAACTCAGTGATGAAGACTACAGATTTTGTACCATCTCTCTCTCTTTTTTCTGCTCTGGTTACAGTGTTCTTCCAATAGAATATGCAGGGCTCAGAGCTTCAAATACTTATAGCCTTTTTACTGCGTGTTCTATTGGAAGAAAAAAAAAAAGAGATGAGGGGAGTGGGTGGAAACAGAGAAACAGAGAGACAGCAGAAAGAAAAGCCCAATTGTGTACATGCTGAATGACTAATAGTCATGTATAATTTAAATGAAGTAAACATCCAACATACATAGTTAAGTAGATAAATACCTAAGAGATTCTTTGGTTAGGTGTTTAAGAAACTTTAGGTCCTATGAAACTTGAAAATAAAGCTAGAATGCATCTCCTTTGAAAAGGTTGAGGATACTTGTTTCTCATTATAAGTCTTTTTAATTCATCTCTTACTTGCACAAACTGTATTTATAGATAAAAATATATATTCAGATTTTCTCATCTTAAATCAAATGTTTAATGCAAAAGAAAAAGCATGTAGTTTTTTTTTTTAGAAAATTGTGTTTACCACATCAAATTTAGTTTTACATATGGAATGTATCATAAAGATATATTATGGAAAATTTTATTTAATACACTCCAATGTCAGCTCTCTTGCCCAAGTCTTCATCACTTCACACCTGGATTGCTGCAATAATTTATTTTTTCTTGACTTCTACTTTTCCCTACCCAATCCAGTAAGATAAGCTTCCTCAAATATCACTTTCATCACGCCCTGCCCCTGTTCTAAAAACCGATTCTACTGCCAGTTGAATGGTGTCCAAATAGTTCTTGTTGGAATTGCAGCCCTTCTAAAATCTGGCCTCACCTTGCCATCCAAATGTATCTCCAGGTATTTCCTAATACTCCATTCCCCACTCTAATTAGGCTAGCTTTTTTCTGCCCCCACACATGCTGGGTACTTTGCTGCCTCGGCACTTCTGCTTCCTTAACCTGAAATAACGTCACTTTTTAGCTTTTAACTTCTTTCCTTTCCATCTTTCAAGGGTCATCTTTTGTCCCTCTTAGTATATAAATCCTGCAAGTGTCCACCTGCCATGTGTACACTTTCCTAGTCTGACTTCCTAGTAAGTAAGTCTGCAGTACTTACTATTTCTTCAGAAAATATGTTATGACACATTTTCTCATCCATACTAAGCAGCAGTTTTTAAACAGTGAAATAATTCAATAGCTCTTAAATGAAATTTATTTATTTATTTATTTTTTATTATTATACTTTAAGTTTTAGGGTACATGTGCACATTGTGCAGGTTAGTTACATACGTATACATGTGCCATGCTGGTGTGCTGCACCCACTAACTCGTCATCTAGCATTAGGTATATCTCCCAATGCTATCCCTCCCCCCTCCCCGCACCCCACAACAGTCCCCAGAGTGTGATTTTCCCCTTCCTGTGTCCATGTGATATCATTGTTCAATTCCCACCTGTGAGTGAGAATATGTGGTGTTTGGTTTTTTGTTCTTGCGATAGTTTACTGAGAACGATGATTTCCAATTTCATCCATGTCCCTACAAAGGACATGAACTCATCATTTTTTATGACTGCATAGTATTCCATGGTGTATATGTGCCACATTTTCTTAATCCAGTCTATCATTGTTGGACATTTGGGTTGGTTCCAAGTCTTTGCTATTGTGAATAATGCCGCAATAAACATACGTGTGCATGTGTCTTTATAGCAGCATGATTTATAGTCCTTTGGGTATATACCCAGTAATGGGATGGCTGGGTCAAATGGTATTTCCAGTTCTAGATCCCTGACGAATCGCCACACTGACTTCCACAATGGTTGAACTAGTTTACAGTCCCAGCAACAGTGTAAAAGTGTTCCTATTTCTCCACATCCTCTCCAGCACCTGTTGTTTCCTGACTTTTTAATGATTGCCATTCTAACTGGTGTGAGATGGTATCTCATTGTGGTTTTGATTTGCATTTCACTGATGGCCAGTGATGATGAGCATTTTTTCATGTGTTTTTTGGCTGCATAAATGTCTTCTTTTGAGAAGTGTCTGTTCATGTCCTTCGCCCACTTTTTGATGGGGTTGTTTGTTTTTTTCTTGTAAATTTGTTTGAGTTCATTGTAGATTCTGGATATTAGCCCTTTGTCAGATGAGTAGGTTGCGAAAATTTTCTCCCATTTTGTAGGTTGCCTGTTCACTCTGATGGTAGTTTCTTTTGCTGTGCAGAAGCTCTTTAGTTTAATTAGATCCCATTTGTCAATTTTGTCTTTTGTTGCCATTGCTTTTGGTGTTTTAGACATGAAGTCCTTGCCCATGCGTATGTCCTGAATGGTAATGCCTAGGTTTTCTTTTAGGGTTTTTATGGTTTTAGGTCTAATGTTTAAGTCTTTAATCCATCTTGAATTAATTTTTGTATAAGGTGTAAGGAAGGGATCCAGTTTCAGCTTTCTACATATGGCTAGCCAGTTTTCCCAGCACCATTTATTAAAGAGGGAATCCTTTCCCCATTGCTTGTTTTTCTCAGGTTTGTCAAAGATCAGATAGTTGTAGATATGCGGCGTTATTTCTGAGGGCTCTGTTGTGTTCCATTGATCTATCTCTCTGTTTTGGTACCAGTACCATGCTGTTTTGGTTACTGTAGCCTTGTAGTATAGTTTGAAGTCAGGTAGCGTGATGCCTCCAGCTTTGTTCTTTTGGCTTAGGATTGACTTGGCGATGCGGGCTCTTTTTTGGTTCCATATGAACTTTAAAGTAGTTTTTTCCAATTCTGTGAAGAAAGGCATTGGTAGCTTGATGGGGATGGCATTGAATCTGTAAATTACCTTAGGCAGTATGGCCATTTTCACGATATTGATTCTTTCTACCCATGAGCATGGAATGTTCTTCCATTTGTTTGTGTCCTCTTTTATTTCCTTGAGCAGCGGTTTGTAGTTCTCCTTGAAGAGGTCCTTCACATCCCTTGTAAGTTGGATTCCTAGGTATTTTATTCTCTTTGAAGCAATTGTGAATGGGAGTTCACTCATGATTTGGCTCTCTGTTTGTCTGTTGTTGGTGTATAGGAATGCTTGTGATTTTTGCACATTGATTTTGTATCCTGAGACTTTGCTGAAGTTGCTTATCAGCTTAAGGAGATTTTGGGCTGAGACGATGGGGTTTTCTAGATATACAATCATGTCATCTGCAAACAGGGACAATTTGACTTCCTCTTTTCCTAATTGAATACCCTTTATTTCCTTCTCCTGCCTAATTGCCCTGGCCAGAACTTCCAACACTATGTTGAATAGGAGTGGTGAGAGAGGGCATCCCTGTCTTGTGCCAGTATTCAAAGGGAATGCTTCCAGTTTTTGTCCATTCAGTATGATACTGGCTGTGGGTTTGTCATAGATAGCTCTTATTATTTTGAAATATGTCGCATCAATACCTAATTTATTGAGAGTTTTTAGCATGAAGGGTTGTTGAATTTTGTCAAAGGCCTTTTCTGCATCTATTGAGATAATCATGTGGTTTTTGTCTTTGGCTCTGTTTATATGCTGGATTACATTTATTGATTTGTGTATATTGAACCAGCCTTGCATCCCAGGGATGAAGCCCACTTGATCATGGTGGATAAGCTTTTTGATGTGCTGCTGGATTCGGTTTGCCAGTATTTTATTGAGGATTTTTGCATCAACGTTCATCAAGGATATTGGTCTAAAATTCTCTTTTTTGGTTGTGTCTCTGCCCGGCTTTGGTATCAGAATGATGCTGGCCTCATAAAATGAGTTAGGGAGGATTCCCTCTTTTTCTATTGATTGGAATAGTTTCAGAAGGAATGGTACCAGTTCCTCCTTGTACCTCTGGTAGAATTCGGCTGTGAATCCATCTGGTCTTTGACACTTTTTGGTTGGTAAGCTATTGATTATTGCCACAATTTCAGATCCTGTTATTGGTCTATTCAGAGATTCAACTTCTTCCTGGTTTAGTCTTGGGAGAGTGTATGTGTCAAGGAATTTATCCATTTCTTCTAGATTTTCTAGTTTATTAGCTTAGAGGTGTTTGTAGTATTCTCTGATGGTAGTTTGTATTTCTGTGGGATTGGTGGTGACATCCCCTTTATCATTTTTTATTGCGTCTATTTGAGTCTTCTCTCTTTTTTTCTTTATTAGTCTTGCTAGCGGTCTATCAATTTTCTTGATCCTTTCAAAAAACCAGCTCCTGGATTCATTAATTTTTTGAAAGGTTTTTTGTGTCTCAATTTCCTTCAGTTCTGCTCTGATTTTAGGTATTTCTTGCCTTCTGCTAGCTTTTGAATGGGTTTTCTCTTGCTTTTCTAGTTCTTTTAGTTGTGATGTTAGGGTGTCAATTTTGGATCTTTCCTGCTTTCTCTTGTGGGCATTTAGTGCTATAAATTTCCCTCTACACACTGCTTTGAATGTGTCCCAGAGATTCTGGTATGTTGTGTCTTTGTTCTCGTTGGTTTCAAAGAACCTCTTTATTTCTGCCTTCATTTCGTTATGTACCCAGTAGTCATTCAGGAGCAGGTTGTTCAGTTTCCATGTAGTTGAGCGGTTTTGAGTGAGATTCTTAATCCTGAGTTCTAGTTTGATTGCACTGTGGTCTGAGAGATAGTTTGTTATAATTTCTGTTCTTTTACATTTGCTGAGGAGAGCTTTACTTCCAAGTATGTGGTCAATTTTGGAATAGGTGTGGTGTGGTGCTGAAAAAAATGTATATTCTGTTGATTTGGGGTGGAGAGTTCTGTAGATGTCTATTAGGTCTGCTTGGTGCTGAGCTGAGTTCAATTCCTGGGTATCCTTGTTGACTTTCTGTCTCGTTGATCTGTCTAATGTTGACAGTGGGGTGTTAAAGTCTCCCATTATTAATGTGTGGGAGTCTAAGTCTCTTTGTAGGTCACTCAGGACTTGCTTTATGAATCTGGGTGCTCCTGTATTGGGTGCATATATATTTAGGATAGTTAGCTCTTCTTGTTGAATTGATCCCTTTACCATTATGTAATGGCCTTCTTTGTCTCTTTTGATCTTTGTTGGTTTAAAGTCTGTTTTATCAGAGACTAGGATTGCAACCCCTGCCTTTTTTTGTTTTCCATTTGCTTGGTAGATCTTCCTCCATCCTTTTATTTTGAGCCTATGTGTGTCTCAGCACGTGAGATGGGTTTCCTGAATACAGCACACTGATGGGTCTTGACTCTTTATCCAATTTGCCAGTCTGTGTCTTTTAATTGGAGCATTTAGTCCATTTACATTTAAAGTTAATATTGTTATGTGTGAATTTGATCCTGTCATTATGATGTTAGCTGGTTATTTTGCTCGTTAGTTGATGCAGTTTCTTGCTAGTCTCGATGTTCTTTACATTTTGGCATGATTTTGCAGCGGCTGGTACCGGTTGTTCCTTTCATGTTTAGTGCTTCCTTCAGGAGCTCTTTTAGGGCAGGCCTGGTCGTGACAAAATCTCTCAGCATTTGCTTGTCTGTAAAGTATTTAATTTCTCCTTCACTTATGAAGCTTAGTTTGGCTGGATATGAAATTCTGGGTTGAAAATTCTTTTCTTTAAGAAAGTTGAATATTGGCCCCCACTCTCTTCTGGCTTGTAGAGTTTCTGCCGAGAGATCCGCTGTTAGTCTGATGGGCTTCCCTTTGAGGGTAACCCGACCTTTCTCTCTGGCTGCCCTTAACATTTTTTCCTTCATTTCAACTTTGGTGAATCTGACAATTATGTGTCTTGGAGTTGCTCTTCTCGAGGAGTATCTTTGTGGCGTTCTCTCTATTTCCTGAATCTGAACGTTGGCCTGCCTTGCTAGATTGGGGAAATTCTCCAGGATAATACCCTGCAGACTGTTTTCCAACTTGGTTCCATTCTCCCCATCACTTTTAGGTACACCAATCAGATGTAGATTTGGTCTTTTCACATAGTCCCACATTTCTTGGAGGTTTTGCTCGTTTCTTTTTATTCTTTTTTCTCTAAACTTTCCTTCTCGCTTCATTTCATTCATTTCATCTTCCATCGCTGTTACCCTTTCTTCCAGTTGATTGCATCGGGTCCTGAGGCTTCTGCATTCTTCACGTAGTTCTCGAGCCTTGGTTTTCAGCTCCATCAGCTCCTTTAAGCACCTCTCTGTATTGGTTATTCTAGTTATACATTCTTCTAAATTTTTTTTAAAGTTTTCAACTTCTTTGCCTTCGGTTTGAATGTCCTCCCGTAGCTCAGAGTAATTTGATCATCTGAAGCCTTCTTCTCTCAGCTCATCAAAGTCATTCTCCGTCCAGCTTTGTTCCATTGCTGGTGAGGAGCTGCCTTCCTTTGGAGGAGGAGAGGCGCTCTGATTTTTAGAGTTTCCAGTTTTTCTGTTCTGTTTTTTCCCCATCTTTGTGGTTTTATCTACTTTTGGTCTTTGATGATGGTGATGTACAGATGGGTTTTTGGTGTGGATGTCCTTTCTGTCTGTTAGTTTTCCTTCTAACAGACAGGACCCTCAGCTGCAGGTCTGTTGGAGTACCCAGCAGTGTGAGGTGTCAGTGTGCCCCTGCTGGAGGGTGCCTCCCAGTTAGGCTGCTCGGGGGTCGGGGGTCAGGGACCCACTTGAGGAGGCAGTCTGCCCGTTCTCAGATCTCCAGCTGCCTACTGGGAGAACCACTGCTCTCTTCAAAGCTGTCAGACAGGGACATTTAAGTCTGCAGAGGTTACTGCCGTCTTTTTGTTTGTCTGTGCCCTGCCCCCAGAGGTGGAGCCTACAGAGGCAGGCAGGCCTCCTTGAGCTGTGGTGGGCTCCACCCAGTTCGAGCTTCCAGGCTGCTTTGTTTACCTACGGAAGCCTGGTCAATGGCGGGCGCCCCTCCCCCAGCCTCGCTGCCGCCTTGCAGTTTGATCTCAGACTGCTGTGCTAGCAATCAGCGAGACTCCGTGGGGTAGGACCCTCCAAGCCAGGTGCGGGATATAATCTCGTGGTGCGCCGTTTTTTAAGCAGGTCGGAAAAGCGCAGTATTCGGGTGCAAGTGACCCGATTTTCCAGGTGCCGTCCGTTACCCCTTTCTTTGATTAGGAAAGGGAACTCCCTGACCCCTTGCACTTCCTGAGTGAGGCAATGCCTCGCCCTGCTTCGGCTCACGCACGGTGCCTGCACCCAGTGACCTGTGCCCACTGTCTGGCACTCCCTAGTGAGATGAACCCGGTACATCAGATGGAAATGCAGAAATCACCCATCTTCTGCGTTGCTCAGGCTGGGAGCTGTAGACTGGAGCTGTTCCTATTCGGCCATCTTGGCTCCTCCACTTGGGGAGACTTAAAAGCCTGAAATTTATTTTACAATCAGTGGCGTATTATATAGGTTGATTGGAAGTGTTTTGCCTTTCTGACTGGCACAGAAAATAATGGTGCATTTTAAAATTTATGGTGTTTTAAGAGTTGGAAAATCAGTGTGTACTGTATTAACATATTTATATTAACAATTAATATTACAATTATTTATTGTTTCCTAATGGTTTCCCGAGTGTGTGGTATATTGCCCAGCATCATTGTAAATTTTGCTACCACGGAAACGTTTTTTTTCCATCTTACTCCCTTAGAATACACTACAGCATCAGATATGTACTTGAGCTTCTTTGATTCAATTAGTGAAACTATTTTAATTAAATTAAACTTGACAAATATAAAAAACATGCTTGGTTAGAAAAGTGCTTTTATGAATTATTGTTATTTTTCTTTTATTTTAAACTTTTCATTGAAGAATTATATACATACAGAAAAGTGCACATAAGCATACAGCTTAATACATTTTCACAAACTCAACATATCCTGGATAGCTAGCACTCAGACTGAGAAACAGTACATTACCAGGACTCCATAAAACCGTCCTTCATACTGTCTTCTGGTCACATGGTTTATCATTATACTGTCATCAAAAAACATAGATTACAAAAAATTAGCCAGGCGTAGTGGCGGGCCCCTGTAGTCCCAGCTACTCTGGAGGCTGAGGCAGGAGAATGGCGTGAACCCGGGAGGCAGAGCTTGCAGTGAGCCAAGATCGCAACACTGCACTCTATCCTGGGCTACAGAGCGAGACTCCGTGTCAAAAAAAACAAAAACAAAAACAAAAAAAACAAAACAAAAAAACAGAAAAAAACAACAAAAATAACATAGATTAATTTGGCAAATTGTGTCCTTCGTATAAATGAAATCATACAGTACACTTCAGTTGCTGGCTTCTTTTGTTCAACATTAAGTTTGTGAGATTCAGCCACATCATTGCATATAGTTGTAGATGGTTCATTCTCATTGATGTATAGTATTCTATTTTATGAATATACCACAGTCTATTTCTCCATTCCACTGTTGATATATACATGGGTAATTTCCAGTTTTGGTCTAATGCAAATAGCATTGTTCAGAACATTCTAGGACATTTCATTTGTTATACAAATGTACTAATTTTTCTTGGATCTGTATCTAGAAGTGGGAAAGATGGATCACTGGGCATGATTGTTCATCCTTAGCAGATGCCATGTAACCTTTTTCCAAAGTTGTTTCCATTTACATTCCTGTCACCCATGTATAAGAATCCTGGCTGTTCTACCTCTGCACCAACATTTGGTGTTTTCTGTCTTTTTCATTTTAGCCATTCTAGTAGATGTGTATCGTATGATTATTTTATTTATTTTTTTTGTATAGGTTTAGAAAAGCTTCCAACAAAGATTTTGGATTTTCTTTGAGAAATATGGTGACAATTATAGAAGACAAGTACTTTAGATTGAGCTATAGGATTCACATGAAAATAATTACTGAAGCTGTTACCATTACTCATTTTTGTTTTTTTTCCTGACACGGTAGTTTGGGTAGTTTCTGGCAATATCTTTCTGTTGATATTTAACTACAATTACTTTTAGCTTTGTGGAAATCTACTGACCATTTTATTTAGTCTCTAGAGTTATCAATTTGGCTTTCCTAACTTCTGAGTCACGAGTTAGTTATGTGAATGCCTGGGAGTTGGGGGTGACTTAACATTTTGTTGATTACTTCCTTAGATTAATATTATTTGTTATTTTTTGTTACACATATTTACAATTAATACTAGCATTGTTTACTGGAAAATAAAGTTAGAAATAAAACATTTGAACCTCACCGATGCTGCAACTATCTATTTGTAAATATATGTTGCAAGTAAAAGCCATGGTTTAAAATCTTTGCATTAAATCCCTAATGAATTAATAGTTCTTAGTGATTTTTTGTATGTTCCAAGATATTTTGTGGGTTTTGAGTATTAGATAATTATCCTATACTTCCATTTCTTTATCCTGTGATTGCTGAGAGCAATACTGTAGTCATTTTTCTTGGCGATATTCTTTCCTACTCAGGAATGTTCAGGCCAAGACATTTGGTCTCTTACTGAATCATAAAGCTGTATTTCTTAATTGTTCTAAAATTAAAGGTGCTGACTTCAGTATATTTAATTCCAGAAGTTTGTACAGAGTGTGTGGCTAATTACAATAATAATTAATTATGACTCAGAAATGAGAAAGGACTATTCCCTTCTGTCTGTCACAATGTTTCATTTACAAAACAAGCAAGGCCTTAGAAAATCACCAAGGGATCAGTGCAGGTTTATGTAACCATGATGAATTTCCAAATATTTCTTTTGTGATGTGGAAACTCAAAGTGCTGAGTACAACCAGGTAGTGATGGAGTGCATGTTAAGAGCCTCATACTGAATGAGCATGTGTAAGACCTTTCTTACATTGTCATTGGGTAAAGAATACACAGTGTTAGGATTTGCCCTTTCCTTGGTAAGTAAGACACTGATTAATTCATAACTTATAAATTGCCACATTTGGTTTGTTCCCTAACTCCAACCTTAAATATGTTGTTATAGTCTCATTTAATAATTTTTTTTTTTTTGAGATGGAGTCTCTCTGTCGCACAGGCTAGAGTGCAGTGGCGCAATCTCGGCTCACTGCAAGCTCTGCCTCCCAGGTTCGCACCATTCTCCTGCTTCAGCCTCTTGAGTAGCTGGGACTACAGGCGCCCGCCACCATGCCCGGCTAACTTTTTTATATTTTTAGTAGAGACAGGGTTTCACGGTGTTAGCCAGGATGGTCTCGATCTCCTGACCTTGTGATCTGCCTCCCTCGGCCTCCCAAAGTGCTGGGATTATAGGCATGAGCCACCGCGCCCGGCCAGTCTCATTTAATAATTCCAAAATATGTTTTAGGACATGAACTCTTTTTAATGTCTTTTGCATTCCCAAATGTCTACTAGATGGGTGAATACATAGTATTAATAAGTATGTATTGAAATAAGAAGGGTAAACATTATATGTATAGTATAATAAACCTGTGTGTAAGAACACACAAAAACTCACGTGTACACCCATATACGTATGGAAAGAAAGACCAAAATATTGAAGATAATTATTTGCAGGTAGTACAATAATGTGTTATTTTTCTATGATTCTTTATTTTACATGTTTACATAGAATTTATTACTGTTATGATAAAACATTTTAATACAAAATTTGAAAATGAAGAGGTAATATAAAATAATGTATTTCATTTGTGCTAAGCAGAGAAACAGAAAGATCCTTGGAACGGATGCCTCAAAACTTTGGTCAAGCTGAATCTCAGTGTTAGATAATCATAGAGGAACTGGCATTCTCCTAATCGTTCTAATATATACATGGGTCTAATAGTCATGAATAGAATAGTTTTGCAAACCTCTGTTGTGAAGGAATACAAAATGAACGAGTGTACCTGCTATTTGATTTGTAGGTATACTATAACTTAAGAGTTTTCTTCTCAATAGTTTTTAAAAAATATGATCATCCATAATCAGTTATAACATTTTGGCTGAAGTAAATTTCAAATATACCTTGATGCTGTTTTAATTTTCTCTTTTCCTTTAATTGGCAAAGTATTGATTTTTTAAGGTGATGCCTCTTGAACCAACTTTCCTTTTGTAATTCTGGTCATAGTTAAATGGCATCATCATTCCTTTTGCTTCTCAAGCTAGGAAGCTGAGTCATTCTAGACTTTTTCTTCTTTTTCTGTCTTGGTTTAAATTGCTACCTAGGGAACACTGAATCTAAGCTATCTTTGGAATCTATTTTCTCTTCTTCATTTCCACTGTCATTGTTTCTTTACTACTTTTCTTTATTTTACACCTATTCTAACTGCCACATTATTGATCATTTATTTATTTTTTGCCTGTTCTAGCTGCCACATTACTGATCATTCTGCTTCCAGCCTTTCCCTCCCAATCCCTCCACCACATTCTTCCAGTAGAATCCTTCTTAAATACAAACTTGATGTAACATCCTGTTTCTGAACTCCTTCAGTGACTTCCATAGATCTTCAGGGTAAGATCTGCCATCCAGCACAGCATGTGAGGACTGCCACATACTTGCAAGTTCTCCCTACCCTCATCACTTACCACTGTACACACACACCAGCTATGACACACTTTAGTATCTTTTCTGATATGGCTTATTATATTGCCTTCGAACATGTTATTTCTTCTGTCCCAGATGTTCTCCCTCTGCTCATCCGTTTGCATCCTGCTCATCCTTCAATTTTCAATCTCAAGTATGCCTGGTCACCTTTCCAGATAAACCAGATTTGACCATCTTCTTTGCCTTTACACCTGACATACATTTTCTGTTATGTATTTATATGTCTTCCCCACTAGACCATAAACCCCTAAAATAGTTTAGCCACTCTTGATCCCAAAGGATGTTCTCTCTCCTATTGTTAGCTAGCTTTTAAGAGATAAGGTCCCCTCTTGTGATATTTAACTCATCTGCTCCCCTCTAGACTGAATGTTTGCATTTACTTTTCCTTGTTATGCATGTTAAAGATTGCAGGAAACTAATTACCTATCCACTCCACCCATTTTTCCAGTTGATCCTATAAAATGGAGGAAATAAGCAGAATTTTTTCAATAAGGATTATAATAGTATTAATAGCAAAACTGAATTTTTTCAGTTTTGAAAGGATCTTCTGTTTCACGCCTTATTTCATATTTACCCAACAACACTCAGACATAGGCACTGAAGCTGGAAAGTGGTGGACCTCCCCCTGTAGAGGGAGCTTTCACCTATGGGCGTAATACAGAGAACAGGACTTGGATGGGGCTGGGATGCTAAAAGTTAATTAGGTCCTAATGAGAGACAGAGACAAAATCACTGTGGGGAGTGACTCTTCTCCTGGTTAATCTGGGGCAATAGATTCACTAAGGTTAGTCACTTCACTACCCACAGGAAGGAGCAAGTCAGGAAGTTGAGAGAGAGTCCTGAACTGTTCACTCCATTACTTCCAGAGTCAGGAGATCAGAACCCTGTCTATTGTCTGAAAAAGAATGAAGTCTTGGAAATTTGCTAACAGCAAAAGTAACAATGCCAATTAAACTGTAAGCAGACTTTTTTTTTAACTAGAAAGATAGCGATTTTAATAGAAGTACCACCTACATCAAGGGAGATGGGTCCTAGCTCATAGGTGTCTTGGTAGATGGTCAGGGTCTCAATGAACCCTGGTCCTAATAGCACAGAATGCTTTTGTAGATCCTGCATCCAAGCAACAAATCCTAGATTTCAGCTCAGGAAGGAACCCAGAAGCAAGTATTCTGATGACAAGAAGGTCCACGGAGCCTGCTCTGGAGAGGTATACATATCTAGTTTAGTTCATTTTAGAGATTTTGTAGAACCTAATGCCAGTTACTTTAAATGGGCCTTGTTCATTTACTCAACAGTTAAGTCTAAAAATGTGATTGTGTCTACAGCTACTGAAAAGTGAAGAAGATATTGAAACTCACCATTGACTGGTCTTCAGACAGCTAAAAAAAAAAAAAATCAGACATTGATGATTGCCATTTGATTGGTGTGGTAAATGGGTTGCAATCAATGTGTGATCCAAAGAATGGAGGTGAATGGAGATTGAGTGAAGGCAATAAAACTTAAGCTTCAGGGCCCTTCTTTTGTGTGGACCCCTTCCAAGTCTCTAAAAAGGGTAATAAAATGTGTTTACAGAGTTACAAATTGAGGGGGAATTTTGCAGAAGTAAGATATTTAAGCTATGATAGACCATTATCTCCCTCAACTTCTCCTCTAGTACATGTTCCTTAGTGTCCAGTGACACTGGGGCGATGTTCGCTATTTTTTTGGACCCAAATTTCTATCAGTACTATAAACACAAGCATAGCTATGGGTGAAGTTGAAAGTTTTGAAGGTTCCTGGAAAAGAATAAAAATTATCTTTCTGTTATTTCTGTAGAGAATATTACAATTTTTTTGTCATAGTAATAGACATTCAAAGATTATACAACCAAAAATGCAGCGAAAAAAATGCCATAGACTCTTGTCAGATGTTAACAAAATTGTTCTTAATTTCTAGATTTTGTGAAATTTGCAGTATTTGTCGACTTTTAACAATTTGAAATTTATGTAAACTATTTTCTCACTTGAGGTAACTCTTTATAATTTCGTATTTCTTAAGGACTTCCCAGTTATGTAAGCTTGAGGCTCTCACAACCCAGATCTGTCACTGAATAGAAGGGATTTTGGAGAACATTTATGTTCTGTTATCTTTTGCTGAGACTTCTCTCTGTTGCCCTCCAGTTGGAGATACAGAACAGTTCTCCTGTTCACAACACTGTTTAGCAGTGGTAAAACAGAGAGAAGATGTTATCCTAGTTTCTAATGGCAAATCCCAAATGAATGTGTGTTCTAATTTGGCACTGTAAGTTACTACAGGCAGGCAACATACTTTGTCACCTTTGTGTATCTAGCACAGAACCCACTATTTGGTGAGACCATACTTAAATGTTCATTGACTTAATATGAAACCCCTTTACAGGCCATACATCTGTCTCATTCTTGAGTTGTTAATATATTGTGATAATTAGATTTAAAATAAATAGAAACAATATTTTTTTCAAAGACCCTAACAAGCCTATGGGTTGGATGCTTTTTTCTTTTCCTTTTTTTCTCCTCTCTTCCTCAACATGTTGAAAATGTCCTCCTGCCTCTGTTTCTTCTTTACTTTTCAAACTCTCCCTTTTCCAGGCATCTGGATTACCTTTTGGTATGCTGATGAGTCTGACTTTCTCTGATTTAATCCATTGCTTTCATTTACTTCCAAAATTTGGATTCTTGCTTTACTTTTTTCTTTTCCCATAGGATTTCTAAGATTTGTACAGTTGTTTCCAACTACCATCTCTGGAGTGATGATTTAGTTGTGAGAGCTATAAAGTTTTGCTGTAATTTATTAAAGATATCTGGCAACTGCTGAATATTCACCTATATTATTGCTAATGTTACCAGTAAAATCCAGGTTGTCATATAAATCGAAATGTCCTTTATAAAGATTAGAGGGGATCTGGAAAGAGTTAGTGTTAGTGAGATTTTTGTGCGTGGTGCCAGATTTTAAAAGCCATATAATGTTGCATTTTTACCATCTCTATAAAGTATTTCCCAATAATTTTAGTCCACATAGATGGCTCATCTTTTAGACTGCCTAAAACATATATTGCCACTAGTATTTATGCCTCATGGAACATCTGAAATGATTGGACCTTTGGAATCCTCCAATTTATCTGCCTATCCAATGCACTATTATATGCTCTATTATATGACATTTGAATGTATACTTCCTAAAGCTCCTTGTTTTTGAAGAGATTATTAGTATATTAGGAGGCTATTTGGAAATACAGAGAATATGATGAGATATTGAGAACTTCACTTTAGGATCAAGACATAATCAGAGTAGAGATATACAAAAGGTTCCTTTTATTGTCCGAAGGGCCCAGAAATTGATGAAACTTGCCTAAAACTTGATTGAATATGTTAAAGTATCTAAAGAGTATGTCAATCAAAATGAGTGCAAACCAACAGGAAAGCATAAGAACAGTTAAGTCATGAAGGTAAATGTTGGTAGTTCCCATCCAACTTCTGTCTGAAAGTGAGGGAGCCTCAACCAGCACTTCTATTGGGAAATTAATTTAATAAAGAAAATTCTATTAAATGTTTAATGCATCTAAATCACTTCATCTATATTATTTCTAAACCCAATAGGCACATGACAGGACAATGGATTTATATTCTAAATGGGGGTTGCACCTTAAGCCAGGACGCAATTTGTTAATTACATAGTCACAATTATACTCAAAATCTGTTGAATCACCCTTAAATTATTACGACCTAGGCCCTTAGCAGCACAAAATCTAAAAATGTATTTGTTTCCTTCTCTCCCAACTCTCTCTCTTTCTTCTTCCCTTCCTTATTTCCTTCTTTTTTCTTTCTTTTTCTGGGCCAGTTGGAACTGAAGTTTCTTTCAAAGGTAGAAATGAGGGGTGATGGACATACAAAGAAATTCACCACATGTTATAATGTTACAATGGTTAAGGGAATAAGATTTAGAGTCCTATGCCTTTTTTGAGTTTTATACTTACTAGAAATCTGTAATTTACTGAAAAAGTAAATATTAATATTTATAGAATACAGAAAAAATTGAATGAGGTAAAATTTGTAACGTTCTTCGCATGGAGCTTAGCATGTAAGTGCTGTTTAAATGGTAGCCATCAAAACAATGATCCAGTTATGCTTTAGTTTCCAGCATAACTTTGCCTCCAGAAGCCAATGGGTTAGTCAATGATTCTTCCTCACTGACATTAAAAGCCTTTTGGGTTCAATACATGTGTATCTGTACCAAAGAATAAGTTCTCCCCAAAATAGACCTAATCCCAGTTGAAATTAAGTGCCTAAACCTAAAAACCAGATCGTAGACTGTACTAAATTGTTCTTTGAAATGAGGTCTATATTTTGAGGTCTTTTAGGAAGGATTTTTCTAACCTTTATATATGCTAAAAGGGACTAATAGGATTTCTACATGTCAAGTATAAACCAGACAATTTTGTATTTTTACATCCTTCCAGTATATGTTGGGGGTGGGAAGAGCAGATTAGAACATATGAACATCTACTTTTCTTAGTCATTAAAAATTAAAAATTATTCTAGTACTCTGTAATACTTTAGCTCATAGTTTCTTCTTCTCTTAATTTTTTATTTAATAACTATAAAAACACTTGGAAGGAGCCTATATCCATTTATGAATTGAGGAATCCTTTGCAGTGTGAATTATTTCACATTCTAACTTATCTATTTTAAATAAGATATTCAGATACTTTTTTTATATAAATTTTTTTTTTGTTTAGTAATGTAAAAGACTGTTTTATGGAAGAGAGGATACCTCTGTAAAGTTGTTTTCTAAACTGTCCCTCCCATCTCCCTATGAAAATCTGGCCAAACTATGACCCTTCCTCCCATGTGCTATGTCTCTATCTATCTATCTATCTATCTATCTCTATCTATCTATCTATCTATCTATCTATCTATCTATCTATCTATCTAATTTTGCAAATGATTTTAGAGATTTCATAGATGACCCTGAAGCTATTCATGGAGTCCAGATTCACCATTTCAAATATATGTGCAATAGTGTTTTATGTAACTACTATACCTGTATACCTTATTAAATGTGTGAGTGTGTATGCATATATGGATAGGTAAATAAATAAAGGGTATGAATGAGGAGAAAGAGTCAGGGCTAGTAACCTGTAATATCAATAATGCTTACGTGCCTCCCTAACTAGGGGTTGTTTTTGTTACTCGTAGCCTAAGTGTGGTTTGAAGTTTTTTCCTGCTTTCCAGGTAGCCAGCGATAAGACCATAACTGGCATATATGTATGTATATACATATGTCTACATGTATGTGTGTATGCATATGAATGTATGTATCTATGTATTTTTATAACTTTTTTCCTTTTAAAACTAGAAAGTTTCAATGGAAGAATTGAACTCACTGAGATTTGGCCATTCTAAAATAGGTATTTAGTAGAAGAAGAAAAAAAAAACATGTGAAACAAGCAAGCAAAAAACCCAAGCAAACAAAAAAAAGATTCAGTGAGAGACATGAATGACAAAAGTTAATTTTCTGTATTTGTATTATTTTAAATAAAACATATTTTTCTGGCAAGCTAAATTTTCTCTCTCATTTGTAACACACTGAAATTGTGACACAAAAATTTTATAAAGATAAATTAATGAAATATACCTTGACACTTTAAAATAACTAGCAGGAATGATTTCACTGTTCATAAATGTCTAAAGTGTGCTTTTATTTTTTTCGGCTGTTGTGTATTATAAAACTTTGATCATGTAGAAGGTGTGGAAGTTTTACATGAGTATTGGGTGCTCATTGAGTTGAAATTGAGAGTTCCTCTTTTCACTAATCCCCTCTAGAGTCCCCACTGAGCCCAAATTTTCTAAGCCATTCCAATTTCTAAGCTCCTCCAGAGAATAGTTTATCCTCTATATAAACTGAGTAAAATTTTAGTTCCAGCAGAAAGTCTGTTTTTTTTTTAAATCCTGTAAATTATTTCTTATTTTGCCTACCTTTAGCATGAGCATTTATGGCTATACAACACATCACCAGCCACACTTGTTTATGAGCACTTACTATTGTTAAAACTCACTGTAGAATTTTCTAAATTAAATAGGTACACAACACCCAAAGAGTAATATAAATGGGTATTATCAGGGGAAGACCCTCTCAAAAGTCTCAAGTGGTGATATTTCTTGGTGGATTAGCTAAATCTGCCAACCATGACACTGGATTTGTCAGCCTCTGTCTGAGTGGATCCATCCTCAGGAATAGACTTGAACTAACCAAACTTAGAGGAGTGCTGTATAAAATCTGAATGCCAGCTCATTCATCTACCATGAGAAATCGAATTGCTTGCAAGTCTAGAACACTTGTGTTGGCACAAATAATACATTTCCTCTCTATAGGCACACGTACAAAGAGCAAATCATCATCTGAAATTTGCCAGCATCAGGACAAGGGGAGACTTGCTCCCAGGCTCTTTTCTGAGCCATTATATATTGATGTTTAAGTTTATTTTCACGGGATGATGTATATCTTCCTTTGTCTAAGTTCTTGTGGACAGGGTCTGCAAGGGGATTCATGGCTTTAAATTCCATTAGATCAGTGACCTGAATCTTTCAAATGAACGACAGATTCAAATCTCTGAGTTCCTCCATCATATTCCCACCTGGGTGCTCAATAAATGCTTAGTGACTTCTAAGCAAAATTGGAAGCATAGGCTCTATGCTATACTGCAGGATAGGAATGAATTTGAACCCAGAGAGATAGGCTCTTCTGGTTATCCAGAGGGGAATCTCTCTTAGCCAGGTTGGAGGTTTGTAAAGCCTGCCATTGCTATAACATAGGGTTTACTACAAAATGATTGTTTTGGAAATGTGGCAAATCTTTTTCATATCAAATACCATATAGATTTAAAGGCTTTAATATTTTTATATAGTGTAACTCTTAACAATTTGGTGCCAAAATAGTGATAAAAATATACAGCTAATCTATTCATTATGTTTGGCATGCATTTCATTTTAAAAACACCTGCATTAAATTTTTGTTTTTCACTAGATATTATTTCAGATTCACTCTTGAAAATTGTCATTTTTTTCCTAATGCTAACTCAGAAAATAGAAAGTGAAAGACAAGATTATGGGATCAACAGGCAAATGCTGCCTTCTTATTAGCTGTATATCTTATGAACTTTGGCATGTATCACTCATTTTTATTCATCTGTAAAATGGAAATAATTGTAGCTATGTACCTATGCAAATGGCAGTTGTGAAGATCAATATAAGACTTTAAGAAGTATCCATCATCTAATAAGCACTACTGTATGCTTGCAGGTGTTAGTGTCAATTTTACACAATTTTTTTTCTAGATCAGGCTTCACTTACCAGATGGATGCATTTACACCTAATCAACTTTCTACCATCACTGAGCTTGAAAAATCTCTATCCAGTGTGACTGAGAAAAATGCATGCATTTTTGCATTTCTTAAAAACTGGCTTAATTCTGTGAAATTTTCCTTTGCATTTAAAAATCCTAAGCTAACCAACTAAATAAAATAAAAATTAAATACAATGTGATGCTAACATTTAAAACCATGCATACAAGTTTGAACTCTATTCAGCTTCAATGCAGAAAATTCAGTGCTGAGAAAGGACTGTGTCACAATTGCACATGGACAAAATACTGCCTTTTAGCACACATTTAACTCCAGGGAAAGACCTGATATAAAATTCTTCCCTCCCTCCCATTTTCTCTCTCTCTTGTCCTTTTCTTTCTTCTTTTATCTCTCCCTCCCACACATATTTAATCAGGAATCTTCTATATTTCATGTACTATATTAGGTTCAGGGACGATAGTAGTGAACAAATCAGCTATGGTGTCTGCCCTCATAGAACTTACAATTTAGAAGGAAAGTCGGATAAAAAATAACAACAGCAACCACAAAAATACTAATAAAGGCATAATTGCAAACTGTATTGAACACCTCACCATACTTCCCCTTTCTTGCCAGGAAGACAAAGGATGTCCTGGGGAAATTCATTTGGATGTAATGCATTACATAAGAAATGCTCTTCCAAACAAAGCTATTCTTCAAGTTCTGTTCACGAATATGTATGTAAAAATTGACTTCACTTCTATTCCTAATGTCTTATCATTCATAATAATGTGTGATGGTTTTGTGCTTTAAAACTATAGTTGTATCTTATTTTAGAGTTGAGTAGATATATGGACTATTTTTAAGCATTGGTTATAGCATGGGCTGCAAAATCTTTATGAGACTATACAAGGGAATTATGTAAAAATATAACTATTGAGCCAGAATCCAACTTGTTAGAGTTTTAAAGGTACGAGAACTCTCAAATATCAGTTTCCTCATCTATCAAATTAAGGAGATGGATTAGATGGTCTCAGAGGCCCTTTGTAGATATAAACTGTTACAAATTGTCAGAGAACCATTTTTATATTAAAACATTTAATGTACTATATAAACAGTTATCTAGGGATTTAAAAAGCTTTTGTGTTGATAAAAATGCATAATTTGTAGGCTCTCACATTATTCTAGTTTTATTCTTTTTTCTTTATAATAGAAGATCATTTCTAATCTCATGAGAACTTTTCTTATAGTTAGACAATTACAGATTTTTAATTTTCTTGTATCTGGCACCCTGAGAAGCCAGAAACTGCACTTATGGTACATTCTGTAGCTTGCAGTGATCTACTTTTATTCACATATTGGTAGTATCTGTATTTTCTAATACAACGAGTTGCATCTGTTTTCAATTTGATTTTTCTTATAAGTGGATAAAAAAAGTGATTTGAGATTCTTGACAGAAGTCTGCACTATGTCTTTCCCAACAAGTAATATTATGATACATGGTAATCCCTTTGTGAAAGCCTCATAAATGTTGGTGAATTGGAAGCAGTATTAAGAGTAAACCAAAGCCCACTTATATTCTGTACCATTTGAACACACTTGCTTCACAAAAATGCAACCAAATTAGGAAGACTTCCATTTTCCTATGAATACTCAAGACTTGGAGACTTCCATGTGTAACTAACAGACAACAAGATAGCTTTCCAACAATATATCATAACCTCTCTGCATTGGGTTTGAAGGAAAGATATATTTGTAGAGCCACCCAGACATAGACTATAAATTTAATGAAGGATGTATGTAAAAAATGACTTCCATCTTTATTAATGCCATTTCATTTCATTATTAAACTTGAAACATCTCACAATTCTTGCTGGTACTTGTTTTCTAATGTTTTTTTTTCTTCTTTTCTATTGAGAATCATTTATGACCAGATTATGTGTGTTGTCCTTAAAACAGATATTCTGTCCATTTGTTTACTTTCTCTCCTTTGCCCTCTTCAGTCTCCATATCAGGCATTATCCTCAAAATTATTTATTATCAGTTAAATTTATAAAATGCTTTCTGAGGCCCAACAACAATCCTTTCTATTTTTTTTTTTTTTTTTTTAGTTAGGCAGACCCTTACAGCCATGTTTTATGTTGACATAAAAATGTCAACACTCTGATTATTAAAGTATGTGTTCTATATATGGTCAATGTTAGTTACAGTCAGTCTGGTCTGTAGTCATATGGACGGATTTGATAAGCCGAGTGATCCATATCCTTCTCTTCAAGCATGATAGATCATTAAGAACCCATTTTTCAAAAATGGCATCTGCTTCTTTAAACAAATATGTTTTATTTCATATGTAAAATTCCATGTGCTTTGTAAGGTTAAATTTTGAGGAAATACATCATTTGATTTATGGGGCAATTAGTTGTATTAAATTTTGTTTTTTTGCTCAATTCATCCGTGATGACACTACAAATTTTTCTTTGTAAAACATCATTTCAGTGTGTCACTCCTCTGCTTGAAGCCCTTTAGTCATTTTCATTGGGATCTCTAGGATGAAATCCAAATGTCATAGCCTGACTTTATGACCATCCATTGTCTGGTCCTGACACAGGCTTCCAGCCTCATCTTCTTCTTTTTTATCTGAGCACTTCACTGCAGCCAGATGTAGTCACTCATGTTCTCAACATATTTGGAGTACTTCGGTCTCTGTCTCAGTGTTCTTGCTCAGATTCTCTCTTCTGTCTGGTTTGAATTTGCCTCTTTTTTTATTTACAGAAAACATTTCTGTCTTTCATAGTCAGATTACTTTACTTTGCCTGTGAAGCCATTGCTGAAACACTTCAGCAATGGCTGAAACAACTAGGGGAAGAGAAGGGAATTTAGCTGGGGAGGGAGAAAACTAAGATCGTGTAAGTATGTGGACTGTGAAAATACTGTGATGGCATTACCATGTGGAAGTACTGTGAGGGCATTTTACATACATTTTTTCAACAGCATTTCTTGTATTATGAATTTCTTTTATTTATTAAGAACATCAGTATTATTACCATTATGACCAATTTCATTGACATTAGTATATACCCACCTTTATTATGTGTAGAGCAAAACACTTTGTTTTGGATGCACAAAGAAGTAGGAGATATGGTTTTTGATACTGGAGCAAGGACAGGAATTTTTATGAAAAAAAAATAAGAAATGCAAAAACATTCAGTAAATCTGAGTCCTAATGACTGAAAGTGTGGTCATCATTACTTAGTACCTGGAAAACCATCTTGAACAAAAACATTTATTTTATGATAAATGTGATTGTTTCATATTGTTATGTGATAATAAGTCTTAGATGCTTCCCTTATCCTTAGGGGGAAAGAAACAGAAAAAAAAAAGGGATACTTTTCACAGAAAATAAAAATGTTGCACAGTATTTATTGCTTGGTTACTTGAAATGTGACCACTTACACCTAAATTTCAAAAAATGTTTTTGTTTATCATTAATAGCTTGACTATAGCTTAATATCCAGCTCTGTTCAGTGTCTTATGCCTCATTACAAAAGAAAATTTTCATGGTGATATGCAGTCTTAAAAGATACGTAAACCAGAGAAAGATGAGGTGATCAAAGGTTATCATGACTAAAATTATAAGATCATCCAAGGAGTACCTGCCCAGACATGCACCATTTGTCTAAAGGGAAATTATCTTTGTTAGTGCAGAAACTTTCTATGGATTCAAAGTTTTTCTTGTTCACAATGAGGCATTAACACCTTTTTAAAACCCAATTTCTTTATGATTTTTAAAGACTATTTTTCAAGAATACACTACTTGGTATTAAATTCTAACCTGAAATATTTTTCTATTCTCTTTAATGCAATGCTTTTCCCATTATATTGTTACTTATTCACTTTATTATAAAAATGACTCTTTTAGTGACATTGCAATTATTTTTCTATAATTAGTATGCTGTAATATATTATAATATACTATATATAATTATAATATAGTATAATACAATAATTAATATGCCCCATTTACTGAAATTGGATTTGATAATTTGCTAAGTGGGTTTCTTTTACAAATTGCATCTGGAAGAATAAAATCTGGAAAGAAAGAATGGAAGAAGAAGGGATTGCACATGTTAGCACTATTATGTTTTTAAATAAGTTCTTATCTCTTGAGACAGCGAACTGTCAATAATATCTCTGCATGTCTCCCCTCACTGGTTTTGTACACTATAGTCTCATTTTAAATGTATTATTCAAGATAGAAAACTTGAAATTTGAACATGGGTTAAACCAGCATTTTGTTTTGAATGTACACTAACCAGAATTAGAAAGAGTCCTATCTTCAGTAATGACCGAAATAAATTTCACACCAGTCCAGGATGTGCCGGAGTCATTTGATCACCCAAAGGACCTGAAACAGCAATGATATAAAACTGCGAATGTTTTCTGATATCACTTACACTTCTCTTTCTCTCTTATAGGTATTAAAATGGGTAGAAGAAGCAGTACAGGCCTCCAAAGTTCACCTTTTATCCACAGATCATTTGGAACAGGCTGTAAATACTTGGAGAATTCCTTTTGATCCCAGCCTGAAAGAGGTCACTGTGTCTTTGAGTGGGCCTTCTCCAATGATTGAAATTCGCAATCCTTTAGGTGAGATATATCAAACATCACATAATAAAATACAAAATACATAGAGGGTAAAATACTTTTCACACACTTGTTTTTGTCAAGTTAATGCCAACTTCATGAATAAATTCAATAAATTCAGAAGTGGCTAAGGAAGGTGTTTAAAAAATGTAACATTTTGAAAGTGCTAACTATTGTTGAATTAACATGAGATGCAAAAAGTTAAAACTTCTCGTATTTAAAGAGGTCAGATGTAGTATACTAATTATATTTAAATGATCCAAAATAAAAATATTTAAATAAAACCTGAAACTTTATATGAGGAGATATTTTACAGTAACTTACTCTGTCAAATTCAGTATTTTACATTATTTTTAAATGGCTCACACCAAGTAACTCTTAAAATAACTAATTTTCCACTCTATCATTTTCTTGATAAATTTTAATTTTACAGAAGATATTTGTTAAAAACCAAATTTATATTCTTAGTAAAGGGAACTTTTAATAATTCACTTTGCCTCTTAAGTATATTTTATAACCATATGATTTGTTTGGTACCATTGCTAGTTGATAACTACAATAAGATTTACATCAAATAACAATCTAGTAAAGACAGAAATCTTTAATCGTTTCTTAACATTTTCATTTAGAAATATTTTTTACCTAATATTTGCAAAATAGTTATATTTCCACTGTGGCTTTAGTTGCATTTTTTTCTCTATATTTATAAATAGGGAAGGGGATAACTGGTTTTCTTACTTAAATAACTAATTTCCAAAAGAAAACAACCTATGAAATTGTTCTCAGAGGCCACAAACACATTGAAATTTACAAGACAAATACAACGTCTTTCTCAAGACTTATACAAGTTTGAGCTTATAAATGGATTTTCCTGTTGAAGTAGCATTCTACTGCAATAACATCCATGTTACCAAGGAAAGACTTGTGTTTTCTACTACCTGGAGACTCAGAGTACCTGTACCCATTGCATTATGTTTCTACTACTTTAAAAAGTCACTGGGCATACAATGATTGTAAAACTTTTGATTCAAACATAGGATGCTTATAACTTATTTCTTTCTTCCTTCTTTTTTTTTTTTTTTTGACATGGAGTCTTGCTCTGTCACCCAGGCTGAAGTGCAGTAGCATGACCTCAGCTCATTGCAACCTCTCCCTCCTGGGTTCAAACGATTCTCCTGCCTCAGCCTCCTGAGTAGCAGGGATTACAGGTGCGCACCACCACGCCTGGCTAATTTTTGTATTTTTAGTAGAGACAGGGTTTCACCATGTTGGTCAGGCTGGTTTTGAACTTCTGACCTTGTGATCTGCCCACCTCGGCCTCCCAAAGTGTTGGGATTACAGGCGTGAGCCACCGTGCCTGGCCTAACTTATTTCTTTATATAACTGGAGAAGTAGTCCATGGGAAAGTCAAGAGTTAAGTGAAAAACTGAACTGTGGCTTAATGCCAAATTTGCTTTTCCTCTTTTCTAAGTTCCAACTATTAGACACTTTAGATAAATGTCAGGTCAGTAGGCAATGGTATCATGCTACTTCATTGCACTGCCTCTTTTAATTATTCCTATGACAGATAAAAGCCTTCTCCTGTGCTTCATGGGAAACCGGTTAAGGTTTTACACTTTGTGTAAAGATATGCCCAGGGCTCTCATGTTAGTAATACTTTGAGTGCTCTCTAGAACGACATTTATTCTGGTTTGCTGTGTTTTCCATCTATTTAATCTAAATCTCTCTAGTGACTCTGCATAACATTTTTGGTAGCCATAGTAATTACTATCTAGGCTGGCTTCGGAAATATGATTACAGTCTGCTAATTGTTATTCTCATTTGATGATCAAGTCAGCATAACAAATAGTAATCCATTATTTCATAAGGTTTCCAATGCCTGGACACCTTAAAATTAAGTATATTTTAGAAATAAATAAAATAATGTTTTGAGCTATGGGTATAAGTGTCAATCAGGTCATAAGATACTGGAAATTGAATGTGTTTTATTTTAGCCACAGAACAGAAAATAAAGACTCTTTGGGTTAGTTTGCAGCACACTTTGGTAAAAAATGAGCCAGTGTTATTTGAAATTTGATCATGCTCTTAGTTTTATGTAGTGTTAAATTAGCTAATATACATAGCTGAGAGAAGGATTGTGCTTGTTACCTTTATGTTCTGTCTTTCAGGGAAGCTGATAAAAAAGGGATTTGGCCTGCATGAGCTATTAAATATCCATAACTCTGCCAAAGTAGTGAATGTGAAAGAGCCAGAGGCTGGAATGTGGACAGTGAAGGTACGGTTGTTTCACAAAGTTTGTTTATTGTTTTATTTTGAAGTTGGCATTTTTCATGAAGTATACACAATGGTTTTTTTAAACATACACTCTTGCTATCATGGAGAGTGCTTGTAATAAAAAGCAACGTACATAGGTGTTTGTAGGTGTCTTGATCACATGAATTTGGTAGTTTTCAGTTTGAGGACCATGAATGTCATCATTGCCACACGATACACTTACAATTCTCAGATAGTTTTCCTATCATCAAATCTGTAGATTTATTTTATTATCTACTTCATGCTTACAAAATAATCAGAGATGGAGCCAACACAGAATAACGGTTAGAGCCATAGGCTCTGTTTTGAAACTGCCTGGGTTTGAATCTTAACACCACGCCTTAACGGCTGCACTGCCTGGGGAGCAGAACTTCTCTGTGCATGGCTTTCCTTCTCTGTCATGTGGAGATGATAGTCACTGTCCTTTACTTTACAGAATTGGGCTGAGAATTAAATTAATATGATACACCTGAAATAGTATCATTTCTGTTTCAAAGCAAGCATTCAAGTGCTGTGTTGGCTTTTTTTTATTTGGTGGATTTCTATTCATTTTCTTCTTTAGCACAACGTGGTATTTATATCCTAAACTTATCTTAAGTGGTATATATTTCCTCTAAGAAAGCATTGTATTTTGGCAGTACGGAGGAAAAAATATACACTCAAAATTCAAGATACCATAAATCGGAGATCTAGTTCTGCTGCAGATTTTGTGTGTGTCCCACTGTGGCAGATGCCCTGAGTGACTTGCCCATATTTCTCAGGCTTTTCAGTGTACTTCCCAATCTAGTATCTGCATTTCTGTGTCTTGGAGGTTTTTTCCTAGAACAGGAAAAGGTTGTTCGGCTGAGGAATTAACACCCCTCGGGAGCAGCTATTAGCACCTGAAGGAACACACTCCAGGTGTCCACTGTGGGAACAGGCTTAAAACACACCCTTTGTGGGCCTCTTCCCATTCCTGTATTATCTCCTCTCTTCCTATTAGCATTCCTTCCAGCTGTCAAATAAACAACTTGCTCTAGAATCTTTCTGGGAGAACTCAAATGAAGATATCCTGTACATTGTTTACTCTTTCATTGTCTGTTTCCTTACATAAAAAATGGAATTAATGGGATCATACTTCAAATTATAGAGCTGCTGTGAAAATATGTGGAGCTGATATACCGTAGAAATTCAAAGAGCCATTTTTCATGCCAGTCAGTTTTTTTTTTAAAGAATAACTCCATTAATGTCCCCAGTTTAAAGAATGAATGTTTACCTTGTAACTCCATTCAAATCCTAAGATACTAGTTTTTTATTCTCAGAACTCTAAGCCCTGTAGGAAAAATAGACACTCTTGTGTAGATTATTTCAAGGTGGATAATAAAAGGGCATAGGTGAAAAGGCATGTGAAAGAAAATCTGGTAACTTCTTAATGAATGGGCCAGAAATGGCCCTTCCTGCCTGTTTTTTTTCCACCCAGTTCCTTGCACATAATGCCTGGTATTTATTGAGTGTATTAGATTGACGAGTTGTTTTGCTGCTACAATATTTTAAATAAATGTGGCCAAATTTTATGTAATGGTTATTTTGACTAACTTGCCAAAAATATCACTAGCATTGAGTCTGACTTTTTGTGACCACAGTAGGAAGGAATTAGAAGAAGTGTCGAGTCTCTTCATCCCTCAAATACTTTAATTTAAGCATGACTTAGCCAGCGGTGTCTTGAGCTAGCAAGTCCACTGGAGTAATTTTTTCTTGCTTTCTGAATATTGACCTTAAGTAGTCCATTATTGACTGTGAAATACGTGCACGTGAGGCCATTCTTCCATGTTAGTAGCAATTTATTGTGCAGTACTTGTACCTATTTCCAGGTGATTTGGACTGGTACCAGTGGTATTTCCTCTAGTAAAACTCTTGCCCAGAGGAGGGATATTGCATGACTGTTATTTTACCTTGTGCCTCACACAAATATTCATTCAGTCATGCATTCAATAAACATTTACTGACTGCTCTTGGCCATGTTCTGTGCTACTTACTTAATGGACATTACGCACATTTTAATTGATAATTAGAACAGAGAAGTAATGAGGATTAGTTCTATGAGTGAGCAGAGCCTTTGATCAGGTGATGAGGTGATGAGAACTCTGTTTAGACAAGTCTCTAAGCTCAGTCTCCTATAATTAAGGGAACAATAAAAAGACACAGTATCTATTATTATTTTATCTTAAATGTTTATCTAGCCTTCACCAAAAGAGCCTCCAGCTCAGATTTACAGCATTTCTAGTGTAGGATTAGTGCTAACAACAACTAAACAAAGAATAAGCATTATAATGAAACTTAAAAATAACAAACTTATTTTGCTTCTATATGAAATACCAAAAGAATGTATCAGGTTGTTACAAAGGAAATTGAACTGAATCTGATGACATAAAATATTGCTGTTGACTTTGGATTTCCCTTTTGGATGTCTAATGAATGATAAATGTTTTACATGTGCACTTTCTCAAGATGAGAAATGTCTGATATTAGATAGTGTTTCCCTGGTGCTATCTCCCATGCACTGGACTATCTGGAAAAGGTCTGCTCTATCACTGAAATTAATATTGGCTTTTTGAATGTTTCACATAACAGTTTTTATCCCAAATATGGAGAACGATCTATCTATTACTTAACTTTACCTTGAGGCTCAAGGACCACCCAATTGAGCCTCAAGCCAATCTTTCTAGTTATCTTCTATCACTTGTCTTTACATTTTTGTCAAATATAATTTTGTACTGTCTCTCTCCCCCCACCACATTCTCTTACCCCATGCTTTCTTTCAAGCTGTTCCTTCCCCTTATAATGCCTTTTCTTGCATTCTGACTTATAACTATCCCACAAAGTTCAGCTCAAATGACAAAACTTTCATCAAACTTTGTCAGATTTTTTTTTCCCTAAAATGTTCTTTTCTCTCTGGCTTTCTATTAAATTTTTCTGCACTTCCCTTTTGGATTAATTTCTCCCTTATATCATTTTTATTTCTGTACATATTTTCTCTGTCTCTTTTTCTATAGACCAGATTTTGCCACTAGTATATGCCACAGTGCCTGAGAAAGAACTATATAAATATTTATGAATAAAAATTAATACATTTATTCTGAGGATATCCAGGGAAGCAGGCAGAAGAACTGGTTTACTTAGCCTGTAGTGGAGGTGCTAGCATGGAACACTAATACGTTTACGATTTAAAATGATAAGAGAGTGGCAGTTTCTTTTCTTCTGTGATTTTTCTGGTAAGTACTTTACTGTTCCATCTTAGGGCACTTTCACTAAGCAGAGATAAAGAGTCAACTCATTTGTATAATTCACATAAGTACTCAAATATTTTAGGTTTCCTCTGATGCAGGTAAAGCATGTTAAAAAGAAGTAACTGGAAATAACATAAAGTTTTATTAAAAACAGAAGAGAAGATTGTTTTATGCTCCTAAATTTCCATTTGTAGGAAAGCTACAGATCATGGATCTTATTTCTGAGAAGCAATATGATTTTTCCATTCAGCAACTAATATAGAGTATTTGAATGTAACCACAGAAACTCTTGAGCCAAATTTTGTCCTCTGCTTTTTAAAGGAAACTCCCTGCAAAGACATTAAATAATTGTCAGCACCCAATGGGTTTAGGTGGTACAAATGTTTATATTAGTCTAGGATTATCAGTGTGATCATTTAATTTAACATATCCCCTGGGGTATGTTTCTATTAAGTACATTTGGATAAACTGTCTTTAGATAATCTCCCAAGTACAGAAGGGTGTGTACCCAACCGCATGATTATACTGGGATTCTGAGACTAGTAGAAATATTTTGGTTTTGGATAGTTATGTTGGTAGCCAGAGCCTACTAATGCCTTTTCTACTGGGTAAGGATATTTTAAAAATCATACTCAAGTGGCATAAGCTTGTTTAGGAATCATAATTAAATTAACCTTGAGTCTAAAAGGACCACACATGAAGATTATTATGCTGGCCTCCTATTAGTCTTTCCTGGTGACTCTTATGAATAAGCCTGTAGTCTATACAAGGTGTGTTAAGTAAATAGATTAGGTGTAGCATTAATGTTTTGGGTCAGTGGCATGTTTGATAATAGATTTTTCCTGGAAAATTTTCCAGTTTTTTGGCCTTCCAATATCGGACTGTCAACCAAATAGAATGCTTCCTTTATAAAAAAGACATGTGTACACTTAGGTACACATGCACATTTTTATGTATATGTGTGTGCATATGCGTGTGTGCATATGTGTGTGTGTGTGTGTGTATTTAAGTAGAATTTATGTTTTGGATACATTTCCTAATCACACATTTCTCCAAATGCATAATGCCCAACAAAATAATGGTATTTAAATCTAGCTTCTATGATTGTGTCTTTGACACAATGCCTAGCTCACAGTAGGTTCTTAATAAATATTTTATTGAAACCATCTATTCTTTAATTTGTAAAGAATTCAAAACTTAAGAGCAAATACTTTGAAAAGAGGTCGACATCTATTTGAATTCAAGATTCATTACTTAAAGTCTTTTTGTTCATGGAGAAATTACTTAACCTCTCTAAGTCTGAGGAAAGTGGGGGAAAATAGTGGCTACCCAATATTGTCATGGTTAAATGAGATATTGGTAAAGTGCTTCAGCAGTTTCTGACACATGAATTAGTTGTTACTAAAAATGTTGACGCATGAATTCTGACACAGGTTAATTAGTTGTTCTCTTGAATACATGTAAATCATACATTGTATCTTTACTTTCTTTTAATGCATATACACTGAATTTTTCTTTAGTTTTTGTGTTTGTCTTACTTTGGGCACATTTACTATTTTATAAAACATTGAAACTCTGTTGGAGAGAGAAAAACCATCTCTATCAGTCAAATTTTAATTCAATTTATAAAAGGTAAGGTTTCATATTTAGTGCTAGGAGGAATTCTCCCTGGCTTAATACAAGAAAGTTAATTCCTCGCTAATGTTCTGTGTTCCATGGGGTCTGGTAGAGTATTCTGCTTCACAGTCACTCAGGAACCCAAGCTGATGGAGGCTCTGCCATAATTTAGAACATGCAGCATCTTCAGTCACTTAATGAGGAAAAAACCTGGAGGATGTGGCATTGAATAAATAAAAAGAAATTTGTGTTACTTCTGTCTCATCCCAGAAGTGACACATTTCACTCCCTTATTACCCAGTAGGCAAGCTGTTATCATGGCCTAGTGGTATACTAGAGCTAGCTCATAATGACTCATGGAGAGTCAATGATACATTTCTCTTCCTAGCTCTGTGTTCAGCAACATCATGTTGGGAGCTAGGAATCAGCTATGATGGGAATATTTACACCACAGAAATTGAAAAATGCCAAAAATTAGGGTTTTTTTTGTTAGAGGGGAATTTACTAGCACCCCACTGACCTGACTTTTCCTAACTGAAAAGGTACTCAGAAACATAGAATGGCAAAGAAATAGTTGGAGAATATTATTGTTTTCTATGCCATAGGGTGCAAATCTACCTAGAAATTATGTTATTCTAAAATACCATGCACAGAGTTAGGTACCTGAGAAAGGCGTTGAACTTGGAATAATTGCCATTTAAGTTGCTGTCTACACCTAGGTAAATATCATTTTTTTGAACCTCTGTTTCTTTGTAGTGCCATAAAATTATCTTTGGACATAACAGGGTTTTAAGAGATAACGTGTGAACATACTTAGCATAATGCATCTAGAAACATTTAGTGAATTCTTGATGAGTATAGCATTAGCTGGTCTGAGGAATATCTAAGAAAAAACATCAACACTAGGCATGTGGATGGCTTTCATGTCATTTATTAAACCTACAAAACCTACACTTATCACGTGCCAGCTGAGTGACATTCTGTGGGTGATGAATATGAAATAGTTACTGCCTTGAAGGGACTTTCAATGTAGGCAGGCATTTAACAGGCCTTCTTCGCCTTTAAACTAAGAAGTAAATCCATCTGCAGTAGAGCTGACCAGGAAGATCTAAGCTGAGATCTCAGAGGAGCAAGTAATTTTCCGCTGGAGCTCTCCATGGTGCTTGTTCAATTGTCCTTCAGCCTGTCCTGCTCCTTCATTCTTGGCAGTCTCACTCCAATTGAGAAACCTAGACTCTGGTTCACTCTGCTCCTTCTTTTCCCTTACTGCATTGTAGGTCAAGGCTACCTATTTACAACTTTAGGATACCAATATATTATCTCTGTATTAGGGTTCTCCAGAGGACAGAAATAATAGGATATATACATATATGAAAGGGAGTTTATTAGGAAGAATTGGCTCACACAATCTCAAGTCAAAGTCCCACAATAGGCCATCTGCAAGCTGGGGAAGAAAGAAGCCGGTAGTGACTCAGTCCAAGTCCAAAACCCTCAAAAGCAGAGAAGCCGACAGTGAAGCCTTGAGTCTGTGGCCAAAGGCCCGAGAGCCCCTGGCAAAGCACTGGTGTAAGTCCAAGAGTCCAAAGGCCGAAGAACCTGGAGTCTGTTGTCCAAGGGCAGGAGGAATGGAAGAAAGCATCCATCATGGGAGAAAGATGAAATCCAGAAGACTCAGCAAGCCAGCTTATCCCACCTTCTTCCACCTGCTTTGTTCTAACCGTGCTGGCAGCCAGCTAGATAGTGCCCACCCACCTTGAGGGGGGTCTTCCTCCTCCAGTTCACTGACTCAAATATCAGTCTCCTTTGGCAACACCCTCACAGATGCACCCAGAAGGAATACTTTACCAGCTATCTAGGTATCCTTCAATCCAATCAAGCTGATACCTAATTTTAACGTATCACTAGTATAACCTCATCTTTGCCAAACCGTGACCTTACCTCACATCTGCTCACACTGCAGCAGCCTGTGTATTCCTGACTCAGACCCCTTCACAACTTAATGAACGTGATACTACTCACTCAGAGGAGTAACGTGGCTCATTATGTACGTTTAGAAATTTTATGAATAAATTGACTTTGAAACACAACTCTTCCTAGCTCAGATAAATCCTGTTCAACATCTAATATCTAGAAAGTTTCCTGTTATTCTCTGAGACTGAATGCTGCTGCTAGATTTCCCTCTTCTTATCTACAGAAGCCATGAGGTTAGGGTAACTCTGCAGGAGTAATACTTCAAGACATTCTGTGGTGGAAAGGTGCTTTTTGTAGCCATATTCTAATTTTAATATAACCCACAGGTTGAATCTAGATGATAAAAAAAGACCAAATAGAAAGACATTAAGATAGTAATTTTGGCCTCACTAATTTTAGGACATATATATATATATATAATTTTATTACATTTATAAAAAATTTATTAAAATGGCTAACATAATTTGGAAGAGAAGGGAAGGGAAAGAAATATGGCTGGACCTCCTCTTTGCTTGACTCAGTTACAGAATTAGCTTAATTTTCTTTGCCCCTCCAAGACCTTGGTGTCATTTGGTTCTCCTCTAACCCCATCAGGTTCATAACTCATGAGACTCCAAAGTCTTCTCCCAGCACTCCTGCAGTTTCCTAAAAGCTTTCTTGCTTATGTTCTCATTGCCTTCTGATTATTTGTGTTGATTATACCTTTTTGTACTTTGATGCAGGGCAAAACTCAGCCCCTTCAAAATATCACAAGAAATCTAGCAATAGCAAGCATTCTGTGAATTTGGTAGATTTACTCGTAGATTTGGGGGCTATGTCAGAAAGCACCTTGTGCTTTTCCTGCTCTTTCCTTGGCCACCACCCCCTTGCCTCCCCAGTACATTTCTCTGCTTCTTTCCTCTGGATAGTCCCAGAAGTTCCATATAACTCTCCTCCTATTGTGTAAAGCAGTTCAGCATATTTCAACATTTACCCTCAAACCAGCATAATTAAATTCATTGAGATCATCATGAGAAACGCGTGGGGTAGCTGTAGAGTTTGGTTTCTGGAGCTTCACCGAGTTCAGACTCCAGCTTTGCCACCTGCTGTATCTGTTACTTTGAGCAAGTCACTTAACCTCTCTTATTCATGAAGTGAAGATGGTAATAATACTCTCTCACAGGGACTTTTGTGAGGATTAAAAGTGAGAATTTGTATAAAAAATTAAGCTTTATATATAGTGTGCATTTTGTGCACATTAGTGCTTTTTTCTCCTCCCTTTTCCATTTATTGGTGGGTTATACCCTCATACACAAAACCTGTTTGTTTCTATTACACTAATATTTTTTAAAGGGAGCTTAGACAAGAAAGAGGTGAAAACAATAGCTTACTTTAATAGATATCAAACTATTGGCACTTTCTCATGAAGAAATTTATGTGGTGTTTAGTGTTCCTAAAATACTGTTCAAGTATTAGAATTCTTTTCAGAGAACAATTAAATAATGATAAATGCATGAATTAACATCAGAGGCTATTTTAATACTAAGCTGTTTTAAAAACTTTAAATTAGCTCATTTTTTTTCTTTTTATTGTATGTTTAAACCAGTGTTAGTTTATTTGGGATGTCCTTTGTTTCCGTTACCCTGGTTAGCCCAGAGTTGGATTAATTGCATATAAAAATGGACTCACTTGAAGATATCTTTTATTTACAAACACTTAAATTCATCAAAGACATTCCTACTGTCTACAGTATAGTATAGACACATGAAATTAAGATATTTTGTTATTTATTACTCTTCATATTTTAGCAGAGCAAAATACTCTTCATATTTCCTCAGAGAATAGTAAACCTATATTCTTATTTTGCATACTTTATTACTTGGTGTGGTCTTTGAAGGATCAAAGTTAATTTTTATTACATTAATTTTATATAATTTATAAGGGGCTCCCTCTTCATCAAATCTACTTTAACGTGTTATTTAGTAATAGATGTTAACATATTTTCAAACACTTGTATAATTTCTGTTTTTTTTCACTCAGCTATTAAGTACCACATTGTTGAAAACCACCTTTGTTAGTTGATTTATGCACAGAACACTTGGCAGATGATTAGCACTTAATAGCAGTCATTTGGCAAATTACGTGTCATATTTGCCCTTAGTAACCTCAACAGCTGTTTCATCATAAGGGACTTTCTGAGGAGCAAGGCAACTAACAGTAATATATGATGTTAGTGAAAAAATAAAAATTAACTCACCGTAAGATCAAGCATTCTGACTGACTTACATGAAATTAGTAGGTGATAGTGTCTTCACTAAAGCTCTACATTATCTAAAGAAATTGACATTAGAATTACCAAAGTTTTATACAACCCTACAGGAAATCCCTGATTTAAAATTGAGTCATGATCCATAGTTTCCTTTTTTAATTTATTATGTGGAATTCATAACACATATTCATTGACAAATAATGGGATAAGGGTTGTACTAAGATCCCTACACTTACACATATAATCTTTTGTAACCTTTATGCAAATGAGCCATAGTAACTAGCTGCATCATTTATGCTAAGAATATAGCAACAGCTTTCATGATGATGGGTTTTTTTCTTCTTTCTCCCCTTCATTTTACTACCCTTTGAGTTCTTGAGATTCTGCTCAATGAGGAAGAAACATGGTAGCAACAGGGACAGATCTTCTCTTCCTTCTTCTCCACATTGCTAAATAACAAGGAGTTGCAGTGATTCAGGGAATATTGCGTAGTTTGCACAGCTCTGGAAGTGGCCCACTGGTAACCATGGTGTGTGAATTCATCTGGCTGTCCACCAGATTAAAATGTATATACACAAATACGGCTGTCTACCAGATTAAAATTTATATATATATACTTCCAGTGCATTCTGTCATTGCTATAATACCTCAATATGTGCCTTCTCAGTGTTGAGTTTGAAATTGATAATTGGTACATTAGAGTTGTGTGAATTTTTTCTTTCACTCCCATCTCCTACTTCTACTTAAATGCTGGAATTATGTGGTCATTTTATTTTGAGACAGAATCTTGGTAATCTATGTAATAAAATAATGGTGAACTCTTGTTCATAAGTCTTAGGTGGTTTTTGAAATGCAAATTCCTAGACTGCCCTGACCTAATATTCAGATTCAGTAAATCTAGGCTGGAGCTAAGGACTTTGCATTTTTAATAAATGCTGAGTGCCTTTGCTAGAACACTGCTGAGCTGAGGATGCCAGGTTGCCAAAATCTGAAAATGGTCGGCTCTATTGCTTGCACTGGCTGCAATGTCCTAGAGGCAAAGAAGAAATAAATATTTTCTAGAATTGAACCTGGATGTATTTGTGGAAGAAGGTTTCAATATTTGCTAAACATCTACTATGTTAACAATAGTGACCAAAACAAAGATCCATACCCTCATGGAGCTTTTACAGATTTATTTCCAGCCCATTCACTAGTGACTAAACCCTTACATCTTTTATCATTAGGCATGAAACATATTACTGAATTGTTTTTTAGAGCTGTCCCCATGGGGTATGTATTACGAAACTTGCATTTAAAATATAGAATCCTAGTTATGTTGAGAACATCAGATCAGAGCCTCAGTTTTTGGACATCGATCCTAATTAAATATTGTGCAGTTTCCCATACTGGCGAGGGTTGCATATGACCAGCATACTGGATCAACTGCTGACCAGGTTTGTCATTAAACATTTTCAGACCTCAAGCAGTGGAAGGCACTCTGTTCGCATTACTGGCCTCAGTACTATTGATTTCCGAGCTGGCTTTTCTCGAAAGCCCACCCTGGACTTCAAAAAAACAGTCAGCAGACCAGTGCAAGGTTTGTATGTGCATATTATTTAAATTGACATAATAGATATCCAAATGAAAAATATTTCTCAGACTGTCTATAATTTTATAATTTTGTAGTATTCAATAAAATTGAGAAGCATAGCTTTAAATGTGACTGTTCTCTTGGCCTAATCACTTTCTCAAAGTGTAATCCCAAGACCACTGATATAAAAATCACTCAGGATGCTTGTTAAAAATTAAGATTCCTGGACCCCACTCCAGATCTCCTGAATTAGAACCATGGAAGGTAGGGCCCAGGAATATGTACTTTAGTGAGCACCTCAGTTTATTCTTACACTTACTAAATTCTGAGAATTACTAACCCAGATCTTGAGATTTTTTTCCTTACCGAAATCTATAAATTACCTATTGTCAAGGTAAAATGTGTGTATATAGCTGAAAAATTAAACACGTCACATATCATTGTATTTCAAAGATAAAATTATTGATTTTTAAACCTTGTCCTCCTCTCATTTTATTCATACATTGAGATTTATAGTTTTCTAGCTGAAAAGAAGCTTAACTATAATGTAACAGTTAAAATTTGTTCATTTATTTTTATTGCTGCATTTTCTGGAAAGATACAAAATAATTTATCTTTAAAAGTATTCATGTGATCAAACATATAACAATTTTCACGATTCTAATTTTTTTTACATGTAAACATAGTTAAAATACTATAAAAGTTATTTCTTAGGATTTCCTAAGTTTCTCTGGTCATGCATAAACTGTCTTTTATGTAGAAACAATTCTGCAACTGATCCAGAAATTGTAGGCATCCTTATGGTACTCATATATTATTATCATGCAAATACTTATTTGATATATAACTTCAATTGCTTGTTTCTTGTAAATGATAACAAAATCTTTCTCTTGTAGGAATACCTACCTATGTACTGCTCAATACTTCTGGAATTTCCACTCCAGCTAGAATAGATCTTCTTGAACTTTTGAGTATCTCAGGAAGTTCTCTTAAGACTATTCCTGTTAAATATTACCCACATCGAAAACCTTATGGCATATGGAATATTTCTGACTTTGTACCACCAAATGAAGCTTTCTTTCTCAAAGTAACAGGCTATGATAAAGATGATTACCTCTTCCAGAGAGTATCAAGTGTTTCCTTTTCTAGTATTGTCCCAGGTGAGACATCATTTTATTCAACATTGAAATATTGACAGTTTAAGAGGGTGATGTTGTCCCATAGGTAAATAACGGACTATCAAATAAAAAATAATGTCTTCATATTATTACTGCATCACCAAATTGATGGATATTTACATGTACGGTAACACAGTTTTTCTTAGCTGTTAAATAGCACATCCAAAGTTTCATGTTAAGTCTCACTGATTGCAGATCTGAGAATTTTGATTAGTCAGTGTAAGAGCTGGAACTGGAAAATTCTGGTACTATCTTTTCCCCTAAAAAAGCCAGGCAGATATATTTGCTTAAACTATCTAAATTGGCTAAATGTTTATATACAATTGTCAGAAACTTTCTGCTCCATAGATGGTAGTTCATAGTAAACAACAGGTGATCACTGCCTTTATTTGTCTAGTTGATTAGTTAGCTAGTTAATTGTACATTTGCTACTATGTAGAGAGGAGATTACAGGTGAGATATTATTTGGAAGCATCAGGTAGCATTTCAGCTTAGCTGTACTTGAGCTATTTTTCAAGGCTCATGACTGAACTCTGACCCAATCTTTTTTTTTTTTTTTTTTTTTTTTTTTTTTTTTGAGACGGAGTCTCGCTCTGTTGCCCAGGCTGGAGTGCAGTGGCGCGATCTCGGCTCACTGCAAGCCCCGCCTCCCGGGTTCACGTCATTCTCCTGCCTCAGCCTCCCGAGTAGCTGGGACTACAGGCGCCTGCCACCTCGCCCAGCTAATGGACTGATAAAGATACAGAATTGTTTATAAAATTGTATAGTACTATTAGTGCTATTAGGTGGAGGGACGAAAATTTATCATTTATACATAAGATAGTGATTTGGGAAATTCAGGAACAATTCTATAGCTATTGTTGAATAGTTGTAGAGTGGTAAGAATAGAACCAACCTCAATATTTCCTCATATACGATATTCAAATTTGGCTTAGCCCCTAATTTGCTACAAAATCTGATGGATTCCTAAAAGTCATTTTTTACATTTATTTTGGAAAAACAATTTGATTCTGAGATATGTGGGTTCTTAAGTTTTTGAAATAAAAACATATTCTAAAATTGATATATTGTTGCTTATTTGGTAGTATTTTTTCTATCTTGGTGGTACAAAAAAATACTATGTCTTAAAAACTATGATGTCTTAGATTCAATGAATACTGTAGTAAGGGGCTCATAAAGATATCCAGAAATCAACCAATTTTGAACAAATAAAGATAGAAAAAGTAATTTTTAGTGATCTGGGTTAATTGGAATGCAGAGGATTTACTGGAATAATTTAAGTATAAAGATTTTGAATGGATTAAGAGGCAGTACTTAACATCATTGTGACCTTCTTGCTTAAGTTTTTTGTTTTTGTTTTTGTTTTTTTTCCTAGATGCTCCCAAAGTTACGATGCCTGAGAAAACCCCAGGATACTATCTGCAGCCGGGCCAAATTCCCTGCTCTGTTGACAGTCTTTTGCCCTTTACCTTGAGCTTTGTCAGAAATGGAGTTACACTTGGAGTAGACCAGTATTTGAAGTAGGTACATGTTTCTGTCAGTAATAAGATTCAGCATTTAACATGTAAATATAAATAGACTATTATTGCAGTGTACTTTTTCACTGAAAATTCTCACTTGCTACATAGTCTGGAATATAGCAGTGAACAAAATGGACACAAATCTGTGCCGTTGTGGAGCTTATATTGTCATAGATGGAGACAGTAAACAGAAGCTAAATATAATAATATAATAAATGCTTGAACATATTCAAATGTTGACTCATGTGTTATAGAATCTGAATGTTTTTTAATTTGTGGGTCTGTTCTTAAGACAAATACAGAATTATGAAAATGATGTTAAGTACAAAATCTTGAAAGGAGACCTTGCAAATGAGAGGTCCTGAAGCTTTAGCTTTATTGGCTTCATGGTAAAAGTGTTTCTGAATCTGATTTAAAGTGTTATGATAAGTGAATCTGGTAAGTGTAGAGCGGGTTAGTTGGGTTGAATAATGCCGGTAGGTGGAGTGGATGTAGCATTGGCCAATTTGAAATCCTAAAATTCAGAGTAAGGGGCATTGGAGCAAAGACATAAAGATGCCAAGAAAGATGATCAAAAAGGTATCCAGAGAAGGGTATTCAAACACCAGGAAGAGCAAGTGCAAATGCATGAAGGCTGGAGTGGACTGGGCATGTGGGAAAGACAGACAGGAGGAGGCCAGTATGGCTGAAGCCCATTGAGCCAGGAGGAGAAGGGGAGCAGAGAAGGTCAGAGAGGCATGGTCTGTGCTGCAGGTGAGTGACAGGTGGGTCACAGCAGGTGTGGCACCTGCATATAACAATCAGCAGGAGTAGGCTAGAGGCACCGACTTTTCCTTGTGAAGTTGGGTAACTTTTTTAGACAAATACTAGTAATTTCATGATAAAAACTAAGCAAACCTTGAAAACTGGAGAAAAATATTTCTGGAAAGTGTTGCCTTTTAACTTACTGTGAAACAAACAACATTTTGGGAAAATCTCTGGGAATTATTGTTTTATCAGACTTTTATACTGTTAATTCAATATCAACATAACTTCCATAAGATGTTAAATGTTTGACAGTCTCAGCTTATACAATCGCTTTATGGGGAGTCATTTTAATCAAAAATTTATGGCAGGAATATTCATCATAACTAGGACATTTTCTACTCTTAAAGATTAAACTGTATTATTTCCTGCCCCTTACATAGTATATCTTAATGATTTATTTAGCTGTGTATTTAATAACCAGCAACGTAATTGACCGGGATATAAAATGATGAAGCTACATAACTAGCTGGTGAAATCAAATAATTCTGTTTTATGTTTAAACAGTAACATTTTTCAAAGACACATGAGATTCTTTAGAAACATTAATTCATTAATTCCACACAGTTCCTGGGAGGTAAGCCATGAGAATTCTTTTTCTCATTTTTCCAGCTCTGTGGCCCAGAGATATGACATGCTTTGCTGACATGTATTAAGCTCTTTGGATGTGACAAGTTAGAGACAAAATTAGGCATGAGTGATGATAGACTGATACCCTAATCCTGATTCACTCTCATGTCCCTGCCCTAGATTTCCTAATAACATGAAACATGTGACTTAATGTTTGTTTATGTCAGTCACTTTGGTCACCAGGGGATGTAAGAGAGAATCCGTTTGCATTAGCAGCAGGGTGCATTTTTATTTGACGTGTTCTTTTCCGTATTCCAAAGTCTACCCTTCAAAACTTTTTTAATTATGTCCACATAGTGCTTAATGTCAACTGAGAAGGCTCCATGAAAAAGGGAATTATTTTCATGTAACATTTCATCATCAAGAAAGGAACAAGTATAACTGTAAAGAACATTCTTCAAGCATTTAGTAAACTGGTTGTATGTCTTTGGACAAATTACTTGTCCTTTCTGTATCTCAACTTTCTCATTTTTAAAAAGGGATTCAGAACCCAAAGAATCGTCAGTTTCTGTTCTAAAATTTCCATCAATCTGTTTTTGATGAATTCTAATGTATGCTCAGCTTTTAAGTAGGCACTGAAGAAAACACCAAAGATGTATGTATTCCAAACCCCTACCTTGCTGAAACTTACCAGTACCTCCTAGATGATGACATTTACAAATTTGTGCTTAGTATACTCCTGTTAAGCATCGAAGATACAGCTTACATGATCAGTGTGGTATGGAGTCAAGCAGTATTCTGCTTTTATTCTGAAAGTGACAAGAAGAACCACTGGCATGTAGTGCCTACAGAATTGAAAGGAAGCAATGTTTAACTAAAGTGAATTTTCTCAGCTACTAAAACATATGGATCAATGACCTTGCTTTGTTTCTCACTTTCCTAAGGCACAGAAACCTGTTTTAACTTTTTCTTACAAACCCTAGTTGTACCAAATACGAGTTAAGAGCTCAGTAAGTTCTTCATGGTTTTTTGATGATAAGTATGGTGTGTTTGGATGGGGAGCGATCTAGAGATATCACCATAAGGTATTATATTTTATACCACTTTCAGAATTCAGTGGTAAGTCTCTTGACTGCAGTGGGCTTTTTGCCTTATCTATATCTTGATTTTTTTAAGGTTATAAGTAGCTATAGATGATACGGGAGAAAAAATTATGAAAACATTTTTGACATTTCAGCCACACTTTAAAACAGGATAATGCCTATTTTTGTAGATCATCGAGCTCTTTGAAACAGATTAAATATCTATTACTAAGATACTTCCGGAAAATGAGAAATAATTTGAACAGTGTTAGAGGGCAAATAATAAATATTTATTAAATGAATGAATACATAATATAGTAGAGGGATTTTTTTAACCTACATGATAGAGTTTAACTATAAAACTGATCATTTGTTTTCATTTCTCATTGTGTATGTAGGTTGAATGATATATGGCCTTATATCTTATCTAAGTGGAGCTTATCTAAAAGAAAGTTAAGGAGAATTTATCTTCTTAGAATCAAAAAGTAGATTTCCTACCTTCAAATTTGTATATTGCCTAATTAAATTGCTTTGTCTAAGATTCCTACTGACATGACCAAAAACTGGAAAAAATAAAAGCAGAGAGGATTAATGAATATTTCTTTGCCAGCTCTGTTATCTTATATTTTGACATAGCTAGAAAATATTTCTCTAAATAAATTTTCAATCTCTATAATTATTGTTTATGTTGTGTCTTTTGCTCAGAGTAGAAAAGCCTCATTTTCTAGTAAAATATAAATGGTGTGTCATTTTAAGTTAAAAAGAACTCTGCAGTTTTATCAATTTATTTTCTTTACATTGTTCTTTTGAATGAACCTTCAAAAGAAATAGTTAATCATTGCTTTCAACTTGGTCTTATTTTATAGTAACTAAAAGTTTTCCATTTTCTTACCTCCAGAGAATCTGCCAGTGTGAACTTAGATATTGCAAAGGTCACTTTGTCTGACGAAGGTTTCTATGAATGCATTGCTGTCAGCAGTGCAGGTACTGGACGGGCACAGACATTTTTTGACGTATCAGGTAATTACCACTAATTTCTTTGCAGTTGCCCAAGTATTAATGCAGCTATGGAAATGGGATGTTTGTTAACCAGTTTGTGTTTATACAATTGTCTTTGCGATTATTTTATTATTGTCTATCTCTCCACTGAATTGAGAACTCAAATCCTGTGCTCACCATGTATCAGATACACGACTCTCCTTGGGCTAATTGTTTAAGAACTCAATGCCTTGGTTTCCCTAACTGTAAAAGAAAGCATAATAACAAGAACCGTCTCATGGGGAAACTGTGAGGATTAAATGATATGTAATATATGCAAGGCACTTAGAAGAGAGTCTGCCACAGAGAAGCACTTAATAGACATTAGTGATTATTATTATTGTTATTATCATTATTGTCAGGGATTAATGAATAGTTTTTGAAATGATCATATAGCATTTTCCCGTGAGAAAATAAAGTTTAAGTGAAGGATCTATTCTAATCAATACAAGGTTAAATGTTCCCTTTTCCTCTTCCATATTCATAATGAGCAGAGCACTTTTATGAATAGATTCTGACATTTAAATGGAAGATAATAATGAAAATGATTACATTCTAAGAACACAGGACCTCAGTGGCTACAATATTCGCACTAAGACGGGCAGAAGTAATGCTAATTATTTTACATTCAGATAGTATGTTTCCTATGAATAGATGGGAGATATAGTTCATATTATTTTATATACATTAAAGTGAAAAAAATAATTTTTCCTCACATAATTTTCAGGGGAAAAAAGACTACCATTTATAATCAATGATCAGGATTAAGCCATTTACTCAGCATTTATCTATAATTGGAAATTTTGTTTTGGCTGAATGATTTTCTACCTGCCTTGTGGACTAGTGTTGCTATGTGTTTAACTGTAACCTATTCTGACCTATATATTGCTGCTGTTGAATTTATTACAATGTCTATATTGCTTTTAGTGCTGATGTGCATTTTCTTCAGACAATTTAAGACAAAGGAAGCTTATAATTATAGGTATATCATATATTTAGAAGTCTAGGATTTGTTGTTCACTATCAGTAAGTTTAAGGTGAACCTTAAAGCAGAAGCATGCAAGTCAGACAAGCATGTTCTTGCAGTTAAACTATTTGTATTCTCTTACTGCTAGAAAAATAAAGTTTGTCTTCTGAAACAATTTAGCAAGTTGACATACATCACAAACTATTCATTTTTTCATGTCCAGTAATTATGAAAAGCATTGGAGTCATGTCAACATTCCTCAGCTCCTGGGAAAACAAACACTTGAACACTTGAGTATTTTTCCCAGCAATACTTTTTAGGAGAAGGACAACAAGGAAAGAGGTTTGAGTGAGTTGATTCAGACATCTTGCATAAATAACTGGGAAGTGCCAGGAAGAACTTGTGAACTGACTGTCATGAATTGGGCTTGACGGTGTCAGGAACTTCCATATGTATATTCTACACATGCCCTTCTAGTAGCCATCTGTGATCTGTGCCAGCCAGGCAATGGAATAACTAGGAAATTGTACTGTGCCCAAGCTGATTTTCAGGAATTGTTTTCCACTCAGTCAATTTAAAAAGAATACGGTGGAAATGGTGATGGCAAGGGCAATGACTATAACAGCAGAAGTCACAAGTGAGTGCCCCTTTGAACTTGAAAGAGAGGACATTTTTTTTCTGGGTTAGCTGTTGCCTAGTACACCAGCCTTTAAGCTCCACTCACTTCTGAATTTCCCTTAGCCTAGGCTGAGGTCCCAGCTCAGCCACCCCACTGTAACTACTTATCAGCACACTGGAATCAGGTGCAAATTCACAGGATAATTCGATCTTATATTTTTAAAGGGATATTAGGAAATAAAGCATTATTTAATACTAATATTCTCATGCCATTATGGATATTATTTTATTTTATAAAGTCAAGGAACACCCAAGAGCAGTTTAAAGAAAAGCCCAAGTTCTACCAATATGTCGCCTCAATTTTTGCCAGCACTTTTTTTCTAGTTGACGTGTTTGAGGACTTTTGGTTCAATTGAAATGTTGGTTATTGGGTTATTGATTGTTTTAAATGCACAACAGGTGTAGAAAGCAATGTTCTTCTCTTTTATTGAATATAAACACATAGAATCTAATGAATAAAACTGCAGAAGCATGAAAAACTTATTCTTTTCATTACATTTGGTAGTTTAGTTTGATACTAAGTTATATTAATTATCTGTACTGAATTGTTTTACTAACACAATGACTTTCACCCAATACACACACACACACACACACACACACACACACACACAGAGTACTAAAATTCTGAGTTTAGGTAAAATTCTGAAGAGCGAAAACTTGTCAAGGGCATGTCAGTGACAGGAAACCTTAAATTATAATTACAGAATATTCTTTTAGAAGGCTAAGATTTGGAAATAATCTTACACCACCTTATCATTTGATAGCTAAAGAAACAGAACCCAGAGAAAGCAAGTGACCCATTTATGATCAAATGGGTAGATAGGTAATAAGATGTAGGTTCCTGGCCTCCTGATTCTCAGTCTCATGGTCTTTACTTAATGTCCCAAGCCTATGCTTGTCATCTTTCCTCCCTCATTATTGAGGTTTCCTTTCTGCTACCCTAATCCTAGTCTGCTTTCACTCAGGAATGGCTGCTCTTTGTACTCCTAGAACAGGTTATTTCTGATAATCTGTAATCTTGGCCTCCTTCACAAACTGCTGTAATTCTCCCGCATCACTCCCCTATTCCTACCAAATTTATTCACATATGCCTAAATATTTCAATGTGTATAATATTTATTGTCTTGAGGTATTTAGGCAGTGGTGGTGTCGTATGCCATTATTTCAAATCTCATCCGCTCATGTATGTTAGTAGAAAGTTGGCATGTACTTATTTGAATTTATATCTGAAGAGGAACTAGAATCTGGGGTGGAGTTTGCATGCAAGAGGGTTTTTGGAGAGTTCTCTAGGGAAAAGCACCTGTAAGGGGATGAAGGAAGTGGAAGAAGAGGAACTGTGCTACAGCTGCAGTAAGGGCCTACAGGGAGGGCCCTGAATTGAGCCAGGAGAGCTGGGTCTTTCTTCCTTCATTAAGAAGTAATTGGATGTGGGCAGCACTGGAAAGGGGGGTCTAACCTTCAGCATGTTTGTTTCATAGGGATCTGAGAGCTAGAAGGAGTCTTTATGATAAAGTAATCATCTTATTTTTCAGATAGAAAAACTGAACTATTAATTTCACTAAATTGGCTTATCTAAAGTCACACAACTAATTAGGGGTAGAACTAGGTGGCCTATTATTACCAAATTTAGCAAATTAAAAATACAGGATGCCCAGTTAAATTTGAATATCACATATGTGTGACCCAAATATTGCACGAGGCATATTTGTACTAAAATATTATTGTATTTGTATCTTAAATTCAGATTTAACAAAGTGTCCTGCATTTTACCTGGGAACCCTAGCCAGACTCCAATCAAAGCTTCCTTTACCTGTATTCTTTCCAATGGATTCACTAGCTATTTTCATAAGATATTTTTAAAAAACATAACAAAATAATTAAACATTATTTTTATAACTTAAAATAGCATATACTACTTAGAAATAGCTTGGAAAACAATGATAAATATAACAAAATATGGAAAACACATATATCACTCAGAGATAACCACTGTGGTTTTGGTATATTTGTTTCCAGTCTTCATTCTAGGCTTATGATATTAATCTGCACTCATATATAGTTTTAAATAGCACAGGGATAAAGTTTGATCTTGAATATTTGACACACTTTCATATTAAACTAAAACAGACACATGAATTTCTAGCTAGCATAGATCACTGCAGTTTTTATTGTTGCATTATTTATAATGTATTGCTACAGGAGATCATTTTAAAGCATTTGAGCAGAGAGAGCTTTGGAGAGAGAATTTAGATTCACTCTCAAAACTAACTAGAGCTAACACAGGAACAGAAAACCAAACACCTCATGTTTTCACTCATAAGTGGGAGTTGAACGATGAGAACACGTGGACATAGGGAGGGGAACATCACACACCAGGGCCTGTTGTGGGGTGGGGGATGAGGGGAGGGAACTTAGAGGACAGGTCAATAGGTGCAGCAAACCACCATGGCACACGTATACCTATGTGACAAACCTGTACGTTCTGCACAGGTACCCCAGAATTTAAAGTAAAATAATAAAAAGAACCAACTAACTAGAGAAACATGTGATTCTCTGCAGAAATGTTGGTTAAATATTTAATTAGTAATTGGCCTTTGACCATATCTGAAACACATGTGTCACTCAATGCCTTTTGTGTATATGGCTCTATGTGTACAATTTTATTAATGGTCTGTTCCTACTGTTCACCTGAACTTCATAAATCAAACTGTTCCCCATTTCTGCTTGAACATTTATCTTACTCTTCTGTTGTCCTGTGTTTCATTAATGAGACTGTAACCCCCCTTAAAGATGATACTGTCATTTTCATGTCTATTATCCTTTGTGTGCTATTTTCTTTACAACGCTAAATACATATTTTTAAAATCTAAAAGTTTGCAAATGCTGCTTTCATCTATAAAAACTTTGCCTCCTTTCACAATCCTCAGTCAGTCAAGTTATACTCTTTTGCCATGGCTCTTTGACTCTCATGTCTATAATTTATAGATTTGGCTTGAGTATCCTTTGGTATGTAAATGTGTACTACTTTCTAAAGCATCCTTTAAGTGGTAATTTTGAGGGGGCTCATAGACATATGCATTAATTGAGTAAGTTCTGTTGCACTGCATCTTTCCTACTGGATGTTCAGTACATACTTATTCAGTTTTTAAACCACATCTGTAAGTGAGCAAAATGGCTTTTAGGTCTCTTGATTTGAATTTTTTGATTTCACACAGAGCCCCCTCCGGTCATCCAAGTGCCTAACAATGTTACAGTCACTCCTGGAGAGAGAGCAGTTTTAACATGTCTCATCATCAGTGCGGTGGATTACAATCTAACCTGGCAGAGGAATGACAGAGATGTCAGACTGGCAGAGCCAGCGAGAATTAGGACCTTGGCTAATCTGTCATTGGAGCTAAAGAGTGTGAAATTCAACGATGCTGGAGAGTATCATTGTATGGTTTCTAGTGAAGGTGGATCATCAGCCGCTTCAGTTTTCCTCACAGTGCAAGGTACAGTGCTTTGGTAACTTCTGAATTATGACATCTTTCTGTCCTCTATTTTTAAAATTTTTGTCCTCCCAAGTTGGCTATCTGAGAGTGAGAGTATCTACCCAAATAATTACAGTTTTAAGTGATAGAATGCTTAACATACTCAGTGGTCTACAGCCAACAAAACTGGAAACTAAAATGTCACTAACAAATAGGTAACTTTAATACAATCACAGCTAATCATAGTAGTTGAAGATGTTTATTTTAAAACAATATAAAAATTGTCTCTGGATAAATAGTTTTAAATTCTTTAATCCATCTTGTGGATTTTTTTAAAAAATACTAATTTTATTAATAATTGGTCAAAAAACAATTTCTTCCCAATTTAAGTACTGTATTTTTGCATACATAACTAACTTGCCTTTTATTGTTCAATTGTTTAGTAATCTCTCACTAATGCCTTTAAAATAAAGGTTTAAGATGCTTCTCATCTTGGTGAAATTTTATTGAAACATAAGCAGAGTGGTTTTTAACCTTATTTGTCTTACACACACACATACACACGCGAGTGCCTGTTGAAAATAAACTAATTGTGAGCCAATTTTGAATTATGTATACATTGACTACTGAATGTTCCAATAGTTGAAAACAAGTTTATGAGCAATGTGGTTAATGGCTACTAAATATATATTGTTCAGGACCATGAAATGACGATCAGAAACCACTCCAAAGTTTCTCTTTCAGTGGAAACATATTTGGCTTCTAAAAGTCTAAAGACCAGCAGGGAATCTTAATGTAATGAACAAATTACTGTTGGCGGTTTTTCACTGTTAAGCTGAAAGGTTCAGTTGCTGCCTCAGCAGAATATTTTATTTCAGTTCCTTGATGTGGGAGACTGATTGCATCAGAATTGGGTCTAGCTATTTGATTGTGGTATTAGAAACAACTTTATAACATGCCTGAAGTAACATTCTCAGGTAACTTTTTAGCAAGGTTACCTAAGAAAATGACCATTCAGTTTCAAGGCTAAATCTTAGAATGTTATTAATGACAGAAAAGCGAAACTACCATGAGAATTAACAAAATGGTTGACATCTGATTATAGTTTTCTCCTTGGTAGTTGAAATATATGCTGCAATCAGAATGTGTGTCTTTTGTTAGTTGATCTGGGGAGTCGTCTAGGGAAATGTTGCTTTTGTAAATGATTCACCACATTTCCACATCAAACTGCCTAGATAATATGAGTCGATCCAAGTTCTAGCAACTTGGGTTACTAGAACTCTGGAACTATTTTACCAAACTGATTGTTTCAGATAAAATAAGTGCTAATGGACTTCTGAAATTTGAACTTGGTTCTTTATTTGAAGTCCCTTAGAATGAGATTGTAAAATAAAATCAGAGCCTTCCTTGTTTCTCCACGTTAACGTTATAGTCCATAATTTTTCTATTTAGTGCATTAGAGCAGTGATTCTCAAACTTCTGTGAGTAAAGAATTACCCAAGGACTTTTTTAAAAATGCAGATTTCTAACCCCACATCAAGAGATTCTGTTTCCATAGGTCTAGTGTGTGGCCTGGGAATCTGCATTTTAACAGACTTCTCAAGTAGTTCCATGGACATTTTCTGAAAACAGCATATACATCCATCCTGCAGAATGAACCATATGATCTAGAAATGTGTATCTTTAAGGGAAGCTCTTGACTCTCTTCTTGCTGGTAAAATAAAGCCATTATTATCCAACAATTTTAAAAAGTGCTGAGGTAAGATGTTATATAATACACAAAACATAAATATAAAAAAATATGACAGTACATTATTACTGGGTAATCTGTACTAGTGGTGTAAATCTGTCTAGAGGTGTTATTTTATGGCCTGTCTAGTTGGCCTTGAGTTTGAAGGGCCAATTTTGATGATAAGGGATATTTCAAAAATCTAACAAAAATATAGTCTAGAATTGATAATACTGCTTAGTAACAATAACAGACTTTTGCTAATTGTGGCTATCTAAATGTATTATTTTATGGTTGAATGTACTATAGAAAAGCTATGGGTATTTGATGAAGTAAACTGCCATACCTAGAGGTAAAGTTTATGATAATATGAGAAATGATAAACTGTTGAGATTAAAGCTTACATTACAAATTAATTTCACTTTAATGCAGCTAAATCTTTTTAAAAGCAGAAATAACAAATAGTTTTAGAAAACTTAAAAGACAAAATAATACTTGGATTGAATACATACTTTAGGAATAGTTTTCTTGTTTAAAGGGGAATCAGTAGCTTAATTCACAGCCTCATTTATGTTGTTATGCTTCCACTGGTGTGTTTGGGAACTAGTTCTATCTGGAATACTTTTAAGAGTTAAAAAATCTAGATTTTACAAGTTTTTTGTAGTAATTTTACAAAATATAATTAGCAAGAATTTTCTTCTTTAAGATAGTATATGTCTAATATTGCAGCCCTTCTTTACCTGACAATAAATTATATATAAAGACTTCAAAAAGACAAAGCTAAAGAATAGTAAAAACTAGCAGCAATTAACAGCAGCAAAAATCCTAGGAGGAATTTTATATGTATTACATATAAATATTTTTTATTATGTAAATATGTATATAGAACATTTATCTATATTTTAAGATCACTGGAATGAAAATCTTGACAGTGCTCCATCCTTTTTCTGTTCACATGAAAGTAGGAAATATCTTTGTCCCTGTTTCGTAGTTTGCTCCAAAAAGAAAATGTTACTCTTTGAAGAAGCCAGAATGCTATTTTCTCATACTCATTAATAGCTCTAACTATCCAAATTAGGAAACTAGCAGGACAGAAAATGAACAGGCAACCTGGTTCCAGATAGAAAATTGTAACCTTGGATATATGTAACCTGGGATGTATGTTTCCCACCAATGAAAATATTTGAAAGCAAGAGAAACATCGATATGAATGTCAGTTAGAAATTTTAGAAACAGATGGTAGCAGAGGGGAGCATCACATCTCAGCCAAAAGAGCTCCATAGATGAGGACTGGGCAAGGAGCCATGTACATCAGACTCTCACTCAGCTGCAGAGCTGAAAAGGGGGTTCAGCTCCTCCAGAACAGAAGCAGAGTGAGAATGAAGTCAAGTCCATCCAAACACTTTGTTAAAAGACACTAGTTTTGGATGAGTGTCACCTCATTTGAAGATGAATAAACAGAAAACTATCAAAATAAATAAAACAGTGGAGGGAAAATGAAGCATAGGACTTAAGTAGAAATACTGAGGAACAAAACAAGGCGGTCAGGGAATACTTAGAAGAAATGGATGCTTTGAAAGCAGCTTATTCTAGAGACTAGGGGAAAAAATATTTGGTCTGCCCATTGTCTTTCAAAAAGACTTCAATTCTTTTAGATGACAGTGTGTATTCATATGGTGTCTTAGTCTGTTTTTTGCCACCATAACAGAATACCTGAGACTGGGTAATTTATAATGAACAGAAATTTATTGGCTCACAGTGCTGAAGGCTGGGAAGTCCAAGATCCAGACTGGGGCATCTAGTGAAGGCCTTCCACTTGCATCAGCACATGGTGGAAGGCAGAAAGACAAAGAGAGCAAGAGAGCAAATCTACTCCTGTGAGCTTTTTTTATAAGGGTATTAATGTTTTCATGTGGACAGAGACCTAAACATCTCCCATGAGGCCTCATCTCCCAACGCTGTTGCATTGGAGATTAAGTTTTCAGCACACAAATTCAGGGAGACACATTCAAACCATAACATAAGGCAAGAACTGGCTAAGATAAAAGGACAATAATAAGTGGAATGGGCTGGACGCAGTGGCTCACGCCTGTAATCCCAGCACTTTGGGAGGCCGAGATGGGCAGATCATGAGGTCAGGAGATTGAGACCATCCTGGCTAACATGGTGAAACCCTATCTCAACTAAAAATACCAAAAATTAGCCAGGCTTGGTGGCACACATCTGTAGTCCCAGCTACTTGGGAGGCTGAGGCAGGAGAATTGCTTGAACTTGGGAGGCGGAGGTTGCTGTGAGTCAAGATCACGCCTCTGCACTCCAGCCTGGGCAACAGAGCGAGACTCCATCTCAAAATAATAATAATAATAATAATAATAATAATAATAATAATAGTAATAATAATAAGTGGAATGGAAGAAGTCAGAAAAGATTTGATTTTAAAAATGCAATATTTTAGTGCAAATATGTAATAGAGGCACTAAAGAGGAGAATTTATACTATATAAAAAATCATGGATGTGGTGCATAAATTTGAGAAGTCTTTCAGAATATTGAAAATAACTAACAGTTGAATAATATGATTTTTTAAGTGGAAATTAGAAACAGAAGTTTAATCTAAAATTTATAGGAGTTTAGGAAGCAAAGATGATTGAAACTAAAGAAATAGTCCAAGATATAATTGAAGAAAACTGTTCTAGGGAGAAAAAGTTGTCTTGGGTGAATAGATTAACCAAGGTAAATGAAGGGAGAACTTCATCTAGACACATCCTGGCTGAATTTGATATTACTAGTAGGAAGAATCTGCTCATTCCCCATAAGCATATGACTAAACCCATTGTAAACAGAAAGATAAAATCAGATTTGTGTCTGACTTCTTATGCTAAAAGTTAGATGATAATTGCAGTGGATATTTGTTATAGTTTTGCTTTTAGGGTCTGAATACTTTCCCTAATTTGTGGAGGAATTATTTATTATCTTGGTGGGAAGCAGAAAACAAGTGAGGTCAGATAATTCATTTTCCTTATTCCCTAGATCTCATGACCCACAGCCAGCCACTCATATGCTCCCAGTGGGACTTGGACTCTTGCCAAGACCACGAACACTTAAAAAATTCCAATTTTTGGCAGCATCATTGAATTTAGAGTCCAACAGCAGAAGCAAATGTCCCAGTGGCCCTTCACCATCACTTTAACAGACTGATGTTGGCTGTGTTCTCAGCGGTCTAGCCATACCATTTCTACCTGATATCCAGTTTCCTTTTGATTCTGTACCTCAAAAAAAATTTTCCCAATGAATTCCTTTTCTGCTTAAGTCAGCCAGCCTGGTTCCTGTTGTTTGCAATTGAGAATTCCAACTGACACAATAATAAGAAAGATGCAAGTAGTTTTGAAAAAAAAGGAATCCAAGAATTTAATCTAGTTAAGTTGTCTTTCCTATGAAAAGCCATCAAAAGGACATTCTCAAATATTCAAGGGTTCAGGAAAAATACCAAACATATAGCTTTCTTAAAATGATTTATTAAAAATGCAACTTAACTGCTTGAAGTAGATCTTAAAAAGGAAAAACAAAAAAATCAAAATTGGAGAGGCCATGGTATGAAGAACTGGTGAACTTCCCTCAGTGGCTATTATCAGGTTCATTACCAACTCATCAAAAAAGCTTTGGGAAGCAAAGCTAACCTCAGAAACTATGGCTGTTTGAATCAGCCACACTGATGAGCATGTGAGAATGTGAATGAATTGATATGCTTATTTCATTATGAGAATTCCTTACCACGAGGATAATGGTACAATTAGACACAGGAAATTCCCCAGGAAAGGAATCCCCTCAAGCAGGGTTTACCACAAGACTCAGAAGTCCCGCTATGCAAACAAACAAATGGAAGCAAACACTGCTATGCTAGGAGAAAAAAGATGTCTAGATTGATGTATACAAAACGTGTACATGATTGTTTGGGGGCAGCAGAACTATAAGTGACTTTTTGACTTGTAGTTTTTTTGTTTTTCTTTTTTAAGATCAAATTCAGGCAGTTAATTTGCATTTTTCATAAATCATTTCATACTTTTCTGTACTTGAAAAATTACTTAAATGGATTATTTTTAAACTTTGTGTAAATAGGATTTAAATTTTCTTAAATGCTCATGTTAATTTTATTAGAGGGTTGAATTATGCATGAGTAATTTCTTCTCTTTGTTTTCTAGATATTGAGAATGTGCCTTATCGCTTTCATATTTAAAATAATTGAAAAAATAAAAGACAGTTTAAAAATAAGAAATAACTAAGAACACAAATTAACAAATAATGCCTCTCAAAAAGAAAAGCAACAGCACTTAAGATAAAAATAGATTTTAGGTCAATTTATAAGAAGAAACATCTCCTATCTGCTTTATATAAATGGAAGTATAGATTATAAAGTAAGGATCTAGTGATATATTCCCTTAAATATTAAAAAGTTGAGCTCTAAAAAGTTTATTTTAGAGAAAATAATTCTTCCCAAGGTTTATTTGTAGGCAGCTCTAGTTCTGTTAGGTATAAAAATATGACAACAGTTTCACCACTGCATGTTGAGTGGTGTAAGTTCTTTTCAGTAGAGTGGTAAAAGTGCTTTTTTAGTACAAATAACTGAGGTATGGTATCAGCTTATGCCACAAAATTATTGCTTTTTAAAATGACTTAAAGCTTATTTAAATATATTATCTTAACAGTAAGAGAAACTAACACTTTATGTAAACATAAAATAAGATGATACTCAGCATGCTGTGGTGGCATCTCTTACTAACTTTAGCTTTCATGTATTAGTACTTTGATTTTCTTTGTCATGTTCCATTTCACTTATTAAAAAAAAACTGTCATGGCTAAGTTTTCTTCTCCCATGAATAATCTATGAACTGCTTCACCTCTAGAGATGGACCTATTTTAACTTGCTTGTGCAGGATATGTTTTAATTCTGGTTACTAATGAGCTAGTCTCTCTGAGTTGCTGTTTTCATATGTAGAAAAAAATAGACCTTCTTTCTCTTTGGCTGTTTTCTTCCATCTTTGTGCAAACTTGGCCTTTGCCTTCAAAGAATATTATAGCACACTCCCAAATCATGATTGGGGCAGAACTTAACTTTAACAAAATTCTATTGACAGAGAAGTTTACTTTTGAGAAGGCTGGCTAATGTGATTTATTTCCTACAGTTGCTAGTCATCTAGAAGCTTCTTTAATCAAGCTACATATTTTTCTTCTCTGAACACTTTTTTTTTTTTGAGACAAAGTCTCGGTCTTGTTGCCCAGGCTGGAGTGCAATGGCACGATCTTGGCTCACCCCAGCCTCTACCTCCCAGGTTCAAGCTATTCTCCTGCCTCAGCCTCCTCAGTAGCTGGGATTACAGGCATGTGCCACCACGTCAGCTAATTTTGTATTTTTAGTAGAGACGGGGTTTCTCCATGTTGGTCAGGCTAGTCTCAAACTCCCGACCTCAGGGGATCTGCCTGCCTTGGCCTCCCAAGGTGTGTATTTTTAGTAGAGACGGTGTTTCACCATGCTGGCCAGGCTCATCTCGAGCTCCTGACCTCATGATCTGCCCGCCTCGGCCTCCCAAAGTGCTGAGATTACAGGTGTGAGCCACTGCACCTGGCCCTCTGAATACTTTTTAAAGAGTATGAGATGTATTTAAAAATGGTAAGTTCATGGAATTTACTTTAAGACCATTAGTGTTGAGATGACCTCGCTTGGTCTTCAGAATGGATTACTTATAACTATTCCACTTGTTGGGAAGTTTATCTCATATCTATAACATGTCAGAAGTTATTCTACATATTTTAAAAATCTATATGGTACTTAACAAGCATCTACCACATGGAGTTATTTCTAAATTAAAGAGTGTCATAAAACAGTCAAACTTAAAATGTTAAGTTAGAACATCTGACTGTACAAACATTCATATTTGAAAGCTTAAAGATCTGGAATTTTGTAGGACTGTGTTACAGAGTAAGTCCTTTAAATTCTTTCTGAACCAAAATGAGGTCTATGAAAAGGAATAAATGCAAAATTTCAATTGATAACTAAATTAGATTTTCTTGTAGGAAAAATTTGGTATTCACGTAATTTCTCTGCCAAATGTAATCTACTGTCTCCATGGTTAGAGGCAAGTTTCTGTTATAAAACATTCCAGTTTCATGCAATAAAATATATGAATGAATATCATGTTTCAGTTACTTTTGCCTTTCATCTAAGAAATCTGTGTACTATAAAGATGTTAGAGAACTTTAATTTTAGATGAAAAGAGTGATCTCTCTAAAACTTAAAGAAAAGAAATATTAAAGTGTCTTTAAATAGAACTTATAAGGAAAGACTAAAGAATTAGACTTATTTAGATTATAAAAGACAAAAAAGGACTGGGTGTGGTGGCTCATGCCTGTTATCTCAGCACTTTGGGAGGCAAGATGGGCAGATTATTTGAAGTCAGGAGTTCGAGACCAGCCTGACAACATGGTGAAACTCCATCTCTACTAAAAATACAAAAATTAGCCAGGCGTGGTGGCACATGCCTGTAATCCCAGCTACTCGGGAGGATGAGGCGGGAGAATCACTTACACCCGGGAGGCGGAGGTTGTAGTGAGCCGAGATCACGCCACTGCACTCCAGCCTGGGCCACAGAGTGAGACTCCATCTCAAAAAAAAAAAAAAAAAATCAAAAAAGAAAAAAAGGATATGAATGACTTAATAAGTAATTCAAGTATGTAAGAAAATTATTATAAAAAAGTGATACACTGTGGACATTTTAATTTTCAGCAAAAATAGACCATGTGAATATGTGTATTCAGCCAAGTCTGATGGCTTTAAGTGAGCTAGTGGAAAAGATGTCTAGGTGTTGGAGAGGTTAAATGATAGAATGCAGTAGCAGGGAAAACGATACTCCTTTCTCAATGCATTGACTGCTGGGAAGAGAGGTCTAATAGGCAGTTAGCAAACATATCAACCCACTGAATTATTTAAAGAAAGCTACCAACTAACTTTTTTAAAATTTTGGGAGTTCATATCATACTTAACTTCATCTAATTCTCACAGACGGCTGTTATTTACTATGGTCAATTTCAATTTACAGCGCTTCTAAATGTGTAAATTTTTTTTTCCACACCAACAACCAAATCTCCAACTCTCTAGGCCCCAACTGGGTGTCCATCAATTTAATTCAATTCAGAAATCAACTCATTTAGCATGAGACCCCACAGGTTAAGGGGTTAATCCCACAAAACTGCACCTACTTTAAATGCCAAACACAAGCCCTGGGCTTCCTATACTTCTGATCAAGCAGGTATAAATCAAGGGTTCCCATAACCACTTATTCAGGTTCAATAATTTGCTAGAATGGCTGACAGAACTCAAGAGGCATTTTATTTACTTTTTTTTTTTAATAATGGATACTGCAAGAGGGGGAAAAAAAGCTGTTTTTCCCTCTACTCACATACCACTCAATACAACATTTCTGACATAGGATGTTTGCCAGTTTATTAATGAGGATATCATAAAGGACACAGAGAAGCAGCCAGAGGAAGAGATACATAAGACAGGGTCTTGGAAGGATCTGGATGGCAGGAGCTTCTGTCCCCATGGAGTTGGGTTGTGCTACTCTCCTGGCACTTAAGTAAAGTGTTTTCCTGCGCTCCGAGAGCTACTCTACAAATTGATTGAACCTGACAAGGCGGTTGTGGGAACTCTTGATTTACAGCTGGTTGGTCAGAAGTATAGGCGACAAACTATGACTTATGATTGGTATCTGAAATGGAGGCACTTCACTCCTTGTGGGAATGAGCCCTTAACCTGTGGGACCTGATGCTACCTCCAGGTAGATAGTGTCAGAACTGAATTAAATTAGAAGATACACAACCGTTGTCTGCTGTAGAATTGCTTGGTGTGTAAGGAAATACCCCCATACATCTGGTGTCAGAAATATTCTGTTGAGTGGTATTAGAGTAGAGGGAAAAAATAGTTTTTTCCTTCCTTGTAGATATGACTCAGGTACAGTCAGATGGAAGTCGTGCATTGTACAAAGTATATGGGAGGTGGGCAGCATGGAACTTTCATGCCCTCTTCAGCCATTACACCCTCCCAGCACCTCAATGTGTTCAACAGCCCAGAAGCTCTCTGAAGCCCATAGTTTAGTGTTTGTATAGAAGTTCCATTATGTAGGCAGGATTAAATCATTGGCTGTTTGGTTATTAACTCAATCTCTAGCTTCAGTATTCTACCCAGAGGTGAGGGGATGGGGATGAAATTTCCAACCCTGTAACCCTTCGTCTTTCTGGTGACCAGCACCCATCCTAATGCTATCTAAGAACCCGCCATCCCCCAGTCATTTATTAGCATACAAAAGACACTCATCACTCAGGAGATTCCAAGGGTTTTAGGAACTCTGCAAGGAATCAGGACAAAGACCAGATATATGTTTTTTATATCACAAGATCACATTATTGCCCCAAGGAAATAGAATCTCTGAAGGATTACCGACTTTTCCTAGGTTACAAAGCCAGCAAGTGGCAGAGTACATATCTGAGCTAGTTATTTCCATTATTCTGCATTGTATACAGAAGTTTCTAGATATGCTATTAACAGCTCTAAAGAACAGGTAGATAAAGGAAAGTGGGAAAAAAAAAAGAAAATAAATGAAGGGTTCTTGGGTATTAACAGATAAATGAGAGTACTTACCAAAAACCCTATGTTCTCGCTTATAAGTGCAAGCTAAGCTGTGAGTACACAAAGACATACAGAAGGATAAGATTGACTTTGAAGACTCAGAAGGGAGAGGGTAGGAGAGAGGCTAGGGATAAAAACACTCAGGTGATGGGTGCACTAAAATCTCAGAATTTACCACTGTATAATTCATCCATGTAACAGAGATCCACTTGTACCCCAAAAAATATTGAAGTAAAACTTAATTAAGAAAAATAGAAAAGGTACAAAGTGGATGCAAGTCCCTATCTTGTGAGTAAAGAAGATGGAAATGACAGCATTGTGTGTAATCACAGCTCAATTTTAATTCCCTACCACTCTTACTCCTCCTTTCTCTAGAGCTTTATAGAATGGCCCAGGTATATGGCAACAGTTTGGTGAATCCTTTGACTTAAACTGTGGTAGAGTAGCTGCTAAGGAGAGTTCTGGAGGAGAGGGAGCTGTAAATATGCTACCCAAACAAGCATGCAGACAAAATATAAGATGACTAGACAGTATACTCCATTAAGTCAGAGCTAGATTTTATTCAGTTTTGTGTCTTCAGTGTGTAACATAATACTTAGTACCCAATATTGCATGCAGTGCATGTCTGTGGGAAGACAATGAGAAGCAGAGTGTTTAGGCGTAAGAACTTTTGCAAGTATGGAAGCTATTTATGTCCGAATGTGTACTAAAAAATTTTGGTTCAAATTTCCCCTAAACATTGTTTAATATTTTTTGTGTTGCTATTTTATAAATTAATTGTCCAACTAAGAAATAAATTATATTACTAAAGATTAGATATTTGTTGTATATAATAACATAAATAACTTGTTATTTTTAATATATGATGAAGGGGCTATGATATTTGACTATTATAAATAAAAATTGAATTAGAGCTAATATTACAAAGGAGGAATATTTATTTACTGCATCTGAAGAAAGGTGTGATATGTCAGAAACATTTGGTTAATGAGAATGCAAAACTGGTAGATAAGGATTATGACAATGAGATCTTTATTTATGCTATGCCCCTAGGCACTACCTCATTCATACTATGTAGTAGGAATATATTTTTTCCATAATAACAAAACAAATAGTTAAACACATGAAGTGTTTAACATTACAAACCCTTGCTAGAAAAGGTTAGAGCTGGTGTCTTATTTGTTCATTTGTTTGTACATTTATTTATTCACAAAAAAAATTGTCAGGCTTTGTGCTTCTTGCTGATGATATAAATGAGGAGAAAACAACATCCATCTCCTCAAAAAGCCTATAAAGTAATAAAGGAAATTAGGCAATAACACAAATAAATATTTACAATACGATGTCATAAGAGCCATATTAGGGTGCTACCGGAGCTTTTAATTCTGTCTCAGAGTGATGAGTAGAGATTGAGAAGGGCTTTGCAGAGGTGATTATGCCTCAGGTATCCACTAGAAGATGACTAAAAGGTAGAAGTCTTTGCTAGGAAGAAGTCAGGACAGTCTGTTCAGATGGAGAAAACTACATGTGCAAAGCAACAAAAGAATGAGAACACAGACACATGGGCTTGCTAAGAGTGGAGGACCCAGCAGAACAGTGAGATCCAAACCCATAATGATGTGATTTTCTTTTCACTCTTGTCTTTAGTAGTCTTTTGATATAGAATTGGAGGAATCATTTGGTTTTGTGGTTTTGTGGAATTGGTTCAGCAAAAAGACAAGGTAACTTGAAAAAACAGTGATTGCAGTTATGCTCTGGGAGATTTAGGCTGGATGAAAAAGGAAGAAAAGGCTAAAAGCATGGTCTGATACACTGGAATAAAAAAGGAAGTTCAAAGTGGTGACCATGATGAAGTTGAAGGAAGAAGTGTGGGAGTCAGGGAATGACAGCTGGAAGGATGGGAGATTGTGAACCTCAGACTGAACTTCCAAGGCAAGCGTTCTTCCAGCTACATTATGGTTGCTTCCCTGATAGATACTAAGGTAGCAGATAAATTTATCTATCAACATACGTTAAAGGCTAGATTTTTTAGTCTTTCCTTCAAGAAGTGCTGTGTAGATCCACTTTCATATGATTTTGATTCTGGGACTTTTACGTATTTATGTGAAATTATCCCTTTTTTGAGCACTATAACCAACTTTTGATAGGCAAAATATGTTGCTGTTATTCAGTCTGTATTAGGAGACACATGTACATATGTGTAAAACTTCAGAAGTCTCCTTCTAATATGCCAGGAAGTAATGGTGCTAATTATGATTTGCCACTCTTTTCTAAGCCAAATGGGAAGGCAAGTCTAAACTTTGGCCTTTCTGTCTTATTTGAAAATTCTGTGATTTTGGGAAATTGTTATAAATCAGATGCAGTAAAGAAAAGGCTGTGTGATAATCAGTGCTTGTCATCATTTAGTTGAAAGTTTTCTAAGTGAGAAAAAACAAGACTTCTTAAAATTTCATTCTTCCTATCAACCATATTTTTTGTCTTCACCTGCTTTGGCTAATTACCCAAAGAAGCTGCTAAGTTCACGACTTTTTTGTTAAGGAAAGAAAAAATAGTATTAAGTGGAAACATTGTTGACATACAAAATTTTGTACTAAGAGTTACTGAAAATGGATAATAAGGAGGCAAACCTTTGCCATGTATATATACATCCTTACAACCTATACTGGGGAAACAGAAACTAGATTCTTAAGAAAAGAAATCTTGATGCATATTTGCCATTAAGAGTCTGTCATTAAAATCTAATCTAGCACTTATTTATCATTAATATCCCTGAAACTGTTGCTCTTCTCTTATTAACTGAATTTTATAACCATAATGGTGTTTGAAATGTGGAATTCTTTTTTGTTGGCAGGGGTTGTGGGGGGCGGGTAAATCCAGCATATAACTGCCAAGATAGATTTTGCGTAGTTCTTTGCTTGGGTGTTTTGTTGCCAATGTCCCACCTACTGGTAAGGCAATTAGCAATCTTCCCTCTGAGATTTAATAGACCTTTGTAGTTTAGGGTTGTCCAATAGGACTTTCTGCAATGATGGAATTATTTTCCATCTGTACTGCTCATGTGGCAGCTGCTAACTACGTTTCACAATTGAACACTTGAAATATGGCTAGTGTACCCAAGGAACTCATTTGGAATTTGATTTGTAAATTTGAATTTAAGTAAACCTATGTGGATACAGATGTGGCTACCATATTTGACAGTACAGCTCTAGTCTTCTATACAAAGAAGAAAGGCAGAAATAACAAGAGAAGAAGTTTTAGGAAACTTACTGCAACTGCCACATTGATAAACCATGATCATAATTTACTTAATTATTGCCACTCAGAAATAACTCCACCATTTTGAAGAGGTGGTTCTCGTATTCCCATTGATGAGATATCATTTGCAAATGTCACATCTGATTCCATTTGGGATTTCAGTGGCCCTTGCTTCCTTCCCAAGGCAACTGATATTTTGTTGTTTATTTTGGTTTGTTTGGTTGATTGGTTTTAGTTTTCATTTTTTTCTCTTTGGAAGAAATCCCTGGCCACTTAAGAGGAACTCTTTAGAGCCATGTGAAAAGTTAAAAATGTTTAAATGTATTCATTGCCATTTACGCTAGTTGAAAATTACAGAAAAGTTATGTGAACAAGCACATTTGTCCATTGTAAATCATTCTTAGTGAGATTTTGTATTTTTCATTGTGCTAGTTTCACGTGGAAAAGTTAGCACTAGAACTTGCTGGACTTACCTCCCTAATCAGAAATGAAAATGCATTTGAAAACAATGTCAATGTTTTAAATAAGCTGATTGACCTAAATCAGTAGGCACACTGTTAGGATGGGATATAGCTACTAATTACAATTATCAGCAGGCTCAATGATAGTCATTATGTAACTTTTTGAAGTTAACTTTTTCTATAGGAAATATAGATACTTAGAAGGATCAGAGATCCTGTAAAACACATTTACAGGCTATACAACTCAATAGAAATTAGTTCCCTTAATTAAATTCGAATGTTCTTTCAGTTTCTCATGTAGCATTGCTTGATGTTAGAGCATTGGACATTTTCAGGAATATATTACCCATTTCATGCGTGTCCATGTGAACAGACCACCAAACAGGCTTTGTGTGAGCAACATGGCTGTTTATTTCACCTGGGTGCAGGTGGGCTGAGTCCGAAAAGAGAGTCAGCAAAGGGAGATAGGGGTGGGGCCGTTTTATAGGATTTGGGTAGGTAAAGGAAAATTACAGTCAAAGGGGGGTTGTTCTCTGGTGGGCAGGAGTGGGGGTCGCAAGGTGCTCAGTGGGGGTGCTTTTTGAGCCAGGATGAGCCAGGAAAAGGACTTTCACAAGGTAATGTCATCACTTAAGGCAAGGACCGGCCATTTACACTTCTTTTGTGGTGGAATGTCATCAGTTAAGGTGGGGCAGGGCATATTCACTTCTTTTTTGATTCTTCAGTTACTTCAGGCCATCTGGGCATATATGTGCAAGTCACAGGGGATGCGATGGCTTGGCTTGGGCTCAGAGGCCTGACATTCCTGCCTTCTTATATTAATAAGAAAAATAAAACAAAATAGTGTTGAAGTGTCGGGGCGGTGAAAATTTTTGGGGGGTGGTATGGAGAGAGAATGGGCGATGTTTCTCAGGGCTGCTTCAAGCGGGATTAGGGGCGGCGTGGGAACCTAGAGTGGGAGAGATTAAGCTGAAGGGAGGTCTTGTGGTAAGGGGTGATATTGTGGGGTTGTTAGAAGAAGCATTTGTCGTATAGAATGATTGGTGATGGCCTGGATACGGTTTTGGATGAATTGAGAAACTAAATGGAATAACAGAAGGAGAAAAACAGGTATAAAAGGTCTAAGAATTGGGATGACACAGGATATCTGATTAGAGAGTGCCTAAGGAGATTCAGCATAGTCCTGCCAGCAAAGATTATTTATTTACTTCAAGAGTTAAGAGTGGCAGTTTGGGGATAGCACCAGGAGATATCAGCTGTGATGGCTTGGAAAAACAGTGTAAACCGGCAGTGTAAACAAGAGCAGGGCATGTATGAGTAGTTGAGAACGGTGAATATGAGTATGACTAGACAGAAGATAGTAGGGATGACAAGTTTTTTTGGGCACAGTCTAAGTTGGTCTGGTGTCTGGAATGAGACTGGGGCCTAATAAAAAGGAGCGTGTATACAGGAGCTCAAATGGGCTGTACCCTGTAGCATTCCGAGAACAGGCCTGAATTCTGAGAAGGGAAAGTGGTAAAAGTATTGTCCAGTCCTTTTTAAGTTGGTGGCTGAGCTTGGTGAGGTGTGTTTTTAAAAGACCTTTAGTCCATTCTACTTTTCTTGAAGACGGAGGACCGTAAGGGATATAAAGGTTTCACTGAATACTAAGAGCCTGAAAAACTGCTTGGCTGATTTGACTAATAAAGGCTCATCTCTTATCAGACTGTATTGAGGTGGGAAGGCTAAACTGAGGAATTATGTCTGACAGAAGGGAAGAAATGACTGTGGTGGCCTTCTCAGACCCTGTAGGAAAGGCCTCTACCTATCCAGTGAAAGTATCTGCCTAGACTAAGAGGTATTTTAGTTATCTGACTCGGCATGTTGAGTAAAGCTAATTTGCCAGTCCTGGGTGGGGCAAATCCTGGAGCTTGATGTGTAGGGAAGGGAGGGGGCCTGAATAATCCCTGAGGAGTAGTAGAATAGCAGATGGAACACTGAGAAGTTATTTCCTTGAGGATAGATTTCCACGATGGAAAGGAAATGAGAGGTTCTAAGAGGCGGGCTAGTGGCTTGTACTATAGCATAACCTGCCTTTGCTGGTGTGTGGCGATTAGGCCTGGTGGAACTGCCATCAATAAATCAAGCGTGATCAGGGTGAGGAACAGGAAAGAAGGAAATTTGGGGAAATGGGGTGAATGTCAGGTGGATCAGAGAGATACAGTCATGGGGGTCAGGTGTGGTATCGGGAATAATGTGGGAGGCCGGATTGAAGTCTGGGCCAGGGACAACGGTAATTGTGGGAGACTCAACAAAGAGTGAGTACAGCTGAAGGAGCCGGGAAGCAGAAAGTATATGCGTCAGGTATGAGGAAGAAAATAGATTTTGGAAGTTATGAGAACTGTAGAGAGTGAGTTGAGCATAGTTTGTGATTTTGAGAGCCTCTAAAAGTATTAAAGCAGTGGCAGCCGCTGCACGCAGACATGAGGGCTAGGCTAAAACAGTAAGGTCAAGTTGTTTGGACAGAAAGGCTACAGGGAGTGGTCCTGGCTCTTGTGTAAGAATTCTGACCGCGCTAACCATGCCTAGGAGGGAAAGGAGTTGTTGTTTTGTAGAAGGTGCTTGGGTTTGAGAGATCAGTCGGACACAATTGGCAGGGAGAGCACGTGTGTTTTTATGAGAATTATGCCGAGATAGGTAACAGATGAGGAAGAAATTTGGGCTTGAGTGAAGTAATGGGGGCTGTCTGTGAAGCTTTGCAGCAGTACAGCCTAGGTAATTTGCTGAGCTTGATGGGTGTCAGGGTCAGTCCAAGTGAAAGCGAAGAGAGGCTGGGATTAAGGGTGCAAAGGAATAGTAAAGAAAGCATGTTTGAGATCCAGAACAGAATAATGGGTTGTAGAGGCAGGTATTGAGGATAGGAGAGTATATGGGTTTGGCACCATGGGGTGGATAGGCAAAACAATTTGGTTGATAAGGTGCAGATCCTGAACTAACTTGTAAGGCTTGTCTGGTTTTAGGACAGGTAAAATGGGGGAATTGTAAGGAGAGTTTATAGGCTTTAAAAGGCCATGCTGTAGCAGGCGAGTGATAACAGGCTTTAATCTTTTTAAAGCGTGCTGCGGGATGGGATATTGGTGTCGAGTGGGGTAAGGGTGATTAGGTTTTAATGAGATGGTAAGGGGTGCATGATCGGTCACCAAGGAGGGAGTAGAGGTATCTTATACTTGTGGGTTAAGGTGGGGGGATACAAGAGGAGGACGCAAAGGAGGCTTTGGATTGGGAAGAAGGGCGGCAATGAGATATAGCTGTAGTCCAGGAATAGTCAGGGAAGCAGATAATTTAGTTAAGGTGTCTCAGCCTAATAAGGGAACTGGGCAGGTGGGGATAACTAAAAAGGAGTGCTTAAAAGAGTATTGTCTAAGTTGGCACCACAGCTGGGGAGTTTTAAGAGGTTTAGAAGCCTGGCCGTCAATACCCACAACAGTTATGGAGGCAAGGGAAACGGGCCCTTGAAAAGAAGGTAATGTGGAGCGGGTAGCCTCTGTATTGATTAAGAAGGGGATGGGCTTAACTTCCACTGTGAGAGTTACCCGAAGCTCAGTGTCCATGATGGTCTAGGGGGCTTCTGAGGCGATCGGGCAGTGTCAGTCTTCAGCCGCTAAGCCGAGAAGATCTGGGAAGGAGTCAGTCAGAGAGCCTTGGGCCAGAGTTCCAGGGGCTCTGGGAGTGGCTGCCAGGTGAGTTGAACAGTCCGATTTTCAGTGGGGTCCTACACAGATGGGACGTGGCTTAGGAGGAATCCCGGGCTGAGGGCATTTCTTGGCCCAGTGGCCAGATTTCCGGCACGTGTAGCAAGCTCCTGGGGGAGGAGGTTCTGGAGGAACGCCTGGCTGCTGCGGTTCAGGCATTTGGAAGTTCTTGTGTGCTGGAGATGTGGCTGGGGTTTGTCTCACAGTGGAGGCAAGGAATTGCAACTTTTTTCTGTTATTGTACACCTTGAAGGTGAGGTTAATTAAATCCTGTTGTGGGGTTTGAGGGCCGGAATTTAATTTTTGGAGTTTTATTTAATGTCGGGAGCAGATTGGGTAATAAAATGTATTTTGAGAATAAGACGGCCTTTAGACCTTTTAGGGTCCAGGGCTGTAAAGCGTTTCAGGGTTGCTGCCAAACGAGCCATGAACTGGGCTGGATTTTTATATTTGATGAAAAAGAGCCTAAACGCTATCTGATTTGGGATAAAGAAAAAGGAGCATTAACCTTGACTATGCCTTTAGCTCCAGCCACCTTTTTAAGGGTAAATTGCTGGGCAGGAGGGGGAGGGCTAGTCACGGAATGAAACTGTAAGCCGGACCAGGTGTGAGGAGGGGAGGTGATAAAAAGATTATAGGGTGGAGGAGCAGAGGCTGAGGAAGAATTGGGACCTAGCTCGGCCTGGAGAGGAGCAGCCTGGGGAGGAAGGGAGAGGTCAGATGGGTCTGTAGAAAAGGAAGATTAGAAAGACTCAGCGACGCTTGGGGTTGGTACTGAGGGGACAGGTGGGAGGGAAAGAAGGAAGATTTGGGACGAGTTGCACTGGTCACAGAGACTAGGAAGGGACTGATGTGTAAAAGAATGCCTGGACGTCAGGCACCTCAGACCATTTGCCCATTTTATGACATTTGCCCATTTCCATCTTGTAGGATGGAAAAATTTTAAGTGCCATTTTCCGGCTATTTGGAACTACTGTCGAGTTTGTATTGGGGTCAAGCGGCATTGCAGAAGAAAATAAGATGCTTAGATTTTAGGTCAGGTGAGAGTTGAAGAAGTTTTAAGTTCCTAAGAATATAGGCTAAGGTAGAAGAAGGAGGAATGGAAGGTGGAAGCTTGCCCATAGTGAAGGAGGCAAGCCTAGAGAAAAAGAGTAGAGACACGGAGAAGGGGTAGGGGTTTCTTGCCCTCCAGAAAAGCAGAGAAAGGATTGGGACACGGAAATAAGGAATTGGGGCACAGAGATAAGAGGTTGGGGTGCAGAAATAAGGGATTGGGGCACAGAGATAAGAGGTTGGGGTGCAGAAATAAGGGATTGGGGCACAGGGATAAGAGGTCAGGGTGTGGAAATAAGGGATTGGGGGGTTTTTGCCCCCTAGAAAAGCGGGACTTGCCACTAAGGGTGAAGGAGAAGGGGTTGAGGGGTACTTGCCCCTCCCCCAGAAAAGCGGGACTTGCCACTAAGGGTGAAGGAGAAGGGGTTGAGGGGTACTGAGGGGTACTTGCCCCTCCCCCCAGAAAAGCAGAGAAGGGATAGAGACAAGGAGAGAAGGGGTTGGGATACTTGCCATTTCCCCAGAAAAGCAGAGAAGGGGTAGAGAGAAGGGGTTGGGGTACTTGACCCTTCCCCAGAAAAGCAAGACTTGCTGCTAAGGGTGAAGGACCAAGGCAGGCGTCCCTGCATGGTCTGACACCCTTGAAACGTGGGTGAATGATCAGAGAGGCGTCCCTGCAATGATTAAACACCAGGGGAAGTCTGCCTTCCCAGTCCATGACCGGCACCGGAGTTTTGGGTCCACGGATAAAACGTGTCTCCTTTGTCTCTACCAGAAAATACCAGAAAATGAAAGGAATTGAAATTAAGAGAAGGGAGAGATTGAAGTGTGGCGCCAAGATTGAAAGGAGAAAGAGGTTGAAGGATAGGGAGGTTGGAGAAGAGAGTAAAAAGAGGCCACTTACTGGATTTGAAATTGGTGAGATGTTTCTTGGGCTGGTCGGTCTGAGGACCTGAGGTAGTAGGTGGATCTTTCTCACGGAGCAAAGAGCAGGAGGACAGGGGATTGAACTCCCAAGGGAGGTCCCCCGATCCGAGTCACGGCACCAAATTTCATGCGCATCCGTGTGAAGAGACCACCAAACAGGCTTTGTGTGAGCAACATGGCTGTTTATTTCACCTGGGTGCAGGTGGGCTGAGTCCGAAAAGAGAGTCAGCAAAGGGAGATAGGGGTGGGGCCGTTTTATAGGATTTGGGTAGGTAAAGGAAAATTACAGTCAAAGGGGGGTTGTTCTCTGGTGGGCAGGAGTGGGGGTCGCAAGGTGCTCAGTGGGGGTGCTTTTTGAGCCAGGATGAGCCAGGAAAAGGACTTTCACAAGGTAATGTCATCACTTAAGGCAAGGACCGGCCATTTACACTTCTTTTGTGGTGGAATGTCATCAGTTAAGGTGGGGCAGGGCATATTCACTTCTTTTTTGATTCTTCAGTTACTTCAGGCCATCTGGGAGTATATAAGTGCAAGTCACAGGGGATGCGATGGCTTGGCTTGGGCTCAGAGGCCTGACAACCCATAATGAAAAATATATTTGTGAACATAATAACAGTTCCTATTATGTTTTCAGAAATATAAATTAATTTGGTGGTTTGGTTGAATGTGGGTTTTAACTGTCTCCATATTAGAGTACTTAGGTTTCGTTGTGAGAACTCAAGTAAGAAAAAAACTTAACAGTAAATATTAATCAATGGAGTATCTTTCTTCTCCTGAGTACTGTCAATTCCTTATTGCATAAACGTATCACTAGGAACACTGAGAGAAGCTTGAGAATTTTCCACCACAGAGATCAATAGGCAGCTGTGAGATGCTTTTTTCCAAAAGGTAAGGCCTTTTTAAACAACAATCAACAATTGTTGATCCTCTAGATTCCTTTTGACCACAAATCCTTTTAGAGGGAAAATAAAAACATCTAAAAATGTATGACCCCACTTAAAAAAATACTGACAGCTATGGAGATAAAAATCCTTGGGTTGCTGATTTGTTAATTGCTTCTTGGGGTAATGAAAGAGCCCTAGACTGGCAGTCAGGGCACTTAGGATCTCTTTTCAGTAATCATACCTTACTTCTCTCTCTCTACTCTCTTTTCCCCAGACCACACCTAACAATATATCAATTTTTTAAAAATGGAATTTCTTATGCCCTCTTTATTTATGGACATGTATGTCCATAATGGGAGACGTTTTCTTTGGACTGATGCTTGAATCAGTGGGTGCTTGGCATTGCTGATAGGGATCAGTGTAAATGAGCTATTGTAAAATTTAGAGTTCAGTGGAACTATCCCCCAGGTAATAGTATTTTTAGATTAAGGTCCCTTCCCCTTTTTCTGTGCATGGTTAGGTCAATATTTCTCTGTCTCTCATATCACTCCTTTCCTCCTCATAGCCACTGACACCATGCTCATCCAACTCAAACTAAGCTATTAGAATCCTCTTTTTATGGACTTACTTTCTTTTAGAATGGGGACTTTCTTCCCCCATTCCAATCCATCTTCCACTGGGCAACCGAGTGAATTTTCCCTAAATATTGTTTTAACTGTTCATTCATTGAAAACCTTTTTGTGCTTTTCTAATTACCCCAGAATAAAATTTACACTCCTCTGTCCACAAACTAACTCCTACACAATTCTTTTAACATTTAATCCTGAATTGTATCCTCATAAAGCAATGCATAGAGAAAAAAAAGAAATAAAAATTTTTCCTTTCAATATGTGAGTACTATGTATCTTCAAAGAATAAGGTAGCCATACATCTTTTCTTTATGCATGTTTCCTTAAATGGGTAACTGAATATTTGAACTTGCTATTGATATTAAGCCTCTATGTGTAACTAATTCTGAATTATAGGTAGACAAGTTGTCAGATTAATTCTTTCATATCATAAAATATTATTGATGCTGCTAATTTTATAGTCATACTACTGTTAGGCAGGTAATTTTGGGTATCTATGGGTTTTGAATTTTCTCAGTAATGAATTTCTCAAAAGAATGGATAGGTGTTGCTCTTGTCCTGTCTTTGGCTGCCAGAGCTGAACTTTTGATGGCCACGGAACATTTTCTCTGTCAGCCTCTATGTCCATTACACCTTCAAAGGTGTGCTGTTTCCTACTGCTTGACCCTAGCCCTTCTTTCATTACTTTTCATCCTTCCGTGATTTGTCCCAACTCCAGTTTACATTACTTGAGTCATAGAGGTATCCTCACTGCCTCCAAATGTTATCATTCTTATTCTAGTTCTATTATCCCTATCTAAATTCTACCTATAATGTGAAGCATCTCATAAACCACTGCCTTTCTGATATTGGTCTCTTTGTTCGGTTATCCTCTAGAACTTATTTTTGCCACAAAATTTTGCACTTAATCACGTGTTTAGTCATTATTAATCATATTATATATACACTGTGAGATACTTATTGTCTATTAGAGATACAGGAAAAGTCAAAGTGTATCTTTCCCATTCCATATACCGAACTTCACTTCTGACATCAGATATGTGGGATTTTTTTTTCCCTCATACACCAAGCAGTTCTCCAGCAGACACCAGCCAGGTGATCCTCCAATTCATTTCTGAAACTATCTAGATCCCACAGATTGAAGGCTCCGTCCTGCAAGATGGTCCACCCACTTCTGATGCCAATTGCAAACTGTAGGTTGTGATCTGTGCTTCTGACTGGCTATAAATCAGGGTTCCTACAACCCCCTCCTGGAGTTTGATTAATTTGCTAGAGTGGCTCACAGAACCCAGGGACACACTTTACTTTTACTCATTTATTATAAAGGATATTACAAAGAATACAGATGAACAGCCATAGGGTGAGGTATGGTAGAAGTGGCACAGAGCTTCACACCATCCTCCAGGAACCTCTATGTGTTCAGCTATTCTCTGCATGTTTAGCTATTTCAGAAGCTCTCTGAACCCTGGCTTTTTTTTTGGTTTTGGTTTTTATGGAGATGTCCTTCTGTAGACATGATTGATTACATCACGGGCCATCAGTGATCATCGCTGCCTTCATCTCCTCTCCCTTCCCTGGATTTTGAGGGTGGGGTTGGAAGTTCCATCCTGCCTTGATCTTTCTGGTGAATTAGCCCCATCCTGAAGCCCTCTGGGGACCCCCAGTCACCAATCATCTTATTAGCATGCAAAAGAAACTTTTATCACTACTGAGATTCCAAGGATTTTAGTAGCTGTATGTCAGGAAATGGGACAAAGACAAAATATATATTTCACGATATCACATTGTCATTTTTTAAACCCATAGTGCCTTGCACAGAGGGAAAAACATAATTGCACCCAATAGATGTATAATTCCTTAATTGCTGAATAAACCTCAGTGTAACAATAACACTGTAGGGAAGTCTGGGTCATTACCCTTATCTATCATGTTTCCATGTTAACTTCAATGGGTTATTTGAATCACATCAGCAGTTAGAAATGTCATTATGTAAGTACTTTCTTGTCCAGTTCCAGCACAAGCCAGCATATTACTGCTTGCATTTAAAATCATATTTTAGAACAAAATCTGGTAATTATCTCATGAAAAATTCATAGTTGTTATTTTTAAAGTATTGTTTATATTAATTCACCCCAATTTAGAAACAAAATGTGAGTGAGTTTTGCAAAATTTTACAAAATAGGCTAAAGCAATTTGTCACTGTTGAGTTGATACAGTGGCTGCTTAATTTTCAAATGCTTATACTGCTTCTGAGTAAAGGTTACATAAGTGTGGGAGAGAAGGGGACGTTTTTATATATATAGTAGGAGTTAAAGGTTTTGTTTAAGATTGTTTTCCTGTTTATCTGACAACAGAAATAGTTTTCTGTTGATTCCACTAGTTGTTCCCTTATGAGGAGGATTTTTGAGGCTGGAGATCAACCCAGGAGTCCTTGTTCAATCTGAGCATATTCAGTGTGTAGCTGACATCTCCTGCATAATCACATGTTGTGACATGGAAATCAAAGTGCCAGACAAAGCCTCCTTTTCTCCTTGATGTTTTTCTGTATGAACATTAGAAGTAATAATTTGTCTTCTATGGTATCAGGAAAGGGTGGATGTCTGTCATTAATTAGGCCACGTCACCAGAGAGAATATTGCAACAAAAAAGGAAATATTTCTCAAGATGGTTGATGAAGTCAGTATTTAATGATGAGAATTACTTCACTAAGTATGAAAATAATATTATAACCACATGCTCATTATATTATAACTCTTTTTAACATGTGCCACGTGACATGGTAAGTAGCATGCTTTTTCCATTAGTAAAACAGAGGAAAAAAATCTAATTTTATCTATTTTATTGAAATTTCTAGTAAATTTTAAGTATCTAGAAATATTTCAGATTTCAGAAGAATTAAATAAGATATAACAAATATTGTTTATAAATAGGGTATATAATCTTTTTTTTGAGAAAGGGTCTTGTTCACACCCAAACTGGAGTGCAGTGATGCAATCTTGGCTGACTGCAACTTTTGACTCACTGCAACCTTTGGCTCACTGCAACCTCTGCCTCCTGGGCCCAGGTGATCCTCCCACCTCAGTCTTCCAAAGTAGTAGCTGGGACTACAGGCATGCACCACCACACCAGGTTAATTTTTCTATTTTTAGTAGAGACGGGTTTTTGCCCTGTTACCCAGACTGGTCTTGAACTCCTGGGTTCAAGTGATCCTCCTGCCTTGGCCTCCGAAAATGCTGGGATTACAAGCGTGAGCCACCACGTACAGGCTGAAATAGGATATATAATCTAAATGACGTATGTAAGTGTGAGGATTGTGGTGATCAAATTTCATTTGTAAATGTCTAGATAGTACATATGCACAGATGTATTTTAAATGCTATAACTTTATTTGGTCATGCTTTGTCACACGTTGCTATATAGAGGAATACTGCTAATAATAGCAAAAGTTACATCGTGCCTACTACATGCCAGGCATTGTTCTAAGTGTTTTATGTATATTAACCTGGCTAGTCCATAATAATGCTATGAGGTAGGTACTATTATTTCCCATTAAGGTATAGACAGACACCATGGAGCAAGCAATGTCTGCATTTGAATTCCAGCTCCACCTTTGAGTGACTAGGCAAATTATTTAACCATTTTGAGCCATAGTTTATTTGTAAAATGGCAGTAACACTTGCTACATAGTATTATTGTGGAAAATAAATGGTGGGTCTAGAGTTAGATACCCGGCATGTAATAGGCACTGACGGAAGGAAAGCACCACTTTCCTATTTCAATGAACTGACTACTAGAAAGAGATTTAGTTCCTAATTTTACATAATATACTTTATAGTGTCTGTGAGATCTTTGAAGGCATAAAGTGTCTGAAACATTGTCGGTACTCAGTAAATGTTTGTTGGCTGAAAAAATGAAAACACACAGAAATTTGCCCAAGTACTCTAAATATACCAGTGGTGACAAATATTGCTAATTGTGACTTAGGTAATTAAATCATTTGCATTATCTAATTAATTTGTTGGTGGTAATTAAATAACCTTGAAGAAAAAGTCCTTAGGTATTTTCTCTGAGAAATTTCTTACCAGAAGCTTAAGAGCAACAAATCAGACCCAGCTGACAGGAAATGTGTCTCCTGAGCTTGAAGATAGTGTTGGCAGTTTCCAAGAGTTAGGTGAGACTTTTTCTTCCCTAGTTTTTGTAGGCAGTGAGATGGCTGTTTTCATGGCCACTTACACTTCATTTTTGCTAATCTGACCATTAATAGTGTATTAAGATACCCAATTCTTAAAGTAGTATTGGTTTTTATTTTATATTTATATTTAATTCTTCTAAATTATTGATAGGAAATTACAAAAACATGTATTTCGCTTTTGTTATAATTAAATAAAAAGCAAATTAATACCTTGCCCCCTAATAGAGTGCTGTGTTCCCATTGCTTTGGCTAGCAAAAGCAAGTTGTTCTTGATGATGATGATGTTGGTTGCTCATGGTGGTGGTGGTGGTGATGATAATGGTGATAATGATGATGGTGGTGATATGAGATTGGAAATCTCAAGTAAAAGTGGATTACTTCTCTCCAAAGCCTAAAATTGAACTCCGGACTTCTAAATCCAACATTAGTACTATTTTTTTTTCCCCTAACAGGATGGGGTTTTACATTGCAAATAAAGAGATGTAGACTCAGTTTGTTAGTTGGCAAATGATGTTACTTCATTGATGGAGTTGAACTGTGGTTCTTTAATTCCATGTTCTTGCTCCATTGAAACTACTTCATTAAAATGAGGAGGTTTTTCTAGGAATTAAAAAATTAGCAGTTGAAATAACTTAGTGAAATCTACTATATCATTATTTAACCTGATTAAGTAAAGTCTAATTCATTTTGACCATTTTCATTCAACTGTTATTTGGTAGAAATCTAATTTTGCTCCTCTGTATTTGTTCATGTTCTAAGTATCTTATCAGCAGGAATATTCTTTTTTTTTTTTTTTTTTTTTGAGACGGAGTTTTGCTCTTGTTCTCCAGGCTGGAGCTCAGTGGTGTGATCTTGGCTCACTGCAACCTCTGCCTCCCAGGTTCAAGCAATTCTCCTGCCTCAGCCTCCCAAGTAGCTGGGATTACAGGCATGCACCACCACGCCCAGCTAATTTTTGTATTTTTGGTAGAGACAGAGTTTCTCCATGTTGGTCAGGATGGTCTCAAACTCCCGACCTCAGTTGATCTGCCCGCCTCAGCCTCCCAAAGTGTTGGGATTACAGGCGTGAACCACCATGCCCGGCAATCAGCAGGAATATTCTAAGGCAATGGTAAATTTCTCACCTCCTGTGGGATGATGTCATCCCATCTGTGTGTTGCACACAGACTTATTTCATGACCCTGAGTAGCACCCTATGTCCAGGCTGTATTTGCTCAATGACCTCTTAGCTCTCTGCATCCTGGTTTGGGTAACTGACTTATTTTTACTTTGATATCTGAAATACAGAGCCTACCAGTGGGATTCTTGCTGGGAGAGATGCCAGGCCATTTCTGGCAGACTACATTGGAAGACACCAAGTTTGGACAAAAATTCTGAGAGTTGCTTGAATCTTTGCAGCAATTCCATGTCAATAGCTAGACACGAGAAGCATTTTATTTTAGGAAGATGGGACTGAATAAATGTGTGTTTCAATAAATTCCAAAGAGAAAGAACTGTTCATTTTTTTTCCCACTTATCCCCTGAAGATTATCTGCATCATCCCTACAGCATGTGTAGTCCTTCAGAATTTCAGAATTGATGGACTCCAGATGGAATCACAATTTGAACTTACTGGCCATATTCAGTCTGCCCTTGACCTCACACATTTCTCTAGCCCTATGCTCACCAACAAGAATCCGTGGAATAATGAGGCTATCAACCAAGTTCATGGACCGGAAAAAATCCTTTAAACATTAACTTCAAAGACTAGACCATAATTTGAAAAACACAATGTAAACAGGAAAAAAAGGGGAGGGGGACAATTGTAAGCTGCTAGCAATTAGGCACTAATTAGCTTCCTTCAGTTGTGTAGCTGCTGCCGCCCAGCATACCATTTGTATCTCTCACATGTATAGATTCCCCAAGCTGTTGGTTTCTTAGTGAAACTAAGCCACAATTTGCAGACTAACTTACAGGAAAGATATATCATAAATATATTCACATCTAACTGGCTAACTGAATTTCTCAATTTTATTTATAGTAAAAACCAAATTAAATGGAAAGCAGACAGCATGCCTGTTAGGTTCATCTGTGTGTCCCTGCAAGTTAGCACAGTGCCTGGCACATAATAATTATGCAAAAAGCAGATGTCATTGAATGAATTTATTTATTTTTGTTAATACTCATGAAAGCTGTCTGTTTCAAACACTGGAAATTAATTTACTTTTGTTTACCTTATTAAGTGGTAGATATTTACATTAGGAGCTACTTAATATCTCTTTGATGGTACCTTCTTTGAAGATTAATTCTTATTGTGTAATAATATAGATGTAAAACATGTAATCTATTAAAACAAATATATCAACATCCCAGAATTATCTCAGAGAATTGTTTTCTTTTTGATGATAAATTCCTGATTTAGTGTTCCATTTTCAAAAGTCTTTTTCCTGCCATAGAAGTGTAATGAAAGAGAAAGTTTGAATAACTGATTTTTTTTTTAAGTTGAGGTCCTGTGCATGCACGGACATGAGTCAAATGACCAGTGTAGCAGGATCTTGGGAGGGGCAGGCAGACATTACAATTCAGAGCCAAGTTACAGTTTAGGAAACTGCATTCCATCAAAAGTTTTAAGTGTCTTTTATATACAAGCCACTGCAATGATATGCAAGGGATGTTAAATGCTGTAGAATATAATCGAATATGGAATAATATGAGTACATGGTTTCTTATCATAACAAAGTTATGATCAAATAAATAAAAAGAAAGATCAGGTTGAACAAAGCAGACAGCATAGTCAGGACAAGTTGTGGCTCCAATCCTACATTCATTGTCTAGAAAGAGCCAAAAACTCTATTTAGAGACTTTGCCTGGGAACAGGTTTATAGGGAAGTGTCAGATTAGTGGCATAAACTGTAGGTCAGCTGGTGGAGGCAAGCCAGCAAGGGGCTTCATGGTAACCAGTGGAAACACAAAAATATAACATCGGGATCAAATTCATTTAACTTTCAAAGAGAGTTTACTTCCCTTGTTTTCATTACCATTGGTTTCTTTCCTGCCATATCTGTGATGGGGTTCATCCATAGAGGAAGGCAATAAAGATGTGGTGGTGAGAAACCTACAAATCTGCTAACATAGGAAGCTTCTAACATCAAGATAAATTGGCATTTTTCTACATACGTATATTTTTATTTGCAGAACCACCCAAAGTCACTGTGATGCCCAAGAATCAGTCTTTCACAGGAGGGTCTGAGGTCTCCATCATGTGTTCTGCAACAGGTTATCCCAAACCAAAGATTGCCTGGACCGTTAACGATATGTTTATCGTGGGTTCACACAGGTACTGGGTTTGTATCATGTTTTTGTTTTTATTGAGTGAGAAAAATTGATGAGACTTCTGGACCAAACTAATATGACCAAATCCCTAATATTAAGGGAGGTTTGACCACAATACTTAGCTTTACATTTTCTAAACAGGCTATGAATGTCAAAAATAATATAAATGATGACTTTATAAAGTTTGAGGTTATTGAGTCTTGAATTCAATAGCTGGGACCAAGTGCTTCCCAGTACTTTGAGCTGCAAATGTAGCACCAATCAGTTAGTTTAACTTGAGTAATTGAAACGAGGGTAATAAATTTTCTGTGAGGTAAAATAACATAGAATTTCAACAAATCTATTAAAGACATTGTCCTGGATTTAACAGAAGAGAGAGGTCAAGAACAGACCAGTAGCTCTAATTAAAATGTGTTCAGACATTCTTTGTCATTACTTCCATTTTTGCCAAACTACAGTGGGAAGTATTTTATTTCACTGGGTGCTTTTTAAAAGCATTGAATCCACTCATGCTCCTACAGTATAATAAACACGTGGAATATAAACAACAAAGTATCCAGCCATGGGGCTTCCATTACTCTGGGTTTGGCAGTGAAGAAGTCATACGTGTGATCCAGCCAGTTGAGCCAGATTCTATTCCTAAACGCCTTACAGACTCACTGTGTGACATGAGACATTACATCTCTAAGGTTTTCATTGTGATGAACCGTTTACTATAGCAATCCACCACATGGAGCAAGATTGCCGGGGTGCAAATTCCAGTTCTTCCATTTACTAACTCTGGCTTTGGGTGAGTTATGTAACCTCTTTGCTCACCTGTAAAACAGAGATATTAATAGTATTTAACTCATTAGGGTGAGGAAAATTTTTAGATTAAAATAAATGTAAAGTTTCTAGAGCAGCGGCTGGTATGTAGTCAATATTGGATACATGATATTATTATTATTATTGCATTTCTGCTTATAAAATAATGATGGTAACCATTTCTGCAATCGACACCAAAAATATAACTCTACAACGTTTGAAAATATTTTAAAGGAAAGCACTATATTATCTTGATATTACTATTGTGGCATTTTCAATTTTATATTCTTTTTGTTTTTTATTCATAGGTATAGGATGACCTCAGATGGTACCTTATTTATCAAAAATGCAGCTCCCAAAGATGCAGGGATCTATGGTTGCCTAGCAAGTAATTCAGCTGGAACAGATAAACAGAATTCTACTCTCAGATACATTGGCAAGTATAATCACTTTAAAAGGCAATTAAAATAGGATGAATATCACATCAAGCAATGCAAAAGTACTTTTTTGAAATATTAATATTAGTAATGCATACATGGTATTATACTTTATTATTCATTTCACACACTGATTGAAGCAAATATTGTAACCAATTTAAGTTAAAAGTTCATAGAGTGAAAAGCTTCATTAGTCAACAGAAATCAAGGAAGCTTCCAGGTTATGGAATAATTTCATATTGTCCACAAAGTTCTATCTTTCCACTGTTCATCTGTTCTCTGCAATATTTTACTTTTAAATTAATAAATTCTATTTCCTTTCTAGCTTAACTTCCATTTTATAATTTCTACTTATATTAAAAACTGTGTATAATATAATTTTTACTTTTTATCTTCAATTTCCCTCTCCAAACTTAAACATTTATTGGAAGCGTACTTCATGAAAATTATTCTACAGAATATTTCTATTTAATTTTGTCTTTCTTAGTCAAATAAAGGATAAAGGAATAATATACTCAGATCCAGGTTATAAATCGTGAATAATCAATGGCTAGCAGTCCACCCTTTCATTCATTCTTATTCAGTCTCATTCACAGTAAGATAATGAAACTGTCAGTAGAGAAGCAAGGATTCAAAAGAGATAATAAAGATAGAGAATTGTACTTGAAGGTATAGGTGAGGGAGAGAACCAAAATGTCACAAGTATTGAATTGAGAGCCTGGAAAGAAGTGGTCTCATAATTTACATAATGGGGGTGGATATATACGGAAATATAACAAGGCAGACAGACAAGTACTACAGTGGGAGGTTGGCAGAGGGGAAGACTAATTCAGACGGAGGAATTAGCAAAGATTTCTCAAAGGAGACAGGATTTAGGCTCAGTCTGGAGGAATGAGTGGGATTTGAAAGGTTGTGGCAAAGGGCATTTTAGAAAGAGGAAATAGCTTTAGGAAAGGCAAAGAAGACAGGAGAGTAAAAGTCTGTTGTATTTTGGGCTATCAGTGAAGCTCTGTACCTTGTGATAAGTGAGGAACTGTAACAGGGTAAGGTTAAAAAAAAAGCTATGCACCCATTTATAATTTTTGAAAGAGAGTCTATGGAATTTTGAAGGCAGTAGGAATCACTGAAGGTATTCTAGCAGAGAAATTACATGATCTGTGAGAAGTTAACTTAGCTTTGTTTAAAAATACCTCAGCTGAAGCTAGGAAGTCCTAAAATATCTCGTTAAGAGAAAATGTTTAAGTAAACTGAACCATTGGGCAAGCAAGTGAAGCAAACGGAGTGAAGAACAGAAATTTAGAGAATGTCTATATTTAGCATCACAGGGAAAAGAAGGGTCAAAACCAGGAGACTCTACTTTTTGTAAATGCAAATTTTAGGCTTGGACTGCAAATATCTTCCTGTAGTTAGACATGAATATCCTTAAAATGACGTAGAAAATGTTAACAAATTCATCTACGGTTGTATCATCCTCAAGTCTTAATTTAGCTGTCAGTCTTACCATTATCCCTCTTTTGACTATATTTTTCTTAGAATTATTCCTCTCTCTGTTCTTTTAGTATTGTTTCTCTAAGATGTATTCTGATTTCTAAGATGTTTCTTTCCTTGTATAACTCTTTTTCATAAAGAACTTTCGATTAGTTTCCTAAATTTTTTGGAGTTTATGATAATTATTTTTTGTTTTAGTCATTATTTTTTTCCTGATATCATTTCTTTGACCTTGATAAATGATCTTTTTATCACATACACCTATGTGCATGTGCATTACAAGAGTTTCTTTCGGTTTATAAATATTGAAATGGCCACAAGCACATAAATTTTTAAATTGGTTCATTTAGTAAACATAAACAAAATCCATCTGGTCTTGTGCTAAATGTTGACTATTTGCGTTTTTGTTTTTTTCAGAAGCCCCTAAGTTGATGGTAGTTCAGAGTGAGCTCTTGGTTGCCCTTGGGGATATAACCGTTATGGAATGCAAAACCTCTGGTATTCCTCCACCTCAAGTTAAATGGTTCAAAGGTACATTTCTTCAATATGTTTGTGTCTGGTTCACTTAGTTTTGTTTTCTTTTTAAAAAAAATGATTTGTTAAAACTTTGTTTTGGTGTGTGACTTAGCAGCCCCATAAAATGTGTTTATGATCTCACTGGAGACAATAGTTCAAAATTCTCAACTCTGAATTTCAGGATTTGACATCTGGTATGGATTACAGGACTGTAAAAATCAAAGCAGGAAAAGTTCGCCTTTGCTAATCCAGCTGAACATTCTCTTTGTTAGTTTAGGATTGTTTCCTGAAGAAAATTGTCCAAGAATACTCAGTTAACGTTTAAAATAGCTCCGCTGATTTTAGTTCACTTTTCTTAGAGATGATGGCTCTCACTATTAAAAAGTTTTCTAGATTCACAAGGATACTTTCTATAAAGTGTTCAAATAAAGATACACATTGAAGCTTACAGATAGTTGAAAGACAAATTATTTATTGATAGGTCAGCTACATCATACATGGTAAATGCTTGTCTCAACTATAGAAATTATCTTTCTATATTTGTGTCATAAAGATTGCACCTCTGTGATTCCATAATAAAATAACAGTTATATGCCACTTGTCCTTGGTGAGATACACTTGGATTCTGGTTCCCGCTCAGATGCTGACAGTAGATATCTGTGTAAAAAGCCCTGCTTCTGCTTCTGTTTCAGTTCTTCCAGTTACGGGAAAAAGAAAAAAAATCCTGCAAACACCCTAACTGGGAGGTTGCTAGGATTATTGAGATGCTGTTTGCAAAATACTTTTAAATTTTCAGATGAAAAGTGTTAAATAGTACAAAGCACTATTGTTATGATTCTGTTTGTTAAATCACAAACATTTCCATAGCAACAGGTTGATGTCATAATCACAAAATTAGGAATTCACCTCAAGTTCAAACTCTTAGGGAACATGAGGTGAAAAAGAAAGGCTTTATGTAGAAAATAAATAGTTTTAAATAATATAAATCAAAAGCAAGGTGGAAACTAGGAAGTAATGCCATTTTCCTGGTTGTCCATACTGAAAGATTTTTAGTCTTCATGTTTTCTCTGATAAGAAAGCATTTCTGAGTTTGCTCCTTAATCAGGTTTATGTTGGTTAACATAAACTAATTTTACTTTCTTAAAATACTTAAATTTTTGAATTGCCAAAGAAATCAGTACCAATTTCAAATTTACATCATAATTAAATATATCAAGAAAATATGTTATAGACAGTATTTCTTTATTTTAAATGTCATTCAATAGTTTATCATGAAAATAAAAATTCAAAAAAGTAATGGAAATGCCAACTTCTATATATGTGTATATAGCAGAGTCTCACAAACAGTCTTTTATTCCCCCAAACTGGGACTGTGCTCCTTAATCAATTAGTCTTCATGCCCATCTTAAACCCAGAAATAGCTTGGAAACTAAAAGAGGAAATAGGGAACTAGGTACCCACTACATGAGAGATTCTAGAATTTACTCTCTGTTTCTTATCTCAACTATAGATATTACCGCTCAGTGGGTTCAATAATCTATCATTTTGCTGTCCAAGTTATGAACCAACAGAGATAGAATATGGGCATTTGATACATTGTAAGATGTGTTCCCTGGGTTCATCAATAATAGGCAGAGCTGCCCTGACCTCCAGGATCAGGTCAACTAACATACCCTCCCAAGTTACAGGCAGACAATTTATGCATAAACAGAGTAGAGTTAGGACCACCAAGAGCAAATCTAGGGGACAAACTCCTGTGAATGCAAACTGGCCTCAAAATGGAGGGGGTTAGGAGCAGGTGGGCTTTCCAGTCCCACCTCTGCTGAGGACAAGACACCAGGAAGGCTGGGAAAATGCTACCTTATGGAAACCATAGGGGTGAGGAGGAAGAGTTCCTGCCTTCACCATAAGAATATCTTTTTCCTCATACCTTCCTTGAGGTGATTCTGATTGAATAAAGTAGGTGTTTGAAAGAAAAAAATGAACAAACTGTATTCCATTCAGACCATCAGAGAAAAGGAATTCCATAAGCACAAATGCTCTCTTAAATTTTAGATCTTTTATTTTTAGAAATGAGCAATACAAAATGGGTTCAAAGGAGAATCAAAACACTACTGAAATCTTATAAAAAGTATATGTATGGTAAAATATTAAAGAAATTAGATTTATTCATTTAGATCTGTTGTTCCTAAAATGTGGTTTGGAGACTCTAGGGGTTCCCACAATTCTTTCAGGGGATTCATGAGATCAAAATTATTTTCATAATAATACTAAGATGTTGCCTTTTTCATTCTTATTATCTCAAAAGTGAATAATGGAGTTTCTGGAGGCTATGTGATGTGTGATGTCCAATAGAGTCAGTGGAGAAGCAAATATGAGCATTCAGCTGTCTTGTATTACACTACATTAGAGATTATAGAGATTTGCAAAATGTGAAACACTGCCACTCTTCTCACTAACTTTCTCATGTTTTGAAAATACAATTTTAAAAATATAATATGTTCATTATGCTAAAATGTCATGCATTTATTAAAAATAAGTGAATGCATGTTTTTAATTTCTCAGTTTTATTTCTAAAATTATATATATATATATAAATTACAAATAAACATAATCCACATAAAAATTCACCAGGGTCCCCATTAATTTTTAACAGTACAGTTAAGAAGTTTTTAAACAAACATTTTTGATAACTACTTATCAATTATTTGAAAAGATCTTATGCCAGAGATAATGATCTCTCTGTTAGTCTTTATATCCACAGAGGCCAAATTGAATTTAAACTGTAGAAAAAAGAGAACTCTCCTCAATGGTAATGACTGTAAACCCTAGGATATATTGTCAGTAAAGTTTATATATTTTACTATGTATAACATTCTTCTAGTCTTACCTAATATTAAAAGTAAATAGTCACTATTTTACTTCCATCTGAAAGGTTCTGTATTTATAGCTTCTCAATAATTTGATGAGTAACTTTTCAGTAGAAATCAAGAAAGGAGAATCTATCAAAATGTGATTAAAACAGAAACTTAATTGAACTAGTTTTTTCCAATTTATATTTTGTTTCATGACTGCTATTCTTTAAACATTTTTATTTTGATAGAAAGCTACTAGCAAAAAAGTCTTTATTTTATCCTGTTAATGTCCTCTGACATTTACAGAAGAAATATAAAGGGAAAGTGAATTCCAAAAATCTAAATGCATTTTAGTCCAAACATTTTAATACTTGATGACCAGTGAGGTCAGATTGCATCCTCCTGTGGTGTGAGGAAAGTTTATGTCAACATCATCTGCTTTTATTTATAAAAATTTCTCAGAGGCATATCGACACAGCTTTAGTTACTGCTCTCATTTTCACGTGGTATGTAGTAGCGAGTTTAAAAGCATGATTGAGGTTTTAAATATTGGAATGCTGAAAAATACTTCATTTTAGGCACTGACGGTTGCTGATGTAATTTTTTTCTCAAATTTAGAGCTCTTGTGACCTCCTTGCCTTTGAAAATTATATAAGCAGAAAGAGAATTGTCCATTTGTTGCCCCGAGTCTGTTGGCTGTTGCTGTTTGCAGTCTCCTAGAGAATTTTAGTACTAGCTCCTGAGTTGTGTTTGCTTCTTAGAAGCTAAGACAGTTACTTCCATGGTCCTCATTCCAAGGTCAGATGGCTGGTGTATGATATTTTGGAGAATACCTTTTCAGGCTTGACATCTGGGAATGCTATGAAACTCTAAGAACAATGGCCCTCAAGATTCCTGGAAGTTTTTAAAATCCTGACATGTTTGATGTCACCCTTTACAAAAACAAACAAAAAAGATGTGGACACTGAGCTGGCATTAAACATCCAGTACTATGTACAGTACTATGTACTTTTTTATGATAGTGGTCATCCTGATTAATTCTATTCTTTGGAAAGGAGATGCCCTGGAGGAGGAGGAGGGGAAGCATAAGGAAAAGCCTAACCTAAATCATAGCTTTGTTGAGACATCTTCTGCCTTCAAATAAAAGTCATTCTTGGGAAATTCAAGGCACTGGTCATTAGCAGAAATAAAATTCCTCTGGTCTCTCAAACATCTACTGAGTAACCAAATGCATCCTGCCACAAAGATGGTAGAAACTTCCTTTCAACCTTCATTTCCCCACTCCCTTGTTACCTAAGCTTTGGTTATGACTGCCAGGCTTTCCCGGTTCCCCAAGGTATCTTCAAAGAGCTCCTCCTTTTTTATTTAGTTACACATACAGATATAAATAGAAAATATTCATACACAGTTTATTACAGGTCTGAATTTTAGACTGTAGAAAGTGTCTATGTTGTGCCAAACACTTGTGTTTAAAAACTTTGCAATCAACTTTATTTGGAAGTTTTGAAATTAAACCAATAGCTGCATAAACAATTTTAATACTTTAGTGTTTAATGTTCTCCCCTTTGTTTTGACTTAGGAGATCTTGAGTTGAGGCCCTCAACATTCCTCATTATTGACCCTCTCTTGGGACTTTTGAAGATTCAAGAAACACAAGATCTGGATGCTGGCGATTATACCTGTGTAGCCATCAATGAGGCTGGAAGAGCAACTGGCAAGATAACTCTGGATGTTGGCTGTAAGCCTCCAGATCTTATAGGCCAATTTGTTTAGAAATTGATATGTTATTTTTCATGTTTAATAACCTTGAAATGGTTTGGTAGAATTATTCATCAGAATGGCAAAATTAGAGGGTGCATTTCAGATTAATAGAATAACAGTAGTTAGCATTTACTAGGTGCTTTCTTTCTTTTTTTTTTTTGATACGGAGTCTCACTCTGTCACCCAGGCTGGAGTGCAGTAGTGCTATCTCGGCTCACTGCAACCTCTGCACCCCATGTTCGAGCAATTCTCCTGCCTCAGCCTCCTGAGTAGCTGGGATTGCAGGCGCCTGCCACCATGCCCAGCTATTTTTTTGTATTTTTAGTAGAGGCGGGGTTTCACCATGTTGGCCAGGCTGGTCTTGAACTCCTGACCTCGTGATTCCCACCCACCTCAGCCTCCCAAAGTGCTGGGATTACAGCCATGAGCCACCACACTGGGCCACTTTCTAGGTACCGTTCGCTGTGTCAAAAAATTTATACGGAAAGATCCTAAAATTATCTCCTTTTTATAGATAAGGAAACTGAGGCTTATAAAGGCTAAGCAACTTGATCAGAGTTACAGAGTTAGGGAGGTGCAGAACCTGGATATTTGAACTCAAGTTGCTGTTTCCCTACGAAGAGTCATCCATTCTGCCACCGAATTTCTAAGTATCAACATCTGGAGGCCAGAAATTATACTTTGGCCCAAGATCATAATTTGAAGATATTGATGACAGCAAAGGTATCAGATTGTGCTTTTACTTAAAAAAATTCAATAGCAATTACTCTTCAGTGTATGAAATAAAGTACTACAAAAAAATGTCAATCATAAAATGAAGATACAGTGTATGCAAGACAACCATATGTAGGTTACTCAAGAAGTTTGGTCCTCCCTTTTTTGTCTACCTCATGTCTCTTCACATTGTAGTCAAACATAAAACAGAGTTCAGTTTGTATGAAATAGAACCTGGCATTTAATTTTTAAGATAATTTAATATTTGTGTCACTTAGAACTTATAAAATATGACATTGCATTCAATTGTCCTCTATTTTCACTTGTATATGATGATATTCATGCCAGACTGTTTTTTTTAAAGCAAAAGTTAGAACTGTAAAGAAAATGCTTTTTATTTTTCTTAGAATATAGTAACACAAAACATTTTAGTTCCACTGTTTTAAGTCTTTAAATGAAAATTATGTCCTCCTAACTTGATATTTGTTTCATGTAAGCTAAATTTTTGCTTTCTGGGATCTTTTATGATCCCCTTGCCCCTGAACTGTCTGGTGAACACTCTGCATTCTTGGTGATTATGCCCTTGGGGGAGAATCAACAAAGCTGGAAATGACCACAAAGACCACTATAGAATCTGTCTAGGACACTGTAACACGTGTTTGAACCATGACTAAACTCTGTGGTTATTAAGAGAAATGCCTTGAAAATAAGATTGGAACCTCTGGGTGGAGGGTAGCTCTGAATCTACTAGCAAGCAAGATGTAAAACACAGTAATGCTTTTAGACATGTAAGGCCCAAATAAAGAGGGTCACTACATAGAGAATTCTTGTTTACAAGAAATATACTGAGTACAACATTGTAATTCTCAACATTTTCTAGTTCTCCTTCTACCTCCTTCCGGCACAGATATTTTATGTTTACTCAACATTCTTTTAGACTTGTCTGGCTCTAGAGGAAGAGAGAAACAGTCTCAGTAATTTTTCCCAACAAAAAGGTAATTGCACCCTCAGTCCCCTCAAAGTTTGTAGAAATCCTAAGAATCTTTTGCACATGCTTCTTTGCTTACTTGCTGCCTTCTTGGTAATCCCTTTTAGCTTCTGGAATTTCCAGATTCCTTCTTCCATCCAGTGATACACCATATAAGGGTTCACACTATCTGTGTTGGGGTGACTTACATTGGATTAGGAAACAACCTAACAAATGTTTCGTATTTATGCTTTATTTCTTGAACAGAAGTGAATTTTATTTTATCTTCACTTATACTCAAGATCTTCATTCTCTGTGACCCTTTCTAAAACAATGGCTTTTCAACTTTTATTCTAGTAATTGTCCTGACAGAACCATCAACATAAGCCAAATTATTTGTTTATTGTAACCTTGACCATTGTTCACAATTGCCAAATAACTTAGTGTTAAAGTCAGTACCATTCATGTTTCTGTTATGCATTAACTATTTCCATATTCGCTGTTAGATCTTTCTCTTTGTAGCTCACAATGTTAGGAGTTGCTTCATTTTTGAGGTTTGCTTGTCACTGATGCTACCTTGGCTGCCTACCTAGTGCCTGGTATTCTCATTTGCCTTGTTTTGTGATACCAGTACATATATTCTTTGACCTTGTGCTTGTTTTGTTGAATAACAAAGGTTGAACAGACCTTGTCTGTTCACATCACACTATTGTTACATATTCTAGCAGATATAATATGTAAATGCTAAGAACCATGCAAATCACAGTTGCAGTGATAATTATAGTTATCACTATTAGGTTTAAAGGTAAACACACATCAAATCAAAACTTTCCCCAGAACTTATGTAGTGGTTAAGTAAATGGTGGACTCTGACAGAGAATGGGTTTTCTGCCTAAACTTTCCTCATCTATAAAATAATGATCTAAGTGGTACCTACCTCACTGGTTGGTTGTAAAGATAAAACGAGACATCATCCTAACGTACACCCAGCATATCAGCTGTTACTGCTGTTCCTCTAAAGCTGTTTAATGAAACATGTATCATGTAAATGAATATTAACTTCACAAATTAAGTGGTCATTTTGATTCTTTGAACCTTGAAAAATCATATGGAAATGCCTATATAATAGCAGCTTAGTATTTAAGATTAAGCATTGGGATTTTAATGTGAAAGTCACCATTTCAGCTTAATTTTTTAAAGAAAGGGCTTGAGACAAGTTAAGTACTAAGCTTAGTAGTGCATAAAATTGTTCATTTGAGTTCCAAAACTATTGGGCATAAATTTAAGTAGCTTATGACTTAGGAAGAAAAGCATGCTTTTATCCATATCATTTAGCTATTTGAGCTTTCAGATTGTTTTTGTGGGCATATTACTTCATATCAACAATACTAGATCAAAAAATTATGAAAAGGCTATTTAATACGATTTTTGAGTTCTAGCTTCTTGTAGTGAGTGCCCTTTTTCCTATTACTTATTATCATGGTTTTAAATTATGGACATTTCAGGTCAACAGGGAAAGTTACCAATGATTTTTATCCTTTGTAAAAAGGGATAGTGGACTGTGAAGTCATTTGGAAGGAAAGAGGACTGGCTACATCAAACAAAAAGTTGGCTTGGCAGTGATTTTATTTGTAGCATTCCATACCACACAGGGTTTGAGACTTAGACTGTGGTTTCATGCTTTGCGGTTTGGTGGAACCAAAACAATGTGTCCAGTCATTTTAGGAAAGAAAATCTCTGACTAAAATAATGCAAGAGTCACCACATGGAGTATATATATATTTAATTTTCCCTAAGGGAACTAGAATAATTTTATGGAATAATTTTTGCAGCAAGATGGTCAATCTGTTTGTGATTTTTATATTTGCAGAATAATGTGTGTACACAGCCATATCTATATGTAAGTTACAGCAAAGTTATACTGTGGCATTAACCCTGTGCAGATCTCAAGATGCTTGCAAACAAATACTTAGGATCTCAGAGGATCAAACATCATCCTAACAGACTCTGTGAAGAAGCCAAAATTGAAATTAACCATAGATACATTAAACTAACCACAGAAATTAACCATAGACTTATTAAACTCCAGTTGAGATTTAATAAGTTAACTCTATAATATGTTTAATGAGTGTTTATATCTCAGTGATTATTATATACTAAATGATTAATAAGATCATCTCTTTTAACAACATGAGATAGGAAATGTTATTATGCCTTTTTTGTTCATGGGGATATTTTAACTGGAGGAGGTAAAATAATTTTCTCAAGCTTAGAGTTGCCATTTGAAGCCACTTAGTGTGCTCTTCACCTCTCTAAGCAAACAGCCTCCTCTGTAGAAGCACCGTGCACCGTACTACACTCACTGCTGTTCTTCTTCCCCATAGTTTCATTAATGTATTTACCATCTACTCACTGTAATTCACTTGGAGTTCATGTTGGCTACATTCAGGAGTAGGAAGTATTTAAAAAGCTTCTTGGCTGTATTAGGAGTTGCTTCATTTTTGAAGTTTGCTTGTCATTGATGCTGCCTTGGCTGCTTACCTAGTGCCTGGTATTCTCATTTGCCTTGTTTTGTGATACCAGTACATATATTCTTTGACCTTGTGCTTGTTTTGTGCATAATGCTGTTCTCAAAGCTGCTTTACAATGGATGACTTCTCCTGTCTTAATTGAGTTTTGTTGGTACAGATTGAGGTTTGTTTATCCTTTTTAATTCCAGTTTGTTCTTGGCTTTCTTAGTTCTGAAAATTGAAATCTGCCTTCATTTTCACTGATGCCTGTGTTGTAATGTGTCAGTAAACTGGGTATTCTTCCAAGCAGTTGGTTGATTCCAGGCTTCTGCATATCTTTGTGCTGTTCTGGAATTTGTTTTCTGTCCATCACCGCATTTACCTGCCCATACTCTGAGGCTAACATATCCAGAAACTTTTAAACTTAACTTCCATTTTTCAGAACAGCCATCTGCTTTAGAATAAATGATTTCCGTTTATCCAGAGAAAAGTAACTAGGTCTTAGAGACTTCGTGTATTCGTCCGTTCTCACATTGCTATAAAGAAATTCCAAAGACTGGGTAATTTGTGAAGAAAAGAGGTTTAATTGGCTCACCGTTCTGCAGGCTCTACAGAAAGCATGGCTAGGGAGGACTCAGGAAACTTATAATCATGGCAGAAGGCAAAAGGGAAGCAGGCACATCTTACATGGCCAGAGCAGAAGGAAGAGAGCAAAGGGGGAGGTGATACACACTTTTAAATCACCAGATCTCATGAGAATTCACTCACTATCCCGAGAACAGCAAGGGGGCAATCTGCCCCTATGATCCAATCACCTCCCACCAGGCCCCTCCTCCAAAATTGGGGATTACGATTCAACATGAGATTTGGGCAGGGACACAGATCCAAACCGTATCACTTAGAATAAGCAAGCTATGAGCTATTCTATTAACTATGTTTAAATATGTTTAAAATATGTTTATTTTGCCTATTATTTTTATAAGTCAAATTTCCATATAGATGGATTAAGAAAAATCTAAACACTGATACACGATTTATTTATAAAAATATATTGTTCAATTGTGGTATTTAACCTAATTTAATTTTGTTTAGGTTCAATAAATAAATAAGAGGGCTCTGAAATTGCCACGTGAAAGTTCAATGTACTGGGTGAAGGTTGCTGTACACACTTATGCACCAGACACACACACACACACACACGCACACACACACTGTGTTATTACTGAAGTGTTGTCATACTGATTTCAAAAATTCATTGACAAATATCCAGTGGCCATGAATAATGCCCAAAGTACTATGTTAGCTGCTGTAAAAGATAAAAATATGGTTACAAATATAAACTCTCTAGGAAATAAAAAACAAATGTAGTCTAACAACAGGTTGAATGTGGTGATTGCTATGAGAATGGTAGAGAGTGAGTTTTCTGAAACTTTAGAGAGGGAAGAAATCATGCTCATCTCAACTGGTAAGAGATGGCATCATAGAGGAGGGGCCTTTTAAACCAGATTAAAGATTGCCAATATTTCAACAGCCAGAGATCAATAACAGACATTACATTTGTGGGAGATGGTAATAACAAGGTACTGATATGAGAAAGGTCAGTCCTTGCTTGGAGAAGAACAAGGGATGTTGATTGCCCAGGTAGTAACATTTATAAAGGGAAATAATAGGAGATGAGGCTGCAAAGTTGGAGGAGGTTCTTTAACCTATGCTAAAAAAGCATTAATGCTGCTTGAGAGACAACTGTACATCAACTCCAGAATTCCCATGGGAAGAAAAGTGATCTCTGTAGGAATATTTATGAGCCTGCTAACTAGTGTGACTATGAGCAGTTGTGAGAACCCATAGAAAAGGGGAAGTTAATATAATCACAAAGAATGGTGACTCCAAAGTTGAACTGACTTGGCTTTTAAGCCTGCTTCCATAATTCAACTCCATGTGACACTTAGCAAATTAACTATCTGTGTTTCAGTTTCTTCATCTATAAAATCAGAGTAATAACAATACCTACCCCATAGAGATATTGTGAAGATTAAATGAGGTAATAATGGACAGCACTTAACACAACCTCTGACTCTGTAAGTGGTAATTATCATTTCTAACCAAGATTTAACCTTGACTTTATCAAGGAGCCTTCCCTAGGGTACACCTCTTAGAATCCTATATGAGCAGGTTTCATCCATTGCCTCCAAAAGTACCCTGTATATTTCTCCTTGCCTGGTGTCTCATCACCCATAAGTTTCCAGGATGTATTGAGAGCCTCATCTATTTGAACTTGCTGACAGTATCCTCCCTAAACAGGATTCCTATGTTTTCCAAGATGTGCCTCTGATGTATTTCTATGTCTTCCTCCCTGATCTCTGTGGTTACCTGAATTACGTGGATATCTGTAGCCTCTTATCTATAATTTTTATAGTTTCTGAATCATTTCTTAATTCTGACTAAGATATTAAACTCTTCCTATTCTCTTTTTATCAAATACTACATTCTGTTACTTTGATTCGTATTATTTATTCTAATATTTAAATTTCTCTAATTCAAAAATGTGAAAGGTATGAGAAGCAAGAATATGATATTGAACAAGGATATAATTTAGGAGTAAATAGTGTTAGCTTGTTATATAGTGATTATAGAATAATGAACTCTGGTATAAATTAATTTAAAAATTCAACCAAAGGAGTAAGTTACGGAAAGTGTCAAAAATATCTTATTATAAAGCCAACTTATTTATAAGATAGTCTTAAAGTTTGAGCAATTTGACATAAACTGAAATTGAAAACAAATTTTTAGAGTGAAAGATTCTCTTTATTTAAGGTTATTATAATTTGAAGTCCCATGCTTTTTATCATCTATCACCTTAAGGAAATGGTTGGGCTTCTAAGTGTCTCTCTTCATTTATAAAGCAAAAAAGAAACACCCACTGTTTTTACCTAAGAGAGGAATATCAACAGGGTAAATTTACAATATAATATGAACAATAATTCAAATTCAATGATTTGACAGTTTAATATTTAAGTTTATGTTTAATATGCCTGTATAATATACCGATGACTTATTTGTTGTTTGTAATGTCTTCCAGCACCTCCAGTTTTCATACAAGAACCTGCTGATGTGTCTATGGAAATTGGCTCAAATGTGACATTACCTTGTTATGTTCAGGGTTATCCAGAACCAACAATCAAATGGCGAAGATTAGACAACATGCCAATTTTCTCAAGACCTTTTTCAGTTAGTTCCATCAGCCAACTAAGAACAGGAGCTCTCTTTATTTTAAGTAGGTTGAAGGAAATATATTTTGTACGAATATGTACTTTTATGTTATATATTTATGTTTTATACATAGGTATTGCTATTTAAAATAGTATATTAATCTTGCCAACACATTTTATGTTCATTGCATTTTACTTTGAAATAGTACTGGCATTTTATATTCGGGAATTGTCATAAATGAGTTATATTTTATTCAAATGTATGTCATTAATTTATCATAAGGGCTTATGAAACAATATGACTTCTTCATATCTTACCATTTCTTATTGCAAATAGAGTCATCTGAGCCTTTACATAGATAAGTGGTCACATTACCTTGATTCTTGTAACAATTGTTGTATAGAAAGATAAAATATTACTATTAGTTAACTTTATTTATTTTGTCAAACAGTACATAACAACATAGGGATGCCTTGGAATCTCCTTTATTAAAAGCTGTATCCACCTGAAGCAAAAGATCCCTGCCACCCCCACAAAAGTCAAATACTTTCTTATCTAAAAATTTTATAAGCTATTCAGTATTCAGATATTTGGAAGCACCTTCTATTTTTTCAAATAATGCTAAGAATAATTGCATGGTGTTACCAGAGGAGGAAAAGCATTTAGATAATTAATTGCATTTTTAAAAATAATGGGATGTTTGGGGTATTTTATAGAAAGCTTTTAATCAGTTACTGCTAAGTTAATTATTTTAATTATTTTTATTTTTATATTTTGGGTGGGTACGGGTTCTCATTCTGTTGCCCAGGCTGGAGTGCAGTGGCATGAACTTGGCTCACTGCAAACTCCACCTCACAGGTTCAAGCAATTGTCCTGCTTCAGCCTCCTGAGTAGCTGGGATTACAGGTGTGAACCACCATACCCAGCTAATTTTTGTATTTTTGGTAGAGATAGGGTTTTACCATGTTGGCCAGGCTGGTCTCGAATTCTTGACCTCAAATGATCCACCCACATCGTCTTCCCAAAGTACTGGGATTGCTGTCGTGAACCACCATGTCTGGCCCAAGTTTATTAACAATATTAAATATACATTGGCCACTTAAACTTCCAGATATAAATTAAATTGTCTAATAACAAGTGCTTCAGTGTTCAGCTCTGTGGTGAGCTCTGTGGTGGACAGATTCAGATATAGGGTCCCTCACTCAGGTAGTTTGCAGTCCATTCTCTGAGTGGATGCCCATGAAAGGAGCTACTGGGAAGTACACATCAGATTGGGTCAGATTGTGCATGACTTGAATGTCCAGGTGAAAAAATGGATTTGATGAGCTAGAAGTTAGAGAGCCCCATTCCAAGTTTGATAGGCAGGAAAAGGTACATGAAAGTACTGTTTCAGAACAACACCGCTACAAGATAGGAAGAGAGATGAGAGAAAGGGAACATTGAAAAGCTCAAAGAGTGATGATGAGAAACAACCCAGATGTTGATAAAAAGTGAGACCTGAAAACAAATTGATTAAAGGAGACAAAAGAAAAGGAAGAATAAAAGAGCTCAATATCTTGAGCAACAGTTGCCTAATTGTCGAAATTAAATTGTCTGGAAGGAAATTAGTAATTAGAAACTTGGTTCTCATGGTATGTTGTATTTCTACACAAATTAGCCCAAGAATTCGTAATATGAAAAATATCCCAGTTAGAACTAATGTATGATTTATTAATGGGGTGGTTTGCTGAATTTTTATTTCCAAATGAATGTTTGCTATTTAGAGTAGATGCTACCTTAATTTACCAGATGCAGTTCTACAATTAGATGCATATGGTTAGCAGAGGAGTAGAAACTTTGTCATGGTTCTTTATCTGAGATAGTATGGGACTATGGATGCTGGAAAGCTGCACTTTTCTCTGTTCAAATCTTATCAATAGATTAAACTGCTCATTTTGGTTCATATATTTACAAGATTATACCCATTCCCCTATTTAAAATCCTCTCCTTCCTTCCTGATTGCTCACAAGACAAAACCATACTCTTGAGAATGTACCAGCCCACCTCTTCAACTTCAGTCTCCTGACTATCCCCACGCAACCTATAACTCAGTAGTCCCCATCCTCATGGCTCCAATACCCTCTTTAATTACAAATATTTTGTAATATCATTTTATTATCTTGAAAAATTCTATATATTTGATCTAACTACATAATAAAAATTATTTTAATGTCTAACACATACAAATGAAAAATGAGGGAAAGTAATTTATACTAAAATAATGCATATTTCAATACGTAAATACTCTGGCATTGTCTACAGAATATGAAGATACATTTATGTGGCATCATTATGAATTCAATAGCTCAAATGCAGACTCATGCAGGAGTATAGGATTGATGACTCAAAAACTCCAAGCTGGTGAAGTGATTTTCTAAGATGATGTGCAATTATTACTAAAGTTCTGTCTTTCTTCTGCACATACAGAATTAGGTTGCAGACTCATGTAGTTACAAACAAAGTTATGAAATACACACATTTCAGTGGGAGCTTCAAAGTCGTGCTGGACTTGGGATAATTGTTTCTTTGCGAATCTGGCCCATGTTTCACCTCTCTAGTTTTTACCCACTGAATGCCAGCAGACTTCTCCAGTCATTGCATCAACTAAAAAATCTCCCCTGCAAACTTCTAACAGGGTGGTGGTGCAGAGCACCACCATTGATGGTGCAGCTTTCCATTCTTTGTACAGGCCATGATTTTTCTAGTCATGCTCTTGCCTTTGTAACCGATTAGAACTGGACTGCCCGTCCTCTATTCTACTCACTCAGATATTACCTCAGTGTGAATCCTTCTCCAATTGCCTTTCATGCAGTCACTTCTGTCTCTGCTTCCAGAGCTCACTGTCTGGAACTCTTTGTTAGCACTTATTTCACTGTGGTGTGATGGCTGGTTTCTGTGTATGTCCCTTCTTCAACCAGAAGGCAGTGCACACTTTCCATGCACAGATCTCAGCACTGTTTCTGGCACATAGTTAATTCTCCATAGATGGTATTGGATGAGTAAATGAGTTCTTCCTTTTAGACTTATGGGCAAGTGATAAAGGAACCTATATTTGTGAAGCTGAAAACCAGTTTGGAAAGATCCAGTCAGAGACAACAGTAACAGTGACCGGACTTGGTAAGATCAATTGAATGTCTACATACCATGGTCTTCAAAGTCATCAGACTTCTTTTACTATGTCATCTCTTGCCTGTGCCACTTAAAAAAAAACAAAAGATAAATGACTAATTACTAGACCAGCCTTCCCTTCCCTGCCACACTTCATATTTCTTAGAATGTTAGTCCTGGAAATAACCTTAGAGATTATCTGCTCCAAAATGAAGGGCAATTTAAATAAATTATTTCAAATCTAAATATGAATACACACATGCACACACACACACACACACACATATTAGAGTTGTGGTCTTTTCTGATTCCTTTTTTACATTTGTTATTTTAGTCAACATGGAATTATTTTTGTGTATGATAGGTAAAAATATAATATCATTTATTTCCAAGTAAGACATTTGATGCAATATCTATTATTGAATATTCTCTTCCCACTGACTAAAATACCCATTTGATCATGTAGTAAGTTTATGTCCCCATGTCTATTCCTTAGAATTCTATTTCTGAAATAGTACTACGTTGCTTAAATTATTATAGCATTTAATATGATTTTTATATCTGTCAGTACATGTTTCTCATTAATACCCTTTTACACAGTTTTTAAAATATGTCTTCATTAGTCTACATACACGTTTTCCAAGTAAAATCTCTTAGGGATTTTACTTTATGTTAAATTTATTCATTAATTTTTAGAGAAGGGCATATTTACAATACTCCTTTACCATTCCATCTAAGAGAGTCAACCTCATATTATTTGCTTGAGATATTACAACAGCATCCTTATTGATCCCATTTCTTCCAGTGTACTTACAGTTTTCAGATTAATATTTCCCCAGAAAATGATCCTGATGATTCCACTTTTCCACTTATAAATGCTTTCAGTTACTCTCCATTTGTCTACTGAATACATTGCAAATATCTTGGCTTGACATTTCAGGCCTTCCATGCCATAAGCATTCTTTTTTACCTTCTTTACTACTGCAGTAATGTATTACCTGTCCTTTTGCATTCCCCCTACTTAGAAGGAGACTTTAATTTTTACTTTCAAAATCATACCCATTTTCATGTAAATATTTTGTTTCTGAAAACTCAAACTTTTATAGCATAACTAACAGTCTTTGGGGCCTGTGAAGTGGCTTACCTTTCTTTTGGGTGAAATAGAGTTGAAAGTGCCTGTGCTCTCTCTTGATTTAGTTGCTCCACTTATTGGAATCAGCCCTTCAGTGGCCAATGTTATTGAAGGACAGCAGCTTACTTTGCCCTGTACTCTGTTAGCTGGAAATCCCATTCCAGAACGTCGGTGGATTAAGAATTCAGCTATGGTAAGAACATTTTAAATGCATGCATTCACATTCTTTTGTGAGTTTTCTTTTCTTTTTTTTTTTTTTTCTTTGAGACAGTTTCATTCTGTCACCTAGGCTGGAGTGCAGTGGTGGGATCTAGGCTCACCGCAACCTCTGCCTCCTGGGTTGAAGGGATTCTCATGCCTCAGCCTCCAGAGTAGCAGGATTACAGGTGACCGCCACCATGCCCAGCTAATTTTTGTATTTTTTAGCAGAGATGGGGTTTCACCACGTTTGCCAGGCTGGTCTCAAACTCCTGACCTCAAGTGATCCATCCACCTCGGCCTCTCAAAGTGCTGGGATTACAGGTGTGAACCACCACACCTGGCCCACATTCCTAATTTTCTTGAGTAAGAAGTAATGTATTCCAATCACCAAAAGTATCGATTTAATAAATATACAAAAATATGTTTTTATAAGTATATCAAAGCTTTTCTTTATTATTGACATATTTTTGTTATTCATATTATTTTGGCATTAATAAAATGGAGAAATAGTGTTGTAATTTTCATAATTTTATATTAAATTCAGTGTCACTAGTGAACTTTTTTCAGAATATAGAAGAACTGAAGCAAATATTGTTATTTTCATAGTACTTAAATATTTTTGTGCTCTTCTTTGTAGTACATTGTTAAACGTTAATATTCCCATAAAATTCTTCCATTTTATATATCAATCTTTATTATTATTAACTTTAAACATATCTCTCATTATGAACTATATAAAAATGTAGATATATATTGTCATTGTTTTTCGGTGTAAAATTTTTTTTATGAAAGGATGTGAAAAATGTTTACAGTTCTATGAAATTTTTTCTGTAAATAAGCTATCTATGGCAATACATTTTCTTCTGGCTCAGAGCATTTTTCTTTCCATTTTCCAGAATGTTGAGACTCACTCTCTTCTTGAAGTACTGATTAGAAGTGAATATGCTGAACCCAGGAGGCGGAGGTTGCAGTGAGCCGAGATCGTGCCACTGCACTCCAGCCTGGGTGACAGAGCAAGACTCCGTCTCAAAAAAAATAAAAAATAAAAATTAAAAAAAAGTGAATTGACTCCATCTAAGAAAATGTAAAATTTCATATTTGCATAAAATCCTGAGGAAAAATTAGCAAACCTCACTTAAAAATAAATGTCCTTGCAGAATGATAGTATTTGAGCACACAAGTATCTTATATGCAGTGTGGATGGATGATACAGATTTAGAGGTGATCATTCTTAACTGAAAATATTACCAGCCCTCCCTGACACAATTCAGATGTCACATATTGTCCACTAATATTTGCATCTGTTACCTAACAAGGGTGGGTGTTGAGGTTAAGTCCTTCTCCCTTGGCATGAGTAAGTGCCTATGTGCCAAAATAAAAATATCAAATGGCTTGCTAGTGGTAATAAGGCCTTCTTGGAAAAGAACACTTTAAGCCAAAAGTAAATATTATAGTGAAATTTGGGTTTTGAGTGATGACAAAATTTACAGGAACATTAAACAAGTGATGTCTATATCTTTCTTTTTTTAGCTTGTGCTTAACTCTCTGATAAATATTAATAGGTATAATATTTGGAGGTATATCAGGATTAAATTGTACAATCACACTCTTGGTAACATTTATGCTCATCGTTCTTCACTTAAGGACATTAGAATATTTTGTTTATAGACTTTTAGTAACCCAGTTGGGAAAAAAAGAAAAAGCAGGTTCATTTTTGACTCTCACAAATCCTTTCTTTTTAAATAAAAATTACCTTTTTTTTTCCTTTAAGTTGCTCCAAAATCCTTACATCACTGTGCGCAGTGATGGGAGCCTCCATATTGAAAGAGTTCAGCTTCAGGATGGTGGTGAATATACTTGTGTGGCCAGTAACGTTGCTGGGACCAATAACAAAACTACCTCTGTGGTTGTGCATGGTAAGAGACACACCCAATGTTATTGTTTCGAAACTGTGTTCAAAGTAGTTGTTCTTATATTTTAATCAAATAACTCTGTTCCTCTAATTACAATTAGATATCTCTCTTAATTGTTATTTCCTATTTCTTGAACAATATCTACATTGTTAATGTTGTTTCCAGATTTCCCTTTTTTATGTACACAAAAAGACATTCTTGGGAGTCACCAGCTGAGTCTGGCCAAGGGGTTTTGTAAGTGGTTTCTTAATTGTTAAAAGTGACCTTGGCTCTCAAAGAATTATGTTTAAAAATACATTTTAATTTCAGACAAGCTGAACTCATTATACCCTCCAGATTGCCTTTTCTTTTTGGATTGTGCAACCAGCATGTCCTTACTAATGACCCCTTTGTGCTTGAGCTAGAAATGACCTAAGCTTTTCTAAAGGTCACCTCATGTGCTCCAAACAATCTTCTTGCATGTTAAATAACTTAAAGGTCACAAATAAGAAGATCCAGAAGCAATCTTTTTTCCATTCGTGACTAACAGTAACCAGCTTTTTACATCTCAATAATTGACAGCTTCATAGATTAAGAAATTGTCATAACTTTTTAATATACTTTTTAAAGACTCTGCAACATTGCTTTTTTAAAAAAAACAAAAAAAACCATTGCATTAAAAATAGCTTTGTGTTCAGAGCTGAATATCTGAGGGAAGAAAGTACTACAAAATACTTATTTTTAGTAGTTGATTTATTCTTTATTTAGAGTGTGAATTGGAGAGTCCAGTAGTTTTCCAATTTTGTTTGGTCTATTGACAATATCACTGAATGCAGACCATTTTCTTTTGTTATGTCTGCTTCTCTTAAACAGCCTCTTCCACCTTTCTCAGTTTTACGTTAAGTATCCACCACATCACCTTAGATATTCTTGGAGAAATATTATTTTGAAGAAATACTAAAGCAACACTAAATTAGTTATAACCTAGAGGAATAAATGCATACTGACAGATTGGATATGGTTGTGTAACTATTTTTCAAGAAGACCAGACCATAGATTTCTTGAACAGTGCTTATAGACTAGTTTAAGAATCTAGTGTGGGAGTGCCCTCATGTTATCTCTCTTTGACTTCTAGTGACTGCCTAGAATATTGTGTTGGATAGGATTCTGAGGCTGAATTTTCACTTGGGTGAAAAAAATGACAGGATTAATTAGGATGTCTTTCCTATCAGAGGGGCGAGGATACAGACAAACGAATGATATGGTGTATTGTGATGCAAGAAGTTTTAATATTAAAAATTAAGAGATCATTTCACAAAATTCATTTGTCCATTTTAGTCCAAAATGAGTAACTAATTTAGTCAATGGAGTTAAAAAATTAGTGCAGCCATTTGGCATTAACTAAATCTTGCAGACATTTAGCAGATGGATGTGATGCAGCCTAGCAGCTCTCTATACCTCTGTATTTATGTTAATTAGCAGTGCTGTTCCTTCATCATTCTGTGTCTCCATTTTTAAGAATACTCATTAAAGGCTGTCAATCCAATTCTTAAAATAATGAATGAATACAAGTATAAGTGTAAATTAAAATGACAAAACAGTTTAATTGTCATATTGGTTTATATAGATTGACAATCTGAAAAGAAACTTCTCTTCCACACCCAAATGTCATTAGATTTCAAAACTGTTGCCTAAATTTGCCACTTTTCTTTATTGCTGTCAAACTCAGTATGTTTGTATCAAAATGGCTTATTCCATGTTGCCACAAATTGACAGCATAGTTGAAAGATGAATATTCCATGATGATTCTGAAAATTAATTTTCTTGCTTTAGAGAGTAGCCTGGCATTGTTGTTTAGGGCTGGGGATTTGCTGGCAATTCTTTAAGAATAAATTATCTAAAGAGTGAACCCAGCCATAGGAAAATATGAGTATGTAGCATATCTAATCTAAGCCTTCCAAGGGATTTTTTTGCACTGAGGTTTCTGGTGTCTCTAGTTCTAAAAAACTTCTCCAGAGTAGTTATGATAATCCTTGAAAAATCTGATTTTAAGGAAGAGAAATGATGAGTGATTGAGCTCCCGGGAGCAGTTCCAGTCTCATCTTTCCAGAGGATGGAAAGGAAACGCCTGTTATAGATTGGGCTTTTATTGTCTTCTTCTCACTATGTTAGGAACTTTCATATATGCAAGCTTCTTTAATCAAAATCACCACTATTTTGAGAACATCGAGTATTGATGATTTCTGTTTGTGAGAGTTGGTTCTGATTATGATTTACACAGAATGGAGGGATTAACCTTCCTTTTCCTTTTGCTTCTACTCATGTTAATTCTTCAGTTGCTTTCTAAAGTCAAAGGTGTTATTCTTCTTACTGAAAAATATTGACTTAGAATCCTTTTAGTCTTTTAAATGTAAAAGACTTGGCTGGGCGTGGTGGCTTATGCCTGTAATCCCAGCACTTTGGGAGGCTGTGGCAGGAGGATTGCGTGAGCCTAGGAGTTCAAGACCAGCCTGGGTAACACAGCAAGACCCTGTCTCAAAAAAAAAAAAAAAAAATTAATTAATTAATTAAATAAATTAAATAAAATAAAAAAACTCTTAAGATTTGAGTTTTACCAATGAATTCTTCTTAACAAAACAAAACTTTTTATCTAGGTTAAATGTAGTAACTCACTAAGTGATTCCTGAGTATAGATAGATATTTAATATGTAGTGGTTAAACAGCCCATTTCTCTGTATGTAGGCTTATGTCAGCTTATTGCAGCTTAATGAATAAAGGACAGTGATTGGAGACATGCATTAAATGTGTAGCTCTTAGAGTGCAATTCTGTCTTGGGTTTCCAGCAAAAAAAAAAAAAGAATTTTCTTCAGTCCTCTCTTATTTTTGTTAGGAAAGTCAGCTTATTAGACATAACTTACTACTTGATTTTAAGTTTTTATTTCATTTTTCAGATCATAACTACTTTATTGTCTTTGTTTAGCACACTCCTTTACAGAGATTATCCTACATTTTTATCAGAAAATGTTAAATAATTGCTCATTTTTACAAACATTGATGTTGTAATGAAAATGTTCAACTTTAAATAGATGATTTTAAATGGAAGAACAGGTGCTCAGATTCCAAATCCTACTTACCTTTTCAGTTCTGCCAACCATTCAGCATGGGCAGCAGATACTCAGTACAATTGAAGGCATTCCAGTAACTTTACCATGCAAAGCAAGTGGAAATCCCAAACCGTCTGTCATCTGGTCCAAGGTAAATGATACATCTAGTTATATTTCCTGAAGAGCAGAGTGTGAAGTTCACCTGCAAGTTATCCCTAGTCTTGAGCAGGAGGCTCAGGAGTGGGGCATGGAAAGAAGATAAGTTAATAAAGGATTTCCTATGTGGCTGGACAGATGTGCTAGGAACCCTCCAAGAAACCATATAGATGCACCTCAGAAGGCTCCCTCGGAGGGACAGGAAGTTGGGTATTTATACATGACATATTTCCTCCACTCCCCAGAGAAGCTTACACTGCTGCACTTGCTGGCTGTGGCCTTCTGGGGCTTTGGATAAAGCCCTGGTCCAAAAAAAAAAAAACAAAAAACTTAAGTGCAAGAAGGATGACCCTGGTGGCGCATGTGGAACTGACCAGTAGACCTGCGCTGAAATTAAGAGGGAAGAGGGCTTAGGGATGTGGCACGGGGTAAAAAAGGAACTGCTATGAGATGTAAAGTGCTTAGAAAAGTTCCCGGCACACAGGTTATGCTACGGACGTGTTCACTGTAATGTTGCTAATACCATTCAAGTCTCAAGTAGGTGATTTCACTAAAGGCCTTTTAAGGTTCCTTCTAAATGATATGACTGCATGGATTTTCCTGTTTATAAAGTTCTGTGGTATAGTCACAAATTCTATGTATGACTAAAAATTGTAAGACACTTACACAAACTAATTTATTCCCCTCTATGTCCCTGTCATGTTGTTCAGCTTTTACTTGTATTCTTGCAGTAAAGAAAAGCCCATTTCCTGAGGAAGTCCTTTCACCCTTGAACAGCCACAAAGATGGCACATTTTCTGTAAATGAATTTGAACCCAGCAAATACAAAGTAATGACATGCTAATGAAGTATGGCATTTGTATAATTAGCACTACTAGTGTTTTGCCATACCATCTAGTTTTATCTATCTAAAAATCTCTGAAATATGGAGAAGTTGGTGTTGACATTTGTAAATAAATTAAAAAGTTAGCTTTTTAAAAAAATTATTCTGGACAGAAAAGTCACAGAAGTGAAGCTGATCCCTGAACTGCGCAGTAACTAGCACTGAGTAGAAGTTTAATGCATTTTAAGGAAAATGTAAAAGTGAAATATTTCCAGGTTGATCTTTGTGCTGTGGCCAAGCACAGAGTAGTTAAGAACTTGGGCTCTAGAGCCTCGCTGCTGGATTTCAACCCCAGCTCTACCACTGATGGGCTTTGTGATCTTGGGCAAATTACTCTACTCCCCTCTCCCATGCTTTGATACTCTAAACTGCAAAATGAGGGTTGTGGTAGTTGCTACTCATAAGATTGATGTGAGTGTTAAAATTGTTAATTCAGGTAAAGTGCTCGAAACAGAGTCTGGCATAGCATAAGCATTCACTGTACCATCCTTATCATTGCTGTTCTCTGCCTTCTTAAGTAGCTCTGGAATGAAAATGACATGATATGGTATGGAGAAATATCACTTTTAGTACTTTTTTTTTTTTTTTTTTTTGAGATGGAGTCTCGCTCTGTCACACAGGCTGGAGTGCAGTGGCACGATCTTGGCTCACTGCAAGTTCCACCTCCCGGGTTCACGCCATTCTCCTGCCTCAGCCTCCCGAGTAGCTGGGACTACAGGTGCCTGCCACCTCGCCCGGCTAATTTTTTGTGTTTTTAGTAGGGACGGGGTTTCACCGTGGTCTCGATCTCCTGACCTTGTGATCTGCCCGCCTTGGCCTCCCAAAGTGTTGGGATTACAGGTGTGAGCCACCGCACCTGGCCCAATTTTAGTACTTTTATTTGTCTAATTTTTCTCATAAATAACTTTTTTCAAGTTAGCATTTTAAAATTTACTCTATTCCCCTCTTGGAGATGTTTTTTTCTCTCTATTCCTCTTCCAGACATTGTCACTCTTTTATAATCTTGAAACAAACAAACAAACAAAAAACCCTTTGCTTTTCGCCGTGTTTTGCAGAAAGGAGAGCTGATTTCAACCAGCAGTGCTAAGTTTTCAGCAGGAGCTGATGGTAGTCTGTATGTGGTATCACCTGGAGGAGAGGAGAGTGGGGAGTATGTCTGCACTGCCACCAATACAGCCGGCTACGCCAAAAGGAAAGTGCAGCTAACAGTCTATGGTGAGAGCTGGTGGAGGAATGGTTTTTATTGACATTGTCTATCTGTGCCAAAACTCACAGTTCTTTCCCCAATACTGTTACCAGATGCATGTACCCCTAAAGTGAACTGCTCCCCCAGATTTCTATTTTTTTTTTTTTTTTTTTTTACAGAAATGCATTTTTTACTGCCAACCAAAATCACTTCTACTTAGATTCTGATTTTAAGGAATGCAATTGTATAGTCTTTCGGAAAAATTTTATGGTGTTTTCCCAAGAAGTATGCTTATTGCACCCAACCCTCTTCAGTAACACCAGTTAGTTAACACTCCTAGCAAAGCCAAACCTCAGCTATGTCTTGGGTAGGAGTCTGCCTTGAGGGTTTACTTTTACAGATGTTAGACTCTGAGAGGGCATTGCAGCTGATCTCTTCATTGTGTTCTAAAAGGAATTACTGACTAGAGAAAGTTTTTCGTCATTTCTCTTTTAGTTCTCACAATAAATGTATTAATGGAAAGTTTTAGCTTATGTCCTGAATAGCATCTTTTTATAAATTACTTAAGAACATTAGTAGTCCACATTTTAGTGTAAATTAAACTGTGCTTTGTTTTCAATATACTGTTTCCCTTCCAAAACATGTGTTTATTTTAGTAAGGCCCAGAGTGTTTGGAGATCAACGAGGACTGTCCCAGGATAAGCCTGTTGAGATCTCCGTCCTTGCAGGGGAAGAGGTAACACTTCCATGTGAAGTGAAGAGCTTACCTCCACCCATAATTACTTGGGCCAAAGAAACCCAGCTCATCTCACCGTTCTCTCCAAGGTAGGAGATCTGGGATGAATTGCAACACATGAAAACATAATCAACCTCTTGGGACAGATGGCCATGCCTATTCAGGTTATCAAACGTCTCAAAAAATCACCTTTAAAATTGAGATAATTCACATGTACATCTGAGTCTACAGGAAGTATTTATAACACTGAATCATGCTTCTGACATCTTTAATGTCAGAAATGCTAACATTCAGCTTTGCCATAATTTTTCCCTGGTGCATTTTATAAGGTAGTTATTAAAATGGAGCAGAATTGTATGAGATTCCTGTTAGCCCAATGTGTAAGCACACATAGAATTCCATTAATCCCATAAGAGCAATAAAATACAATAGGCACACTCTAATGTCTAGGATTTGGCTTTCATTGGATGATTTTGTAAGTCTTCTTGCTTAAACCCTTATACAAATATGAGCACATTGAGACAACATACTGTATTTGATAGGCTGAGTGACATAACAAGAAGAATGCTGGAGCTTTAAAAGCACAACCTTTGTTGCCAACCAGCTATAAGTTTAAATTTCTCTCTTACACTTAAACTTTGCCTGAAACCTTTGGCAATTTTTAAGGGGTCTCTCTGAACCTCATATTTCCTATTTATAAAATGGGGATGATACTTACCTGAGAGAATTATGTAAGATAATGTACATTTCACATTCACTGTCTCTAGTTCTTGGTTACTATTTTAACCCAACATCAAGGCAAAAGTTACTGGTGAAATAAGAATTAGTCACTAGACTATAATTAACTTTCTGTTAGAATCATTGATATATAATTATGAAGATATAAATTCATGCTAGTGTCATTTCCCTACTGCCAGTGAAGGAAAAAAATTAAGAAGGACTTTATATAATTTTACTATTTGTTTGAAAAAAATATTTGTTTTGAATGTTTTTTAGTAAAAAATTACAGTAATACAGATCAGAAAGTTTTATTGTTCCCTTCCACAGTCGCAGTTTCTCCTCCCTCTTCCCAGGGGCAAACGCTGCCACAAGCTTGGTATGCATTCTACACATACATCCTTAAACAATGTAGATTACTGTTTTCTGTGTTTTCAATTTTGTTTTGTGTGTCTGTTTTCAATTTGCCATTGTAACAAATGGTATATTATTATTTTGTTACTTGCCTTATTAAGTCAACATTTATCTACTATTATACAAAGGGATTCCATTTATTCATTTTAACTGCTACATGCATATTCTACATTTTATTTTTTCATTCCTTTATTTATGGACATTCTGGTTTGTTTATTCTTTTTTTTAAAAAAAAAAACAAGGCTTTTCAGTGAATAGCTTTGTATATTTCTCTTTGTATACTCATGCATGACTTTCTTTAGGACCTATATACAGAGCTACAATTCCTGGTCAAAGCAAACTCCTGCTTCCAGCTTTATAGGCATTGCTAAATTGCTTTCCAAAGGGACAGTATTGGTTGTCCATCCACCAACAGAATATAAGTGTACCTGTTTCCATGTTCTAATTAGTGCATGGTATTGACTGACTGAGGAATTTTTGCCAATTGTTGGGTGTAAAATGGTATCTTGTAATTGTTTTAATTTTCATGTGATTAACTTCAAGTGAACTGAGAACACTTTTACGTGTTTGTTGGCCATTTGTGGTATTGGTGAATAACCTGTAAATCTGTTGCACAGTTTTCTGGTGACTTGTCTTTCTCTTATTGAATGTAGAAATTTGGTCTTTATTTTTGATAATAATCTTTTGTCTTTTATATGTGTTGAAAATATCTTCTCTCAGTCTATTTCTGTGGTGTCAAGTTTATGTGTGGTGTCTTTTGTTGTACAGAAGGTTTCAGTTTTTAAGGAGCACAGTGTATTAATCTGTTCTTTTTCAGATGTGCACTTTTTGTATCTTAACATGAAGAAAATTATAAACATAACCTTCAATGTTTAATTCTAATATTTTAAGTTTTCTTTTTCACATTTTGGACTTCAATCTATCTGAATTTTAAATTTTGTAAATAATATCAGGTAGTGCTCTAATTTTATATCTTTATTTTTCCATTTGGAGAGCCAGTTGCCCGACATCACTTTGAATAGTCAATACTTTCCTTACTTTTTGTAATATCACCTCTGATGTTACATATTACATGTTGAGTTTTCAAATATGCTTAGGTCTTTCTGGAGGACTCTGTCCTTAACTATTTATTCATTTGCATGTCTCTGGGCCAAGAGCACTCTGCATTTGACTTAGCTGTATAAGAAATCTTGGTACTAGGTAGGTCTACCTAGCCTCCCCTATCCTTTAAAACTATTTTAACACAATGCAATAACATTTTTATATGTAGGTCTGGCTCACCCAGCTGCATTATTACTCAATAGGAGGAATGTATTCAACTATTTTTGAGAACATGTATGTCTTCTTTTTCCTTTACTTTAACATTGTAGAAAATAATAATAAAACGTTCAAAATAAATACAAAGTTAACTCAAATATACATTTGCTTTATAGAGCAGAAAGAAGCACAATTATTTGGGAATTTCAGACCATTAAGATTTAAAAGTAAAATAAAACTGTTTTATGTTTGCAGGAAAATCATACACAAGATAATTATGAAAAGTCCTGGCTTTTAAGATGTATAGATGTACATTGCAGATGGGAAAATGGTTTAAAAAACTACTTGCAGAGTAGTAATTTCATACTGAAGTGTAGCTGCATAGGGGATATTTAAATTCTCCTCTTCCATGGTCTACTATATGGTTTCTTTCTTTTAGACACACATTCCTCCCTTCTGGTTCAATGAAGATCACTGAAACCCGCACTTCAGATAGTGGGATGTATCTTTGTGTTGCCACAAATATTGCTGGGAATGTGACTCAGGCTGTCAAATTAAATGTCCATGGTGAGTCTTGAAATGAGAACATATGACAACCCTGTGGACTGGCCACACAAAAACCCGTAATCCTAGTTTATTTGATAGTTAATTTCCAAATTGTATATAGAGTGATTAAAGAAAAAAATTCTCTAAAATCTGAGACTTGTGATTTTCTTTTGTTTACTCTGAAAAGTCTTCCTGCTATTTATAAACAATCTTCTGTTTCTTCCTTTATCAAATAAACTATGTTAAATTTTTGGATCTCAATTTTTCTACTGGTCAACAGTCACTTATTGCTATTATTGTTGATATACAGTAGAAAAAAATGTGTTTAAGCCGGTAGCATTTTATAGAAGCTAATACAAATTTCAAATAATAATTTATTAGTATTTAAATGATAATTTTCAATATTTAAAGATCTCAGCAACTGAAAAAATTGTTTCCTAGGACTCTTTGACTACAGCTCCCTAGTTAGTTTGCTTTATTCCTCCAATCCACATAGTCCATCCAGTTCTTCATTCATTCAACACACTGAGTGCATACTCTACACCAGGCATTGTTTAGATGAAAGATATTCAAATATCAGAAGAAATTAGCTGAGATAGGATTGATCTGATTTCACTCTCAGATGAATCACCACAATTGTGTCCCCATTGATTATGTGGTGTGAAGTCACACCAGAGTTCTGTCATTTACTAGCTCTAGGGCATCAGGCATATTCACTAACCTTTCTTATTTTTAGTTTTCCCTTTCATAAAATGATGATAATATTATCATAAACTATATAAGGTTGTTAGTGACAACCTTTAGAAAGTGTTCATTAAATATTAAGTTAAAGAAAAAAACATAGAAATTGTGCTTTTTAAGGATGTATGGTACATTAATTATAATTATGTCCTTGTGGCTCAACTTGATTCTACAGTGCACAATGCAAGTATGTGGAAATCAGGAATCATTTGCTGGTGTTTTGATAAACTACTGCATTTAAATTTCTGAAGGAAGTCGATAAAAGGAAGAGATAGAGGCTCTTTGTGGTTTTCTCATCTGAAATTAGCAAAAGATTTCATGAGAAACTTTTCTTATTGTTTCACTGATCCTTCTACAAAGAGAACAGAAACTGAGTACATGGAGAGAAATGCTTTTTGTCCCTTATATTATAGAAATTATCTGCATTGCCTTTTAAGGGAGTTTTTAAGCTAAAATTATTTACAAATTAAAAGAAGCCTAATATTTTAAAATGCTTTCTGTTCCTCAAGTTTGGAACTAAGAGTTTTATATTTATTATTTCCTGTAATCCTTGCAGTGTACTGGCATTACAGGCTATTTTCCCTGGATTATCAAGGAAACAGGCCTCAGGAAGTTTACTGACTTGTCCTAGATCACCTAGCTAGTGAATGATCCGAGCCTAGGTCCAAATTCTGAAATTATTTCACTTTTCCATGGCTGCCTGTTGATAAGGAGCTCTCGTTTAAAGTGAGTAAAGAAAGGAATTTGTGAAAGTTGGATTATTAATACCCAGTTATTATTTCTAGTTCCTCCAAAGATACAGCGTGGACCTAAACATCTCAAAGTCCAAGTTGGTCAAAGAGTGGATATTCCATGTAATGCTCAAGGGACTCCTCTTCCTGTAATCACCTGGTCCAAAGGTGGAAGCACTATGCTGGTTGATGGAGAGCACCATGTTAGCAATCCAGACGGAACTTTAAGCATCGACCAAGCCACGCCCTCAGATGCTGGCATATATACATGTGTTGCTACTAACATAGCAGGCACTGATGAAACAGAGATAACGCTACATGTCCAAGGTGATTCTTGACACAGGAAAATATATGTATGTAGGGTGGGGAGTGAGAGAAAAGCCCTAGAGCTAAATAGATTATCTTCGATAATCTTAAATGACTTCAGAAAGAGTTCTATATAACTTTTGTGACTCTTTAACTTTGAAAGAACCATTCCCAAAAGAAATGAAACATACCATTTCTAAACCTGCATCAATTTTTGTATGTTTACTTTTGAAGCAAAGTTGCCATGGATCATGTAGAAAACAGAAACAATCCTAGATGATGCCCCACCCACTATTTTTGGTTTGGGAGACATTGTGGGAAGAGTGAGTTGGAGTAGGTTGTCACCTCACAGTGCTGGGGTGCACTCAAAATAGAGCCCTAGGAAATCTAGGTCCACTACTTCTCTATTAATACTGTATTTGCTTTGAAGATTTAAAGATCAATGTTTATTTCTTCAAGCAACAAATACTGATCGAGCTCTTGCCAGGCATCTGTCATGTTTAGGCGGTGATGAGAAAGTAGTGACAAAGGCAAAACCCCTGCTTTCATGAGCTGTTATAGTGTGAGTAGACAGAAAACAGGCAAACAAATAAACAAGAAATACGATTGTGAAAAGTGCTTTGTGGGAAATTAAAATAAGACAATGGTCCTGAGAGTTGCCTATGTTAGATTAGACTATCAAGCAGGACTTCTCTGAGAAGGTGATCTTTAGAGTGAGATCCTCTGGACTGGAAAGAACCGGCCACATGAAAATCAGGGGGAAGAGCATTCTTGTCAGAGGGAATACTAGTACAAAGACAAGAAGAAAAGATAAGCAGGTATGGTATTTAGCACAGTATTAGATAGTTCTTAGCGCTGTACTGAGTATTAGTATTAATTAGTACTACTACTGTTCTAAGTATTAGTACAGTACTAAGGTACCTGGCCCATTGTAGTTTTGTTGGATGGTTGGCTAGGACACTAATGAAGAAGTTTTCCTGTTCATTCCACAAACTTTATTACATATTCATGTTTATAGTTGAATGGGACAGATAATAATTCATGAAATAGTCTCATGACTATGTAATTAGACATTGGTTATGCCCTCATGAAATGGTGGAAAACTCTATATGAGCTTTTAACAGAAAGACAAATCAAACAAGGCCTCCCTTGGGGTAGGGACATGTCAGTTGAGATTTGAAGGGTAGGTAGAAGTGAGGGGCAGCCCTTCCAAGATAATGTGGAGAGAACTTTCCAGGAGAAGGACATAGAATATGAAGAGAAGAGCATGTAATATTTTGGAGACACTGGGATCAGTCATCAATCAGTGAAGGCCAGCTGGCTGCATTCCAGACTGAGGGCTGAGTAATATGTGATGAAGCTGGAGATGTGGTCATGGGTCAGGTTATCCAAGACCTAGGAAGCCAGACTAATGAAGTTAGACTTTATTCTAAATGCAATAAGAAGACTTTAAGAAGTTATCGTTGGGAAAGTGATGTGGCAGATTTCCAGTTTTAAAAGTCACTCTTTTGGGAGGGAATCATTCGGCTAGAGAAGACAAGGGAAACTGGTATAGACTATTGTAGTAGCCCAGGTAAAAGATGATGGTAGTTAGAATGGGGAAAAGAAGGGAATGGGCTAAAAAATAAATAGGAAAGGAAATACTCGGGACATGGTGACGGATTGGATATGAGAGTGAAGGAGATAGAGTTCTCAAGAATAACTCCCAAATTTCTTCATGAAATGAATGGATGATGGAGCTGTTCAGAGACATGGGATGCACTGACAGGGGGCACTTAGGAAAGAACAGGTCTGAAACTTTATCTTATAGACAAAATGAGTACAAGTAATGATTTGAATTAGATAAGTCAATGATGAGATTTGTGTTTCAGAGAGAGTATTCTGGGAACTGTGCAGAATATCAATCTAAAGGGGAACATGTTTGAGAAAAGGATCCCCATAAGAAGTCTATTGGAATAGCCTGGTAAGAGGAAATAAGGGTTGGAAATAAGCAATGGTCTTAAGCATAGAGAGGAAGACACAGATATGTGAATATATGTGGTACTATGTGATTGGATATGGAGGTCAAGCTTAAGGGAGAAAGAAAAATGACTGGGTGGACCATAGTGCCTTCATTGAGGGAATAAGGGAACAGAACAGGATTGTGGGAAGCATAAAATAATGAATTTTGTTTGGAGAATTTTGAGTTTAAGGCACTGGGTGACGTCTAGGTAGAAATGTTTGGCAACTGGAAATAGGAATCATATTTAAAAGAAGAATCAGCAGAGATAGCAACTCATCAGTGCAGGTAGTTAATTGTGCCTTAGGAGAGTTTGAAATTGCTCAAAGAAAGCCTGTGATAATGCATTTATTTTCCTAATAGAACCACCCACAGTGGAAGATCTAGAACCTCCATATAACACTACTTTCCAAGAAAGAGTGGCCAATCAACGCATTGAATTTCCATGTCCTGCAAAAGGTACGTAATACTGAAAGATATAGGCATTGGCATAATGTTATATGGTTTCAGAATGCTATATTGAACCCAAATTGTCATCCTTATAAAATTCCACATCAATCCTTGGTAGAACATTTGAGCATAATAGAAACTAACCCATTTTTCAGATAACAGCTCTTTGAATAAGTATTTTTTTTCCTTGCAGGTATTTTATTTCTTTCAATGTAAAGACTTTCCATTCTTTCAAACTTGCCTAGTCTCACATGTTTTCCAGTTCAGATCCTTCCTGCTACTTCTTATTTCATTCTTTTTTTTTTTTTGGCAGGTTTTGTCTTTACAATGTGATAGCTGGAGCTATTCAAAATATTCCATATTTATCTCAACCAGGCAGAGGTATAATTAGGACTATTCCTTTGTTTGTTCTGGACACTTCTAAAAACCTCTTTTCCTAAATCTACTCTCAACTGGTAATTCTAGGGCCAGCTTGTAAATTGTCACTTGGAGGTTTATTCAAGCCCTTCCTTTCCTTGAATTTCTGGGCTTTCTATCCTACCATGTTTTCTGCCAGGAGATTGATATTATTTCTCCTCAGGGGAATGTGAAAAGGACTGTCACTTTCACCCTAACTCTGCCAAGTAGGTAATTAAGAACATCCTCTCTTTCAAGTGTGTATTCATCAGCAGTGATTTAAAGCAGGTTTGTATGAGTTCTGGCAAAGTCCAAGCAGTAGTCTTTCCATAACCTCCTGAATGCCTCCAGGTGGCTGGTACCATTTGTGCCCCCACATGTGCCTTTTAGTAGTTGTTCCTGGGCAGCGGCAACTGAAGGCCCTCATGGCTGTCTCTGTTTCTGTGGCAAGCTTTTCAATCTCAGCAGCAGCTGCCATGATTACTTTATTTTCTACCTATATTAAAACAAAAATGTCTTTAACAAGCTTTTCAGATACCTAAAGAATTAACAATAACTATTCCAAGAGTCACTGAGAATTAGGGAGGTGAAGCCTGGAAGGAGGCCTTCTTTAGAAGGGTTTAAGCTCAGGGAAGTACCATGAGTGTTCACTCCCACTGGACCCGCTGGTGGCAGTGTTGCTTCTTGTTCCCCACTGGATTCCTGACTCCCAAGCTAATTTCTTGTTTTGACTTCCCTTTTCCACCTAGAAAAACATCTCTTCCTTACTTCCTCATTTTCACCTGGAATATAATGCTTGAATTCATTTAAAGTTACTAGACATCGTTTTCATTATCTTTTACTATGATTTTCATCTTGCTCATGGTTGTTCTATCATTTAAAAATTAAAGACAATGCAATTTCTTTCTTTTGTTTGTTCATTTACATTTTTATTAACAAGTATTAATTAAGTAGTCTGATTAAAGTTCATAAAGGAATGACTGAGATGTAAGGAGATGATTACAGCCTCCTTTTTTCTTGACAACATGGACAGGCAACTGGAGTCTATCAGTTTAACCTTTTTGTTCTCATCAGTCAACATTATACTATGAGCACAATTAAATAGGTCAATCTTTAATTTTTTTCCATAAATATAACTTTCATAGTCACTGTTTAAGCCTTTAACTCAATTTAAGTGTAGCTTCAATGACATATTCTACATATTTCTGCTATTCTTTTATATATATATATCCTGGGTTATATGTTCATCTTTTAATATTTTACTGTCATTTAATACAGGATTATTAACAATGTCTTATGTAATCATGTAATTTTTATTTAATGTTTTTTATTATTATTATGGAGATTAAATAATTTTTTTAAATGCTTAGAATAATACCTGGCAAAATGTTTGCTAAATAAATACATTGTTAGTATAGATTTAATGTTTACTTATTTCCAATATTCCTTTTGATTCTATTATACACTCAAAGATTGTTGTATCATTTTTTTTCTCCAAGAGTACATCATTTCCATTCATTCTGTTAGTCATAAATGAATCCAGGAAAGCTATTTCTCAACTACCATTTCAAGAATTGAGCTATTATCCTTTGTTTAACAGAATCAGATCTCCAAAAGATGCATGAACAGTAGAGTTTCCTCATCTTTGCAATATCAGGCCTTTTTAAAAAAGGGAATTATAAAACATCGTGTCTCCATATCATATATACACTCTATTTGGTTGGCAGTCTTCATGTTGTATTTCTGTGATGGTGTCTTATTTTTGCTCTGTCTTTATTTCACCCTAAAACTCTCCCCACATCCAGTCCGTAGGATTAATATAGTTCCTGCCCTGCCAACAAATCACTGTGAACTCACTAGGAAAATGCTTTACTTACTATCATCTGAATGTTTAGATAAAAACAACTTTGTTCAAACTTTACCATAGGTCTCTTAAGACCCACCGGGATTTAGAGGCATTAACTAACATAATCTTCATATTTCCATGCCAGGAGAAATATCTTGAAGGTAGCATAGGACCTAAGGTTATAAATTATTGTCATAACAAAAACTTTATTTCTCTTTGATATATTTGATATTTAATAATTTCTGTTTTTGTTGTAAAATATCACAAGACTTTAATTTCTTATTTAGGTACCCCTAAACCAACCATCAAATGGTTACACAATGGTAGAGAGTTGACAGGCAGAGAGCCTGGCATTTCTATCTTGGAAGATGGCACATTGCTGGTTATTGCTTCTGTTACACCCTATGACAATGGGGAGTACATCTGTGTGGCAGTCAATGAAGCTGGAACCACAGAAAGAAAATATAACCTCAAAGTCCATGGTAAATGTAGCTAAAATCATGTAACTGACTGTTTGCCAGTCTCCAGTTCTTAAATGTTTAAATTATTCTCTCAGTGTAATATCATTTAATATTAATGTGAATAGCAGTATTACCAAACAGAAATCTGGTGGTATGATTGCATTTATTATTTGATTTAAACTTTCATGTAATTTTTTATTGTGACTTTACATCATTCAAAATTCAAATGGTAGAAAAAGATACATAGTAAAAAGTCTCCTGACCCTGTGCTGAGCCATCTACTTATCCTCTATTTGGGATAAAGGAAAGTTATCAGCGTGTAGGGTGTGTGTGTGTGTGTATGTGTGTGTGTGTGTGTGTGTGTGTGTGTGTGTATGTATGTGTCTTCCCGGAGATATTTTATGAATATAGAAAGAAATACAATGTTTTATCCTCTTTTTATTTATAAAACGTACACATATAATAGAACATTATATTCACATTTTTCACCTTCTCTGTCTCACTAAACAATCTATCTTGGATTTTATTTAATGTTCCTAACTGTATAGCATCTCATTGTGTAGATACACAACGATTTATTTAACCTTCCTCTGTTAATGATGAGCGTGTAGGTTATTAACAGTTGTTTTTATTAACTTTAAATGAAAATACTGTATATATGCCATTTTGCAAAAGTGAAAGTGTATATATATTTTAAAATTTGATGAATATTGGTTTCTTTAGACACTGGGCAATATTCACCCTCATCAACAAAGTAGTGAGTCTCATGTGACTTAATTAAGACCCCATAAGCTTGTATTTTGAGTAATATGTGAAATAAAAGTAGATTCTCCCTTAAGCTTATCCCAAATTTTATCCTAAATTTAAAACCTTGAAATAATAAAAATCCAATAAGGGTTGTTATTATAAATACATTGGTCAAAACTTTTTAATTTTATAACAAAGCATATGCTTAAATATGTCTAGCTTTTCTAGCCATCAAATATTTCAGAATTTGCTGTATAAAGGCCCTTATAAAGAAACTCTATAAATAATATTTATTATGAAACTAGCTAGCTATGACTCCTCTCTTTTTGCAGTTCCTCCAGTAATTAAAGATAAAGAACAAGTTACAAATGTGTCGGTGTTGTTAAATCAGCTGACCAATCTCTTCTGTGAAGTGGAAGGCACTCCATCTCCCATCATTATGTGGTATAAAGATAATGTCCAGGTAAATAGAGTCATCCAAATACGTGTAATTCCTTGCCTCTGCATCTGAAGTAGGTTGTTCAGATGTTCATTTCTTACTACTAATAATATAAACATTCTACTTCAATTTTTAATTATGCATTTTTATTAGGATTGGAAATAACACTGACCATTTTGGCCCTTAAAGGTGACTGAAAGCAGCACTATTCAGACTGTGAACAATGGGAAGATACTGAAGCTCTTCAGAGCCACTCCAGAGGATGCAGGAAGATATTCCTGCAAAGCAATTAATATTGCAGGCACTTCTCAGAAGTACTTTAACATTGATGTGCTAGGTAAGAAATACATCCTTTTAAAAAACTACAATTCAGAAGCATTTCTTACCTAAAATAGAGCTGACTATATGAAAAAGTAAAGAGAAAAAGATAAATTGACAGAAAAACTATAGTTTCATTCTATTATTTTTGTCCTTATTATTTGTTAACCAGAACCATATGATATAGAAATTTTAAAGGGTTTCATTATTTATAATACAGAGATGCCTTTGAATCATATATACAGTAGTATCAAATACTCAAAAGTGGTACTGCTATCTTGTGTAAAATAAGAAATTATTACTCTTGTCAATTTCTCCAGTTAAGTAGGCACGACATTCTTTGGGAAGTGGCTATAACAGGGTGATACAGAATATATTACATTCATGCTGTGCATATCCTGAAGCTGCTAGGCTGTACTTGAACTGGAAAAGGTAGTAAATCCACTTTCCCCTGCATTCTAATTAACTCTTGTAACTAAGTCAGTCCTGATTCTAATTAAGTAGGTAGCAGCTGTAATAAATTAGGATGTAAGACATTTTAATGGTAATCATAAATTTAAAATTTTATAATTCTAGTTTGTGAAATTATATTTGCCATTTAAAATTCACTTTGTGATAAAATGACATTCTCCCTTTTCAATATTTTGCTCCTTACAATGGGCACATAATTTGTAAGTCTTGAGTAGAAGTGAGTGGAGGAATGATACTGCATAAAAATTATATTCATAAACTGCTATAACATACAAATAATTCCTCCCATTAGGCTTCTCAAAGCCTGAAATTTTTCTTCCACAAAATCACCATTATTATATTTAAGTATGAGTTATAAAAACAAATTACGAAATCATTGTTATCATGAGTCTTGCTGACATTATTTCTCCTGGTACTTGTCCGCTCCCTTGACTGAATTCCATCTGTGTGCTGATGACTCCCAATTTTTTATCTCCAGTTCAGACTTCTTCCCTGAGCCTAGGGATATATAGCTAATTTTCTCCATAGTATTGTGACTTGAATACCTTAGTTTTATATCAAACAAAAAGGTCCCAGTGAAAGCCAGTTCTGGTTGCCTTCCTTGATCCCCAGTCTAGGGACTGGTACCTCCATCCACTCACTTGGTTATTCCAGAACCTCCAGGTTCTCACTACTACCTTCTCCCCAACATTTCAAATCTACATATTTCCTGTTATGTCTACTTCCTAATTCTTTGGTGATCTACTTCTTTTCATCCTTCTGTGAAAGTCTATCATCATTCATGAGCTGAATCAATGTAATAGCCTAAGGGCTCACCTGAATCCACTTTTTGCTACTGTAATCCATTCTTCACTTAGGAGTGTGTGGTCTTAAAACACAAATATGATTACATCCCACTCCTCCCCTACTGAAATCCTTTAGTGGCTGGTCATTTTTCTGAGGATGAAGACCAAGCACTTTAACATGGTGTGAAAGGGGACGACTAGACAGGGAAGTATCCAGAAGCTCTTTAATAAGCTTGATAATCCTGAGAATAAAAACTAGCACATTATTTTTCATGTTATATTGCATACCAAATTTACCATCTTAGTTGTTTAAAAGACAAAGGTAATATATTTCAAGTAGCACCACACTATATGTAGAATTTGAATGTTATAAGAGTGATGTTAATTGTCATTCATTATCCAAAATGTATAGCAGTAGCAAATTACATTTGCATCACTGATCACTTACATTCTAAACTACTTTTGCATATGAGTTTAATACACCCAAAAATGAACCCTATACTGTCATAATTCTTGAAGGTAATTGTCTTGCTAGCAAATATTTTATAAATATGTTTCTACATTTAAATTTAACATTTGGGTACACAGAAATGATATGAAAAAGTATTGTTGTGTGGTATTTTATTTTTGACATTAAGATCTTGTTGAAATACTATAGAAATCATTGACTGCTTTCTAACCCCATGCCTGCTCTTTTTGCTGAGTAACAGAGTTTCATAATACACTGTCTTTGTTCAAGTTCCACCCACCATAATAGGTACCAACTTCCCAAATGAAGTCTCAGTTGTCCTCAACCGTGACGTCGCCCTTGAATGCCAGGTCAAAGGCACTCCCTTTCCTGATATTCATTGGTTCAAAGATGGCAAGTGAGTATCTTTTCTGTATTTGTTGCAAGGTTTCAATGATAGGAAAAAGATGTGAAAAATGCATGTGGATTTTCTCCCTCTTAATTATTTTATTACATAGAATATTATTAAATGAGCATACAGGAAAAACAATATTGCTCAAAAGCTAGTCTGAAAGTCTTGTAATTTTTTCATTCTTTTGAATTCAAAGCTCCCTATGAATGTTGGGAATTCATTTTAGAAATATAGAGGAACTCAAATTTAATATACACTAAATATCCTCTGTCTAAAGACAGTGAAAAATGTAAGATCTAAACATGAGATGATTTTCTGTTTACATTGAACTGTCTTATTAAAAAGGAAAATGTGTTTATGACAGCAAAATGAATACTAAGCTAGTTCTGTGTATGGGCAAAAAGGAACTACAGATATTTCTCCAACTCCAGATCTCAAGGACTGCTGAGGTGTGCCTACATCGAAATGGCTGCAGTGGTCTGTATTGGTTGTGAGAATTTATTTCTCAAATGGTGGTTACAGTTTGTGTATTATAGTTTCTGGGAACAGATATCTAAGGCCTAAGTAGAAAATAGTCAAGATTTGTGGTATATAAAATAAAAGATTGTATTCAAGCTTTTTATAAATCACTAATAAATACAAACAGCAAAATAGAAAATATATGGAGGATATGAACAGGCAGTTAAAATATACTAAGGCAATAAACATATTAAAAGATACCATCAATAATTTGATGAATAATAAAATTTTGTTATTTACAGCTCATATAGGCAAAAAAGCAAAGGTTTGAAATTATCAAATGTTGACTAGAGTATGGGAAAGCAAGATACAGTGCTCTGATGGGGAGGATGTAAATTAGTACCTTAAAAGGCAACTTGTTGATATCTGTTAAAATTTGATGCACATACACTGTGATGCAGTATCCAGGAGATGGAAGTAGTCATGCATATCCACAGAGAGGCTTGTACATTGATATTTACTGCAACACTGTGATGGCAAAGATGGGAAAGCTGGCTAAAACCCAACATTGGGAGAATAGGTAGATACTTTACGGCATAATCATATTATGGAACACTGCTCACCAATTAAAAAGAATAAGATCAAGTTATGTGTACCAAAAATATCTCCATACCTGTTATAGAGTGAAAGAAAAGCAGAACAATAACCTGACACCATTGATATATTAAAACTTTAGATATCTTTGGGAGTATATTTATAAACATTTTTGTTTATAAATGTTTATAAATAATTTTTTAATTGTTTAAATTGTTTATAAATGTTTATAAACAATTTTTTAATTGTTTATAAATGTTTATAAACAATTTTTTAATTGTTTATAAATGTTTATAAACAATTTTTTAATTGTTTATAAATGTTTATAAACAATTTTTTAATTGTTTATAAACGTTTATAAACAAATTTTTAATTGTTTATAAATGTTTATAAACAAATTTTTAATTGTTTAAATTGTTTATAAATGTTTATAAACAATTTTTTAATTGTTTATAAATGTTTATAAACAATTTTTTAATTGTTTATAAATGTTTATAAACAAGTTTTTAATTGTTTATAAATGTTTATAAACAAGTTTTTAATTGTTTAAATTGTTTATAAATGTTTATAAACAAGTTTTTAATTGTTTAAATTGTTTATAAATGTTTATAAACAAGTTTTTAATTGTTTAAATTGTTTATAAATGTTTATAAACAATTTTTTAATTGTTTAAATTGTTTATAAATGTAAAATAAAAACAAAAATGTGTTTAATTTTGTTAAAAACAAAAATGTTCATAAATGTAAAAAACATGGAAGAATACAAATCAGACTGATAAAGAGAAGTCTGGAAAGCAGACTCACATTAGGGGCCACAGACCAAGGATACTTTTTCTCATCATAATGCTTACTTTTTTGTTTAAAATTTTATGTTACTTGCACAATTGACAATCAATAAAAGTTTCAAAGTTACTTAAATTCGAGCAGCATATTATCAATTATTTCTTTAAAAACTTAAAATGTGGCCAGGCACCGTGGCTCACGCCTGTAATCCCAGCACTTTGGGAGGCCAAGGCAAGCGGATCACCTGAGGTCAAGAGTTCAAGACCAGCTTGGCCAACATGGTGAAACTCCGTCTCTACTAAAAATATAAAAATTAGCCATGCGTGGTGGCAGGTGCCTGTAATTCCAGCTACTTGGGAGGCCGAGGCAGGAGAATCGCTTGAACCCAGGAGGCAGAGGTTGCAGTGAGCTGAAATAGCACCATTGCACTCCAGCCTGGGCAACAAGAGTGAGACTTCATTTCAAAAAAAAAAAAAAAAACCTTAAAACACACTAAATGAAGCTACTTTATTCTCTTAACTTTTGAGAGCTATATACAAAGTGTCATACTAAGAAATAGTAAAATATGCTACCATAGGAAGTGAAATGTTTTCTGTTTAATTTCATAGTCTTACTAGTGTATTATGAATATGGCAGTGCATCTAATTATTCATTATGTGGCTAAGTCATTGCAACTTTTAAAAAACTAGCTATGGATATTCCTGAAAAAATATTTATGGACTTTAAAGGTATGAGTCTTAGGATATCATAGACTTTAACAACCAAATTTTAAAATAAAACTGCTGCCAATTACATAAACTGAGCGTTTTATAGTAGTCAGTAAATGACTCTGTATAGTAGAAAAAGACTTCCTTGACAATCATATACGAGCTTCTTTTGACATAAATATCTTTCAATATTTATGATTATGTAAGCATTTGTATTTATTACAATACTTATTTTTAGAGAAGTTGGTATGATTATTGCCTTTAGTAAAAATAACCATTCATGATATTGTGAATACTCTTCTAGATATTATAATGATATTATTTAAAAATAATATTATTTGGTCCAAAATCTATACTGTAATATTTAAAACTCTTAATTTTTCTTTTCCAGATAATGGTAGAATTTTAGCTATGCAAACCAAAAAATTTAAAAAAAGCTGAAAAAAGAATAAGAATGGATGAATGAATAAAACAAATAATGACACTACTGGATTTCTATTAATATTATTATATAATTTAAGTTTGAAATGGAGGAACTTTTCATCTCAAAGAGATATTTATGATTACCTAACTTCTGTTAGCAAAGTGGTTTAAAACTTTTATTCTTGGAGTGCTAATCATATCATTTTATTTTTTAAATTAACTTTTACTTGTATTTTTAGCCTGTACTAATGATTTTTGTTGTGATAAATAAGAAATGTGAAAAACTGAAAATAGACCCATGGAATAAAGTTTTATTTTTTCTAGGCCTTTATTTTTGGGCGATCCTAATGTTGAACTTCTAGACAGAGGACAAGTCTTACATTTAAAGAATGCACGGAGAAATGACAAGGGGCGCTACCAATGTACTGTGTCTAATGCAGCTGGCAAACAAGCCAAGGATATAAAACTGACTATCTATAGTAAGTGCGATTGTCTTATGCTTTTTATTGTCTGCTCTCATTATAAGTTGACAAGCAGGGTTTACTGGTAACTACACTCTTATTTCATACTGAATAATTTGGAATACTACATACTTCAAGAGAAGAAGGAGCTTATCTTCATGTGTTTTAAAAGGCTAGAATATTGGATCAAATTTTAATGCCTTTTTTCATTAAATATGGTTGTCTTCAAAAGATCTAGTGATTTTTATATAATCTCACTTAGAGAGAGCAAGAATTTCCTAATTGGTTAGTATATACACAAACCAAATGTCTGTATCTTTGAAAGGAACAAAACAAACTTTAAAAATTATAGAGATTTATGAAATAGAATGAAGTTGATGATATGCAGACAATTCAATTATTCTATTTGAATTCCATCGTGGCCGTTATCCTGACCATGTGATTATCTTTTAAATGCCTTATGTGTTTGTGCTACTGTTTTCTCCCAGCTATGTCCCCACCAAATATATGTAGCTCTTATTTTCCGTAACATTATCAGCCTCTTCTGAGGAGCGTGATTGCCAAATTCATTTTAATTTTTACCAGTGGAGCCATAGGTAGGCACATGAATATTATGTTTCCAGCACAAAGATTTATACAATAGAAAGGAATGGAACTCAATAGACCTGTAGTGCTCACTGCACTATCTTCTGTCTTTCCATGGTGTATGATGCTCAAGGAAAATTTAGACACCTCTTAGAATGTCACCTTCTCATAGGATCTTCCCATTAAAAGCAGTCACCTACTTACTCTCTTGTTTTCACAGCACACATCACTATCTGATATTTGATTGCTTAATTATAGGTTTATTTACTTATGATCTATTTCTTTCCCAGGAATTTAAACTTGATAAGAGTAGGCTTTTGTTTTGCATGTTCCCTACTTTAATGTTTGATACATAGCAAGTCTCAAGAAATATTTGCTAAATGAATGAATGGTCTAGTGTTACACTGTCTAATATGGTAGTCACTAGCCACGTGAGGCTATTGAGCACTTGAAATGTAGCTAGTCCAAACTAAGATGCACTGTTATATAAACTACACACCAGATATCAAAAGCTTAATATGAAAAATGTAATATATCTAATAATAACTTTACATTGATTATATCCAAAATGTTATTTTGGATATATTGGGCAAAGTAAAATGTATTATTAGAATTAATTTCCTCTGTTTCTTTCCATATTTTTTAATGTGGCTACCAGAAAACTTAAAATTACATATGTGAGTTTGCATTTGATTTCTATTGAACAACACTGGTTGAGTAATTAATAAGAGTTTGTGTTGAGGCCCAACCACTGCCACTGACTAGCTTTGTAACTGTGGATAAATTTCCTAAACCCTCTGGGCTTCAGTTTTCTCAGCCTTAAAATGGGGATAATAATAGCACCTATGCAGTAGTGTTATTGTGAAGATCAAATGCTAGATACTTTACGTGGATTATTGAGCTTATAGTAAGAGCCCAATAAATGTTATTCATTTATCATTATCTAATTAGTGATTGTATCATCTTAAAACTTAATGTACATATAGAATCTAGCTTGATTTCTATGTAATTTAATTGCTTTCCAAATCTCCCTTTTTAAATGTTACTGTCTTTATGTAAAGTTCAAATAGCTTTCTTGAATCAAAGAAATTATATTTAATACAGGCTTTTAAATCATTTATATCTATAAATAAAAGCCTTTGGAAGAAATTAGTCATGAAAAGACATGTTCTCTAAAAAAGAATAACATTGCTGAAAGATTAACTATACAAGCATCCAAGTTAAACAGAAGTGCTATTGGTACCATTGGCTTCCCACCAGAGCCAGACTTTTAAACAATAGGTGCAATATTTTTCCCAAGCTGTTGAGTAGTCTTCTCTGCACTATTGTATTTTTGCCAGGATCTGTGATGAATACATTTTGGTGATTCAATAAGACTCTTATTTCCATGGGACTTGGGTTCTTTCATTTTAGATCCTCTTGTTCACTCTGTATGATGCCCCCAGGCACCCAGAAAAGAGGGCTCTATAATGATTAAACCTTCTGAGATTGTCTGAGATAAAAGGCATTGTCATGTAGCAAAGTTTTGAATATTATAATTCAGGAAATAGTGTCATTTCCTCTTTAGCAATGCTCGCCTGCATCTCTTAGGCTTAAATTTATTTCACTTGTGAAAATGCTTTTGTTCTTAAAATGAAAAAAAAAAGTAAAACAGGTATCATGCTTTGGCTAACTGTGAAGAATACATATGTAGATTTCAGATTGAGAGTGTGTTTCATACTACACTTGATTCATTCCTTTTCCTTACTTACTGCTATGAGAATGAAGCAGGTGGGTTGATACACTTAAAAGGTATAAATGAACATTGTGCCTGAATAAGGAAAGAAACTGAGACAAAATACAAGAGAAAAATAAAAGAGATGGAGGATAAAAAAGAAAAAGAAGAATGTCAAACAGGGAAAAAAGTAAATGAAGTTTTAATATCCTATCAGGAGATTGTGCAGATTTACTAGTAGTTCTGAGGCAAAGATTTGTAAACTGTGGTCCACAGATGAGTTTTGGAGGTTTGAGAGCTTCCCTAAGTCAGCAGTCCCCAACCATTTTGGCACCAGGGTCGGTTTTGTGGAACGAAACTGTTCCACTGAACATCATCAGGCATTAGTTGGATTCTCACGAGAAGCCAGCAAAATAGAGTTCGCGCTCCTATGAGAATCTGATGCCCTCGTTGAGATGACAGGAGACAGAGCTCAGGTGGTAATGCTTGCTCGTCCGTCACCTCCTGCTGTAGGGCCCAGTTCCTAACAGGCCATGGATCCGAACCCTTCCATGGCCCAGGGGTTGGGAACTCCTGCCCTAAATTGCATAAAAGTCTTGAGGGGTGTGCGTGTCTGTGTGTGTGTCTGTGTCTGTGTGTATATATGTGTGTGTGTGGGGGTACATGGGTGTATCTATACATGCATATATATGTACAGTTTAATGAGCAGTGTATTCATAATTTTTATTTGTATTCCCTTCCCCCAAATGGAAGTATAGTTCTCTGGCAAATATGTATGAATTAAAATGGAAGAGGAAGTGAAATATTTATGTATTTGTCAAATTTAAGCAGTGGATGCTATGTTATTACACCATCAATTGCAAATATTCTTTGAGTAATTTTTCTCATTTTCGTAAATACAAACTTTTAAAGTAGATCCTTCCTGATACAAATGGTATCCTTTCTAAAGAATTCACAAAGTATGTGGATTTGTTTGAACCTGTGTTCTTGGTTTCATTAATATATTATCCAAGTGGTTAGGCTGGCCAGCGATTTATGCAATTTGAGCCAAAGTTTGATAGGCATTTATAGATTAACATATGATATAAATAATCTCAATCAAAATTAAAATTTAAAACATGAGTAAAATGCTCTTTCTTAGGATTTCAAAATAGTAGCTTGAATTTGTTAATTAATTACCGATAGCAGGACTTGGCAAACCTTTTTTATAAAGGGCAATATAGTAAATATTTTAGGCTTTGCAGACCATTAGGCAAAATAAAGGAGATAATATAGATACTTATAAGAAAGAAACAAATTTCTACAAAATTGTTTGTTTGTGAAATTCCATTTATTTGATAGTTTTTTTAAATTATAAACTTTTTGTAATACAAATCTACTAATGAGAAAAATAGAGTTATTTTGTGGGGAAACATTTGAAGTTAGTATTCTCTATCATCAAAATCAATTGCAAATGTTCATCTGCTACTGGTTTTTTTTGTTTTTGTTTTTGCTTTTCCCCTGAGAGGGAGTCTCGCTGTCACCCAGGCTGGAGTGCAGTGGAGTGATCTCAGCTCACTGCAACCTCCGCCTCTTCGGTTCAAGTGATTCTCCTGCCTCAGCTTCCCGAGTAGCTGGGATTACAGGTGCCCACTACCATGCCCAGGTAATTTTTTGTATTTTTATTAGAGATGGCATTTCACTGTGTTAGCCAGGATGGTCTCGAACTCCTGACCTCGTGATCCGCCCACCTCAGCCTGCCAAGTGCTGGGATTACAGGCATGAGCCATCGCGCCCAGCCTACTGCTGATTTTTAATGCGATTTTACCTATTTCGTCTTTGAAAATGTTTCTTCATACAGCTAAGTACTGCCTAGTACTGATATCATTTCACAGGCATATTATTTTAATTGTGCATATTCATTGCTTGGAAGGCATTACAGAATGTTGTTATATTATTCTCTTGATATTTGACTGCCAATTAATAAATTCTAGGTGAAGGTTAGGTGGAAAGCCCTCACTTTCAAAGATAACTAAATTTTGAATGTGAAAATTTTCTTTGCATTTGCCTCAAGGTGTGACACACTGCTAGAACTGTAATTTGAGCTCAGAAAATATATCCACTGCAAATTTGTGAAGGAATCTAGATCTCACTTTTTGCTTGAACTTTTGACAGCATGGAGAATGCATAAAGCTGCTTGACATTACTTGTGACTAAAACAACACAATGACTACCATGGTATATAGTTTGCATACATGTACTTTTTTGGTCTGGTAATTTGGGGTTGGACTCATTTTGAAACACTATGAAGTTTACAGTAAAACTAATTTCCAAAAGCATTCAGTATTCAATAAGAGTGTTTAAGAATGATTCTTTTCATTCAGAAAGAAGTTCAGTCTCAGCCCTGAACTCAAAAAAAGTACAATGAAACTTCATCACCACTAACGCATTGACCTGCTGTGTGGTAAGGCCAGTCAGGATATTCAGTTTGACTTCTGACAAAAAGTCATAGAACTGATGATGTTTAACTATATGAGAGCAAACAAAATACACCATTTAACACTACTGGTTCAATGACACCTGATCTTTTACACAAAGTGCTTGCTGGCGAATAATACAATGAAAAAACATAGATTTTTTTTAACACTTTACATTGTAATAAGCTTTGTAAACTTGTCTAAGCCTTTTTTTTTTTGCTTCAACGTATATTTTTACCAACATCAATTGTAACAAATCTTAAAAGATTCTGCTTCAGGTTATAATAAATTAGTGTTTTTTTCAAATTTTCTGAAAATATTTTTGACTGTAGTTGTTTCACAGACGGCTCTAAGAGGCTAATCCTTCAGGTTTTTTTTGGTATTTTTTTTTTGTACTTTCATTGGTTCCTCAAATAAACAAGAACAGGTGAGCAGTGTCAGTAACATCTGTCAACTTGTCAAAAGTCAAGAATACTATTGAGGAAAAAGTTGTCTTAAAAAAAAATTTACTATTGATGTTGCTCCCAGTGTTCTCAACTCTTCAAGCAATTATTCTCGCTGAAAGGCTAAGAATCCTTAACACATTTATTTTCTTTAGACCCGTTTCTTTTGCCTCTGAGATCATATCTGATTTAATTAAATCACCATTGGTAAATGGCTTTCCTTGGTTGGCTAACAAATGAGCCTCTCAGAAATTTAGTTTGGTTGTAGCCTTATTTTGGCTTTTTATTTTTGTGAAGAAATTTGCTATGATAAAACATTTAATTTTATGTTTTCTAATTTTTCAAACTGTTGATTTTGAAAAATCGGGAATATTGTGGTGGCTGCTTAGTCTAGTGTTTATTAGAACAGGTATAGTGTTACAAAATAAACACAGTATTTTGCCCTTTAATTTGATAACTAAATACTCCACACTGTGCTGTGTCTTTAAAAATTAGATATTTCACCATTTTTTTCTTGTTCTGACATGAGGAGTATTCACTGGTGATGAAATTAAATAAAATATCACAGTATGGTGATATGCATAGCATAAAAATGCTATCAAGTTGTAACTATGCCACCAAAATTTACAGTAAGCTGAACAGAGGTAGCAGCAATGAGAATACCGTATTTGGTTTTTGCTTTAACTCTTTACTCTGCTACTGTTGAGTAAAAGCCGTAGACAATATATAAATGAATGAATGTGACTGTATCCCAACAAAACTCTATTGACACTAAAGTTTGAGTTTCATATAATTTTTACATGTCACAAAATGTTATTATTTTGATTTTTGTCAACAATTAAGAAATATAAAAGCCATTTTTAGCTTAGCATCTCCTGGCCTGTGGGCCACAGTTGATTGACGCTGATATTTATAGTAAGCCTCCTGAGATAAAAATGATTCTATCGTCGAATTCACCTCAAAGTATAGTAGATCTTGCCTTAAGTTATGTGTGAGAAAAATATGTGTACATAAATGTTTGTCAGTATGGACTAGTTCTAAGAATGATTACCAGAAAATATTAAGGTACACCACTCAGCATCCAGATCTTGTTTTCTAATATCCTTTTCCATTAAAAGGGACCAGGCTCCTTGGAGAAATGGTTAAGTCTGGAGCTGGGGCAGGGAATACACAAGATGATGCTGGAGCATGTAGTAAGGCCGAAAGTAAGGAAGTGAGTGCAAACAATAAAACAAAACAAAATAAAATAATAAAATAAAATAGTGAGGGTATATTGAAGCGACTTAAGAGCCAATTGAAAGACCTCCCAATAGCCAAAACTGGATAAGTAATGTAGTACTGGATGTAACCCAAGGCATTTAAGTTTCTGTGAGTCCATATTGATATAAATAAGTGATTGACTCAATAAATAAAGTGAAAAGCAGAGACACATCTTCCATAGAGAAGAATTATAAATAAATTATGTAGGTAGTCCCCACTCATAGAAGTAGAACATAATTCCTTACTCCATTTCTATGGGCTGGAATAAGGACTGCCTTCAAAGGAAAGGGGAAGAAAAAGAGTAACTTTACAGTGGAGAAATATGGCAAACACTACCTTAGCCGGGTTACCAAAGGTACATGCTGTCAGCATAACTTAGCACAGGTCTCAGTGATAAGTCATGTTGATAGCATGTACGTTTGGTAGCATGTGATGAAAATAGCACTTTACCTGTATGGGCTGCCTCTCAAAATCCATAATCCTAGCTTAACCATGAGAAAAACATTCTATCAAATATTCTATTCTAAAACTTAAAAGTTTGTAAGATTATATTGATACTTATATAGATTATATTGATACTTAAAAGTTTATAAGATTATATATATATATATTTTATTATACTTTAAGTTCTAGGGTACATGTGCACATTGTGCAGGTTAGTTACATATGTATACATGTGCCATGCTGGTTATAAGATTATATTGATACTCAAATTCATACACATGCCATTTGATTTTTTTAAAATTGTTGCAATGATAGCATGATCCTGGAATGACCATATTTAGAATTTGCAGGAGAGACTGAGTGACTTGAGTTGTTTTCCTAGCAGCACAGCCCTTATGTAGTGTGAGAGGCCAGACTTGTGGTTGCTGAATTGTAGGAGATATACATGTAGACAATTGGATGAGTAAAGTTGAGTGAATGGAGTCTTGGCAGTCCCCACCTCCCCCCCAAAAAAAGAAAAAAATAGCAAGAAGCAAAAATTGAAGACTCTGCAGCTATTATGAATAGCTGGTTCTGAAAACACTTAGACCTTTAGTATTGGGGAGAGGGCATACAGTTGTACCACATGTGACATTTTTGCTCCCTTGGCCTGATTTGAAACTTGCTGTGTCTCCTTTGAGTGGGGTTTTATTTTGTTTTGCTTTGTTGGTTAAACATAACTATCTTAGTTATTCTACTGTGATCTTGAACCTAAATGACTCCCTGAAATGGAATCTGTGACTTTCTGTTTTTACTGAAATCTGAAACCCAAAAGGGGAATGATAAAGATGGTTTTGACAATAGAGGAAACTCATTATCAGGAGATAAACCACAGACTTCCTAATTGTCTTTAATTTACTTTAAATGCATTGTTTAAACATCTATAGCATTTAAGATTTTGATGAAGATGCTGAAACTTAGATGACTTGTTTTTGTTCTGAAATCCTTTGTAGTTCCACCTAGTATTAAAGGAGGAAATGTCACCACAGACATATCAGTATTGATCAACAGCCTTATTAAACTGGAATGTGAAACACGGGGACTTCCAATGCCTGCCATTACTTGGTATAAGGACGGGCAGCCAATCATGTCCAGCTCACAAGCACTTTATATTGATAAAGGACAATATCTTCATATTCCTCGAGCACAGGTCTCTGATTCAGCAACATATACGTGTCATGTAGCCAATGTTGCTGGAACTGCTGAAAAATCATTCCATGTGGATGTCTATGGTGAGGAACAACATATGCTTTAATTATATACCTTTCTACCTATGCTTTCTAATAGGCAAATATCGAATTTATTCACTAATAGTCCTTGGTGGGTTTGTCTTTTTCAATATGCATGGATAGGAATTGGAAGAATTTGTTCCATGATTTGGAAAAATATTTTTAAAACCTAAGGTTAGCAAGAAGGTGTCCATTCATTCAACTAACCTTTGTCATGGCACTTGGAGCATCTAGACAATTTGGCTATTACTGAAAAGGCAAAGTAGTTGTTGGGACAAAAATCATTCTCTACTATTTGTCCTTTATAAGCCAGAAAGTCCAGAGTTTCCAGAATAATTAGGACAGTTACAGTTTAGCTGAACCAAGAAATTCTTTCCTCAATAGCTTAGAGGGAGACAGGCATATAGGTAGATTTTAATGGTCAAACTTTGTGAGAAAAAACAAAAGCTCTTCTTTATTTCATTAGAATGTATTTTGTGACCACACAAATAATTGCCTGAAATATTGCTATGTTTCTCCCTAGTTCCTCCAATGATTGAAGGCAACTTGGCCACGCCTTTGAATAAGCAAGTAGTTATTGCTCATTCTCTGACACTGGAGTGCAAAGCTGCTGGAAACCCTTCTCCCATTCTCACCTGGTTGAAAGATGGTGTACCTGTGAAAGCTAATGACAATATCCGCATAGAAGCTGGTGGGAAGAAACTCGAAATCATGAGTGCCCAAGAAATTGATCGAGGACAGTACATATGCGTGGCTACCAGTGTGGCAGGAGAAAAGGAAATCAAATATGAAGTTGATGTCTTGGGTAAATAAGGATGCCACTGCCTGGGTTCTCAGATTCATAGCAAAACCTGATTAGTTTGTTAAATACTTTTTTGTTCATGCAATAATAAAACAATCTAAAAGAAGGTATAGTCCTCTGTGCAACTGTGGATTGCACATTACCAAGGGGTGGATTTGTCACCAGAGTCTCAGGTTCTAGAATCTTACATAAATCTTCCACTGATTTTGATAAGTATACTTGATATTTGCAAGTGCATAGATACATTTTTACGTCTATGACAATGTCTAATCGCAATGAGCAACAACATGGTCTTTTGTCATAAGCATTGTGCCAGATAACAGGAAACTCAGTCTCTGGGCCTTGGAAAGTCATCTTACCTTGAAACTCAGTATCTTTATCTATAAATTGAAGGCTTTTGAATAGATGCCCAATTTTGGGGGTTTCTTTCTCTTGTGCTTATGAAAATAAACAATATAAAATATGAATCAACTTTATATTCACCTGGCATCAGTGGCACCATAGTACTAGATGGAGGAATAGGTATGATATGTTAAAAGTATGTTTATTGATCCTGACAAGGCTTTATTGTAAAATGTATTTACAATGCATTTCAAGTCCCCTTCATGTATCAAACCACTATGATACCTATCAATCTTCTGAACTGCTATGTATTATTGCTTCATATGATGGTGTGTTTTTTGTTGTATACATTTCTTTGCATGTTACATTCCTGTTGTTTTCTAGTGCCACCAGCTATAGAAGGAGGAGATGAAACATCTTACTTCATTGTGATGGTTAATAACTTACTGGAGCTAGATTGTCATGTGACAGGCTCTCCCCCACCAACTATCATGTAAGGGTTTTGGTATGTCTTCTAAATACCTCCTGCTTTTTGTTTTGAGTGTTTTAGAGCTATCTTGAAAGCTGTTCTGTATCATTAAAAAGGATTGTATGAAATTGTATTCTTTATATTCCTCTTTTAAAAGACATGCTCTATATACAAGGCAATGTCTACTTGATAGTCCAAAGGCACCTAAATTTGCTCAATTAGAGGAATTCCATTGTATGGACTTAGAAATTACAAATTTTGAGGAATTCCATTGTATGGTATAGAAATTACATATTTAATTCACAGAGACAGTCTATTAAGCAGCATTGTCAGACTTTCCTGAGGTACTGAAATGTTTAACAGACTACTAAATAAAAAGGAGTATACCAGACATAGTAGGTAAATAGAGAAAGTTAACATGAGTATGTGTTTACCAATTTTTTTTCTTCTTCTTTAATTTTCAAAGCATGTATTGAATATTTAGCTTTTGTTTCCAAGTCACTATGGGATATGCAGAGGAAGAGTTAGTCAGTGAAGGAAATGAGATAGGTTCACACATGATTATAAAACTAACTGGAATGTGAAATTCAGAAATGTAAAAATATAATGCTATATGATTTCAAAGTTTTGTCTATAGTTGTTTTAAGATTGTGTATGTTTTGCTGGTTATTATTTAAACATTGAAGAGAGTAATATTTAGGAGCACTTGTCTCTTTTCTAATTAATTTTTCTAATTTTTAATTTTTTTGGTACATAGTGGGTGTATACATTTATGGGTTACATGAGATATTTTTATTCAGGTATGCATGCGTAATAATCATGTCATGGTAAATGGGATATCCATCACCTCAAGCATTTATCCTTTGTATTACAAACAATCCAATACTTCTCCCTTTTTTGTAGCCTAAAATTAGTAGAAGAATAAAGAACTCAACCCATAATTATTGGGTTCCAACAATATGCCAGCTCTGCGTTAGGCCGGGTTTCCTTTTTGCTTCTCTTTTTCATTTACAATTTATTTTACAGAGTAAGCAACTAGGAAATTGGACAAATATACAATAGAAACTTTATATATCTTCTAGGATATGATTTACTTAAAATATTTATCCAGACTTCCTTTTGCCTTTTTCTATAGGTGGCTGAAGGATGGCCAGTTAATTGATGAAAGGGATGGATTCAAGATTTTATTAAATGGACGCAAACTGGTTATTGCTCAGGCTCAAGTGTCAAACACAGGCCTTTATCGGTGCATGGCAGCAAATACTGCTGGAGACCACAAGAAGGAATTTGAAGTGACTGTTCATGGTATGCTGAAGAAGGGACAGGAACTTTGCATCTTAAATTAATTTATGCATTGTTTTATTATCTAACTCAGATTGTAGCTCAATAATGTGAATAAATCCTGAGTTGTGGAAGGTAGTGTAAAGGATGTGAATTTCAGTTGTATGCCAGAATTTTTAGTTACTTTATTGACCCAGAGACTCAACCAAGATGTATCATGTAAATACATGTAGACAGTAGCCAAAATAACTCTGGGAAATAAATAAATAAATAAATGTAGACAGAATTTAAACGTTAGGAAGTGTGTTCTACATAGAATGCCAAGGTCTGAGGAATTAGACCAAATAAGATAGAAGAGGCACGGAGCAAGTTCCAAGTAAAGGGGTTATGTAAGCGTTTAAGGGTTTAGCCAAAACAAGAGGGATGGTGAATACAGTAGTTTCCAGAAATGGTGGCTAAAGATGTAATTGAAGGATCTGAGGGACATAAGTACATTCACAAAACTGGCACATTAGGATTATAACCATTACTCTAACGACAGAAGCAACCCTCTGCCAGGGTATTATGTGTCTCACTTGCTGGCAGAACTTGGGAAGGGAGGACTGGAACGAGAAACTGGAGAGCCACTTGGAAACCACAAGGAGTATCTATGAATGTCAACTTTATTCTCCCTCTGTCTCTGCAGACTGCTGTTTTCTTGATTTTTAGTCCCATGTCCTGTGATGGAATATAGATAACCCTGTTTTTCAGTCTCAGTCACAATTCCTGAGGGAGGAAATCTGGCAGTCCCAGTTTAAATAAAGTTACCACTCCACATTCAATCAGCCTTGCAGGGGGCAGAGTCATGCAGTATAAATATGGCTAGAAATCCACCTTGACTTAATGAAGTAGTTCTAGAGAAAGGGAGGGTCATTATAGATTAGTAAAACACACCAAAAGATATAAGCCAAATATACATGTGGATTACGGTAGCCATAAATACAATTTACTTATTCTTTGGAGATTTAAAAATCCATAGTTAAGAAGTAACTAATCTATAAACTTGCTAAAAAATTATAAATTAAATGCACATGATGAAAGTATTTCATTGTTAAAATAGGGATTTGCTTTTTTTTTTTCTAAATTTTAAGGTTTCAGGTTCTTGCATACATATTTTTAAGTTCGACCTCACTGATTATGGTTTCATTCCCTCTCCCCCTTCCTTAAATATAGTTCCTCCAACAATCAAGTCCTCAGGCCTTTCTGAGAGAGTTGTGGTAAAATACAAGCCTGTCGCCTTGCAGTGCATAGCCAATGGGATTCCAAATCCTTCCATTACATGGTTAAAAGATGACCAGCCTGTGAACACTGCCCAAGGAAACCTTAAAGTAAGTGTAAATATTACTCAGCCTAAACTGGGAAAGCTACATATATCTTCCTGGAAATATCAAGTTATTCTTTCTTAACTGTAGATTTTCCTGTTGGACAGATTTTGCAGAAAATTTATTAAAAATAATATGCATTTTTCTTAGAGTTTTTAAGAATTTAACAATATTTTGATTTGAAGAATGGAATTAAAGACTAACTTTAACAATGATACTGATTTGAAGATAGTGATCATTATTTATATTATTTTGATTTATGCCTAATTTAGCTGTTAAAAAACTGGTGTCTCACAGATGAATGATGTTCATCAGTAATAAGCCAAAAATGTTCACCATTGAGTAAAATTAAGATACAGTCATATTTACATAAATGTAGGTAACATAAGTCTTGAAAAATATTTTTAAGAATTAGTTTATAAGCTTCAAGAGGGCAAAGACTCAATTTAAAAAAAATTGAAAAGTTCACTTTTTTATCGTTCATAGTGAGTATAGTCCCTGGCATATAACTGTATCTCAGTACATATTTGTTAAATTAGTAGATTGATGATAGATAGATAGATAGATAGATAGATAGATGATAGATTTCAAATCTGGATAATCTAAAGGATACATTTGAAATCAGAATTAATAGATTTTGCTAATAGGATCGAGTTAATTGACTAATGTGGGCTTGAATTTTACTTGTGAGTTCCCTAATGAGAGATATGTTATGTTCCTTTTTTAGTAGACGTGGTGGATATCTGTTAATTTTTAATTCCTATTCCAAATCCAATGGAAATAATCTCACATCTTTGTGCAAGTGAAAGATTCAGTTTTTAGCCTTCAGTCATAGTGAAGGTAAACAATTATTTACCTGGGAGACAGATATTTATTATATTATCATACAAAAGTAGGATTGCAAACCGTAATGAATGATGCTAAGAGAAAACCTAGAGGTGTAAGAACATATAATGAGAAAAGCAAAGCCTTCTAGAATGAGGAAAATTTATGGGAAAAGCCCTGATTAGAGTTCAGAAGACTCCATAGAAGTTAAATGGGTGAATTAATGGAAGAGAACGGAGTAGAGTGGTTCAAGAATATGTGCATGGGCAAATAAAGCAAAGGTGATCATGGCACCTCTTGAGAACCAGAAAGCCAGCCAGTGGGCTGAGGAAGAGACCAAGGGAGAGGTGGTATTAAAGATTGGAGACTAGGTAGGAGGCACTTAAGTAAGGTTGATGATTTTATTTTTACTTTAAGGTAATGAGAGACCTTTGAAGAGTTTTAAGAGAGGAGTAACATGATCAGGTTTGCATTTTAAGTAGTCATCCAGACCCATTCCAAAGAATAAATTGGAGGAGCCAATAATAGATATGTAGAAACCAATTAGAACCTAGTTACATTTGTCTAGGAGAGAGAAAAGATAGAAATTTAGACTCATATGTTGGCCATGCAGATGAGGATACTTGGATAGATTGGTGAGGTATTTATTAGTTAAATCACTGGGGGTTGAGGAAAGATTCTTTATGAAAAGTGAAGGAGAGGGATGTGGCAAGGAAGACTCCTAGGATTCCAACGTACACAACTGCATGGCTAGTGTTGCCATACAGTGAGATAAGAGACTGGAGAGGGACAAGTTTGAGGTGAGAAAACTGATTTGAGTTTTAGATTTTGGGGGGTTAAGGTGACTATGAGATCAACTAGTGGAGATGTCAGTAGATCATTGAGTATATGGTCTTGGAGCTCAAAGGAGAGTTCTGGCTGGACATATTGGCACATTAACAATATTTGAAACCATGGGCATGGATGAGTTAATCCAAGGAGAGAGTAAAGGGTAAGATGAAAAAGAAGAGAGGACTGACCTAGTTCGATCTTTAAAAATTATGGCATTTAAAGACCATGTAATATAATAGTCCAGACATGAATATAAATGTATGAATGTGTTGCTTAACATGTTTATAACAGTATGAATGGAGAATAGGTTAAGTGGGAGTTTACATGGGAGAGTTTGGAGAGATCATTTGGGGTCAGAATGTGGTGAGCCTGGAGGGCTGTGCTGAGTTCAGATTTCATTCTGGAAAAGGTGGAGAGCCATGAATGAAATTTGATGGGAAATTGGTTAAAGGATCAAATTTGAATTTTAAACAAATTATTCTGGCAACAATATGCAAGATAGATTAACAGCTGGGGAGGTTGGAGACACTGGAACATCAGTTAAGAAGCTATTATAATCCCACAGTGGCTGTGGAAATGGAAAACAGGGGATCTGAGAAACATATAGTGGCATAATTAATAGGATTCAAAGTAGGTTCCAAAACCTAGATGACTGGAAAAATAGTGGGTGCCATTAAACAAGACTGGGAACATGCAATCAGAAGTAGACTTTAGAAATACAAGGGAAAATATATGAGCTTAATTTTGTGCGAGTGAATTTGATGTTAAATTTAATGTACTACCTGTCCAGCAGATTGCTGGAAGGACACATGTAGAGCTCAGGAGAGACAGTGAGGCTATCCTGTAAATTTAGGATGCATTAGAGTTTTTCACTGATGCCATGAGTTTGGATAAAAACTATCAGACAGCTATGTTCCTTGGGTGTGGAACAGGAAGAGGAAGCAGATTCTGAAAAGTAATCTCCTAAGAAAGTCAGAGAATTAGAACTGAGGGAATGCTTATCTTTAACACCCAGAAAGTAGAGAGTTTCAAGGAGTTGGTAGTCAACCACACCAAATGCTATAGATGGTAGAGGAGAGTATGAGCTTACTACCTAGGCTGGTGGGTATTGTGACTGGAAGTTACTAGTAACCTCCGAATAGCATGTTTCAAAGAATAACCTCTGAATCACCAGTTTCAAAATGGCAGAGGCCAGTTGCAGTAGGTTTAAGAGGGAAATTGTGAAAAATAGGAAGAAATTTATCTGCATTCTCATAATTCATATTTTATAATTTTATTGTTTTTCTGGTTCCCATGATCATTTAATAAAAAGTCATTGTTTTAAAACTATGAATTTTTATATAAATGTGGCCAGGTTTTTTTTTCAAATAGCTTAAATTTTCATCACTTACTTCATAGTTCAGTGCTAAAGTCTTTTATTCAGTATGACTATACCAGTAAGCTGGCCTTATGTTATTTTATTTTGTGTTTTCCAATGAATAAGAAAAGGCTTTTCAATCAAACTAGTCTATTGTCTTGTGCATGATGATGTGAACTCGCTCTAGTCTATCAAGGGTTTATTAAGATATTGGCATGAAAATATTGTTAGATATTATAAATTTAAATGAATTTTTCTGTCTCAGTGAATATTTTCAAATCCAAGTATAAGATACAAAAATCCTCTGTGCTTTCTGCTCCCAATTAGATACAGTCTTCTGGTCGAGTTCTACAAATTGCCAAAACCCTGTTGGAAGATGCTGGCAGATACACATGTGTGGCTACCAACGCAGCTGGAGAAACACAACAGCACATTCAACTGCATGTTCATGGTAATGTAATTTCTACACCTTAACAAAAGAATATTTGTATCACTTTTTAAAAACATAGTGGGCTCATTTTTATTGAATTACAGTATAAAAGAAACAGGTGTTTATTTTCTTAGTCTGTATAAAAAAAACCTAGGGTTTTTTTTTTTTTTTTACATTATTGTAATTTTCATTGCTCGTGTTAGGATCTTCTGTTTTCAGGTTGTCAAACAGGATATACTGGAGCTCATAATTAAATACACCATGTGTTTTAAGTTAACTGTATTCTGTTAACTTATAGCTTTCTACAGATAACTTTTGTTGAAAAGACAGAAGTTGACAGCATTGTTTCTTAATCTTGTCTGCGTTTTTCTTGCCTGCCTATAAGAAGGATTTAGTGAGTAGAAGCCATCTTTGGCTCAGGATTTTCTCCAATGTGCTGTAATAAAAAGTCTGGGTGGCCACAGAGCACCTCAATAAAATCATAGCTTCACAGTAAACTTGAAAGACTACATAACCTTGAATATACCACTTCAGATCTCTAGAGGCTCATCAGAAAAGGCCAATAATTAGAGGGTTGGACTTTCCTAATTTAGCCAGAATATTTGCAGAAAACTGTTCAAGATTTTCATGTACACGTTATTCATTTTCTCTAATTCACATGATTTCTTCTTCAGCCTTTTATTAATTTATTCATTCATATATTCACTTCACATTTACCAAGCAATTAAACCTAGAATAATGTCCTAGCACCTAGCTTAATTCCAGGTATATAGTAGGCAGTCAAAAATATTTAACAAATAAAAGAGTAAATAGTAGGTGAATGAAAAAGTTTTCATTGGATATTAAATTCTTCTAATTTGCTTCTTCGTACATTTTCTTCCATTTGAATAAACTGGTTAAAAAGATTCAAATCATCAGTTTCCTAAATGTTTCCAATATATCAATTTATTCTTTTCCCAGTCCCTGAAATATGAACACCTAACTTAGGGATGTCTACATACATACCATAACATACGTAAACCATGTGGGTCTTTATTCTTTCACTGGATCGTTAGTTGGGAGACGAATATCTGAATGTAACCATTTTGCAATTGGCTGACAATGCTAGTGGGGTTAGGGGACAGGCTGACCCTGCTCTACTGTAAGGTGCCTTGCATTTGCCTCGTTCCCCATAAGGCCTTTATCTCTTCCTAGTGCTCTTTACAGCTGTCTCCAGCATCTGCTTAGACTTACACTTCCATCTAAGAGTATGCTGGGGGGGATTCTCTCTTCTTTCTTATTTCCCTATCCTGAGGCTCGTTCTCTTCTCCTTCTGCAAGCTATTTGCCTTCCCTCTCCCATCAAGTTCAGTTCTTGTCTGGTCTCTGTTACTGGCTAAGAGGAAACAGTGAAGTGGGATACAATGGCATGATACAATCATCTTAGGCGCTTAGGAGTCAGGCCAACTTTGGTTTAAATTCTATGCTAAACATGATGTATGTTACCTTGAGTAAACTACTTAATTTCTATGAGTATCTGACTTCCATAGTGATTTTGGGGTTCAGAGATAATAGGTATAAAACATCTCCCACTTCATAGACACTAAATAAATGTTAGCAGCTAACTTTGCTAACTTCTACTTCCTGAGGTGTTTTTAAAAAGAAGGATGTTTTGTTCTCTAGACTATTTTTAAAATACTTAAATGAATGCTCTATAACAGCAGCCCCCAACCTTTTTGGCACCAGGGACCAGTTTCTTGGAAGACAATTTTCCCACAGACTAGGGAGAGGGATGGTTTCAGGATTATTCAAGTCCATGACATTTATTGTGCACTTTATTTCTATTATTATTACATTGTAATATATAATGGTATAATTATACAACTCACCATAATGTAGAATCAGTGGAAGCCCTGAGCTTGTTTTTCTGCAACTAGACGGTCCCATCTGGGGGTAACGGGAAACAGTGACAGATCATCAGGCATTATATTATCGTAATGAACATGCAACCCAGATCCCTTGCATGCACAGTTCACAATAGGGTTCGTACTCCTAGGAGAATCTACTGCTGCTGCTGATCTGATAGGAGGCAGCGCTCAGGTGGTAATGCTTGCTCTCCTGCCACTCACCTCCTGCTGTGTGGCCCAGTTCCTAACCAGCCATCAACTGGTATCAGTCTGTGGCCCAGGGTTGGGGACCCCTGCTGTATAATAAAGAATAGAGTGTATGTCTCCAGTCCTGGAAGTATCTGCCTAGAACAGATGCTCTAAAATTTCAGTATTCTTAAAAGACATGTAAGTTACATATTAAACATACAGCTTCCTGGGCCTAGTCCCAGATCTCCTGAAACAGCACCTCTAATGTAGGTAGTCTGTGAGCCCGTGTTTGGAAAAACATTGGCCTAGATACTAAAGACTGGCCTGAAGACTTGCCAGTGTAGTCAGGACTGACTGAAAACCAGAGTCTGTGAGAGAAATCAAGTATCCCATCAAATAAAGAGCAACAACAGAAGAGAAAAAGCATAATTGATACCTAAGAAGGCACAAGTCTCTAAACTTGAATATTATAGCAAAATGTTGGTTGACGGGAGATGCAATTAGGGTGCACCTCTACATGGAAAATCATCAAAGAGAAGGGGGCAGACTGGTAAACATATGGGTTAATGTGAAATGAAAGAGAAGCAGAAGGTTAGTCATTTTAAGAGCTTATTAAAAATTGCTCAATCAGAGGGAGAATATAAAACTATCTTCCTGATACAAATCACAGGATAAAAGTAAGGTATAGTAGTAGGTTAAAACATTTCAACTAATATGATCATGACTTGTGTACATAACAGTTCATCTCCCTGAAGGGAGAATAAATGATGAAGTGCACTTCTAATCTGATACTAATTGTGATCAGCCTGGAAGAAGCAGTTGGCTGAGTGCATGTGATGGGAATCTAGAAATCTAGACAGAAAACTGGCATTTCACTTTGACATTCATGACAATAACATCACATTGGACACATAAGTCTCCAAACCTGACTCTGTCCTCTTCAATACTTGCATTTATAACTTTACTGATAATTGGAGATGTTAAAAAATGTAGGAATTTCTAAGAGACTGGTTGATGATAGACTTCAAAAAGACCTCAGTGGTTAAAATGACAAGTTAATGTGGAAAACTATATAAGAATAGGATGTGAAAAGCATGGCTTAAAAGACACCATGCATTGAAATACTTGAGTATTTGAATTTGGATTTGGTTTGTTCCAATTACTGTAGGTATGAGAATTTAGTTTCATAAAAAAGTTAATCAAACTTAGCAGCCAATAGCAGAAGTTACAGTATAAGGAACAAGAGAGGAACTAGCCCAATTAATACTGTTGCTCTTCGAATGCTCCCAAAGTATTGCATACAATTCTTGTTCTATGTATTAAAAAGGGCATTGCAAAACCCATGGGGAAGCAATCCTCATTTAATTAGGTTCAGTTATTAATTTATCAACCAACCCTGTAGTTACTTTTGAAGTCAGGATTTTTTGTTTTTATTTTTGTTTTTAGAGACAAAATCTCACTCTGTCACCCAAGTTGGAGTGCAGTGGTACGGTCATGACTCATTACAGCCCGGATCTCCCTAGGCTCAGGTGATCTTCCCACCTCAGCCTCCCTAGTAGGGAGGACCACAAGCAAATGCCACCATGCCTGGCTAATGTTTGTACTTTTTGTAGAGATGGGATTTCACCATGTTGCCCAGGCTGGTCTTGAACTCCTGGGCTCAAGACATCTGCCGACCTCGGCCTCCCAAAGTGTTGGGATTACAGGTGTGAGCCACCATGCCCAGCCCAGGTTTTTTTTTTAATCTCAATCTTTATTGATGGATAACACATTCAGCAAATGTGCATTTACTACAGTTGTCATCCAGAAATGTCTGATCCTAAAATATTCAGTGTTTCAATTGTTTAATGTTTTCCTTTCTTATATAAATATCTTAGATGCTACCATTCTTCTTAGTCATAGCAAAGGCTGTTTCTCAAAGCTGTAGTAAGGGTGCCTGGTCTCCTGGACTAGGAGACCACGTCATGATCAAGAAAAGAGGAACATTCTCATGGGGTTTTCCAGGGTGGGGAGTTCTGTCATTTATAAAGGGCAGGAGCCCTCAGTAGGTGGTCTTTTTGATCATCAAAGTTTAATAATTCTGGAAGTTTTTATTCCCTAGACCAAACTATGAAATTACATCTAAACCTCAGATATTTGCCAAGTGCGACAGATGTTTCCACAAACAAATGATTATTTGGAGTCTAATAGCCCAAGCATTCATTTTATCTGCACACAATTATTTCCCAGGAAAAAAATTAACCAAGGTGAAACACCCAGAAAAAGTAAAATATTGTGGCTTCAAATTTACTTTTTTATATTGCCAATTAATAACTGCAGGATAAAAACGTACATTCCTCATCTGTAAAATGGGAAGGATAGAGAGAGTATACCACAGTTATGGAGGCTGTGTGAGGATTAAATGAAAGACTACATGTGAAAATCTTAGCCTGGTGCCTGGCTCCTAGTCAGCATCTGTAAATGACAGCATAAAGGCTGTCTGGCAAAACACATATTTGATTTTTGGCCCTTCTCACTGCACCATTTTCATAAATATCTGTAAAGTCCCTCCTGCCTTTACTCTTGGCCAGGAACTCTCTTGGGTCTGTATTAGTTGTCTGGTAAAAACATTAGTAGAGCACCCCTTATTTTTTTATTTTTTGAAAAGTATTTGCTTGGCTAACATCTGCTAACACCCACTCAAAAATGGTTCCTCTGTCGTTTTCTGTGTTTTGTTTAATAGCTCAAATGTGGCTTAAAGGAGACTCGGGAATGTTGCAGGGAACCTTTTTCTTTTTTCATGGGTAACTTCGGTTCAAGACTCTAAGATTTTCTTGGTATAGATTAATTTATTCCTCACTATTTCACAATTTCACTAGATAGAGAATATTAACTCACAAAAATTACATTTAGATTGCTTATGTACTACCTGTAATTTAACCAGGATTTGAAAGACTCTACTCATGACCTGCGTGATTGAAGTAATAGGCAAAATCTAGCACACAATGTGTCAAGAAGAAGGTATTCTGGTTTTGGCATGATATGTACATGCAGCTTTTGGAAAAAGGAAAAAAAACCCAGCAAATTGAATGGAATTCAACCTTCTTCTTGGAGAATGCAGGCATCTTATTATTAAAATAAGATCATAAGATATTGTTACTTTATTGCTGCTCTATCTAGAACAATGTTCTCCCAAATTTCAAGACTGCATTTCAATGCTAGAAGGGAGCAATGGAATTTATATTTGTATTTACTTTTAACCTCAAAATGAGAAAGAAATCAGGCTTTTAAAACATTTTTATATGGACTTACATTGGAGCCTTTCTGGTGTTTGAGGCATTGAACCATTACGTGCTTTGCAGGCAGGATTATAATTATTTGGCAAACAATCCCCCCAAGAATCAGTGGGTTTCTGGTCCACTTGTTTGTCAAATACCATGTACTAGTGACTATACCCAAAGAGCTTCTCTGTACAAGGCCTTTAGTCATTAGCTTTCCTCTTTTAGTTACTGAGTTATGTTTTGACATTTCTAAAGCATATTTTTTTTTTTTTTTTTGAGACGGAGTCTCGCACTGTTGCCTGGGCTGGAGTACAATGGCGCGATCTTGGCTCACTGCAACTTCCGCCTCCCAGGTTCAAGCCATTCTCCTGCCTCAGCCTCCTGAGTAGCTGGGGTTACAGGCACCTGCCACCACTCCTGGCTAATTTTTTTGTCTTTTTAGTAGAGACGGGGTTTCACTATGTTGCCCAGGCTGATCTCGAACTCCTCACCTCGTGATCCGTGATCCGTCCGCCTCAGCCTCCCAAAGTCCTGGGATTACAGGGGCGAGCCACTGTGCCTGGCCATATAAAAGCATATGTTTTATATGGAAACTACCTTGAGGACATCTGAAAAAATTAGCTAAGATAACATCTTTATATTTGCTAAGTCTGGCTGTGAAGACTTAATAGAAGTCTTTCAGAAAAAAAAAATGCTTAGCAATAATTTTTTTCTCTAACTCTTTGGAGTAGAAAAGCAATTGGCTTATTTTTTTTCAACCTTCTGAGGCTATAAATTAAAATTATGTTGAAATACAGTGAGCATCAAATCAGACTATCTGATTTATTATGAGATCTTTGTAGGTCAGTTATGGGTGCTTCTTGATCCCAGTTGTTTCTTGAGTTGAACGTTAAAAATTCTGAGCTTGTTATTCACAAAGAGATCACACATATAATTCACATAATAGAAGATTCATCCTTTTGGAGTGTACAACTCAGTCAATTTCAGTAGTTTATATCTTTCTAAGATTGTTTTTGTTTTATTTAGGTTATCTAATTTGTTGGCATACAACTGTTTGTAATCTTCTCCTAAAGTTTTTTTTTTTTATTTCTGTAAGATTGCGGTAATGACCCCTCTTTCATTTCTGATTGTAGTAATTAGATCTTCTCGCTTTTGTTTATCTTAGTGTAGCTGAAGTCTTTTTCATTTTGTTGATCTTTTCCAAGAACCAGCTTTTGGTTTTGTTAATTTTCTCTACTGTTTTTCTCTTCTCTATTTAATTTGTATATACTCTAATTTTTTTTGTTTTCTCCTTTTGCTTGCTTTGGATAGAGTTTACTCTTCTTTTTTTCTGATTTCTTAAGGTAGAATGTTAGGTTATTGATTTGAGATCTTATTTTTTAATATGGATGCTTGCAGCTACAAATCAGTCTAAGCTCTTCTTTATGTGCATCCCACAAGTTTTGGCATGTTTTTATTTTTCATTCCTCTCAAAATATTATCTGTCATGTGATTTCTTCTCTGACCAATAGTTATTTAGGACTGTGTTACTTCATTTTCACATATTTGTGAAGTTCCCAAATTTTCTTTCATTATTGGTTCCTAAATTTCATTGTGCTGGAGAACATACACTGTAAGATTATAGTCCTTTTAAATGTATCAAGAGTTGTCTTATAGTCTTATATATAGTCTGTCTTTGAGACTATGACATGTGCACTTGAGAAGAATGTGTTTTCTGGTGGAGTAGTCTATGTGTGCCACTTGCGTTATAGGTTGTGCAAGTCTTCTATCTTTTTATTGATTTTCTGTGTAGTTGTATCCACAATTGAAAGTGGGATATCGAAGTCTCTTAACTTTTATAGTTTTATTGTCTATTTCTCCCTTTGAGTTTGTCAATTTTTGTTCCGTGTATATTGGGGATCTGTTGTTATGTACGTATGTATTTATAATTGGTATATCCTGATGAATTAACCTTTTGTATTTTTTTTAAAGTCCTACTTTGTTGCCAGTAACAGTTTTTCTTGAAGTCTATTTTTTGTGATGTTAGTATAGCCCCTGCAGTTCTTTTTCCATTACTGTTTGCATCATATATTGTTTTTCATCTTTTTACTTTCAATGTATTTGTCTTTGAATCTAAAGTGTGCTATTATAGGCAACATACAGTTGAATTTTTAAAAAACTCCATTCTGCCAATCTCTGCCTTTTGATTGGAGTATTTAATCCATTTACATTTAATTTAACTACTGATGTGGTAGAGTTTATGTCTGTCATTGGTTATATATTTTAATATTTATTATGTCATTTTTTGTTTTTCTCTTTCTCCATTGCTAACATTTTCTTGGGTGCCATTTTATTGCCCTTATTGCTTCTTTTACATTTTTTGAGTTCTATTTTTAGTAGTTTTCCTCAGTATTATAATTAGAATCTTAATAATTATAGTATTTGGATATTTCAACAGTATACAAAAATTTTGTTCTTAATTAGCTCTCTTTTTCCCCTCTTTTGTGCTATTATTGTTAAACGAATTACATTTTTTAAAGTGCCCATTACTGCTTTATATTATCATCTTTTAAATCAATAGGAGAAAAAATGAGTTACGAGCAAAATATACAGTTTTTACATCTTACATATTTATCTATGTAGTTACCTCTACCAGTGAACTTTATTCTTTTGTGTGTATTAGAATTACTGCTTCATTTCAACCTGAAGAACTCCTTTTAGAATTCCTCATAGAACAGGGGTCTAGCAATGAATTCTTCCTAGAATTCATTGCTTTCCATTTTCATTCTTCTAGAAATATCTTAATTTCTTCTTTAATTTTAAAAGACAGATTTTCTGGATATGAAATTCTTGGTTAGTAGTCATTTTCTTTCAGCACTTTGAGTATGTCATCCTACTACCTTCTGGCCTTTGTCTTTTTTGATAAGAAATTGGCTGTTGTTTGTACTGAGGATCTTTGTACATAAGTCACTTCTCTCTTACTGCTTTCAAGATTGTTCCTTAGTTGTTGGTTTTAAACAGTTTGGTTTTGATGTCTTGGTGGGGATTTCTTTGAGTTTATCTAACTTAGAATTTTTTAAACTTCTTAGATATATAGATTGATGCTTTTCTTCAAATTTGGGAACATTTCAGTTATTACTTTTTAAGGCATTCTTTCTGTACCTTTCTCCTTCTCCTCTCCTCTGGTACTCCCATTATGTTTGATGGTGTTTCCACAAGTCTTAGAGGCTCTATTCACTTTCTTTATTCTTTTTTCTTTGATTCTAAAATTGGATTATCAATTGACCAATCTTCAAATTTGTTGATTTGTTTCTTCTTCCACCTTCCAGCTTTCTTCTTCCAGGTGTTGAGTTTTTATTACACTTTAGAATTTTCATTTGGCTTTTAAAAGTAATTTCTGTCTCTTGATTAACATCTATATTTAGTGATAATTCAGCTACTTTTCTTTGGTTCTTTATAGATGGTTTCCTGTAATTCTTGGAACATTCAGTCATCCCTCAATATCCACAGGGGATTGATTCTAGGACCCCACATGGATACCAAGATTTGTTGATGTTCAAGTTCCCTATATAAAATTATATAGTATTTGTTACAAAAAAAAAACAAAAATAAATAAATGGGATGAATTAAACTAAAAACCTTATGCATAGCAAAAGAAATAATCAGCAGAGTTAACAGACAACCCACAGAGTGGGAGAAAATATTAGCAAACTGTGCATCTGGCAAAGGACCAATATCCAGAATTTACAAGGAACTCAAACAGATCAGCAAGAAAAAAAAATAATCCCATCAAAAAGTGGGCAAAGGATGTGAATAGACAATTCTCAAAGATATACAAGCAGCCAACCTAATATATGAAAAAAAAACTCGACATCATTCATCATCAGGGAAAAGCAAATTGAAACCACAATGAGATACCACCTTACTCCTGCAAGAGTGGCTGATATGGTTTGGCTGTGTACCCACCCAAATCTCACCTTGAGTCATAGTTCCCATAATATCTATGTGTTGTGGGAGGGACCCGATGGGAGGTAATTGAATCATGGGAGTAAGTTCTCATGAGATCTGATGGTCTTATAAGGGGCTTTTCCCCACCTTTGCTCTGCACTGCTCCTTGCTGCTACTATGTGAAGAAGAATGTGTTTGCTTCCCCTTCGGCCATGATTATGTTTCCTGAGGCCTCCCCAGCCATGCTGAACTGTGAGTCAATTAAACCTCTTTCCTTTATAAATTACCCAGTCTTGGGTATGTCTTTATTAGCAGCATGAGAACGAACTAACACAATGGCCATAAGTAAAAAGAAAAAAAAAAAGAAAAAAAAAGATGTGGTGTGGATGTGCTGAAAGGGAACACTTTAACACTGCTGGTGGGAATGTAAATTAGTACAACCACTATGGAGAACAGTATGAAGATTCCTTAAGGAACCAAAAGTAGAACTACCATTCAACCCAGGAATCTCACTACTGGGTATTTACCCAAAAGAAAAGAAGTCGTTATATGAAAAAGACACATGCACATGCATGTTTACAACAGCACAATTTGCAATTGCAAAGATATGGAACCAACCTAAGGGTCCATCAACCAATGAGTGGATAAAGAAAATGTGATATACACACACGCACACACACACACACACACACACACACACACCATGGAATACTACTCAACCATAAAAAGGAATGAAATAATGTCTTTTGCAGCAACTTGGATGGAGCTGGAGGCCAGTATTCTAAGTGAAGTAACCCAGGAATGGAAAACCAAACATCGCATGTTCTCAATTTTAAGTAGGAGCTAAGCCATGAGGATGCAAAGGCATAAGAATGATATAATGCACTTTGGGGATTCAGGGGGAAGTGTGATGAGGGATGAGGGATAAAAACTACATATTGGGTACAGCATATACTGTTCGAGTGATGGGTGTACTAAAATCTCAAATCACCACTGAAGAACTTATCCATGTAACCAAAACCACCTGTATCCCAAAAACTATTGAGATAAACATTAACATAAATTGTATAGTAGTTGTATATAGCACATCCTCTTGTATAGTTTAATATCTCTAAATTACTTAATTCCCAAAACAATGTGGATGCTATGTAATTAATAGTTATACTACATTTTTATTTGTATTAATTTTTATTGTTGTATTGTTATTTTTTATTAAAAAAAATTTCCCATCCGTGGTTGATTGACACTGCAGATAGAGAGGGCCAATTGTATTTAAAATAGCTGATTTAAAGTTTTTGTCTAGTAAATACAATATCTAGTTTCTAGGTTTCCTGATGGACAGTTTCTATTATGCTTCTTTTTCTATGGATGAGCCATGCTATCTTGTTTCTTAGAATATGTGATTTTTGTTGAAAAAGTAGATATTTTAAATAACATAATTTGGCAACTCTGGAAATCATATCCTTCTCTCCTCATGGTTTTTATTGTCATTTTTTTTTTGTTGCTGGTTTTCATCGTTGTGTCTTGATTCATTAGTGAGTAGACAGAATACTGGCATCCTGCCAAATTTTCATATCCTAATCCTTGAACTTATTAATATGTTAGGTTACATCATAAAGGGGAATTAAGGTTGTTAATCATTTGACCTTAAAGTAGGAAGATAATCTCTAATTATCTGGATGAACCCAATGTAATCATAAGGATTATTAAATGTGGGAAAGGGAAGCAGCATATCAGAGTGATATAATGTGAGAAGAATGTTCCACACACTTCCTCACATGCCCTGCCCGTTGCTGGCTTTGAAGATGGAGGAAATGGCCTCTAGAAGTTGGAAAAGGCAAGGGAACAGATTCTTCTCTAGAGCCTCCAGAAGGGAATTCAGCTCTGCTGACACCTTAATATTAACCCAGTCAGGCCATGTTGGACTTCTGACCTATAAAACTGTAAGATAAATTTGTATTATTTAAGCTACCAAGTTTGAGGTAATTTGTTTCAGAAGCATAAGGAAACTTTTCTATATAAATTCTATGAAGTCTGTTTTTATAGACTTTAAAATACCCCTGGGGAAAAGGTTTGCACTGACAGAACAATTGAATCTGGTTAAATAAAGTCAAATCTTGCAAACAGGGATTTTCATGGAAAGGCCAGACAGGTCAAATAATGACAGTTCTCTCAGAATGGTACTTTCAGGTCGCTCGAAACCTATTGTTCTTCCTTCTGTGTCTGCTAGGCTGCTTTTTTCACTGTGATTATTGGACTATTTGTTTTCAAGTTTGACTGAGCTGGAGAGAGGGTGACAGGGCTAGGTCAGTTAAAATGCCTCAAAACTCACTGTTCTTAATGAAATTTAGCATTTATTTTTAATAAATACTTTTTGGATTTTTGCAAGTCTTTGGTTAATTTCCCAAGTTCTGAAAAGGTTGATTTTGACAATGTTTCCAACATTTTTGTTTCTTTAGTGGAGGAGTAGATTTTTTGAGTCCTTAGTCTGGCATTCTTGCTGACATCCAATCTTTCTTTAAGTTCTCTAGTGAAGTGAGAAATTGCCAACCCATTCCATAGCTCTTGTATTTCTTATTCCCATCATAGTGTTTTATTGCAGCAGCGACATAGTCTGTCAAATTCTTCAATGAGCACTTCAGTCCAGAAGGCTTCAAGTATTTAAAAAGCTGTTTTGTAGGAATGTGTCATGGACTGATTATTCTTCCTTTTTTTCTTTTCCAGTTGGAAAAGTTAGATAGCTATATTTATAAGTCTTGTGTCCTTAAATATTGTGTTGATAATCAGAATTCAGTGCAGAAAACAGAAACATTCTAGGCATTTCAAACAGGTAGGGTTAATACATGGAATTAAATGAATACAAAAGCAATTTTAAGAGTGATAGAGGGGTGGTTCTGGGGTGAGTCTTTAGGAACAACTCCCAGGACAAAAAAGATTTGACCCAAAGGACATCTACTTCTGAAAACAGACTTTATTTTAGACTTTTCAAAAATCAACTTTGAGTTTTATTATCTTCTTTGATTTTGTTTGTTTTCTGCTTTTATTTTTATTATTTATTTCTAGCCTGTTTTGGTTTATTGTGTTGGTCTTCTTCTAAATTCTGGGTTGAGTGCTTAGGACTTTTCTTTCATTATTTCTTGGTTTTTATATATGTTAATTATGGATTTCGATTTTCTTTAAGTACTGTACTGCTTTAGTGACATTCTATAGGTTTTAATATTAATCAATTTCACTTTATTTTTCTAAACATATTCTTATCTTGATTTCATCTTTAATGAGATTTTTCCCATGTAGATAGCTTTATATTTTCATTGTTGATTTATATTTTATAGCTTTATTAAATTGTGATTATAAAATACTTTATTGGCATTTCATGGGCTAATATCTCATTTTGAAAACATTCCACTGTCATTTGAAAAACATATATATTCTTTGGTAATTACAAATCCCCAAACACACACATACACATATGCATACACAATCTGCATGGGTACTTTTATTTTTCATATTCGTTATAACTGTATTTTTTGTTTCACTACACAGCCAATTTCTGAGGAGGACATATTAAAATATGCCACTTTTAGAGTTTTTGAATTTTTCTTGCTTTTTAACAATTTTTGCTTTGTTATTCAATGCATAAGGTATTGTCATTATAAAATATTATTCATGAATATAAATCATGTTGTTTTGTCATGTTTAATAATTTTTGCTTTGTATAGTTGTCAGAAATCGATGTCAAATTATTGTATATCTTTGTCCTTCTCCTTATTGTAACATTTTTGTGGGTTTTTATTTGTGCTCCTTATCCACTTAGATATTTTAATTAAAAATAGTTTTAACCCATTGTATTAGTCCATGTTCATGCTGCCGATAAAGACATACCCAAGACTGGGCAATTTAGAAAAGAAAGAGGTTTAATGGACTCACAGTTACACATAGCTGGGGAGGCCTCACAATCATGGCAGAAGGCAAAAGGCACATCTCACATGGTGGCAGACAAGAGAAGAGAATGAAAGCCAAGGCAATCTGATGGATCTAAAACCATCAGATCCCATGAGACTTATTCACTATCATGAGAACAGTATGGAGGAAACCGCTCCCATGATTCAATTATCTACCAATGGGTCCCTCCCAGCTACAATTCAAGATGAGATTTGGGTGGGGACATAGCCAAACCATATCACCCATACAAGTATTTTTTCTTTTTTTTTTTTGAGGTGGAGTTTCGCTCTTGTTGCCCAGGCTGGAGTGCAATGGCACGATCTCAGCTCACTGCAACCTCCACCTCCCAAGTTGAAGCGATTCTCCTGTCTCACCCTCCCAAGTAGCTGGGATTACAGGCGCCCACCACTACCTCCATCTAATTTTTTGTATTTTTAGTAGAGATGGGATTTCACCATGTTGGCCAGGCTGGTCTCAAACTCCTGACCTTGTGATTTGCCTGCCTCAGCCTCCCAAAGTGCTGGGATTACAGGTGTGAGCTACCACACCCGGCCACCCATACAAGTATTAACGTGTCAAAAAGTCACTATTTTAAGTGTCAAAAAGCTCTATTAAACAATGAAATGAACTCAGTCATATTTATATATTTAATTTTATTTCTGCCATCTTACTTATTTCTACTATTTTTTCTTGTTTTCTTTCCTTCTTTCCCCCTTTCCTGTTTTTGGTAGATTAATGGATTGATGGATTTATTGATTGTATGTGGGTCGAGGGTCTGTAGTGCATTGAGTTAGTTAAATGTAGCAAATCCTTAAAATGTGTTTTTTTTTTCTATCAACTTCAGATACTAATTTACAACATCTTCTTCAAACAAGACAGAACCTTTAGTTCACTTGTAATTTTTTAATCCTGGATGTCTCTCACACTCCTTGAGATATTGTTGAAAACATGGCATTAATGTTCCAAGTTATTTCTTTTATATTATGCCTCTCGGACTTTACGAATTCCTACTTTCCAAGTACATTAAATAACAGATCAGCATTATCAGTAATTACTTAAAGTTGAAAACGTACTTTTCTGTTTTATTTTGTGAATAACTTAAGTCTAAATTTTATATCAAAGGAAAAAAACTGCCAAAAACCACACAAAAGTTATTCTATTTTTTTCTGAAATAGCTTAAGACAGTGCTGTCCAAAGATAAAGTAAGATATTTTGAGATGTTGATTTCTTCTTCACTGGAAGAATTCAAATTTAGTAGACTAATTACTTCTTGGTAAAGATAATTACTTACCAAATCAATCAGATTAAGTAAAATAAAAAATGTTTCTTTAACTTTTTTTTACTCCTCTACTAATCTATATAATTCTAAGGATTTTCCTATCTGGACACAGAGAAATGTGTGATCCAGAAAACTTATTTACATTTTTTTAAATCCTGTTCTTCAGTCTATTTAATAGTTTACTTTTATTCCAAATAGGTCAGTGTATATATGTGAAAAAAAGAAGAGAGGAAGAAAAATTATAATTTTAATTGAGCAAACAATTTCAGCTTAAATATTCTACTTATAAGAAATAATTATCTGTTTGGGCCTCTTGTAGAACCACCTAGTCTGGAAGATGCTGGAAAAATGCTGAATGAGACTGTGTTGGTGAGCAACCCTGTACAGCTGGAGTGTAAGGCAGCTGGAAATCCTGTGCCTGGTACATTTACTTTTGAACTCTGTAACTTAATATTTTAAGATTTCTGGGAATAACTGAAATTGGTTTTGAGCATAATATACTAATTACTAGTAAAGAACAGGTTATAGAATACATTTCATGGGTGAAACATTGATAAGAATATTATTAGATAACATTTTTGAATTTTTGTTGCCTTTAACTAACTGCATGAAACAATTTATTTAAACAATGTAGAAATATATGAATACCTTAATCATCTTATTGTCAATATTGTGGCCACAAGGCCCACATGGTGGTTTATATCCATCTATGCTGAAACTTTTTTTTAACTTAAAAGTATCTTAATGAAGCTAGATAAAATTGTCGTTCTAATGAGACTACAACTTTGTTTTGTATATTCCCACCACTGGTAGATTATTCATATGAATCAGTAACAACATAAATCTTTGAGGCCAACAGTGTGGATGGTATTTGGTTTGATTAGACATGTAGCCAAAATTTTATGGATGAGAGGAAACATACAACAAAAAATAGATAGGTTGAAAGTTTGCTATTAAATAATACTGATATATTAGAGATAGTAAAGAATATCTTTCTTCTAAATTCATTTTCAGGACTCACCGACTTGGATCTTGGTGTTTTTCTAAGGGTTACCTTCTCTTAAAAATCAAAGCTAAAGAGATGATTATGTAAACAGATTAAATTCAAATAATAAGTATAAGAATAAAGTAATAGTGACTTAGCTAAGATCCAACTTAGTATATTTAATTTAAAAAATTTTTACATAGATCATCTTCTCCCCTTCTTCTTTCAGTTATTACATGGTACAAAGATAATCGTCTACTCTCAGGTTCCACCAGCATGACTTTCTTGAACAGAGGACAGATCATTGATATTGAAAGTGCCCAGATCTCAGATGCTGGCATATATAAATGCGTGGCCATCAACTCAGCTGGAGCTACAGAGTTATTTTACAGTCTGCAAGTTCATGGTTAGTGCCACTTCACCTAGATTCATTCTGGGGTAAAGAAGCATTCAAAATGATTAAGTGCTTCTATAAAATTCTTGTGTAAGTATTTAACAGAATGTGTTATTGTCATCTTTATGTAAGGGCACAGTGTTCTAAAACTTATAAATGTGCTTATTCCTGATTCCTATTAAAATGCTCAATTTCCACATGCTGTTGACTTAAGTTTGCTTTCAATTAGTTGTTGAAATAGTCATTGATACTGTTAGCTAACAACAAAAAACACTGCTTATAAATGCTCTCTGAAAGAATCATAGGTATTAACGAAATGTTTTTGAGTGATTATCTCTAATAATGCTTTTAAGACGAGTTGGTAGTTAACATACTACAGTGGATGCAGTGAAGGGGGTACACACTTGTGTTCATGTGCACACACACACACACACACACACGCCTAGAAATCAATAAATAAAATTCCACTCCGGCATAAAAAACTGATTTTTTTAACAAACTGGCAAAACTTGTTTTTCCTCATCTGTGAAATGGAGAAATTGATACTTGCTCTGTTTATCTCACAGGATGGCTGTGATTAGATCTTAAATAAGAGAGATGTGAAAGAACTTACCAAAAAACAAGCAAACCCTCCAATAAGAACATAATATTGTAGACATTAGATGTAGTTTTCATCATTTGAGATCACAAATCCTGTGATATTAACGTGTCTTACTTTCATTTGTTTTTTTCAGTGGCCCCATCAATTTCTGGCAGCAATAACATGGTGGCAGTGGTGGTTAATAACCCGGTGAGGTTAGAATGTGAAGCCAGAGGTATTCCTGCCCCAAGTCTGACCTGGTTGAAAGATGGGAGTCCTGTTTCTAGTTTTTCTAATGGATTACAGGTACCTTCATTCATTTCTTTGGTGACATTTACCACCTGATTATTCAGTACAGGAAGTACACACAGGTAAAACTGTTGAAGAGATTTAGAGAACAAGGATTAACAGATGCTATTTTTTAAATACACATATGCAACCATAAACACCATGGACACATAACTGGGGTCCCCAAACAATTCATTAAAAGCTCACTGTTTCTAAGAGTTCCCTTATCTTACTTTTAGGTGTTATATTTTGACCATTTGTTTTGGATATTTGTTGTTTTCTACCTGCCCCACTCCACTTTCTGCTGCTACCACAATAGATACTTTACACAAAGAAATGTTAATAAGAAAATAGGAATTTTCTGGTAGACTTTAGGTTTAAATGTCTTGAAATAGTAATGAATCAGAGACTACACAGAGCATATATACTTCTACAAAAACATCAAGTAATATAGTAAGAAAAAATATAATTAAAACATCACGAGAAATAAAATTTGAGTCCTAGAAAAATTTTAAATGCATTATATTGAGTCAAAATTAAAAATATAGAAATGCGTATATACCTAATATAAAGTTTAATTTTATCTTGCCTAACAGAAAGCATAGTATTCCTAACATTATACTTCTTCAGGTTTTCTTGCAAATCTAATGCTTTCAAAATTTGGGATCATAGAAGATCCAGAGTTAATGTCAATATTTTAGAAATACAACTGAATCCATGGGATAAAGGATAATCAAGGTAGCTTATTAATTAATTTGGCTACTACTTTGTTGTTAATTTTAGCGTCTTACCTTTTTACCCAAAGAAAAATTAGAAAGAGAATTAGCATTTATTCTCACTCATGTTTCTCCCCTGGCATCTTTGTCTGTCTTTGTAGTGAGTATGGATGAAAGTTGACTTTCATTTGATGCTGTATGTAAAGACTTATTTTCAGTAGTCATTACCAAATTTAATTCCAGCCTCTTAACATCCTTCCACTGAGAAGATGAAAAGGGTATTATATGATGTTTGCCTACTTAAAAATGTCCAAGGGAAAATCTTCCTAAAAGGCAAATGTCAACTGATAAGCCTCAAAAAAATAAGAGAAAAAATCTATTACACCTACCATTCTCAGAGACATATTGGTTATTTAGCGTTCTTACCATTGATAGGTTCTCTCTGGTGGTCGAATCCTAGCATTGACCAGTGCACAAATCAGCGACACAGGAAGGTACACCTGCGTGGCAGTGAATGCTGCTGGAGAAAAGCAAAGGGACATTGACCTCCGAGTATATGGTGAGACATTTTAGTAATTAATTCTCTTCTGGTAGAGATATGTTTGGGTCCTAAAATCATTGAGAAAGTTAAGGGAAGTTGTTGACAATAAAGAACAATGAACCTTAGAAATGATATTACAGGATCAATTCAAATCAAATTCTCTTTCTGCCTTATATCTGACTTTGGATGATTTTCCTTTTTTAAAGTTCTGAGAAAGTAAAATGCACACATCCAGCATGTAGGGTGTTGGTTTTATAGAGTACTCTGAAAACCATGACTGGATAGCAGCTCTGCCATTTAGAAGAGATAATCTTCTCATCACTGAAGCAAGTATCTGTTCAAGTAGCTCTCTTCATTCATTCTACTCAAAGCCATGATTTTATTACTTTCTAACTATTTGTAATCAGCATATTTGTGATCAATACTATGTGAATTAATGGCTCTTTGAGAAGCAAAAAGTTAAACTCAATATAAATTTAGGCAAAATTTACGTTTTTGCCCACTCTCAATGCCGCTCACAATGCTCACAAAAGGGAATGCCCGATCCCATCACAGAAGAGCCCCAGAAGAAAGTTGGGGCCTCTTGATCTCCATTTATATATTAGCTTTTCAGCCCACATTCCAGTATACCTTTACATTCAGAACTCTTTTAGACTTTTTTCTGTGGTTTATTTGCATTATATTCCTTAGTTCTTGGAATAATTAAATTATTTCTTTTATGACCTCTTGAAGAGTTTCTGTTTAATGCAGAATGCAAGCCTTCTCCTTAAAGTCCTACCTCACTTCCAAATAATTTATTCTTTTTTGAAATACATTACCTTTTTAAAAATTTTTACCTCCAGACAATGTGGACCATGTTGTCTTCTCTTATAAGTTTGCCAATGTAAATGTATTGATCACAAATAACATATATTGTTATATAATTTTTTAGTAAAAAGACCCCTTGTTACAACATGGATATCATACATATCTAATGAAAGTAAAAGTTTTAGTTGGCATCGGTACACTAGCAAAGGGTTCTCTATGTTCCCTTTCTTTTCTGTTGCTCCTGCAATTGACACGAGTTCACATTCAGCCTCCAGATTTGCTTAGGTGTCTGAGGTAACAGATAGGTCTATAATGCCCAACCCCAGGAATTTTAACTTCCTCCCTGAATTGAGCCGCTTTTATGCTTTATGAAGAACTGGAAAGTTTCTATTCTAAAATATCCTTTGAGACTGATTCATCAATCAATCTAAGTATGTAACACAATAGTTCTTCAGTCATTAGGAAGCAAGTAGAGGGATGACGTTGGTATTGACTGGGTTTTAGTCACCACAGAAATCTGAGATGGACTCCTTACATTTCTACACTGGCTAGCGTCAAGGGTGAACCTGGGAGATGATAAAAGAGTTGATATTTTCCAGGAATTACAGAAACATGCATCACTGTTCCTTATCAGTTGCTAAGATACTTCTATACTACTTTCTTAGGCTGAAAATCAGGATCTTTCTCTGAAATAAAGGTCAAATGGCTAGCTGATATATATGTTTTTGAATGTTTATATATGTTTAACCATTGAAATATACATGCAGCAAGCTGCTGAAAAAGTGTAAGATTAAAACAGGTTTTTAATCTAAAATCAGTTTCCAATCTGTATTCACTATTATTATTATTTGCATAAATTATATTTTTATATTTGTAGTAGTAACCTTGGTGATGTGTGTCTAATTAGAGCCTAATGAATGTTAATTCCCAGAGATAAATCACCTTCAGATTTACATTGTGGGGTACGCTGTTGGGGGGTGGAATAGGGGAAGTAGATAGTAGGCAAAATAGCTTTTCCTACAATTATGAGTAGTTCATTAACATTTTTCTCCCTGGTATAATTCAGAGTATGTTTTGCCATACCCTGAGATATTGAAACAAGAGAATTGAGTTTTTAAAGATTTGGATTCATGTAGTACCTTTTCTTTAAACTTAAGCTCAGACAACTTTCCTGGAGATCACACATTCTTCAGCTTCCCAGCAACGACAACCCTATGGCAACTCTGATTTTAGTAATTAAATTTAACAAACATAATGTTTAGGATGAGAAACAGGTCCAGAACACATCCCTTCCTAAGCAACATAACCACAAAGCAAAATAAGGATAATATCTTAGGAAGCTGAGGATCTAAAGGGTAGAACTCTTGTTCTCTTCTCAGACTAAACAAAAAGTTGGAAATGAGAGACAGGACAGAAAAAAAAATACATGTTTTGGTAATATATATCCTTGGCTATAATTAGATTTGCTTCAATTTTTGTCCCTTAAACAAATACTCCATTGTTTTTGCATTTTTTCCTCTCATTTAAAAAATCTGGTTTCCTTTTGAACTTGATTCAACTCATTTAATGTAAAAAAAGTAACTGAAGGAAAATATATTTGGAAATGAATTAGCATTCTGTAGTCTTGAATTGCTTCCGACTTTCACTTCTGCAGTCATAATGAACTCATGCTCTTTTGTAGATTCTACAAATAATCTAAGACAAACATTTTTATACAGTTATGGTTCTTTTTTATTCAATGAGGCCAAACTTTACCTAAAATTATTTCCAAGCTGTGAAATCAGCTATTCTATTTTGGGCTTCCTGAGTGCTAGGACTTGTGAATCTGTTTTCATGGCATCTTTAGAAAGTGGCACTAATTAGGCCAGGTGCAGTGGCTCATGCCTATAATCCCAGCACTTTGGGAGGCCGAGGTGGGTGGATCGCCTGAGGTCAGGAGTTTGAGACCAGCCTGGCCAACATGGTGAAACCCTGTCTCCACTAAAAATACAACAGCAACAAAAAAATTAGCCAGGCGTGGTGGCACATGCCTGTAATCCCAGCTACCTGGGAGGCTGAGACAGAAGAATTGCTTGAACCTGGGAGGCAAAGTTTGCAGTGAGCCGAGATCATGCCATTGCACTCCAGCCTGGGCAACAAGAGCAAAACTTCTTCTCAAAAAAGAAAAAGGAAAGAAAGTGGCACTAATTGTGCTCACTTTGCTATTTTTATAGTAGTTTTAGTCTCAGAATAATCATGTATCTTTTATTGAATGTGTTACACATTGAAAATAATGTCAGTGTTTTCTGTTTCTCACAGATTACTTTAACCTTATCGAGAGCCAGCTGTCTGTGTGTGCTACTAAATTTAGCAGAAGGAACGAAGGAACATCATGAATCTCTGCACAAATGCTCCATTGGTCAATCTCAGCCATTGTGCAGTGTGTTTCTTCCTTTAGCATCAATTTCTTTGAGTTTAACATAAGTCCTGCACCCCAAAACAGTGCATGAAAGTGCTCTTTGGTTCATACCCTTTCCCTCTGTAGCAGACATGGTAACAGAGAAACCTCATGGTTACGGAGGCACAATACTACTACTGTAGTCAAAGTCTATTGCCTTCATTATCTTGCCACATGCTGGTGAAGTATCAAGCCTGAAACAATGGCTGATAGACTATAATAATATTTTTACCACAAAAATCTTGTTTCTACCAGAACATTTTAGTACAACTTAACCTTTTTTTGTAACTAAAAAAATGCTACAAATATGGCAAATTTTCTACAGCCCTGCATAGTGATGGGGTTTCATGAAAAATGGCCAAGAAAATTCCCCTCTGTGCTTTATTGGAGTGTAACAGGCTCAATTTCATCATTAGTTTGTGTTTCTGAATTATTATACATACAGGCCTGAAAGAGTCCTTGAGAAGTTATGGAGCCCACCCTCTCATTCTTGGCAGGACTGTACCTAAACCATCTAAGATAAATGATTGTTTACTCTATTCTTTAATACACCCAAGGGAAAGAGATTCCTTAAACTTTTCAGAAAACACATTTCAGCATCTAACAAGACTTATATAGCCAGGGAATCCTAATGTTAATCTCATTAAAATTTCTACTCATTCCTCTTCTTATGTAATTGTGAGTACGTTGTACAGCTGGTCATTGAATTGATTTGTTCTTTAGAAAGTTGACAAAGCATCATGGAAAACCAAAAAGAACACTAAACTGCAAGTCAGAAGGCTCCTAGCTTTACCATCAATTAGTCATATTATTTTGCACAAGGTATTATCTGACACCAATTTTATGTTTTGCACGCTGCGAGATGGGACTGGATGAGCTCTATGATATTCTCCAACTATTTTTTAATGTTGCCTCTGTGACTATGACATTTATTTCTTTTGCAAAAATTACAAATAAATATTGAATGCGTATTCACTCTTAGCTTATTATTGTTTCTAAAATATTTCATGAGTGATTTGTTATCTTGAAAACCTTAAGCAGTAACATCTAGTTCTAGAAGTTTCTTAATTGGGCACTTGATGAGAACTTCCCGTTCTAAAAGTTTTTTAAATAAGAAGTTAGTGAGAAATATTTTTCAACGAGAATACATTAATTAGTGATTTATTAGGACTTGAACCAAGTGATGCAAAGTGATGTTAGAATGATTGTGATCCTATATCTTTAAAAGAACCAATAAAGGTATTCAGTATATGTCCTGATAATTGATGAATGTAAACAGTGTGCTGGCCTGTTTTATCCTGAAAGAAAACCCATCTTTCATGTAGTTCCGCCAAATATTATGGGAGAAGAACAGAATGTCTCTGTCCTCATTAGCCAAGCTGTGGAATTACTATGTCAAAGTGATGCTATTCCCCCACCTACTCTTACTTGGTTAAAAGACGGCCACCCCTTGCTGAAGAAACCAGGCCTCAGTATATCTGAAAATAGAAGTGTGTTAAAGGTAAGGATATGGATTCATTTATTTTACCTTATGTTATTAGAAGTTCATGGTTTTGGTATTACCCTATTTAGCGTGACTGTCTTTTATAAGTGTTGGACTAATTTTCTCTTACAAAATTCTAGGAACCCTTTTATTGATGAGGTTTGTAATATTTAAAAATTTTTTTGTTTAGTGAGATTTAAGTATTTGTCATCCATATCCAGAAATGATCCCAAAAAAATGCTTCCAGGAAAATATCATAGAAATAATCCAAGGTGTGCCTCACCTTCAGTCTTCCAGCCAATCACCAAGTGACCATTTTAGGTGCTCTGGACAAAGATGCAAAAAAGTCATGGTGACTCACACCTGTGATCCCAAAATTTTGGGAGGCCAAGGTGGGCGGACCACTTGAGGTCAGGAGTTCGAGACCAGCCCAGCCAACATGGTGAAACCCTGTCTCTACTAAAAACACAAAAATTAGCCTGACGTGGTGACATGCACCGGTAATCCCAGCTACTTGGGAGACTGAGGAAAGAGAACTGCCTGAACCCGGGAGGTGGAGGTTGCAGTAAGCCAAGATCACACCACTGCACTCCAGCCTGGGTGACAGAGCAAGACTGTCTCAAACAACAAAAAAAAAAATGCAAAAGAGCATGACACTCTTCATGTCCTTGATGTCTTCCAGTCTCATGTAAATACATAACAAATTAACAATTTAGTTGAAAAATGCAATGAGTACTGTAAGTCTGAGTCAATTACCAACTGGATGGTACAGATAACACATTTTAGGGGGTGGCAAAAGGTGAGGCTCTGGTTGCCAGGATTAGTGTTGAAAGACTAGTGTTTTAACGGTAGATGAGATAAAAAGCAAGGGAAGCAAGTCAGCTAGTTTGGCTGGAACAGATAATTTAACAAAGTGAATGTTTGGAAATAATGTTGAAAAGGTTGATTTGAATGAAATACAGTGTGACATTGAAAGTCATCCTAAGGAATTCAGATTCAGGAGGACAGAAGACCACCGAATGTTTATAACACTCTCATAATAACCCAACAGAGAAATCAAAAGATCAGGTAAGTAATCTGCCCACAGTTACTGAAAGACAGAAATTGGATTAGAACACCCAGACTATGGCTTCAGAACCCATGCTACTAACCACCACATAGCCTCTTGCTAAAGGAATGTTTATTACTGATAAACAATGAGAGTCTTGAGAAATAGATGACGGGCAGTAAGCTGGGCAGCTTACCCAAGGAAGACAGAAGCATGGGTGTGAGTGAAAGGGAGCATGAAGGAGTATGTTACGGGCAAAGGATGGAGATCTTAGGAATTATGATTCTATAATAATGGAGCTGGGTGAGAAAGAAAAGACCAGAATCACTGCTGAATGAAAGAGGGATGAGCTAATTGAACTACACATGAAAAAAGAAGAAGAAGAAAAGGCATTGCCTATTCTCAGGGGCAGAGCCCAGCATTCTAGAAAGCATCTGGTAAAGTTCTCAAACCTTAACTCTGACCAAATGACAGAGGGATACAATTGCATGAATGCAAATCTCAGTGAGTACAGAAGTTCGTCACGTTGAGGGGTTTAGGGAGAAGATCAGAGGAATGAAAACTTTTATGGAACACAATCCTAATTAGTCAGTTAAAAGTATCTTACCTATGTACTACCATTCACACACATCTCTAACAAAATCAAGTAATAGAATCTTACCATTTTGTTTTGCCTGGTACACACTAGGTGCTCAATAAATATTAATCCCTCCTCTCTATTATTCCCTCCCCAACTCTTTCTATGAGACATGCAGGCCTGTGCATACTGACTTTAAGAACTTGGAACCCTAGATCTGAGTGAGCCTGCCACGAATTTGTGACTCTGAGCAAAGATCTTTTAATTGATTGAGTTTCCTTATCTGTAAAATGAGAAGGTTGGATTTTATGTCCTCTTTCAAGCCTAATATTCTTTGGTTCTCCATGTGTGCTTTTAGCTAATTCCAGCTCTATTGTTCACACCAATTGATTAATAAGTGTTTATTGACTGGCTTCTGTGTACCCCTGCTAAGCCAAGTGCTTCAAATGATCACTCTAACTTCAGTGATCATTGAATGTTTTAGAAATTATTGATTGCAAACTTAGTTGGCAATAAGTCCCATACTGCTTGTTATATCTTTTGTATTATCTTGTGTTATTACTTAAATATTATTTATTAAATTCTTTTTTATGTTCACATCCTTTATATTCTCAACTGGATTGCAAACTTAAATCAGAAACCATATGTGACATTATATCTCTTTATATCTCCTACCTACACTACCTAGCACAAGGGTTGTAATAACTGCAGATGGTCAATGGATGAATCAGCATTGATGCAAGTTGTACATAAATACATGAAAAATATTTACTGATACTAATTCATCTGCCAAGCACCAAACTGGGTAGTAGAAGAATGAGGCTAATGTAATATAATACTTAGCTTAAAGAAGCTTACAAACCTAGCATGGGAGAAAGATAAATGTAATATTATTGGTCTCAAGAATAAGGCTGTTATTTTACTGGACAGTTTCCTAGATGTATAAGGATTTCATATTTTAAAGTCTTAAATGACTTTATCAGAAATTGTACCTTTTCGTTTTTTCTGAATTGTATTTAAAAGACTGTTCTAGACCCTCAACCCCTAATATAAACCAGATTAAAATAAGGTATGGCATAGATGAAAATGGTTGAATCTTGTTGTGTTGAAACTGGGTGATGGGTATATAGCCATTTATATTGCTATTTTGTCTATTTTTTATATGTATGTGAATCTTCAGAATAAAAATAAGAAATAGATCACAAATAGTATTAATTAAAAAACCCCAAGTGAAATAGAAAGTGTGATTTCAAAGGATGATTTTGTTTTCAGATTGAAGATGCTCAGGTTCAAGACACTGGTCGTTACACTTGTGAAGCAACAAATGTTGCTGGAAAAACTGAAAAAAACTACAATGTCAACATTTGGGGTAAGTGTAATCAGCTCTTGAAAGCAAATAATGCAGCTGTGGTTTTTTGTGTCACTTAAAATGACATTCATCCATGTAACTAAAACTGATTATAATAGGTAGATGAACAACAATTAGTACATTTACATGGTGCTGAACTGTCCTGGGTATCAGTTCATATAACTACTTCGAGAGTAACTCTAGATGAACTTTCTTGTAACTTAGATGTTGAAGGATTCTCCTCATCTGCCTGAGTAGTAATGTGCCCTTTGTCTTCCACAGCCAGCATCTCGTAATGATTGGGCCTTCTCTAGTAACTACTGGTGGGTTCGTCAATGGAAAGAAAATAAGCCAAAAGGCCAAATTATATATGTGAACTGTGTGTGTGTATGTGAGAGAAAGAACATGGGCGCTTGCGTGGTGGGAGATAGGATTACTATGATAATCAGGGAGAAAAGCTATTCTAAGTTGAAATTTTACCATTTGTTACTAATTAAGGTAATTCTCATACATAGTCACAACTTGAGTCTCAGCTGTGGCTATCAGCTAAAAAGCATTCCCATTTCCAGTATACTCACCTGTATTTCACATACTTTAAAAAACTCATTTATAACTTATTCACTCGTGTGGTGGGAGATGGGATTACTATAATAACCAGGGAGAAAAGTTATTCTCAGTTGAAATTTTACCATTTGTTACTAATTAAGATAATTCTTATAGTCACAACTTTTGCCTCAGCTGTGGCTATCAGCTAAAAAGCATTCCTATTTCCAGTACATTCACCTGTAATTTACATACTTTAAAAAACTTATAACTTAATAAGCCCTCTTCATTTTGATTGTATTTGTTTAAACTTTTTAATTATTGAGATTATAAGCTGAATTTACCTATGATTTATAGTTTATTCACATATTTTTAAATAAAAATAAAACTAGATGAAATAACTTTGTTCCAATGGAGAACAAATACTTTTTAAAATTTTGAAAGCATGCACTGATGTAGAAAATGACTTATAAATAAATGAGTATCATCTTTTAAAAATCCTTCAGGCAGGTTATGAGAAATGCTATTATACACCCTGTAAAAATTTACTATTAAATAGTAAAAGTTACTATATGGTAAATTTATATTCATTACATACTACTTATATGTAATTAACTTCTGTTCCTGCCTCTTTTCACCCATTTTCCCTCTCCACTTTCCCTTCCCTTCTGTCCTCATTTCTTTCAGATGGGAAAAATATTTATTATTTATATCTAGTTCATTTATTTAATAATTTATTTAATATTTATATCTAGTTCCCAATATGGACAAGACACTAGGCTAAGTGTTATCAAGTAAAGATGAGAAAAAAAAGAGAGAAAAAAGAAAAATTAGGAGTGATGATCAATTAGAAACTGAGGTGAAGAATTCCTTTTTCATATGCAATATTTGAGGTACCTGTGGACTATGTGAAGCTGTCCTCCCTGCAACCAGAAATAGAAACTTATCATTTAGGTGAAATAAGAGTTAAAAACATAAGGTTGCAATGAAATCACTTGGAGAAGGTAAAAGGAATGTATACAGAAGAGTACGCGATAGGATGGCTCTCAGGTGTACCATATAAGAAGAGAGCTAGTAAAAGAGACTCTAGATAAGAAACTGAGAAGGAAGAGCCTAAGAGGTCAGAGGAAAACCCAGTAAAAAAAAATGTGCCATGGAAACTAACGACAGTGTTGTTCTCAGAAGAAAACAATGAGTAAGTTTGATATGGATGAATGGATGGGTGAATGAGTAATATTACATATTGCAGAAAAGTCAAATTAGTCATAAACTAAAAAACATACTTTACAAATATGCAGACCAGTACCTCTTAAAGAAAAGCAGTGTAATAGTGGAAAGCAGAATGCAGTAGATATAAGAATGAATGATAAGGGAAAAAGTTGAGACATCAAAGATAGATTCACTTAAAAAATACTTACATTATGCTTCCATCTTCTAGGCGCTATGCCATGTGTGGACATAGAGCAATTAGTGAGAAAGACAATGATGTTGTTCTCACGGAACTTATAGTTGGCTGGTGGAGAAATATCTTTAAATAGTCAAAATTAAAATTAAACCTCCTAAGAGCTATCATAGGTGGTTATGTAGAAAAGCATATGAGACACGTTTAACTGAGCCCTTAAGGATGAATAGGCATTAACTCTGTGAAGAGGGTAAAAGCAATGCAAAGCCCTGGAGAACACTGTCTGTATTCAATGAGCTTAATATCATTCATTCTGGAGCCTAGTGTGATGCAAGGAGAGAGAGGAGATGGTAGATAAAAAGGTAAAAATAGGCATATTGAAGAAGGCCTCTTAAATCAATTTAAAAAGTATAGATTTGATTCTAAAGGTGATAGAATAAACTAAAGGGATTTAAAGAAGGACCGGATGCTCAGGTCTGTATTTTAGAAGAAAGCAGACATATTTAATAAGTTGAATCAACATGATTAAGTTGATTAGATTAAGAAGTGTGGAAACAAGAAGGGTAAAGGAGGGATGTCTGTGTCTTTCCCTCAGAGAAGGAACAAAGAGGGTTGAGTTCAGTTTTGGACAAGTCAAGTTTGACAATGCTTCTAAGGCAACCAACTTGAGATGTTAAGTAGTTAGTTGGATATTAAAGTCTAGACCTCAGAGAGGGTCTCCATTACAGATATAGCTTTTCAAGTATTTGTATTAATGGAAGCCATGGGGGTAGAGAAGGGTAGAGTTTAGAATGGAGATCATAAATTTATAGTAGTGGCAATCTATGTAATTGTGTCATTTTCTTCTGGAACTTTCAGTTTGTGGTATCAGTGACAAACAGAGTAAACTGTAGGACTCATCCAGAGTAAGAGTATTGACAAATAAGAAGGCAAAAGGTATAAGGTAGTTGAGAATATTGACAAATATTGATTATGAAATCTAAGCTGAGTAGAGAAGTCGGTAAACAGAAGAATAGGCAGCTGGATAGGGGGACTTCTGAGAAGTGAAAGCACTTGAGATTCAGTTAAGTCAATGGGAATTGACTTGAGAATTGGGAATAATTAAGTGAGAGCAAAAAGAACAGAGAAGTTGTCAGAGGCCTAAACTTATAAACTTACAGGAGAAATGTTCTAGATGATGGGAAGGCCTATGGTATGGCTTCTGATGGAAAATGGGATGGGTAGATCAATAACTGAGTAGACAGAGTATTTAGACTGGTTATACATGTGGATGCTGGGTTCATACAGAATGATGGCAGGGCTTAGTATGAAAAGTGTAAGAACACATATCAAACTCTTCAGTGAATAAAGGAAGAATGACAGGTTTACAGATGGTAAAAAGAGAGAGAGAGAGAGAGAGAAATAAATTGGTTATATGAGCCTCAAAGGAATAGAGGCTTTTACATGGGATGGTTGAACAATGACTGGAAGCCACACTGGGGGTAAAGGAGGATTCTCCCACTCCTCAACTCTCAGGATCTTGGAAGAACAAGCCGTCTACCAGCTGACAGTCCTGCAGCCAAGGAAGTGTCCTTAAGGAGAGTTCAGCCAGCATCTGCAGACTCCAGCGCCTTTGAGAAAATCATGGGTAGTCAGTATTCACTTTGAAGGTTCCAGAGAGAAGCTGTAGGCCAGTAGAGAAGCAGACTGTGCAATCTGAAATATGCAGTATGTCCTTTGTTTAGATGAAACCCCTTGCCTCTGTTCTTTAGTATATGTTGTATGCCTTATGTTTCCAGTTCTGTTCACTATTTGAGATATCAAAGCTAGCTAGGCAACAGTGACTGGGCTAAGTTTAAACTTGGTAGGTACTTTAGCTTTTTGATGCAAGGTGTCTAAATATCTTGCATCAAATATACATTTTTCTAATAGCTATATGAGGTAATATATTTTGTAAGTTATAATAAAGTAGCTTCTTTTTATGCCATTCTGAATATTTTGAAAAATTTATATCTGTTTACATGGGAAGTCTGCTATTAGCTATTTATGCTACATCTTACAGGTGACTTTTAATTTGATGTTGATGTCAACCTCATATGACAATTTCTTCCTTATGTCATTTGAGTAGAAGCCTTTTATCTTACATGTAAACTGTTATGAGAATTCTATATGAAATGAGTGGAAAAATCATATTTTTATTTTTTTCTAGTCCCCCCAAATATTGGTGGTTCTGATGAACTTACTCAACTTACAGTCATTGAAGGGAATCTCATTAGTCTGTTGTGTGAATCAAGTGGTATTCCACCCCCAAATCTCATCTGGAAGAAGAAAGGTCAGTTTTCATCCTTGAAATTTATAAAATTAAAGAAAATATAAGATGGATATTGATTTCGTTTAATAAATGTGTTAGATTATAAACAAATTTTCCTGGGGTTTGCATACTAAATGCTAGACAGCAAAATTGCTTTATATTAAATGTGCAACATGTGATACTTCTACACTTCCCAGCTGAAATTTTTTATTTTTAAGACTCTTAACTCCTCCCTGGAAAAAAATAATTTTCTGCATTAATTGATTATTTTTTACTCAAATACATTATAGGGCAGCTATAAACATCGAGAATCCGTCATTCAGAAACTATATTTTCTTCTTTAAAATGAGTTTTAAACTTCCTGGGTGATTGGTTCAGTCATACCCCAAACCTCAGCATCACACAATAGATCTACGTAATAAACCTGCACTTGTGCCTCCTGAATATAAAATAAAAGTTGATATTAAAAAGTAACATTTTTCTGTTTGTGACAGTTTTCAATGTACATTAAGACTGAATTCTGCGTTTGACCAGATTTTCAATTTATTTATCAACAACTCCTTAAGCCCACTAAGTGGCAGAAAAATCATTTAAATTTTCAGTTCATTTAAATATTACTGCTCCTTCATTTTACACACTAGGGCAGGATTATTTTACAGTGTCATTTGCCTTTTATATACTTGAACTGAATAAACAAATGTCATACTTGGCAATGTATACAAAATGCTTTACATTTCTGCCTCATATTCTGCCATTTGGACTTCTTTGTAGGCTCTCCAGTGCTGACTGATTCCATGGGGCGAGTTAGAATTTTATCTGGGGGCAGGCAATTACAAATTTCAATTGCTGAAAAGTCTGATGCAGCACTCTATTCATGTGTGGCGTCGAATGTTGCTGGGACTGCAAAGAAAGAATACAATCTGCAAGTTTACAGTAAGTTGTTGATTAGCCAGGCTTTGGCAAAATGTTCTCTTAAATCTTTTCATCCTTCTCATTTACTTTTAAAAATATCTTTAATGTTCATTCAAAATGGTATGGTTGTAACTATCATATGACACACACATTTAAATTGTGCTGACATAACTGGAGAGCAATTACTTCCTTCTGGCTGTTATTCGGCATTACAGCTGTCCACTCTGCATTAGCTCACCAATGACAGACACATCAATGTGGCTGTAATTTTGTTGGGGACAGATAGTGGACATGTGGAGGGGGAAGGGGGAGCATTTTAACATAGGGGATATTTACAATATGTAAAAACATTTTATTTTAAAGAATATTTTACTCGTATAAGATCTTAGAGTGCTTAAGATAGTTATATACTCATTTAATCTTCACATGAGCTGTTATATAAGACAAAACTGTCGCCTCCATTTTGTGTATGTGGAAATTTAAGCTCCAAGAGGTTTTGTTGGTTGAACAAGGTCGCGTGGCTTGTGTGTGGTAGGACTGGCACTAGGACATTGGATTACTGACACTGGCCTACTTTTCTTCCCACACACATATGTATTAGAATTGATCTAATTTTTGTTCCTAGAATCAGTGACACGTGAATTCAGCTTCAAGTAACAGAATAACTGGTTGTCAGTGGCTTAACCAAGTAAAAGTTTGTGTTCTCACATAATGAGAAAGCAGAGGTTAGCATTGGTCACTGGAGCTGGTCAGCAGCTTAATTGTATCAGCATAGGAGCTCTGGCATTCTACTGGTCCCTCCTTCATGGTCTCAAGATGGTAGCTGTTATTGTGGTATCAATTCCACATGGAAGGCAAGAGTAAGGGAAAGGGCTGGTATCTTTCCCTTTTATTAGGAGAGCAAAAAATTTTCCCCAAAATCCCCAGCAGACCTCTGTGTAGGTTTTATACACCTAAATTCATTCATGTGGTTACCCCAGTTTTCCAACAAGACTGAGAAACCATCTCAGTTTTTCCAACTCATATTGTAAAAGGGAGAAGGGATAAAGGAGTTAGTAACAGACATTGGGTTGTAAGCTAGGCTACTATATCTATTTTAAATAAGTATTAGGAAGACTTACGTAAGGCAGGGCTACAAGTGATAAGTTCAAATATTTGTATAGCTTCTCAAAAGTGGGAAGTTAGTGAACACAGCAATCTTTACTTACTGTGTCAATAGCTTCATTTTAGGTATGAACCCACTTAACACATTGGAGAAGAATTCCGCCTCTCAGCATAACATCATGTCTGTTAGTCCTGGGTCTTTTCTTTAGTTATTTATATTTTAACATAAAAATATATTTAAGTTTGGCTGATGAAAATTCCTATGTAAGACTTGAAGCAAACATTTCCTCTTTTGTTTCTTTTTATCTTCCTCCAACCCTCAGTTAGACCAACCATAACCAACAGTGGCAGCCACCCTACTGAAATTATTGTGACCCGAGGGAAGAGTATCTCCTTGGAGTGTGAGGTGCAGGGTATTCCACCACCAACAGTGACCTGGATGAAAGATGGCCACCCCTTGATCAAGGCAAAGGGAGTAGAAATACTGGATGAAGGTCACATCCTTCAGCTGAAGAACATTCATGTATCTGACACAGGCCGTTATGTGTGTGTTGCTGTGAATGTAGCAGGAATGACTGACAAAAAATATGACTTAAGTGTCCATGGTAAGTAGAAAGAGGCTCAATATGTCCATTCACTGGCTAACGTAATCTAGCATCCTGGATGGGAGATATAGGCCTCAAGTACTGAAAGTCATTTATTTATAACCCATCATTTTAAACATATATACCTTTTCCCCAGGTCAGTCTCATCATTTATCCTTCTATGCCTGACCTCACATTATTTACCTTGCTGAAATAAGCGCATATTAGATATTCTTTAAGGAAAGCACACAGTAAAGTAGAAAATTGTTGTCTTCAAATGCTTTTGGTCCAATGCTATCCCAAGTAAAATCTGTTTTTTATGTTTTCCAAATTTGCTGACTTAACTGGGCTTGTATAAACGTAAGCTCCTTAGAATTTACTGACTCACCATCAGTTGAGCATGAGTTATACTGAAGTCAGCTTTAATATTCTAATTCTAATTAATAAGTCATAAATGTCAATAAGAATAGACCAAACATACACATACACAGGGACAATGACTTAGATGTGTACAATTTGAACTATAATTTTTATAGCTATAGGAACAATGGTAAATTTAATGGACACAAATCTTGTAATTTCAACTCAGTTAAGACATGCATGAAGCTCAGTGTTAATATCTTGCAGTTTGCAGCCAACGTGTGTGCCAAAGCTATAGGAATCACAACACAAAAGGGAAGATGAATTAATCTTAAGTTCTTTTTGTTGGATTACTCTTAATTTTTAGAATTAGATGATTGATTTTTTAGGAAATCTTTTCCTATAAGTAGGTTATGAATCCATATTACAAATTTGCAAGAAAAGATGAGTGATTCATATTCACAGTAGCAAAGACATAGAATCAGCCTAGGTGCTGATTAATAAATGGTGGATTGGATAAAGAAAATGTGGTACATATGCACCATGGAATACTACACAGCCAAAACTCATGTCCTTTGCAGCAACATGAATGCAGTTGGAGACCATAATCATAAGTGAATTAATGCAGGAATGGAAAATCAGATGCCTCATGTTCTCACTTATAAGTGGGAACTAAACATTGGGTACTCAAAGACATAAAGATGGCAACAGTAGACACTGGGGACTACTGAAGGGGAAGGAGAAAAGGAGGCAGGAGTTCAAAAACTAACTCTTGGGTTCTATGCTTACCACCTACGTGACAGGATCAATCATACCCCAAGCCTCAGCATCACAGAATATACCCATGTAACAAACCTGCACATGAATCCCCTTAATCTAAAATGAAAGTTGAAATTGCAATTAAAAAAAAGGGGGCGAGTGACTCATACAACATCACTCACCACTATTGGAATAACAATATGAAAATAATTTACTGCTAAGATTGAGGAAGAAGTGACATTTTTACTTCCAGGAATGTCACACACACACACACACACACACACACACACACACAGCTGGTTGTTGTGATTGCTTATTTTGCTTACTATTAATCAGAAAATGGAAGTCTTATTAACATACACTGTTTAGGATTTGATGTTTGATATACAACATCAGGTATATCAAATGTATATCAGGCAACTAATATTTCCATTCCCTGTTTGTTTTATTTTGTCTTACAGCTCCTCCAAGCATCATAGGAAACCACAGGTCACCTGAAAATATTAGTGTGGTAGAAAAGAACTCAGTATCTTTGACTTGTGAAGCTTCTGGAATTCCCCTGCCTTCCATAACCTGGTTCAAAGATGGGTGGCCTGTCAGCCTTAGCAATTCTGTGAGGATTCTTTCAGGTATTAGAAATTCTGGTAGCCTTATAATCTTGTTAGCTTCATACGGCTACAATTTCTCCTTAATTTCAAATTGCTCAGTGTTTTTATTGTTTTATTTTTTAACCTACTGCTTACTGTAATATTCACTAATCATATTAAGAAAAAATATTTAAAAGGATGTAAGAAACTATATGAAAATGAGAAATCTCCAAATATCTCTAGACCCCTTTAAAAAACAAATCTTGGCACTCGCTGATTACGACAGTCATGGAGATGTCAAAGCATTCATGCTACAGTGAGCATCCACCAATTTGAAAATAATTATAGGAAGTGCTGAAATTGAATTCAAATTCTACAGTGAATCCTAGTATATAAAATACTTCTATAACCAAATATTAATATTTCAATGTATTCATGACTAATCTCAATGATGTTTACATTTCTAAAATGGGTAGTTTCCTGTGAGCTAAGACTTTATTTTCAAGAGATATTGATCATATTCCTCATATAATTTTGTGGGAAAATCTAAATAGCTTGTCATTTGTGGATCAATATAAGCGTAGAGAGAGGCAAGCTGCAGAAATCTGCACTTGGCCCATTTTATTAATGACTTGGTTACAGACTAAGATAATCTTGCCAAGTTTTTGGTTAATAAAAAGCTTAGATACTTAGAAAAATACCTAATGTGTGATTGAAGGCATCAAAATTCAAACACACCTCATGCTGGAGCTTTTGGGTTAAAGCTAACAAGATGAAGGTTAAGTAAGGCTCATGATGGCCCTCTATATAATTATCTGATTATGCTAATTTATGATCTCTTTGCACTTACGGTCAAACCAGTTATGAACTTATGGTGAAGTATAGCTTCAGAACTCTTAATATGAAAAGATGTCTGAATTGTGTTAGTTTCTCAGTATGCATTAATACAATGCGATTATCAAGACAACAAATGTAATATTTTGCCACATCAATAAACTATATTTTCTCCAATAAGAAAAGCAAGAGATCGTGTGCACTATAAACTTAGCAGAACTTATTAGAAAGACAAGAAGAAAGGCTTAATGACAGTATTTGCAAAGGAAAATAACTATGATGGGAAATTATCACATAATGATTAATATGTCTGTATTTAACCTGGAAAAATAAATCTTGTGGTGTATTTGGTATCTAATCCAAAGTAAATTTAAATATTTGAAGAGCCATGGTGTAGAAAGGATTATGTTGTTTTTTTCTAGTTCCAGAGGTTAAAAGTAATGTCAGTATATGGAAGATTCTAGGGATAGATTTGTGTCTGAATATAAACAACTTAAAAGATTATTTAGCTTGCTTAAAATCAAGATGAGCTACTTTAAGTGGCAGTAAGCTCCCTTCACCTAAATGTGCTCAAAGTTTACATTACCACTACTGAAGGCATATTCAGAAAAGATTTTTTCCTAGTGCTGGAATTAGGTCTAAAAAACCTAAGTTCCCCCTGTTTCTTCCCGATCTTGGTTTATAACTGATAGGAGCTTGAGGAAGAATGTACATTACCATTAACCACATTTATTGTCTATAATACTCACTATATTTATGACCTCAGACTAGTTACTTAACTTTGCTAACTTCAGTTTGATAACTTGTAAAGCGATAATAATAGTATTTGCCTCAGGGTTTTTGTAAGGATGAAATGAGATACCTAAAACAGTTAACACAGCACTTGCTTCTATGGTAAGCATCCAATACCTATTTCTTGTTATTGTCATAGACAACCTGGTAAAAGGTTTGTGGTCTCCCTGTCCTGGGAAACTTTCCTATGTCCTTACTATGATGTTTTCACTTTGACAGGACTCTCAGTCTCTGTTGATCTTAAGAAATACATACTAATGACAAAGATTGTATTAAAATGTGGTTACCAAAGCCTAAACACATTATCTTCTTGGCTTGAAATTATATTCATCTTTCTGGCTTTTTAAAAAATGTTCACTTGCTAAGGAAGTAGGGACTCTTATTAAATATAGTAAGTGCAGCAGAGCTCCTGGAAGTGAAAAAGGCAAGCTAAAGTGATGTGCTCTAGCTTGTTACAAATTTACAGAAGTGGTGTTTTGGTTTTATTTATCTTTGTTGTGCTTGACTAGCAGCTGGAGATCCCTGAGTGAACACATGATAAGTATTTCACCTTGTGGTGCTGCCAAAGGAGTTATTCAGTTTAACAGTCTGAACATGTTGTGTTGTGCAATAGGTAAATGAGAATCGAATGGCATATGTCTTGCTTGGTCTTCAGTCTCCTGTACATGCCTATTTCATTAATATTAGTCCTCCTGAGAATTTAAGCATAGCTTTTCTAAAAGCAGTACTTTGGTGAAGACCCTATCATTGTTATGAAGTTATCTGCCAGAAACAGATAACTGTTATAAAAATTTAATAGGTACAAGAAACGTCTCCATATAAGTATAATTTACTGTCAGAACCCATTTTTGGTTTTCACTGGATTAAGCGAGAAGTCCATGAAAAAAGAGAAAAGGAGAATCGTGAAACTTATGAGGTTGACGTTTGTAGAGCCAGCAGTGATTCATAAAAGTTGTATTGCTTTAATACCTCTCAACTGGAATCATATTATGATCTCACTAATCTGAAGTGGCAGTGAGTGCTTGAATCCTTCCCTAATTGACATAAGTTTTTAAAGCATTTTTACTTTTTAAGTAAACAAAATTTCTGTTTACTTAAATTCAATTGGGAAAAAAAGGCTAAATTCAGGTAATTAGCTTTGTTTGTCTAAATAAGATACTACTAAGTTCACCTTTCAGTGGGTTTAGGGTGGGAAGGTTGCTTATAGAAAAAGTTCAATGTCAGCTTGTGTTTACATAAACAGAAAACAGATAGAATACCCCTGGGAAACCAGACCCAGGTGAACATTTACATGAAAATTTCATGTTAACCATTATACTGTTTTTAATTCAAATTCAGGGTGCTAAGCAAAAATATACCAGCTAGAAAATTATTACACAATCCAATAAATGACCTACTTTTTTGTTGGACCTTACTCCTCAAATGGTGCCCAGGACTTTGTTCTCTCAGTGTCTCTTAGTTCTCTGCAGGTTTTGTTTCATCTCATTTGTTGGCTCCTCTGCTTTTATCTTTAAATAGAGTTCTCCTCCAAATTACACCCCCAGTATATTAGAGTTTCACTTTCAGTCTACATACATTTCTTGGATGAATATTTCTTCAAACAAAATGTTACATAGATGTTCAAAATACAAAAAGAAGCAAAAGCAGTGTATCACTAGTGCATGAAGTGACCCCATAACATTTTATATAATGTAGGATTCCATGAAGCTTAATTGAAAGCTGGTAGTCTTCATTCTCCTATCTTCCTTATATTAGGTTGGTGCAAAAGTAATTGTGGTTTTTGCCATTGAAAGTAATGGTAATATATTGATGTCACCCAAATCTGGGTGTCTGGGCTGGTTGTCTTTCTGATATTCCCATATTACATGTTCAATGGAAAACTAGGACTCTTTTCCTAACCATCTGATCACAGGTGTCTTTCTAAGCACGAATCAGATCATAAGCCCTGTTTGTTTATACACTCCATAGTCTTTAGTGAGTGCAATAAAATCTAAATTCCTTAGCATAGCATTCATGGGCCCATACAATCTGGCCATACTCCATCTAGCCTCATCTCTTACCATTTTCTCCACCTGCTCTGCTTTTGATACCACTTCTCACACCTACTTTCTACCTCTATCTATCTCTTCATTCATACTCCACTCACAATAGCATCTGTATTAGTCTGTTCTCACACTACTGTAAAGAAATACTCGAGATTGGGTAATTTATAAAGGAGAGAGGTTTAATTGACTTACATTCTGCATGTCTGGGGAGGCCTCAGGAAACTTAAAATTATGGCAGAAGGGGAAGCAGGCACCTTCTTCACAAGGCGGCAGAAGAGAGAGTATGTGAAGGAAGACCTGTCAAACGCTTATGAAACCATCAGATCTTATGGCAACTCACTCACTATGATGAGAACAGCATGTGGGAAACCATTCCCATGATCAGGTCACCTCCACCAGGTCCCTCCCTTGACCTCCCACCAGGTCCCTCACCAGGGGATTATGGGGATTACAATTCGAGATGAGGTTTGGGTGGGGACACAGAGCCAAACTATATCAGCATCTCTCAACTCGTGTTAAAATATACTTATCTTTTAAGATCATATTCAAACATCACCTTCTCTGTGAAACAACATTTCTTGCTTGCTGTCACCTAACATTATATTTATTTTTTTATCTATTGAACTAGAAGATTTTTCTGAACTATTTTGTTTTATAGAAGTTTAAAATGTGATTTTTAAAAAAGCTTAACATAAATTCATTTTAAGGGCCTCTAAAGCATACTGATTAAATTTTTACCGAAATTGAGCATCACTTGGATGGCTTATAAAGTTTCATTTTTCTTTTTAAGTTATCTTAAAAAGATGGTTTGCTTCTGCAGGAGGCAGGATGCTACGGCTGATGCAGACCACAATGGAAGATGCTGGCCAATATACTTGCGTTGTAAGGAATGCAGCTGGTGAAGAAAGAAAAATCTTTGGGCTTTCAGTATTAGGTACTTATATAGTTTGCAATATCTAGAAGAAACTTAAATTGCCTTAAATCCTGGAAGCAGAGTTAAAATTTATTTACCACTTGATCTCATACCTGTGTTATTTAGACCCTGGACTGTGACTCTTGGCAAGAATTCAATATCAGAATTGTTTGGAGGTAATCAGGCAATCGTTTGGGGGAATTAAAATGCCTGTTTTAATTCACAATTGCTCAACAATATTCTGAGAGGCTGAATGACTTGTTTAATGTGAATACATATTAGAGTTATAGTGGAAGAAATAAAAGTCAAATAAATGTTCTTGGTGATTTGTTGACATTTTTATGCAGACTTAATGATTTACATTACAATAAAATTCATTATAATTGGATTTATGACTTTAAAAGTAGACTTGATCAAAATAATATTATGACATTCTAGCAATCAAATAATGAATGTGGATTGGGGGATTTGTTTTGAAGGTTATAGCTTAATAAAACCATACATAAATATCTATAAAATAGCAGCTTTGCTGTTAAGAGCTGTTATTTTGTTGTTGTTGTTGTTTTTTAGTACCACCTCATATTGTGGGTGAAAATACATTGGAAGATGTGAAGGTAAAAGAGAAACAGAGTGTTACGCTGACTTGTGAAGTGACAGGTATGGGCTCAGCTCTCAGACTTTTGGTGCTCCCCCCACTCACTGATAGTCATTGCCTCCACTATATATCTTAAAAATTTTTTATATATTTAGGGGGTACAAGTGCGGTTTTGTTACATGGATATATTGAGTACTGGTGAAGTCTCAGTGATGGTAAACATTACCCAAGTAGTGTACATTTTACTTATTAGGTAATTTCTCATCTCTCAATCCCTCTCCCACCCTCTCACCCTTCCTAGTCCCCAAGGTCTATTATTTCACTCTCTATGTCCATTTGTACACATTACTTAGCTCCCATTTATAAGTTAGAACATACGATATTTGACTTTCTGTTTCTGAGTTATTTCACTTAAGATAAAGGCCTCCGGTTCCATTCATATTGCTGCAAAAGACATGATTTCATTCTTTTTATGGATAGGTAGTATTCCATGGAATGTGTGTGTGTGTGTGTGTGTGTGTGTGTGTGCATATATATATATATATATATATATATATATATATATCACATTTTCATTACCCAACCTCTGTTAATGGACACTTAGGTTGATTCCATATCTTTGCTATTGTGAATAGTGCTCTGGTAAACATACTAATGCAGGTATCTTTTTGTTATGACTTATTTTCCTTTGGGTAGATATTGAGTCCCACTATATATTAATCAGTTGAGGAAAAGTTCAGCTACTATAATTGGCATTTGAAATTAAATTCTAGTCCAGTATAGCTGGTAGAAATGTAGGAGGAAACCTTTCAAATTCTGTGGAGACAAAAAGGAAATACCAAAAAGAAAAGAAGGGAAGAAAGAGGGAGTGGGGAGGGAGAAAGGAAGGGAGGGAGGGAGGGACGGAGAGAGAAGGAAGGAAGGAAGGAAGGAAGGAAGGAAGGAAGGAAGGAAGGAAGGAAGGAAGGAAGGAAGGGAGTCTTTTCCTTCAATTCAATAAATCATTCTCTTTTGAAAAATTATTCTGCTTCTACTTACATGTATGTTTATCTTGCCCTACCTTTTTAAATTTTTGTTTCCTTCCCTGTGTTTGTGCCTTCCTTTTCTTTTCCTTTTTTTCTTAAATTTCATTTCAAAGAAATAGGTTGGAGTTTTGGTGAAAGAATGACGTTATTTTGTAGTGGGGATTTTCCAAGAACAATATTGTTACCTTTTGTTAGCATGTTTGAATATTACAGAGGGAATATAGAGTAGGAAAAATAAAAATTCTAAAACCAGTTTCACCATCTTTACCAGTAAATTGATTTCTTGCATATAATCAAAATAAACACATCTCTAAGAGGATATTTTCAAGGCTGTCTTTTTATTGTAGATGGCCTTGCAGTTTTAAAGTAAGAATGAAAGTAGCCCATAACATTTTATGGAAAGTCAGAGTTTAAAGGAAGATTCAATGAGTTTCTTATTTCATTGTTTGTCTGCCTTATGTGAGCAATAAATTCAAATAAGCAGAGGGGGGAATGTTTCTATTTTAAGAAAGGCAGATATAAACAGTGTGATATATACTATTAACCTGTTAATAATTTTTTTCTAGAAATAATATAGTAATTTACAACAGTTGCATAGACAAGCATTGCCTACATTTTATAAAATCCTCTCTTCAAGCTAGTATATCATCCTAGCCCTCTTTCCTAACATGACTTGCTTTTATGGTTTTAAAATTTTTTTTAAGTATTTGAATAATTTAAAACTTAATATTTAACATAGATCTCATTTGAAAATAAAAATACAGGATCTCTTCCTAGAGGCTGTAAATATTAAAGAATAATTAATATATTTTTATCTCTATTGATCAGTTCAATATTCTTCCATCTATCTATGATAGAATCCTGGTATAGACTCAAAATATCTGCATGTTGAATTAATTAAAGGTTTTGCTTTTTTACAGCTTTTTGTCAAAAATATAAAATCTTTTAGAAAATTTTTCTATGAGGCCAGGCACGGTGGCTCACGCCTGTAATCCCAGCACTTTGGGAGGCCGAGGCAGGTGGATCACAAGGTCAGGAGATCAAGACCATCCTGGCTAACACGGTGAAACCCCGTCTCTACTAAAAATACAAAAAAATTAGCCGGGTGTGGTAGCAAGCACCTGTAGTCCCAGCTACTTGGGAGGCTGAGGCAGGAGAATGGAGTGAACCCGGGAGGTAGAGCTTGCAGTGAGCCGAGATCACACCACTGCACTCCAGCCTGGGTCACAGAGTGAGACTTCATCTCAAAAAAAAAAAAAAAAAAAGTATATGAATACAAAGCTGTTCACGAATAATAGTTTTAATAAAAATGAATGCTGCATTATTTAAAAACTGTACTTTACTATCAAAATACTTAGTTGTAATAGTCTAAAAAATAGTATAAATTTAGTTATTTAGTTAAACATGAAGGTCAATTTAGAATCATTTTACTTATAGATGAACACTAACCTACATTTGAAAATGATTTATAATCTATGCATATTTTTAAAGTCAACATAACCATTATTATTATAAAATAAGTTAGCTTGCATAGTTATTTTTAAATGAATGATTACTGCCGTGTTTTAGACATGGGATATGTAGGAAGACAAATGAGTGAAAACCTCCTCTTTCAAAGTTTATTCATTCTATACATGTAATTATTAGCTGACTCTCAGAAATGGATTTTTACAGGGAATCCAGTGCCAGAAATTACATGGCACAAAGATGGGCAGCCCCTCCAAGAAGATGAAGCCCATCACATTATATCTGGTGGCCGTTTTCTTCAAATTACCAATGTCCAGGTGCCACACACTGGAAGATATACATGTTTGGCTTCCAGTCCAGCTGGCCACAAGAGCAGGAGCTTCAGTCTTAATGTATTTGGTAGGTGTGGGCTTTTCTTCATATCTTAAAGAATCTGACATGACTGTAGGCTAAATTTTCTTTTCTTTTTCTGTTCAAGTAATGTTTCCGTCGTAGAATTTCATCATGTAAGGAGGACCAGTGCTTGTGTACATTTACTATTTTTCCTGAATTAATTTATAAATTAATTTATGACATATGGAATACCTACTATGTTCTAGGCACAGTGTTTTGTGCTAGGGACACAACTCTGAATAAGATAGACTAATCAGTAGTAAAAGATAAAGATATGTTGGTCAAAGAGAAGCAGGTAAAGAGTGATTGGGTCTCAACCTGAGATATTCTATCCTTTTTTTTGTGAGACTTAGCCATTATTGGAAATTGGCCATATTATAGTCTTTGTGGACTAAGAGTGATGAAATACCTGTCTGTTGGTATGTTCAGTTCTGGCTTATGTCTCAGGAAAGACATTAAAATAGATTTTTAACTTGTGCTCACTTTTTGAAATTTCTACCCCCTAAATTTATTGTATTAGATTCCTAATATCATATAATTCTACTAAAATCAACTGACCTATATGTGAGTATGAAAATTTGTATAGTTGTTTGTTTTTATAGTTATTGGTTATACCATTTAAGGAGTACAAAGATACCACCATAGATAGAAACTTCTCATATTGAACACAGCCCTCAAGGAGCTGATAGTCTAATTGAGTAGGGGAGCTATATGTGCAAGAAAAATTACATCAAAATACCAGATACTGTATAAGTGTCAATATTGTATTGTGTGTAAGTGTATAAATTGAAACTTATAAATGTCATAAGTGTATAAGTGTATAAATTGACATACAGTATCTGGTATTATATATATGTTCATTCATTCATTCATTCATTCATTCATTCATTGAAGACTGAGGGATCTAGATCTGAATCAAAGCCCTTTTCCACCAACTTCATAAAGTAGAGGCTATTTAAGTGCATGTGTTTGCAACTTCCAATCTACCCGGCCAAAAGTCAGTGCCTTTACCCTTTCTTTTCTCAGAGGATAACTTATCCTTCTTGTTCAGTTACTCCTTGCACTTACACCCTCGACCCTGTATCTTTCCACCATCTGCCTTGCTTGCAGCTTCACCGTCTACTGTCTCCACCACTTCATATTTTAACCATGCCCAGATATATATACTTGCTGTCCTACTGAAAACAGGCTCTGTCTGACACTACTCTGGCAAGCACTTCCCTTTTTCTAGGTCCAGCAAATATCTTGCAGTCCCAATTTTAATGTTTTGTACATTTTGATCTCTTTTTTCCTTCACAATGCTCTTTCCCAGTTATCCTCACATATCTTTGTTTGCTCCCTTTCTCTGCCCTTTATGGAAGCTTGAGCCACCTCTTAAATACTGGGTTCCCTAGTGTTCTGTCCTTACTTCACTGCTTGTGTTACTCTACATATTCTCTTCAAGTAATACAATTCATTCCCAGATGTTTAATTATCTTCTATACACAAGAAACTTTTAAAAATGTATACCTGTAACCCAGATCTTTCTTGCAAGGTTCAAATTCCTATATAGAATTGCTTGTCGGGCATTTCCACCTGAAATTCCCATAAGCACTTAAAATACAAGATATTCAGAATGGAACAAACTATTTTCCCTTCCTAAATGAGCAAATCTTTCTACATTTTATATTTTTATGTTGCTTCTCTGCAGTTTAGGTTCCCAAGCAAGCAAACTGGAAGTTATATTTGACTTCAGTTTCCTTTAGCCCCCCAGTTTCCATAATCAAGTCCTGTCAGTAATGCCCTAAATCTTTCTTTACTTGCTCCTTCCACTTTATACCTTCCTTTAATGCTCTAGTTCAGTTCCTCGTTATATTTTATAAAACAAATGTACCTGTCTCAGCTATCCTTGCTTCCAATATTGATCCACTTGAGTTCATCCTCCCGATATACCCTGCTTGCCCCTCATTGCTTACAATTTAATACTACCATGCTCCCAACATGTTCCCTCTTACTAGTCTCTGCTTTCACCTGCTAACTACCACTGATCGTTTAAGGCTCACTTTAAATCCTCTTCCTTTAAGAGGCCTTCTCTAATGAGACCCTTCACACTAAACACCTCAAACTGGACTGGATGCTAACTCATTTCCAAAAAACCTCCATTTACCTTGCACCAGCATTCCCATTATTGCCCTTACTACATTGTGGTTTTTTTATGTGTTATGGTTCCTTTTTATGTGTCATCTCCTCCATTACCCTATGAGTTTTTTAAGGGATCACTCTTTTGTGTAAAATAATAATAATAATAATAATTTGTTTTCTGTAACTGCTAGGGAATGAAATTATACAAATACATATAATGGAAATTTAGAAATGCACAAATATACAAATTTCTACATATATTTCTTCAACAAATTTTCATCTTTTTCAGTATCTCCTACAATTGCTGGTGTAGGTAGTGATGGCAACCCTGAAGATGTCACTGTCATCCTTAACAGCCCTACATCTTTGGTCTGTGAAGCTTATTCATATCCTCCAGCTACCATCACCTGGTTTAAGGATGGCACTCCTTTAGAATCTAACCGAAATATTCGTATTCTTCCAGGTAATTCATTTGCTTCAGATGTCCAAGATGCATCTGCGTCATCTACTATTCTAGAAAAGCAGAATCATTGGTTACTTTTTATAAAAACACCAATGTTTTGTTGGTTGTGTTATGTTCTGTGCAGCCTGGTTCCTAATAGGCCACAGGCTGGTCCCAGTCCATGGCTCAGGGATTGGGACCCCTGCTGTAAAGTACTGAAAATTACTTTTTAAAAGATCAGAAGAATACCTAAATTAAAAGGCAAATAAATAAATGCCACAATGTAATTAACTGCTAAAATATATTATAATATGAATGCCAAAAAGGGTAGAAATTCATTCCTGATTAAATATTAACTCTCCTTCAAAGTTTAATTCAAGGTGAGAGAGTTTGTTCCTCTTTACTGCATGGAAATAGATAATGCAAATAAAAAGATAAAGGATTATTTCTGGCTTTAAGAGACTGACAGTCTTATATTGAGAAGAGGTAATATGTGCAAAGAGTTGATTAAGAATATGAATCTGTGAAAAATCATGGATTCTGAATAGTCAGGGGGTATGATAAATAGGGAAAGAGTTTTATAAGAATTCAAATGAAGAAGCTGGGTGCGGTGGCTCACGCCTGTAATCCTAGCACTTTGGGAGGCTGAGGCGGGCAGATCATGAGGTCAGGAGATTGAGACCATCCTGGCTAACACAGTGAAACCCTGTCCCTACTAAAAAAATACAAAAAATTAGCTGGGCGTGGTGGCACATGCCTGTAGTCCCAGCTACTCGGGAGGCTGAGGCAGGAGAATCACTTGAACCTAGGAGGCGGAGGTTGCAGTAAGCCGAGATCGTGCCACTGCACTCCAGCCTGGGCAACAGAGCAAGACTCGGTCTCAAAAAAAAAAAAAAAAAAAAAAAGACTTCAAATGAAGAAATGGGCACTGTAGGCTGAAGTGGTCAGAAAAAGCTTTGTTGCTTAGTCAGAACTTGGATGAGACTTTAATGAACATTCTAGAATTTAGTTGATTGGCAATGAGTTAGGAGAGGTTTCAGTTCCATCAGGGTAACCTGTGTGGGAAAAGTATAAAGTGAGAATGGCCTAGCCCTGCGCAATAGAATTCTCACCCACTACCCGAAACTTGAGTGGAAATATTGTGTGTATGTATGTTGGCAGAGGGGCAGGAAATAAGTTCAGCAAGAAAAGCTGGAGTCATGTTTTGAATGCCTGAATTAAGAATTAAGAGTTTTTACTTTATATGTTGGTCAATTGAGAACGATTGAAGATATTTAAGAAGGATAGGACCAAAATAAAAACTTTGCTTCAGCACAATTAATTTCTCCTGTAGGCTAGGTAGATAAGACGAAAAGATGATTAAGGCAGAAACCTATTTATGAAGAGGATGAAAGACCTTATGAAGGATCTTAGCTAGAGTGGTATACAAAGGCATGGCAGGTCTGAATGAGCATGAGAGTCATCACCACAGAGCACCACTGGGGACTCAGCAGCTGTCCTCAGATACCATGCAATCCCCATCAGTATTGCAGTTTATCTTATATCATATGTCCATCACAGAATTGTCATATGTAAAAAGAAATATGTTAACAAGAAGACGTAAACCCCTGATAGCCTGTGTGTACTCCACTGTCACTGTGATTTTAGAGACTCTTTGATGTCCCATGATTTTACAGGAGGCAGAACTCTGCAGATCCTCAATGCACAGGAGGACAATGCTGGAAGATACTCTTGTGTAGCCACGAATGAGGCTGGAGAAATGATAAAGCACTATGAAGTGAAGGTGTACAGTAAGTTCTGAAAGAATACTATGTTTCATAGCTTCCCCAATTTTTCTAACTTTTTCAATCCTGTTTTTCATTATGGGTTCATAATTATTTATACTCACCATTAAAGACTTGTTTGTGCAGCTTACTTTATTAAGGATGGAAGTTGAATTAAGCATTGTGTCTATGGCCTCAATTGCTTCAAGATGTGAAGAGCCTACTAAATCTGCTCATTACTCTCTGTTGGAGACTTTGTCAGTGGCATTTCCTTAAGTTTCTCTGTTTTTCCTTCTGAATTACCCTCTGGGTTGAGATGTAGTACTTTCATGTACAAAACTGTCGTTAGATGCATATGTTCTAATCAACAGCCCAAGATGAGGTCATTAGTGACTTTGAGCTATTCCAATGTACATTGACCTATAAATAAAAAGCAAAGCTAACACTGCCATTAATGGGACTCATATTTCAGAATTTTGCTTTTGTGTTTGTAAAGGAAGAGTATCTTTCTGATTATCTTTTGTTCTTTGACTTGGTACCCTTAATGACCAATAAGATACATTTTAAGGATCATGTTCAGACTATGTCTGTGGACCTGGAACAAATGAAGCTAACTGTTCTGTAAAGGACATTAGCTTTATTGGCAGTATCACATGATAAAGGGAGAAAGAGATTTCCTGTTCCATCTTGTATTTGAACACTCTTTCATAAGATGTTAACTTAGATACTTAATGAAAGGTCAGCATAGAATGCCTCTGTTATTTCCTTGTTTTCTTGATAAGTAATCCTCAGTGTGATTTCTGTGGTATTCCATGTATTGAAAATAACCAATGTCTAACTCTTTAATATTTATTTTATGCAGTTCCACCCATAATCAATAAAGGGGACCTTTGGGGGCCAGGTCTTTCCCCTAAAGAAGTGAAGATCAAAGTAAACAACACTCTGACCTTGGAATGTGAAGCGTATGCAATTCCTTCTGCCTCCCTCAGCTGGTACAAGGATGGACAGGCCAGTCACAACTTTTTTCATTTGCTGATGATTTCTTAAAGACTAAAATGGTCAATTGAAAAGAAATAATAAAATAGACACAAGTGACTCAGAGAATCAATGTGATCTTAAAACTAGCAAATGCCATGCTCCTAGAATCTAAAACTTAAAAAAAAAACCCAACCAACCTGAAGGATGTTCAACAATTTTAGCATTATTCCATCACTGGAAAGTTTGCATAATTATTTTGTAATTGTATTTGTATATTAGCAGTTAATTAATATACAATTGTAATTGTATATTAGCAGTTGTCTATGAAAATCTGGCCACCCTCCCACTGGAGAAGTTAGGGAAACAGTTCTTTTCATTTTTTTGCTGTTGTTATTTTGCAGTTTTACAGAATAAGTAAACCAGGTAAAGAAGCAACACATAAATGTTGCTATCCCGGGTTAGAATGACAGGTATAACATGGGTACTAAATTTACTAAAGTTACTCAGATATTCTTTAAGTATCTTTAACTCTTTTACAAAAGGTAATGTTTTAAAATATTCCAAGATGAAGACAAAAAGCTAAAAAAGATGATGAAGGGCCCAGTACAGTTAACTGGGAACAGAGAAACTTTAAATAAAAGACAGATCCTTCAATTCTGTGATCTGATTTTCAGACCACATATCCATATTTCTCATTCAACTTATGTTCTTCCATGCATGTTTTAAAAGACATATGTGCTGTTGATCTTAGACCAAAATAGATTTTTAAGCAGCTGTTAACACCGTACTTAATACAGATGTGAAACGGCTAAGCTGCTGTTTGTCCTGTTTTACACATAATCAACCAAATAGTCAGTCAAATTCCAGTTGTAGAAGTTCAGATCATAATCATGATTTAAGATGCAGGAAAGATATAGCTTTATTTTTTCAGATTTCAGATGGATTTTGCAATATTGGCAGCTAGAAAAAAAGTCATCTTATAAAATAAGCAAGTTTCATCTGGAAGCCATTGCAAAAGGGAAAATATAGAATTCCCACCATGCTCCGTTTATAGTTTCTTTTCTGACTACAAGCACACTTCATAGTACAATATCAATTCTTTATGAGTTTACTTGGAAACAAATAATCCCTTTCTCCTTTGAAATATTTTAATCTTTTCTAAAGTTGTTTCATTCCTTATAGTTACCACATATGCTCACATGTACATGAACACATACACACATTAAAAACTGGGTAAAGACTAAAAGTGCACAGGAAATGAGGCATTTTTGTCTTATTTTTGAAAATTTCATTATAAGTTGTTAAATTGCAGCTTCAGGTTCAGGCTTTGAAATTGACCCAATTATGATGCTTTACACTGCTAGGTGTTTTAGGGTTTGCAATTGGTCTCCTAGAATGTGAACAAAAACGTACTATTTTAAAATTTATTTTCCATATTCATTCTCCTGTTATTTCAGTCTTCAGATGAGCAATACTAAAGTGAAGTAGTGTTTTCAAGAAAAGAAACACAAAACATATTGACAGACATTAAAAACTGGACAAAGTATTGGCCACAATAAGTTTTGATAGAATCTTGAGTTTTATTTATTCATACCCTGAAGTTTTTCTTTTAGCAAAAAAATTTAAATTATGCTACTTTTATATAAGTGATACAATGTTAATAATGATTAATTGCATTCTGAATTATTTGTTGAACATCTACTATTTGTCAGACACTGTTTTAAATGCAGGGAATACAGCTGTGAAAGAAACAGACACAAATTTCTACTCATGTGAAGTTTAGGAAGGCAAAACTAAACCAAACCAATAAGACATAATGTGTCAGGTGGGGCAGGTATCATGGAGAAAACTCAATATGAGAGAAGGAAACCAAGGGTGGAGAGTGTGATTTCTTACTTAGGGAAGACCTCACTGATAAGGTGACATTTAAACAGAAACCCAAAATGAAGGAAGCAGACATAAAATAATAGAGGGCAAAATATTCCAAAGTAAAGAGCACAGCAAGGGCAAAGGCCCTGAGGCATTTGGGCTGAAGTGCAGTGACAGATGGGAACAGAAAATGTGAGCAGAAGACTAATGGAGAGCCAGACCATGATGCCCCTTGTGCCAGTTGGCCTTTATTCTGACGGAAAGCCGACTGGGAAATTTTGAACACAAGAATGACATGACACAATCTGACTTAAGGTTTTAAGCAGATTGCATTTCTTTCTGTACTTGGAGAATAAAGAAAAGGTCCAGCTATGAAGTTATTGCAATGGTTATGGCAATTGCATCTCCACCAAAAGGGCAATGGTTGTTGCTTGGACCAAGGTGGTAGCAGGAGGTGTGGGATGTGTAGGAAGGAGATCAAATATAGGTTCAAGATAAGTGAGAGTAAATAGAGAAGAGGTCTAAGGATTAAGCCTCAGGGTACTCCTGTATTTAAAGTTGGGGAGCAGGGAGCGTAGTGTCCCAAAAGATAAGTGAAAAAGGTACTTCAAAATGAACACAAGTTAAACTCTGTTAAATGATACTGATCAGGTAAAATAAGTACTTAGAAGTTACCAGCATGAATGTCATTGGTGACCTTGGCAAAGAATTTTTGATCAAGAAGAAACAGTGAAAGTCTGATTGGAACATATCAAGAAATGATGGAAGGAAAAAACTGAAGGAAAGTAATTGGAGTCCACAAGTATAGAAAATATTTTTAAGTCATTTGGCAACAAATGTAGAAATGTAGAGGTGGGCTGCAGCAAGAGAGGTTTTTGTTTTTGTTTTTTTAGGCTGAAATCATCCAGTGGAAAGAAATAAGTTAATGATGATGTAGGTGAGAGAAACACAGTTGCTGGAGGGATGCCCTTGACCAGCAAATTCTCAGAATGAGCAGAAACTGATTTTAACCAGTTAGGGTTTTGCCAGGGGAGTAAAATAAAGGGAGAGGAGGCAAAAGAGTTGAGAGTTTTATACAAGGAACAATTATCATGACAGATCTTCTCTGGGTAAGAAGGGAATAGAAGTCAGGAGGAGACTGAGTGGCAGTGAAAATATTGCAAGGTCAATGGATTGTGGGGCTCCCATGGGATGAAAAAAAAAAAACTTAAAGAAAATTAGTAATAATAGAAAACTAGGAAGTGATAGTCACCAAATGAGAGCTTGAAACTGAGATTATGAAGGAGCATAGTTATTGGTAATTATAAGGTCTAGGTATGACTCCTATTTAGTGGGTGAGAAAGGGTGAGGGACAAGAAAATTAAAAGAAGGAGATCAAGGAGCTAAGAGAACACAGCATTGGATGATTATCTTTGTGGGCATTGAAATCACCAAGAGTTATGAGAAGAGTATCATTAGAAGGAATGATAGTGAGCCCGGAGCTAAAATTTTCAATGAATGAGGGGGAATTTAGTATAAATGAAAATGTTGAGAAGATGGGAGATGTTCTATTAGCTATAGGCAATGTTACTGATAAAACACCATAATACGAATATATGTAAGTTAATATCCTATTTTATAGTAATAATTTCAATAAAACATAATATAAATATCTTTAGGTTAAAATTTTTTATTTATAAAGTAATGATGTTTCTGAATGAACAAAAGTAATTTAGATCAAATCAGATTATACTAATGTGCTCAATCTTTCATAAAGAAATTCTAACATTTTCTACAAAATTATAAAAGACTGCTTTTTAAATATTATATGAGATCAGTGAAAAAAATTTTTCCAACATGAATAAATTAATATGATAACTAAGAACATATATTTATCATAAAAATGTATAAATGCATCATGCACAAATGCCTCGTAAAAATGTAAACTGTAACAGCAGCAATTTCAATAAATAAAAATTTGATTAGTCAAAAACAATGAGTTTAATCAAAGTAAATCAATTATTTTGATTAAACTATTGTCATGAATGTTTTGCATACAATTTTATTTTCATTTATTTAAAAAATCACAAAAACTATCAACTGCATGGCCTCTTAGAGGATTCATTATAGCACTTAATGCTAACATTGTTATAATTGAATCACAGCCCCTTAAATCCGATGATCATGTTAATATTGCTGCGAATGGACACACACTTCAAATAAAGGAGGCTCAAATATCAGACACCGGACGATATACTTGTGTAGCATCTAACATTGCAGGTGAAGATGAGTTGGATTTTGATGTGAATATTCAAGGTAATACTAATTGCTTATTGTATATAATGTAATTTATATGATCTTTCAAAGTAAAAGAAAAGAGATTTGACTTATTTTAAACAGTGTTTTTTTCTGTTGACAATAATATAAATTCATGATTGAAAATTTAGACTCGAGAATTAAAGAAGGAAATAATCCCATCATTCAGGATTGCCTCTGTTATTTTTATGTGTTTCCTTCTGATATTTTAAAGTGTATACTTCTACAAAGTTGAGGTCACACAATATAGATTTCTCTGTTGCATTAGCATTCCCTTAACTTTATATCATGAAGTTTTAAAAGCAGCATTTACATGAAAGGCAGGAAAGTAGTACAGTACAGAATTCAGAGTAATAAAAAATTACCTGTCCACTACTGGGCATATTATCTGGGTGATGAAATAATGTGTACACCAAACCCCCAAAACATGCAATTTACTCATGTAACAAACCAGCACATGTACCCCATAAACATAAAATGAAAGTTGGAATAAATAAATAAATAAATGTAAAAATAAAAACAAGCAAACAACATAACAAAACAGACTTGGAATTGAATGATGATTATGGCTTTTAAAAGCTTTGTGACTTAGTAAAGTTACCTAAATTTTAAGATTGTTTCCTCATTTGTAACATGACTGTCTTGTAGAATTGCAGTGAATACTAAATGAGATAAAGTATATAAAGCTCCTAGCAAAATGATTGAGAAATGATACCTGCCATTATTGTTGTTTATATTGTTACTCTTGATGTTGCTAACTATTCGACATGATTTTTAATAATTATGTCTGTTTCACCAGTTGAATATCCAAAAAATATTTATTTAACCAGACTTCTATTGTTGAATGTCTGGGTTGTTTCTAAGCTTTCACCACTCATAAATAATGCTACACTGAACATCTTTATACATAAAACTTTTGTACATCTTTGATTTTTCATAATTTTCTAAGGGTGGAAATTTTAGGTTAAATGTACTTTTTTCTGTGATAAATTTTATGTTATGCACTCTTTTAATGCTTTTGATGTGCAGGCAAATTGCCTTTCATAAAGTTCATACTTGTCCCCAGAAAAGTATGAAAATGTCCTATTATTTTTGTTAATGGAATTTTTAATCCTGATTGCATAATTTCTTTAGCCTTCTTAGTAAGCCAAATCACTGTGAAATGCTCTCAATTGAACCAGTATTTTTTAATGGTTTCTCAAAATTAGTCTTTCCTGCTGTGTATCATTTAGCAATGCTCCTTCCTGAGAGTGAGCCCCTTTATTGTCTAAGTGCCAGAGCCCTTTAACGGGGAGAGCAAAGCATAAACACAGCATTCTGAGCCTCATACTTCTTGTTCTTCCACTTGACAACCAGCTCCGACTTTCGTGTACTACTTTTTTGGCTAAGGGCTAGAGTTGGTGGTGGCGTCAGTACTTGAAATTATTTCCACATTGTCTAATCTATTGCTTTTACAAATCACTCTGGTGAAAACACAGCCAAGATCTTTGTTTAAGCATTTATATGTGACCAACATTTAATGCCTTTCCTCCATAGTTCCTCCAAGTTTTCAGAAACTCTGGGAAATAGGAAACATGCTAGATACTGGCAGGAATGGTGAAGCCAAAGATGTGATCATCAACAATCCCATTTCTCTTTACTGTGAGACAAATGCTGCTCCCCCTCCTACACTGACATGGTACAAAGATGGCCACCCTCTGACCTCAAGTGATAAAGTATTGATTTTGCCAGGTAAAGATTGATACCAACAGGGTGAAAAGCTGACTCTCTGCCAAATGTGTTTCCTCTCATGTATTAGACGAATTGAATTGGTTGGGTCTCTGGCTAAGTAATTTAACTGGCAGTTAGACTGCTGAATGCCACTGGCATCCACGTAGCTTCAATCTAGAAGAGTCTTGCTTGAGAATTAGACAATAGGAGAAAATAGCTTAGTAAACTTTTCAGATCTACTACGCATCACTCTATCAACTCAAAGTCCTTTGGCTTCCTTGTGCCTCCATTTCTCTTTTAGTGCAATAAGATAATCAGTTTGGTTTATATATATTATTAACATAAATGCTAATATATATTTACAGATCATTACTGCTCAGTTTATTAAATGCACTTATCATAAATAAATAGGGAAGATTATTAGTTTCAAATATTTAAATTGTTATCTGGTTTATTGATTGCAAAGATGTTTAAACTGTTATGGAATAATATTTTCAAGGCTTCTATTTAATTTTAACAAGCATTCAGATATACAGGGCTTATCAAAATTCATCAGATTGTACACTTAAGGTCAGTGCAGTAAGTAATTGAATGTAAATTTGACCCCAATTAAATAAAAGAGTATCCTGAAAATAAAAATGAAAAGAGACTAAGTAGATAGGGTAACTCTGTCTAATATGTGATCCTAAATTAGATCTGGGTTTGGGGAAAATGGCTATAAAAAACATTATTGCAACAATAATGAAATTTGATTATGGACTGCGGATTCAATAGTAGTTTTGTTTTGATTTTAAATTTTCTGTTTTTAATCATTGTAACACGGTTATATAAGGGATTATCCTTGTTATGAAATATGGATTTATGAGTATTTTAGGGGTGAAAGGGCACCATGTCTCCAACTTACTCTTCAATGGTTCAGAAAAAGATTATATACATATGACAGAGAGAGATAAGGCAAATGGAGTGAAATATAAATAATTAGTGAACATGAGTAAAAGTCTTTATATAATTATTGCAACTTTTCTCTAAATTTGAAATTATATCTACATGATGTTTAAAAATATACAGCTATCCTCATAAGAATGTATGTAAAATAGTACACTTTATACTTTTACAACCTTGGATATTGCTTTCTCAAACAAGTACTTGCAGCAAATGGTGTAAACTTCTATTAAAAGTGTTCAAAACTATAAAAGCAAGGAGTCACTATATAGTAACATTCCCTAGGAAATATGATGAAGCACATAGAGTAGCAGTCCCCCTTCTAGGAAAATCTACATGAGCTATTCATTTCTCAGGAGTTCCGATTCATATGTTGGCTCACTTTTTAATAATGCAGTGTTTGTTGTAAAAGTGGTATCTGAGATTAAAACTGAACCATTGGATGAAACAGGAACCTTGAAAGAAAATGTAAGGCAGTCATTAGACCTGAAAATTTGTATCTGTTTATGGCTTGTGTTCACTCTAAGATTAGAGGAGTAAACATAGTGGGATATTATTTTCAGGAGGGCGAGTGTTGCAGATTCCTCGGGCTAAAGTAGAAGATGCTGGGAGATACACATGTGTGGCTGTGAATGAGGCTGGAGAAGATTCCCTTCAATATGATGTCCGTGTACTCGGTGAGTTTTTCTTTTGTTTATTGTTCATTCTTTTACTGAAAAGTATTTTTGAGGAACTAATGTTTGCAGGATGTTACACTAAGCGCTTTTGAGACTATAAAGATAACCAGAAACTGATAGTTCTCCCAAGGAGGTAATTATCTTCTACAAATTGACAGCACATTAGTCAGGACTCTTGAAGTATTAAGAAACAAACTGACTTAAATGAAAACAAACAAACAAAAAGAATTCATTGACTTATGAATCAGAAAAGTCCCAAAATAGAGCTGGCTACAGTCATGTCTGACTTCTGTGGTTCAAATGAGGTCAACCAGACTTTACCTCTCTCGACTCTGCTTTTCTTTATTAATGTCACTCTCAGGGAGGGGGATCCCCTTGGATAGCAAGGTGGCCTCTAGCAGCTCTAGGCTTGCATCCTCCTAGTTCCACATTCAAATGAAAGTTTTTTCTCCTAGTATTTACAATTGAAGCCCTAGAATTGAATTTCCGTGGTTTTAATTGGCCAAGTGTGAATCACGTATCCATCCAGAGCCAATCACAGACAGCAAGAGGTTGCAATGTTCTAATTGATAAGGTCTAGTTCATGTGTCCAACCTTGAACCAAATCACCATCTGAATGCATGAACAGAGAGTTGAAGAAGTATTTTTCCTGTAAGGGAAAAGATAAGTGACATAACAATTAACATAGATTTTAAAGTTCATGAGAGAGTTACAAGGAAAAGAGATGAGATGACAATTAAAAAATCAATGCTGACATTGTCAAGGACAGTGAAGGAATATCTTGGACCACCTGGCTTAACTTGACCTTGTCAGGTTCACAGCTACGCCATATGTCCTGCCTAGGATCAGGTTCGATCCCCAGCTCTAGTTGTGTTTAGCAGCTCTCTCATCAGCAGCTCTCTCATCAGCAGCTCTCTCATCAGCAGCTCTCTCACACTAGCTCTCTTACACTGTCCCCCTTTATCTTGGCTTTTTGCTCTGCCTCTGTGGCTCCTCTCAGCAGCCGGCTCCCGTGCATAGCTCTATGGCTGGCCTGCAAGGCCAGCTCTCTCTTGCAGTGTTAGCAGCTTAACTCTTTCTCTCTGGGGACGAGCTGGTTCCTGCCTGCCTTAAAGGAGCCTGGCTCTCCCTTACAGTGGTCAGTAGTATTACTCTCTCTCTCTGGGCACACGCAAGCCATGTCAAGCCATGCTATGCCATGCCAAACTGAGCCCCGTGCACAGTGTCGCAGAGCAGTTATACCTTCTACAGACAATAGTGGCTCAGAGCCAAGTATGAACTTACACAAACAGGTTATATAACAAGTAGAGTTGTGTGCCTGCGCATCAATCCCACTGAGTCATGCAGGCCTGGATGTCTGCCTCTGCCTATTCCTTGACCAAACACATCCATGTACCTTACAGGCCTAAATTTGGAAAGAGTTTAATTTAGGGTGAGTAGAAGGAGTTGATAATATAGGTAGGGAAAGATTGCGATTCAGTGAAATTGAAATGAAACTATGGGATTGGATGGTCAAGGGTAGATGTTCATGCCTCAGGCTGTTATTTTCAATTAGGAAGTCAGCAAGCAAGTTGGAGATGAGTTTAGAAGGTGGAACAAAGCAAGAAAATTAACTGGTCCCCAAATTCTGAGTTAGGGCTGTTTCAAGTCTGCTGCTCACCTCCCAGGTGCAGGGAGGGCCACTGAGAACAATTCTGAGTGGTGTAACCCACTAGTAGGGTGTGGCAGCTGGAGCAGGTGGAAGCAAAGAGCTGAGGTGGGGGCCTCTGCATGTCAGTGCCTGAATCTCCTAGCCCTCCTAATGCTTCAGCTCTTGATTGGTTTTCTTGATGTTGGGTGGTGATAGTCTCATTTAATCTAAAACTCAAGTTTATTATTTAGTAATCTGCAGTTCAAATTATACATTTTATATTATCTGAAGTATAATAAAATCAATCACGTAGCTTTGAATGTGAAAGTACGCATTCAAAATAACATTGAAATTCTATTGTGTGCTTTGTGGCATTGAGTATTTTCTTTACAAACTTTCAGTTTAGTTGTTGGAAACCCAGATACCACAAGATAGCATCTACATCAACTTGCAGTCTTCACTGATTGCTAAAGATAAGGTATATTTTTAAAGTGGGGGGGAAATAAGCTTTCAAAACAAAAATGATTATTTTAAAAATCAATTTCTACATTTACCAAAGCAGTCAACATGTGTTCCTAGTTCATTTAACATTTTCATTTTTAAAATTCTATGGGTAACGTGATTTTTCATAACTAATGTGTAGCTGGATTCTATAGTATTGTTTTCAACAAGAATGAACACATGTAGAAAAATCTAGAGTGGGACTTCTCAAACTTTAGCATACATAAAGATCACCTGAAGAGCTTGTTAAGACACAGATTTATTGGCCCCTTCTCAGAGATGCCTATTGAAGTTAGTTGGGGCCCAAGAATTTGCATTTTTAACCAAGCTCGCAGATGATGCTGATGCTGATACCACTGGTGCTGAGGCTGGGAAACACACTTTGAATCACCCAGGCAATTCCTTTCCAAATAAGGCCAAATCTGAACATTTCAATTACACTTTAAAAGGTGTAATTTTTCTGTCCCCTCTGGATGACCATATAGACTTAAATATCTATTTATACAGATGCTTCTTATATGTCTGCTTGAAAACTCAGAAGGTATAGTGGGAGGGGCTGAGAGAGAAGTAAAAGATATATTGGAGAAGAATTGAGATTGGGCTAAAGGGGAATGATACTATCTGAGGGATTAGTCTAGCATAAGTGAAGAGAGGGAAGAGAATAAAGCCAAATTCAAATACTGTTTTCACCACCCCAATTTATTAGTATAAAATGTTACCTGGGGATCATATAGTTTCTCCTTCAAGTTTTGCTTCTCTATTATTATCCCAAAGTTTTTAAAGCTGTCAGAAAATTAGCATGATTTAGAAAAGACTGTTGCCCATTTTTCTCCCTTTGTTGCAATCCTTTGTTAGTGCCGCCAATTATCAAGGGAGCAAATAGTGATCTCCCTGAAGAGGTCACCGTGCTGGTGAACAAGAGTGCACTGATAGAGTGTTTATCCAGTGGCAGCCCAGCACCAAGGAATTCCTGGCAGAAAGATGGACAGCCCTTGCTAGAAGATGACCATCATAAATTTCTATCTAATGGACGAATTCTGCAGGTAAAAGTAAAGAAAGATCTAATTTTAAAAGAGCTATTTGACTTTGCACTTTGTAATAATTGTTTTTGACTTTTAAAAATAATTTTTATTAGCTTGTAAATATTATATTTGTAAAAATAACCAACCATCAAAGGTATATATAATAAAATTCTTCTTCCTCATTCTATTCCCACTACCAGAGGTTACCACTGTTAATAGTTTTGTGTGGATTTTTCCAGAAATGTTCTACACACACCTCAATTGACTACAATATGGCCTTTCTGATAAAAATTGTATTATAAACAAATCATTATTGCAGTCCTTTCCATTATATATTTCTGTTGGTAAAATTCTAAATGGTAGGAAGTTCCCTATATATTTAAATTTGTATGTAGGCAAAAGGTTGATAATAATAAAAATTATGAAAATCACATACATATCCTGGATTGTTGTTTACCAATGGTGTGTCCATATTCTTCTTTTCACATGTCCTGAAAGAAAAGCACTTGTAGAAATAATACCAATTCTTTTGTTAGGATACAATTTGATAAATTACTTCTTGAGCAAAATAAATAATATTCTATTGGCTCAAGAATCCAAGCATAACCTTCAGTGTATCCAACATAGGACATATCTCATGGAATTCCTTATTCAAAAGAGAAAGAGGTTTATTACTTATAAATAACCTTAAATTTTCAAAGTATCTTCTAAATATTGTGACTATTTCTATGTGATAATCATATAACCTCTACCAAAATACTTCAATGGTTCTGTGTCCAAGTCCAAAAGATATATAGTTGGATAGAAATTTCTATGTAATAAAATGAAGAAAACATAATTGTTATATTAGCTGCATAAAACAAACCACTCCAAAACTTAATGACTTGAAACAGTAAGCATTTATTTAGCTCACAAGCCTGCTGGTTTGCTAGATGATTCTTCCGGATGTGGCCTTGGCTGGGATCGCACACATATCTGGGGCCTAAGTTGCAATAAACTGTGATGATTCCTCCCCAAGTGATCTCTACCCTCCAGCAGGCTAATCCTGGCTTCCTCACATGGTGCTGGCAGAGTTCCAAAAGAGTGAGCACGAGTGAACAGGCTTCAGTTTTGAAATGACAGTCACTTCCGTCACGCTCTGTTGACCAAAGCCAGTCACAAGACCAACACAAATTCTACTTCCTGATGGGAGGGGTGTCAAAGTCACAATGCCAGAGGCAGAGAGAGAGAAATGGGAGAATAATTTGGGACATTTTTTTTCTAGTCAACATACCACAAATATGTATAGAATTACCTCTCCTGATTAAAAATCTTAGTAAATATTTATTTGATTTACCTAATAAAAGCTAGCATCAGCACTAGTATGTACAACATTTTTTTCTATCTGGTATTAAATAGAAATAATATATATTATTTATTCTAAAAAATAGACAAATATGACAAGTTGCTTTATTCAAAATTTTATTTGGAATTTCTTCATTTTTCCCTTAGATTCTGAATACTCAAATAACAGATATCGGCAGGTATGTGTGTGTTGCTGAGAACACAGCTGGGAGTGCCAAAAAATATTTTAACCTCAATGTTCATGGTAAGAGCTCAGTTCCAAAACCATCTGTTAGGGTATGCTTGGAAAAGCAGAAAATTTCTGTTTTAGATTATGTAGGCTTATTTTGTATTTTTTAACTTAAACAATGTGAGGAGCCTATACTCATTCAATCCCCTCTCTTCTTTCTTTCCACGATGGCTAGTAGGATTTATAAAGCATAAAACTTCCAGGAACACAGTTTTTATATTACTTCAGTGTCTCAAGAGAAAATAACTACTCCTGCATATTTGAAAGGAAAATCAGAATTTAAAATATTAATGATTACAAGTTTATGAAGTTAGAAGCAAATACAGGTCTCCTACTCATAAAAATCTATCCACTAGTCATGATTGGAATTGGTTTCTGTCCTTAAGTGCAGAATTCATGTTGAGCTATGTCCTCTAGTAACTAATATACTCCCTGGAGAAGAAAAAGTCACTTTGTGGAGTTAAATAATTCCTTTAAAACCACCAGCACACCTAATTCATTCATCAAACTCTTTTAAATACATGCTAGACACTCCATAAATACCACTTTTTGCTAAAAAAAAAAAAAAAAAAGTAGTTGAATATCTACTGCAAAAGAGTAGTTTTATTTTGTGAGATGCTGGTGCCTCCAGAATATTAACTTGGAAATGGTGGATAATCATTATAAAAGATCTCCTTTACATACATAATACACACATAAAATTCTAGCTCATTTTGGAAGTAACTGAAATTTGAAATGTCATGAAAAATTTCTGCCTTCTAAAGGACTTTTATGTAGTATGATAAATATTCTTCTTTGGTGTGATATGTAGTGAGTATTGGTATCTAGCAGTATTTGGTGTTTGTGTAATAGATATTTAAAACACTTTTATCTTTTTAATTCCCGTTCTTAGCACAGTGAGTAACACACTGTAGATGCTTAATAAGTGTCCTTGAAGTTTTTTGAATGGATAAATCTAACCAGAGCAGGAACACATGTGTTATGAATTCTCAGGAAGAATGAATTAATTAAACAAACATAATCATTGTGAAAGCACACATTCTAATCTGTAAAGTGCAGTAAATATTGGAAAATAAAATACTGATTAGTTTTCCTGATTGCTCAAGGCAAAATTCATTTTTCCTTCTCTATGTCAGAAAAGCATCTTGTAAATACCCCAATTGTAGCAGTTCCATATGTTGCCTTGTGTTATCTTCATATATCTGTATCTATGCCTCTATCCCATAACTTTATTGTAAGTGCTCTAGACAGATGGCCATATCTTACTTATCTTGGTCTCCCTAAACCTAGAATGGTGTCTATAGTTGTGGTAGTTGCTAAATAAATGTTTTCTGCATGTTTATTATATTTTCTTCATAATCATTGCCTCTTTGCAATGTACAGTAGAAACACCTGAAGTGGGACAGTGACTTGTGAGGAAGTAATCACTAGTGTTTTACCAATAAGGATTGGAGTTCAGAAATGTGTTTCTTCTTTCACCAGTTAATGATGTCTTGAGTTCCTGACTGCAATCAGGAACTCATTACTTAAATGTTGGAAAATTCATTTGAGGGGAAATAATGTAAATTATTTTCATGTAAAACAATACCATTTGTTATCTCCCTCTACAACTCTGCTTGCTTCTTTTGTACTCCTTCAGTCTGTTGGCATCTTAGGTTTTAGCTCTTTTCACTTTCCTTCATGGCCAGCTTAATTTTTGTGGAACAGCATTTCAGTCACTTCTCTTAGCCCATATCTTCTCATCACTCTTGCTCAGTAAAAGCTGAGCAACATATAACATATGTTATATGTCCTTGTTGCATATAACAACAAGGACAACAAACTGACTGCTTGAAACCTACCAGGTGCTGTGCCAAATGTTTTATATAGGTTATTTCACTTCATTATCTCAATAACCATATGTGCTTGCTACCATTTTATGCCTCCCCTGGAGGTGAAAAAGGCGAGGCTCGGTGAGATTAAGTAACATGCTCAAAATTACACAGCTTGCAAATGCTGCACCAGGATTTCAATGTAGGCAGTTTATTCCATAAGTTTTATACCTGCTTCTCTCTAATGCCTCTCACTAAATTCCACATCTGTACGCTACCTGCACTTAGGTAGCTCACCATGGCTGAAGGAAATCTTGAAGGCAGGAATATTGATGTCATTATAAATTCATAGTACCAGCTTGAACTGAGCCCTCCATACTGATTGCGACTTGTCGTTTTGTGTCTACACTATAGTGATTCTCTTAAACCTTCACGCCCTCCTCAAAAATATCAAGTGGCCACTGTCTTGGTCTGCTCAGGCTGCTTTAACACGACCAGAGACTGTGTGGCTTAAAGAACAGAAATTTATTTTCCCAAAGTTCTGGTGGCCGGAAAGTCCAAGATCAAGGTGCTGGCAGGGTTTGGTGTCTGGAGAAGGCTGTCCACCTGGTTTGCAGGCACCTGCTTTGTCTTCATATGGCCTGACATAGCCTTTCTTCTGAGCATGCTTGGTGAGAGAGAGCCAGTTCTCTGGTGGCTCTTGTTAAGGACACTAATCCTAAGGAATCATTTGACCTTAATTGCTTCCTTAAAGGCCTCATCTTCAAATACAGCCACACTGGGACTTAGGGCTTCAACACATGAATTTGCGGGGACAGAAACATTCAGTTCATAACAGCCCCCTCTCACTTTCTCTCAGTAAGTATTAACACTTTCACCTTCTCTTTTGCAGGGAAAAGAGAAAGCATATTCTAGAAATCCACCTCAAATTCCTACCATCAAATCGAGAGTACTGACCACATCTGTTCCTGCCATTTCTTTCTTCCTTCTTGTTTAAATAAGAGAAATGCATTGCTCTACCTTCCAAAGGCCGAAGTCTAACCTGACTCTAGATCCCTGCCCCATTATCTCCTAAAAAATCTCCTCCTGTCTCTTTAATATTGAAATTCTCACTATTATCTCCTTCTCTACAGCACTTAAGTAAAAATAAAATATTAACAAGATTATTCAAATATACTTAATAAAAAGCACATTAGGTCTCCTTTGTACATTGACAAAATCGTCTTAGGAATTGTCGACTATGTTTTACAAATAAAATGCAGAATAATTCTGTCTCTGAAAATTCTAATGCTCTCTTTCAATTGGGAAAAATAAACTCCAACGTGAGTTTGATGAAGGCATTAGGGAATTGTAAGACAGACAGCTAGATAATGAACAGAATCGTTAACTCAGTCCTTTAGCAGAGTACAGTGGTTGGATTTATATTTAGTAAATGGGAATATATGTTGATAACACCTGCTTTCACTTTTAATATATTTACTATTATAGTTCCTCCAAGTGTCATTGGTCCTAAATCTGAAAATCTTACCGTCGTGGTGAACAATTTCATCTCTTTGACCTGTGAGGTCTCTGGTTTTCCACCTCCTGACCTCAGCTGGCTCAAGAATGAACAGCCCATCAAACTGAACACAAATACTCTCATTGTGCCTGGTAAGGAACTTCTTATTATAAAGCAGGCAAAATTTTCTCATCTTTATTTTAATACAAACAGCATTTCAAATTAGTGTATTTCCAAACTTTTGTCGTGCTTCATTTATTTATTCACAGTAAATGCCTCTCTTTGCCCATTTGTGGTCATTAAGGTAAGATTTTGTAGACTTCTCTGATTTTAGTGGGAATGTACAAATAACAAGGTCTCCTTCAAGAAATGATAAAATTTAGAAAGAGAACAGCTTAGAACGGCCTAGTAATACCAAGTGGTAGATGGCAAATAGTACTTTCATTGGATACATCTGCTGGTTGTTTTTAATCCTAAAGTTCCGTAAGGATAGATGATAGACATAGATAGATAGATAGGTAGATAGATAGATAGATAGATGATAGATAGATAGATAGATGATAGATAGATAGATAGATAGATAGATAGATAGATAGATAGATAGATAGATAGATTAGACACCTCGGCATTGTGGGAAATTTAAACCCAGAAAACACTTAATATATTTTGACCATAGTACAATTACTATTTGCTCACCAGAGCCTGTATCAAACAGTTTTACTGTCCATGTTTTGATGCTGGAGAGAAAAATTCTATGAATCTCTTCCTTTATAAGGAACTAGGTGAATAATAAAGGAAAGATCAAAGAAAACTGATCCAATTATTTTATTTTAAATAGGAAGGCTTCTCTATAAATTTTACTCTAAGGGGAAGGATATATGTTGCTATTTATCTGATTGGTAAAATAGTTGTTAGAACAACCTGTATACCACTCTACAATTTGCATTCTATTTACCTACAGGTGGTCGAACTCTACAGATTATTCGGGCCAAGGTATCAGATGGTGGTGAATACACTTGTATAGCTATCAATCAAGCTGGCGAAAGCAAGAAAAAGTTTTCCCTGACTGTTTATGGTTCGTTTTTACTCTCTTCATAAAATTCTTTTATTTTAAAACTGGTATTCAATATTTTCTATCTGAGCACCTTAATGAAAAAGAAAATCCTTCTGTTATTTTCTTCCCTCAGTGCCCCCAAGCATTAAAGACCATGACAGTGAATCTCTTTCTGTAGTTAATGTAAGAGAGGGAACTTCTGTGTCTTTGGAGTGTGAGTCGAACGCTGTGCCACCTCCAGTCATCACTTGGTATAAGAATGGGCGGATGATAACAGAGTCTACTCATGTGGAGATTTTAGCTGATGGACAAATGCTACACATTAAGAAAGCTGAGGTGCATCTTTTATTCTTGTTTGAGTGTCATGACACCTTGGTGGGGTGGTGGAAAAGATGCTTGGAAGTTGCATATTCCCTTTTACTACAGTGAAAAATGATTTTCATTAAAAAAATACATAGCCAATGCCATTGACTATTTTTATAAAAAATAGCAAGATTGCAGAAGGCAATTAGAACTGGGGCATTGAGCATACAGATGACTGATGATTTAATCTAAACTCGAACAGTATGATTGGTCATCTATAACTTAATGGAGCACATACAATAGTATCTTTTTCTTTTAGGTATCTGACACAGGCCAGTATGTATGTAGAGCTATAAATGTAGCAGGACGGGATGATAAAAATTTCCACCTCAATGTATATGGTGAGCATTTGCCTCTAATACAACTCTTTTTCCCCTAGATATGCAAATGAAAAAAGTGTTCCAAATTAGCTTAATGAGGACAAATGATTTTCTTCTGTTTTTTTGTTTGTTTGTTTGTTTGTTTTTTACAGTGCCACCCAGTATTGAAGGACCTGAAAGAGAAGTGATTGTGGAGACGATCAGCAATCCTGTGACATTAACATGTGATGCCACTGGGATCCCACCTCCCACGATAGCATGGTTAAAGAACCACAAGCGCATAGGTAAGGCAACCATGCATTTTTGTGTGTGTGTGTGTTTTTTTCTCTTGCTCTTAATTCACTAGACTTTTAAACTAGCACATTTTAAGTACCATGCTCATAGGGGTGTTTAGTTCAAGAAGGCTAACGCACTGAAATACAGATTTACAAAATAGACTCATTGTAAAATGATTAGTCATTTTATAAAGAATTTTTTCTTTTTTAAAAAAGAAAATGGAGAACTTTTAAGAAATGCATTTATCACGTAAAGTAAGACATTTTATCATGAATTTTAGAGATGTTAAAGTTTAAAGGTTTTTTTATGTTTTATTGTGCTTTGTTTCTACCTCTAGAAAATTCTGACTCACTGGAAGTTCGTATTTTGTCTGGAGGTAGCAAACTCCAGATTGCCCGGTCTCAGCATTCAGATAGTGGAAACTATACATGTATTGCTTCAAATATGGAGGGAAAAGCCCAGAAATATTACTTTCTTTCAATTCAAGGTATGTATTGTCCACTATGATCTATCTTCAATTTCTTTGTTATTCCATTTATAGTACAAAATAATCTACATTTAAAGGTATCAGTAGTAATTGATTCAACATATCTTTAGATCATCAAAAACTATCATCAGTTTTCTGTCTTATATTTACCAGTAGATTCTGTTTTCATGGAAATGGACATAAATGTGGAAAAAAGAATAGTGGAAATTTGGTAATCTCTACTTTTTCCAATTTTCCATTTCCACTTCCATTATTATCTTTCTATAGTATATATCTATGGAGTTATACTTATTTTAAACTGGTATAATTCATTTTGATGGTAAGCCTATAGATCTGTTCTTACTTGTATAGATAAGATTTAATTCACAAAGAAGTTGTACTATGATCTGACCGCAGGTAGATTAGGTAAATTTTAATGAATGATGAATCTTATACTATTTTAAGATGAGCAATTCATCAAGTATTTAATTAATGCCTATTATGTTCCAACATAGTATTAAGCATTGCAGGGACAACTTGTTTTCTTTTGATTTTCAGTAAACCTCTGATTATTACATTTGGCTCAGTATTGAAACTGAAATGAAAGTCTAACTTGAAACTAAGTTGAAATACTTTTTCTTCCAATCTTATAGTTATTAGGGAAAGAATTTCTCATAAATTATGAATTCTACTATGAATATTACGTATCTGTTGTGTGCTCTGCTAAAGCTAACTCCAAAAAAATACAATTAGAAGAATTAAGTTCACAGGTATCAGTGGTCTCTCTGTGATGATTAGTGATGCTTTGGGATTTCAGAAGCTGAAGGAAAAACAGCTAGTCAGAGATTCAACGTCAGAAGTTGCATATTGAATTATGTCTAATGCATTAATAATAACAGATGCTAATCATGAGATATGTTGTAGGACTAAACATTTTACCAGATTTTTATATACTTTATTATGTCTTAGAACTAGAAATAGTATATGCATATAGGACCTAGTCCAGTGCTTGTCATATATTAGATACTCATTATAGGATGTCTCTTATTACTAATGTTCTTATTGACTCAACTTCTTTAGTACTCTAAATTGTGCAAAAGTGGTAAAATTATTATTTTCTGAATGACTAAAATTAGATTTATAGAGCTTATTCAGTGATGTGCTGGTAAATGTTTAAGAATTTTCTCTCCAGACAAAAAGACCATGATTCGTAGCCAATTGTTTGCCAGTCTCCATGGTGTAAATATTCCCACCATGATCTAATATATACAAGATTTCAACCTACCAAAGGGATGTTACTGAACATGGAGTGGGGAAAACATGTACAAAATTGGCTTTTGCGACCTGGTGTGAACTACCTTCTGCACATCGCTATGATCATATAGAATAGGAATTCAAACATGTTTATATCTGATACCATTGGCAGTATTTTTATTACGCAATATTTCTCAGTGAAATCAAAGTGGAAACCAAAGATGGCTAGAAAAAGAGAATAGAAACTATTGGCTCTTCAGAACTACAACAAACCTATCCATTGTTCAAAATAAACAATAATTAAATTGAATAATGGAGAAAGAAATAACCAACTTAGATAATTTCCTCAGACCTTTATGCCAAGTTTTTATAAGACAGAGTCTATAAGTCTAGTGAATTAAGAGCAAAAGAAAAACACAAAAAAATGCACACTGCCTTACCTATGTGCTTGTGGTTCTTTAACTGTACTATCCATTGAGGATTTAATCTAAGAGTAATTTAATTTGGCCAGAAAGGGTGATCATGAGGTAGCTCTATCACTAGCCCCTATGACTAAATAATTATATCAACTTACAAATACACCAGAAATATTGAAGCGTTCCTTTATCTTTGTCATTTAAAAGTAATTCATGAAGATAACAATAGTTTGACCTTGAACCATAATCTACAAAGAATATGAACTAGAAATGTCATATTGTTTTATGACTCTGTTACATTAGAATTTATATCCTGTGTCTTGTTAATGAAATTCCTAATTATTTCTCCAAAGTTCCTCCAAGTGTTGCTGGTGCTGAAATTCCAAGTGATGTCAGTGTCCTTCTAGGAGAAAATGTTGAGCTGGTCTGCAATGCAAATGGCATTCCTACTCCACTTATTCAATGGCTTAAAGATGGAAAGCCCATAGCTAGTGGTGAAACAGAAAGAATCCGGTATGTTTAAAAATAATCTTTCCATTATAAATTGTAAGCCCTTCTACAATGCTTTATGCTTCAAATTTCACATGAATAATAATACCGAATTCCATCCCATTGGAACTTAGCTATCATTATATTCACAAAGAAACAAAAAACTTTTTTTTGAGAACTGGACATAGACATTCTCGTTAGAGAGTCACTCAGAATTGTGTATGTTTCTCATCCGTTAACTCTGTAATGTTAATTAACTCATTAACTTTAACTAACTTTAACTCATTAACTGTAATGTTAACTGTTGGTGATTTTATTCTTGTAATTTCAGAATGATTATGCTAAAGCCCATGCCATAAAAATAATTAGTTCTTTCCTGCAAATGCCAAACCAACTTTATCTCACAAATGATTCATCAATAATTCTAGATATGATTTTGTATGCTGAAACCACCAAACTGTGTACATGCTATAATTGGCTCCTTTTGAGAAAAGATACAATAATGTCATAACTGTTATAGTGGTTTGTTCAGATGCCATTTTCAGCTGACACTTGTTACCCATGCAACAAACCACATAGAGATGGGCATGCTATCCTGATTGGCTCATTTTGAGAAAAGATGCAATAATGTCATAACTCTCATAATGGTTTGTCCAAATCCCATTTTCAGCTGGCACTTGCTACCCATGCCACAAACCACATAGAGATGGAATAATAATGTGGTAAAGACCTTGTACTACTTTCAACAACAAATTCCTTTGGAAGGACAATCTGGAATTTGATATTGTACTAGATTACTTCATCACAAAATCCCATTACCTACACATACCAGATTAATTATATGCATAAGTGGGCATTAACTACATGTATTGTAAACTTTAACATTGTGGACCAATATGTAAATTTAAGGGTTTGGAGTATATTTTCTGGTCAATAAATTGAACATATATATAACTTAAAGAGATAAATGTTATTTTCTTTGTATTCATTGTGTATTAAAATTTCTAGTCTTTCAGAGGATACATTTTAAGTTTTATTTCTCTGGTGTGAACATTTTTGAGTAAATAACAAGTGTTTAATTATTTTTGTTAAATCAGCTGGTATTTGCCATATTCCAGACCAAGTACTACATATTTGATGGTACCTAAAGATTTTATATGGGCTATAAAGATAAGATCTTTTATATATGATATCTTTTATATAAGATAGTATTCATAGCTAGGAATTTGGAGTCTATCATTCCTTCTCCTACATTAACATTCTAAATTTACTTATTCTTTTATCTTTATTATTCATTCCATAATATGTATAGATTTGTAGGTAGTACAGTTTGTCAGTCAACTACAATAGTTTTTCCAAAGTCAATGTACTACCTTTGTTTGATCATGGCAACTTGCTTTTTGCTTATTAATTTAATTAAACTCATGGAATTAAAAAAATTTTATTTTGAAAAAGAAAAAATACAGCTGTATCCCAGATAATAATATAGCTCTCAATAAACATTTAATAACAAGATATAATAGAAATGGAGCTTTTACTTTTGACACAGGGTAATTCTAATGAAACCACTATTGTACAAGTAACTGTAGATGGCAATTTAATCTCTACAAAAAACACAGGAAATTTTGATTTGTAATTAATGGTGTGTGAGGACAACCAATAATGCAATAATCTTAGCTTAGAGATCTTTAATGATCTCATTGTATATTTATCTTTTACTATTATGTAATTCAAAAGAAAAGCTTTATTTAGCAATTTGTAGAAAAAAAGTTTGCAAAATATAGCCACATATGATACCAAATTGTTGTCACAATTTAAATGATCCTATTGTGTTTTTTATTAAGGTATTAAGTTGTTTATAACTATATTAAGTTGCTTATAACTAGATTTTTATGTGTAATTTTTTCAGTTTCTCATTGTAACAGTCTTCAATTTTCATGCCAGAATTTTGTATAACATGCATTTAATTCAAACCTTATATGGATAACTAAGAATATAGTATTCTATCTCAGAGAAAATCATGTCTTTGCCTATGATTTGAATAGAGAAGTATTCCTGATTTTGTTCACTTCCTTTTTTTCTTATAAGGAGGTGGTAGATATGAGACTCGCTACTGTAGAATTTCAGTTGGTTGCTTGAATTTTCCATCACTTTCAGTAACTGATTTTAATAGGCTTTCATGTACTTAGTGAAATAGATTCAATCTCATCTCAGCCCCTCTGTTATGATCTTTTCCGTAGAGTGAGTGCAAATGGCAGCACATTAAACATTTATGGAGCTCTTACATCTGACACGGGGAAATACACATGTGTTGCTACTAATCCCGCTGGAGAAGAAGACCGAATTTTTAACTTGAATGTCTATGGTAAATATGAAATATCCCCCTCTTTTGATGATGCTGCCTTAAGAATCTACCAGTAGAAGTGAAGGCCCAGCAGCAGGTGTCTGGAGCATTTAGTTTTAAATTTGATGCCACCACTATTTCCTTTTGGGCTACAATTTTGAAATGAGAGCAATTGTAGTAGAAATTATTTGAACTAGTATTACATAATACATCCCTCTTCCCTCTCTCTCACTTTCTGCACAACATAGTTACACCTACAATTAGGGGTAATAAAGATGAAGCAGAGAAACTAATGACTTTAGTGGATACTTCAATAAATATTGAATGCAGAGCCACAGGGACGCCTCCACCACAGATAAACTGGCTGAAGAATGGACTTCCTCTGCCTCTCTCCTCCCATATCCGGTTACTGGCAGCAGGACAAGTTATCAGGTCAGCTTTTATTGTGTCTGATTTCCTAAACAGATGAAGTAACTGTGATTGTAGACTTTTCCTTCATTTAAACAGTGTTGAAGAAATGTTTTTTTCTAAGCCTTTACAGTTTTTTTCCCTTTAAGTATATTTTTAGTAGAGGAAGGACAACAAATATACAGTTGAAATGATTTTTTATCCTTATTTAAGTGCTTTCATTTTTTAGTAAATGTGTAAAATGGTCTTTTATAGACAGGTTTGTTATCATATATGTATTTCCAGGAATTACTGTTTTAGCTAAAACTTTATGTGGCAAGGTAGTAGGAAGATGCCTACTATGATAATGTGATTTTCATGTTAGCAGCATTCTCTATTAATATATATTTGAAAAATATTCACCTCTTAAATTGTGCTATATTTTCAGTGGTTTATTGTCACTGCCTAATCAGCTTTGTAGAATAAATTGCATTTGAGGCCCCTATATTTTGTGATGGATGGCTATAAGCTTCATAATTAAAATTTCCCAACATAAATCACCACCTATAGCCTATTTATAAATCATAATTATTTTATGTGTACTTGTTGTATGGGAGCAAGTGATGAAATGTGGATCAAATTGTTTCTCAGGATTGTGAGAGCTCAGGTGTCTGATGTCGCTGTGTATACTTGTGTGGCCTCCAACAGAGCTGGGGTGGATAATAAGCATTACAATCTTCAAGTGTTTGGTATGTGTCACAGAAATGACCCTATTACTTTGCTATGTCAAGTATTAAGCAACAGACTTATCTTTAGAAACCGACTTCCTCAGAGATTTAGAAATCTGACTTTATCAAAAAGGATTAGTGAAATAGGATCTTACTGACTAGAGAATGTATTTTCTTCCAAGGGGTCCATATTATTGGACCATATTGTCTGTTTATCAAAATACTGATCTAGAAATTTGCACTAAATCAAATCTAATTTTTAAAAATAGCATTTCAATCCAGACACAAGACCAGTCTTTTCATGTAAAGAAAAAGTCAAAACTTTTCTAACAATATTAGCAGCTTGTTTGGAGTATTCAAACTATGAATGGATGCATGTGCATATATGCATGTGTGTGTATGCGTATATATGGAGAGAACTCAATACCTTCCATTTCGGAAATATTGAAGTTTGCTGATCCACATTTCTCAATCCCCAAGAACACCTCAGTTAAGTAACGCTTTATTGTAATCTACAAATGACTTACCCTATAACTTGATATTATTTATACTCTATAGAGTAGTTAAAAGAATACTACTAAAACTATTATATACATTACAACAAGTTAAAGGGATAGAGTGAAGAAGTTGAAAAATCACCAAAATTTAAAACACATTGTGCGTTCTGTAAGAAAACAATTTTTAAGTTTCATTGCTAATCTTTGGAAGATTAATAATTAGCATTCCTAATAGATATTTTTATTGTAAAGTCCTTAGTTATTATACACAATTTTAAAGTATATATTTTTATCAACCACAGAAACATTATAGAATTATTCAAATGTTTTAATTTAAATTGATCTCAAATTACAATAGACATCCAAATTTTGCCCATGTTGTTTTCTATGTAGCACCACCAAATATGGACAATTCAATGGGGACAGAGGAAATCACAGTTCTCAAAGGTAGTTCCACCTCTATGGCATGCATTACTGATGGAACCCCAGCTCCCAGTATGGCCTGGCTTAGAGATGGCCAGCCTCTGGGGCTTGATGCCCATCTGACAGTCAGCACCCATGGAATGGTCCTGCAGCTCCTCAAAGCAGAGACTGAAGATTCGGGAAAGTACACCTGCATTGCCTCAAATGAAGCTGGAGAAGTCAGCAAGCACTTTATCCTCAAGGTCCTAGGTATGTAAACATTGTGGTAAATGTAGAATAATTGGAAAGTAAGTGATAGTGAATGTTTAGTAAATAAGTATAATTCTGAGAATCAGTTGCTGTGAGAGAATTTTTTAAAAAATTTTTATTGCATTTTAATTTTTTTTATAATTCACCTTGGCTTACTCTCATCTGAAGCATGTTGAATTTAAATTGTATTTTTTATCTCTCTGAAAAGATGAAAACTCCAGCTTGTAAAACATTACTCATTGATAAAACCTTATAACCAATTGAGAAGCAGCTTTTTAAACTTTTGCCAAGAATTGAAAACACATCCGATTATAGAAATTTGATGAAAAAGCATAATAGGTATACTATGATATGTTATCCCTGTCTTTAAATGATCCAGTCTGTACCTTATAGCTGGAATAATCATTTCAAATAGTCTAGTTCTATTTATTCTTGTGTGCATTTAAAGTAAATACTTAAAATATGTATTCCAGTGTTCTAAATGCAACAGTTTAAAGAGAAAACACTTCTTTTCCTTGAAGTAAAAAATGCTAACCTTGGAAGAGAAAGTAAGATAATGAAACGAAGTATTTCAATAACCAAGAGCTTTTGGCATTTTGCTTGTTTTTCTCACTGTGAAGTAAGTGAGACTCCATGCTCCTTACATAGCAGAAAATACACCCTATAGAGAAGAGCAAAAATACTTTTGGCAAGAGTCTTGGTTAGGTAGAAGTTAGCATATGTTTCAGCGTGTGTTATAATCCTTCTCAGAGCAACTATTAAAATTTATTCATGTAACCCTAAAATTCTGCTTCATCCCTAGTTAAGCTTTATGAGGGCAGATGTCTTCTTACTTACTTCTGCATTCCCAGTGCTTAGCATGACATTTAATACACTAGAGACTATTAATGTGTTATTTGTTGGATTAAACTGAACCGAACTAGTTACTTTCCAGGTGGATTAAAGGGAGTTTCTTCTGTAGAGGGAAGCAGAACCATATCTAAATAAATGAAGTATGGTTCTCTGGAGTAGATGTGACTTCCATAGAATGGAGGCCGGTAGTAAAGGAAGTTCTCCAGGATATTTAGGGGCAAAAGAAAACTACAACCCAATATCCCTTATCAACATAGTTGCAAAAATGCTCAACAAAATACTAGCAAACCAAATTCGACAGTATATTGAAAAGATCATTCACTCTGATCAAGTGGGTTGCATTCCAGGGATGCAAGGATGTTTTAACATACACAATCAATAAATGTGATACATCACGTTAACAGATAGGACAAAAATCATATGATCATTTCAATAGATGCGAAAAAAGCATTTGATGAAATTCAACATTCCTTCATGAGAAAAACCCTCAACAAATTAGGGATAGAAGATACATACCTCAACACAATAAAGACTATTTATGATAAATCCACAGCTAACATCACACTAAACAGGAAAAAGTTGAAAGCCTTTCCTACAAGGTCTAGCAGAAGATAAGGATGCCCACTTTCTCTACTTCTATTAGACATAGTATTGAAGTCCTAGCTAGAGCAACAGGCAAAAAAATAAAAGACATCCAAATTCGAAAGGAGGAAGTCAAATGTTCTGTTTGCAGACAGCATAATCTAATATATAGAAAACCTCTAAAGACTCCACCAGAAAACTCTCAGAAATGATAAACAAATTCAGTAAAGTTGTGACTTAAAAATCACCGTACAAAAATCAGTAGCGTTTCTATTTGCCAACAGCAAATTGTCTGAAAAAGAAATCAAGAAAATAATCCCATTTACTGTCAGCCCTGCATATCCATCGGTTCCACATCTGTGGATTCAAACAACTGCATATCAAAAATATAATATTCATTGGATGTGGAATCTGCAGATACCGAGGGCCAACTGTGTATCCATGGGTTTCTCAAGGCCTACTGCCGGGCTTGAGCATCTGCAGATTTTGGTATTCACAGAGGGTCTGGAACCAATCCTCTGCAGAGACTGAGGTACAATAGCTATCAAAAAAAAAAAAGATATGTAAGAATAAATTTAAACATCAGTGAAAGAAATGGAAAGGAAACAAATAAATGGAAAGATATTTCATGTTTATGGATTGGAAGAATTAATACTATTAAAATGGCTATACTCCCAAAACAATCAGATTCAATGCAATTTCTATGAAAATACCATTGGCATTCTTCACTGAATTAGAAAAAAAAAATCTAAAATTTGTATGGAACCACAAAAGACTCCAAATAACCAAAGCAATCTTGAGTAAAAAGAACAAAGCTGAAGGCAGCAGACTACCTGACTTAAAAATACTACAAAGCTGTATTAATCAAAACAGCATGCTATTGGCATAAAAACAGACACATAGACCAATTGAACAGAATAAGGAGCTCAGAAATAAATTCATGCATCTACAGCCACCTGATTTTTGACAAAGGTCCCAAGAACACATACTGGGGAAAGGATAGTCTCTTCAATAAATGGTGCTGGGAAAATTGGGATGTCCACATGCAGAAATATGAAACTAGACCTCTATCTTTCACTGTATACAAAAATCAACTCAAAATGGATTAAAGAGTTAAATGTAAGATCCCAAACTACGAAACTACTAGATGAAAACACAGAGGAAACACTTCATGATATTGGACTAGGCAAGGATTTTTCTGGATAAGAACTCAAAAGCATGGGCAACAAAAGCAAAAATAGACAAATGGTATTATATCAAACAAAAAGCTTCTGCACAGCTAAGGAAACATTCAACAAAGTGAAGAGACAACCTACAGAATGGGAGAAAATATTTCAAACTATACCTCTAAGGGGTTAATATCCGATATATGTAAAGAACTTAATAGCAAAAAAACAAAGAGCACAATTTTAAAATGGACAAAAACCTTAACAGACATTTCTCAAAAGATGACATGTAAATGGCCAAGAGGTATATGAAAAAAGCCTCAACATTACTAATCATCAAACAAAGGCAAATCAAAACCAAAATGAGATATCACCTCACTCTAGTGAGGATGGGTATGACCAAAAAGATAAGAGATAACAAGAGTCGGCAAGGATGTGGAGAAAAGGGGACACTTGCACACTGTTGGTGGGATTGTAAGTTAATATAGCCATTATGAAAACAGAGGTTCCTAAAAAAATTAAGAATAGAACTACCATATGGTTCAGAAATCCCACTACTGGATATATATCCAAAGGAAATGAAATCAGTATGTCAAATAAATCCATGTTTATCACAGCACTATTCCCAACAGACAAGATATATAATCAATCTAAATGTTCAACAATGGATGAATGAATAAAGACAATGTAGTAGATATACACAATGCAGTACTATTCAGCCATAAAAAAGAATGAAATTCTGTCATTTATGACAACATGGATGAACCTGGAGAACATTAAACTATGTGAAATTAGCCAGGCACAGAAAGAAAATACCACATGATTTCATTCATGTGAAATTTTAAAAAGTTGATCTCATAGAAGTAGTGAATAGGACAGTGGTTACCAAAGACAAGGGAGACAGGGGGAGTAGGTCAGTGGGTACAAAGTTACAATTAGAAAGGAAGAATGAGTTCTGGTGTTCTATTGCACAGTAGGGTGACTATAGTTAATAATATACTATTGTATATCTCAGAGTAGCTAGTAGAGAGGAATTTCAATGCTTTCACCACAAAGAACTGATAAATGTTTGAAGTGATGGAAATGCTAATTACCCTGATTTGATAATTACACAATGTATACATGTATGGAAACATCACATTGTACTCCCTAAAGATGCATAATAATTATGTGTCAATGAGAGAAAAAAGAAAAACTGTGTGTCTGGGAGGTGCAGGGTGGGGTTGGGTAGCAAATTCCTGTACATCAATTCACAGAACATGAGGAGTAAGAGGAGATGACATAATGTGATCCTGTACATTCATTATTCACATATCAAGTATTAATTATTGAATATACGTTATATGACAGGTATGTTTCTAGCCATCATTTAACTATAATTATGAACATGTGTGGTGTGGCAAACATGCAAATGCATCACTAAGAAAGATATGATCTCAGCCCTCAACTTCCTCCATCTGTGGAAGACACAGATACTAAAGAAGTAATTACTTTTCAGTGTAATGAGGATTATATGGATAAAACAACATTCTGTGGGATGGTAGATTTCAGATTCGATCTCCTCAAGCATAAATCTGAGCCCTGAAGAGTAGGACTGTAGAGATGAGTGGGGAATTTTATATACATTTCTCACCTGGAGGTAATACAATTTGAATTGTCAATTTGCACTCCCTGAAACTGAGTGTAAGAGGAAGAGTAGCAAGAGACAAGACAAGAACTATATATGGGCAGATGCCAAACTATGCAAAGCTCTGAGAACTTTGAGGAAGTTTGGACCTCATTACCAAGGCAATGGAAGAATCTTAAGGAGAAATATTTTACAGCCAGATTTCGTTTCCAAAAAATCCCTCTGACAGAGTGACAGAGTGAAAAATGAATTGAAGAGGCTGCTGTATTCATACAGCCTGTAAATGCAGGGGCCTGGTCTAGCATGTGGCAGGGGGAGGGGGAGAGCGGGGAGAAAGAACTCAGGAGCAGAATCACAGACTGGTGCATTTCTGGATGAAGAAAATGAAGGAGAAAAACAACAATGATATTCTTAGTGGAATTCTTAAAGAACAGCCTGCCTTTAATAAAGTTGAAGAGTTTATAAGAATAATAATTTCTCAAAACAGATTTGAAAACTGGCTTAGAAGAAAGATGAGAAGTTTTAGCATTTCAGCATATGTTGAAAATTAATTCCATTAAACTCTGAAAAGTTCTTCACTTGAAGCAGTGCTACCACTCAGAATGCAAACATCTTAACTTGGGGAAATATTCTTTATTTAATTCTATCCATGTGGTGGGAGGTATCATGGTATAGTGGTTCTGAAAAGTCCAGTGTGGCTAGACCACTGAAAACAAGGGACAGCATATTACAAAATAGGGGGTTTTCATAGGGCCAGGTCATAGAGCACTTTTTTGACCACATTAAGAAGTCTGCTTTTTATCCTGTAACAATGAGAAATCATTCAAAGTTCTAAAAACGGAATAACAAATAGAACTACAGTTTGAGAAGAGCACTCTGGCTATAAAATGCAAGGCTACTTGGACCAGGACAAGAATGGATTCCGAGAGACCAGTATAAGGAATTGTGTTTGGCTGTGAATTACAGAGTTGAAATATGGTGGGTTAAACACAGTACTTCTGTTTTTCTCACTGGGATGGCTGGAGGTAGGCAGTTGTTGGATTGGTTCAGCAGTTCAAATATTTTCAGTTCTTTTGAACCTTTACAACATGGTTGTTTGGTGATCAATGCAGTATCTGCTCACCCCTAGCATAACTAGATGCTGTTCTAGATGCAACAATAGAGCAGGAAACTAGGAAGGGCAAAGTGTTGCCCCTTTAGAAAAGAATTAAGACTTTCTTACAAGCCCCACAAAACCACATCCACCTACATCTCATTGGTCAGAATTGTCATATACCACTCCATCCACTCCATCTACTCTCTGCTAAAGAGGCTAGGAAATGTAATTTGTTTAGCACATTGACAATCCCAACAAAATTTGAGTCTGTTAATCAGAAAGAAATCAGTAATTTTGGGTAGGCACCTACAACTAGGAAGAAAAAAAAAACATTAAGTAAATGGTATTGTAGCTCAAATTAGAGTGAGGGAGATGAGAGAAAAAGGTGTATTCTGGAAATAAGTACAGTGGAAGTATTAGGACTTGGTTGTAGACTGGGACACAAGGGAGTGATGAAGAAGGTATCAAGCATGACTCTTAGTTTCTGGCTTATGTGACTAATTGGTAAATTCATCACTTAGATGCAGAAAATACTGGAAAAAAACAAGTTTTGAGAAATAAGGCAATAGGTTCAGTCTGAATACATGTTGAGTTTTAAGTGATTTTCAAACATCCAAATGGAGATGTTTATTTGATAATTGCATTTATGAATCTGGAGCTCAGAAGAGAGTCTAGGCTGGAAATATAAATTCTGGAGTTATTGGAGTATAGACAACTCTTACTCTGCCCGAAGTACAAGACATATGGACAAAACACAGAGTAAAATAGTTCACAATCACTTAACACAGGTAAGATCTGGACAGTCTGGGGTTTGAACTACACAAGAGCATGTTAATACTGTTACTGCTGCTACTATTTTAAATCCAGTGATTATAAACTTTGGGGTGGGGGCAGTGAGCATGCCTTATTAATCTTTGTATTCATGATGATTGACATATACTAAATAACCGAGAAGTAAGAGGAGTAAATAATTGACTATGGCAAACCAGGAATTAGATAAGTGTTTTGAGTAGTACAAACAACTTGATACGAAAATGAAAAAGCATAGACATTTTATAATTAGTTCAGAGAATCAATAAATGATTTATAGTTTTCACAAATGAACTTGAGGACAATGTAACCGTGATGGTACTTGGGCATTCTCAGTTGCGGGACTATGAGGAGCAAGAAAGGACGAAGCTTGTTGAGAGATTTGAAGTCTAGGTTACATATAAGTATGTTAAAATTAAATAATGACAAAGATAGATCTAGACCATATTGTGGAAGTCTTGGAAACCATGATGAGTTTTTATTTAATCCAGTAAGCAACATGGAGCCATTAAAATCTTTTAAGCAGAAAATCTTAGATTAATATTAAACTGCACTTCAGAAAATGTATTTTGACAGCAATATGTAAGATAGATAGAAGTAAAAAGAGGTCATGTGGGACAGTGGTGTAGAAATGCTGACTTCATTATAATCTAAGAAGGAGAACTGACTTAGTATATTATCTTTCTCCAGAAGGAAAACAGAGACTAACAGATGGTAGAAATTTTAGGAAGCAGATTTTAATAATACCAACAGTTGCAGTAAACACTGTAGTAGTAATAAGTTTTTTAAAACCTTTAATTGTAAAATAGATACAGAAACACACAAAAAAGTGTATAATGTATCTCACTGACGCCACACACTGATCCTATTAGGTAAATAATGTTGGTATCCCCATTTTAGAGATTTGCTCAAATCCATGAAACTAATAATTGTTGACACCAGCATTAAAACTCAGACTCCAGATCTTCTGCTATGAGTCACTGTTCTAAACTATGTGCCTTATTAAAGAAAAAAGAAAGAAAAACAAACCTGCTAACCCCTGGCGCTGTCCAACAGCTATTTTGGCTGCCTTGTCAAATAGTAAGCTGGAAACTTGAACTATGAAAGTGTCATAGAAAACGCAAATGGTCATCATAAGGGGAATGTGTTTTAAAGGAATTACCAAAGTTGGGAGTAGTTAGACTAAAGAACCTTAAATGTTTCTTCCCAGTGTTTAGATTGTTTGACCTTCTCTTGAGAAAGGTAATTTTAGAAGTATAAGTAACAAAAGAGGAAGTTACTCCCATCCAGACATAACAAATGTGTTTTATACAGAAATTATCTCCAAATGTAACTATTTTTTCTTCTGCTTAGTCATTGTTTCCTCTCAAAGTTCTGCATGGAAAAGATGATAGCAAAATTCCACAGTATTCACGCATTGTTTTTGTAGAAACTATTGGTATTTAAAGATACAAAAACATAATAATATGCTAAGTCCCTCTAAAAAAAAAAGTGGTACAAGCTGCGTTTGGTTTTTATTGTTTTCAAATCTTTCAGTCAAGTGAGACTGTTCTAATTAACTGAGTTTGAACTGTTGTTCAATAATTGCATGGTAATGAATTGCCATTTACTTCATTATCTCTCATAGGCATGATCCATCCCTTTTGAAAGTGTGTCAATGAGAAATGGTAATGACATCTAGGAATTATTTCACTTTCCTTGTTCTAATCAATTTTTATCATGTGAATGTGAATTTGTGTTGGATTTTCAAGTTTTTCTAACGAGCAATATTTTATGAAACTGTGGGTTTATTATTATTTTTGATTCCCTTTAAATAGAACCACCTCACATTAATGGATCTGAAGAACATGAAGAGATATCAGTAATTGTTAATAACCCACTTGAACTTACCTGCATTGCTTCTGGAATCCCAGCCCCTAAAATGACCTGGATGAAAGATGGCCGGCCCCTTCCACAGACGGATCAAGTGCAAACTCTAGGAGGAGGAGAGGTTCTTCGAATTTCTACTGCTCAGGTAAGTGTCAAAGTTCATAGAATTATTTTAGGTTAGGTCAAACTTCTCACTTGCTAATATATGAGATTTGTTAAATTATGTCTTTGAATCCTTATATATCACAGATCTGTGTAACTGGAGCAGGATGGATTAGTCCTATGATATGCATGATTGGGTAACTTGATTAAAAGGAAGACAAAGCAGTATCATATTAAACTCCGAAGAAAGCAAGATACCTTTCCATTAACTTTTGCAAGTTTTCACAGTGCTATAAGTGTTAGTATATTTCCCAAAGTTCTTAATTTATACTATGTACCCCTTAATGGAACTGGCAAAAAGCAATCCAACATGCATATATATAAGGTTTCAAAGAGCACTTTTGATCTCCAAAATGAACTAGCCGATATGGAAGTCTGAAGAGACACAATTTTTCAAATAATGATCAGTTTAATAAAATTGACTTGGTTTAGTTTATGTTTAAGAAAACTGATCTGAAATGTGAATATATTAAAAGAGAAGTATGTCTGGGATGTCTTATTGTAGCAATCTTCTATTCTACTAGTAAAGGCAAACCTTATGTTACAATTATTCTCCATCTGAGCCCTAATGCCATCATTTATAAACTGGGGATAAAAGTAATAATCATGCCTCATTCATACACTGAGGGATTTAAAGAAATAATCCAACATGATGTGCTTAGACTGGTGCCACAGGCATGTAGTAAATGCTTTCAAAAAAAGACTTAGGATTGTTCCTGCTGTTGCTGTTGTTACCATAATCATCATTCCTCTGAATGTAGAATAACAAATTATTTGATCATATTTTGTTGCATTTTTCACTGAGAATGGAAGAAAGGGAACTGGAAGAAAAGAGCTAAGAGTTATAAACTCTCTACTATGTCCTGTTGTGTTCATCTCTGTGCTATCTATCCCACCCATTCCCCTCATGGCAACTCTGTGAGGCAATGTGTCTATCCCACAAATCCAAAATCAGGTGCAGAGAGATTAAGTACTTATCTGCCAAGTACTCATTGCTGCTCAGTGATGGAGCTAGGCCTCAATCCTTAGTCTGATTCAGAAGCCTAGCCAGTGCATCTCAGCACAGTGCATTTCTAGCATCTTCGAGTGCATACCTTCCATTCCCCTTTTTTCTCTCCATTTCAAACATTACAGTAACTTAGAGTCAGGTTAAACTAAAACCATGTATTGAATCAAAACTCTTGAATGATATAATTTCAACAAACAAAAAGTAGGCAAAAGAATTTGTGACATTAGGAATAGCATGGAGACAGAAAAGTATGTGGAATAGAATCATGAATATAAAAAAAATGACAAATAAAGCTTGAAAGGGAAGTTAAGGCCATTACTGTAGGTCTTAAAGGCAAGAACAAAAAGTCGAGTTATAAGAAAACAAGATGAAGGTGTCATAGAGTGTTAAATGATGGCCAGATTTACCATGTGTTCTAGCTATTGTGGAGAATCCATAAGACCTAAGATATGTGACATGTGTCAGCCTTCAAGAAGTTTCTAGATGTCTAGGGGAGAAAAATGACTGTATACATAAGATACAATTAGATATGAGTCAATAATAGAAACATTAAAAACAATATGGAAGTGGAAAATTAAATATCATTAAGCCCCCAGACTGATTTTGGTTACTCTGCTCCTTTATGTTTTCATAGCAATTTGTATATACTTCTGTAGTAACTCTTACTGCATTATATTTTGCTTATCTCAACTTTGTTTTTTCGTGTATTTATCTGCAACATCTACTTATGCCTGGTACATTATGGATGTGGATGCTTTGCAAATTGCGAATTGTGTGGTATAGACAAGAGTTTCCTAAAACATCTTTTATCAAACACTAGTTCTGTAATTTATCCCAAGAGGGGAGGGGACCACTCTATGACTAATAGATTTGGAAAACTTTATATACTGTACCCTCCTTTTCTTTGTGAGCCATAATGCATGTCCACCTCTGCAAAATCTTCCTCTAAAGATACATGCTTAACTATAATTTTTCTAACATTCTATTAGTAAAACAAGACTTTAGAAACTAACTACAGGTGATGTCTGTGGGTAGCCAGAAGGGCAGAAGTTGTCAGGAAATATTTTGTGGAAAAGGGAACATTTAAGAATAGTCCTGAATGATGGTTCAAGTTTGGCTGAGTCCAGACAAGTGAGGGGGATGATATCAATTGTGAATGAACAGAGTTGGGAGAGAAGAGTTAGTTTTAGAGATTTTAAAGATATGATGAGAAATTCAGAAATTATTCTTAGGAAATGGCACATCATTTTAAAATTCTTAATTGAATAACGATGTAAGTGTTGTTCTTCTAAAATTATATTTAAGTATTTTTCCAAACATTCTAGTCTCAATGTTTTTGAAAGGAGTTTTTGCAGCCTACCAAAAAGTGTTTCCATAACCTCTAAAGTCAGTTTGAATGTAAGAGTTTTTAAAATGCCAATATTCTGGGAATGTTCAAGTAGTAAAATAAATGAGAACAGGATTTTTCTGTTTTTCCAAAATACATTTTTCGCAGTAGTAAGAGCATCTGTTTTCCAGAGTACCCTCTACATGTACACGATCATGGGTTGTGTCTACACAATCTCAAACATATGAATGAACATTAACTTTCCATGGAAACCATGCTTGGTGATTTTTAAAGTAATGATTTTGGTTTTAGTTAGATAATTATAGATCCTGCTGTCAGTCTGACCCTATTTCTCATATTACATAACATAACTGTTTTGTTTCACCATGTATATAAAATGTAGAGTCAAGATGAGATATTATGTGTTTGATTTTAATAACCAGATATTTTGTTTATCTGTTTACTTATTTAACATCTTATTTTCTTGAGAAAGGCTTCGTTTTAACTTTTCAGTCTGCAATTTAAACCCATGAATATTTGTTTCTTCAATGAACATTGAGGATATAGCCTATCACATATGGTTCTAGGTCCTATATATATCTGCCTTTTTAGATATCATTAAATATACTTAACGTACAAACATTCTTAAATCGATACCAAAATCCTGTTAAAACATAGGTTTGCATATAATGTAGATACCAAACAATGCTTTCTATCAGAGTGCTAATCGTAGTGTTAAACAGTTGGCTTTAATTATCTTGCTTTTGGTGTGGGGTTATTTACATTCATTCTAGTGGATATTTATTTTAATAACAAAAGCTAACATGTTAACATTATGTAATTCATTATTTGGGTTTTGTAGGTGGAGGATACAGGAAGATATACATGTCTGGCATCCAGTCCTGCAGGAGATGATGATAAGGAATATCTAGTGAGAGTGCATGGTAAATTTGACAAAATATCCTACAGTCTATCATACACACACCTAATTAGAAAACCCTGGGACAACACCACAGCACATCACAGGATATGTTTATAAGTTAGGGAATATATATTTTGCAAATCTGAATCTTTTTTTTTTTGAGACGGAGTCTCGCTTTGTCGCCCAGGCTGGAGTGCAGTGGCACTATCTCGGCTCACTGCAAGCTCCGCCTCCTGGGTTCACGCCATTCTCCTGCCTCAGCCTCCTGAGTAGCTGGGACTACAGGTGCCTGCCACCACGCCCGGCTAATTTTTTGTATTTTTGGTTGAGACAGGGTGCAAATCTGATTCTTATATTTGACTAATCAAACGCTGTTGGGGGGCAGTTCATGGATTGTTTTTGAGTTATTTGATTAGTTTCTGCATTAATAATTTGTATTCATTGGTTTAAAATAATAGAATATAAACTATGATGAAGAAAATTTAAAAATCCAGAATCTCATCACACAAAGACTTTTTTGCATATAAATGTTTTGTCACAAAAATATGATGATAGAAAATGCATGTTTATATAGTGTACCTATAGAATTTAACTTGCTTTTATCTCAATGGTTTGGTGAACATTTTCATGTCAAGAAATACATTTTAAAAACATTTTTAGTGACTGTATAGTATCCCATTTTACTCCATATTTTTGGAGGTTTAGGCTATTTCTATATTTTTACCAATATAAACAGCCCTGCTATGGATAACTTTGCATGCACATGTTAGCCCATTCCCTTTATTTTGAGAAATTTCTGTAAGTGCACTTGCTTGGTTACACACACACACACACATACAAACACACTCACTCTTCTAAGGATTTTGAAACTAATTGTCAAATTACTTCCTAGAAGAGTTGGGCCAGTTAGACTCGTCCAATATGCTTTTGACATTGAAATAGGAATTATTCTTTATGGGGAGGAATAATTAAAAAACTAACAGAAGATCTTTGGTTCATTCTCATAGCCTAAATGACTAGGCAGCGCAAACTGTCTGGGATTTAAGTGCCCCCATCATCCCACATACAAATTAATTGACACGTAAATTCTGTAAAAAAAAAAAAAAAAAAAAAAAAGTCACATGAAAAATACAGTCTGTATATTATGATGGGCACTCCCTGATTTAGTAATTTTTAAATCTTATGTTCAGAGAAAATTACTACCAAGTGTATAACCCGGACAACGGCTCCCTTCTTTGTGCCTCCATTTCTTTACTATCAAATGGTGAAAATAATGCAATTATATTACTTCCATCATGCATGTAGTTGTTGGAAGGATTTCTTTACTTAGTGTACATGAAATTGCTAAATAAGGTTAAAAAAAAAACACTTCCCACTGTTTGTAATTATCTAGGCTATAAATTAAATGAGTAATGTTTTAATTTTATGCCTCTTATTATTTCATATAGCAGAACCAACATTTTTTGGATACCTATGATAATACAGATTGCTTTTGTTGTATTTGTTCTCACACCCAGTACCTCCTAATATTGCTGGAACTGATGAGCCCCGGGATATCACTGTGTTACGGAACAGACAAGTGACATTGGAATGCAAGTCAGATGCAGTGCCCCCACCTGTAATTACTTGGCTCAGAAATGGAGAACGGTTACAGGTAAATTTTTTGATAAGCTCCACAAATTCCTTTTTGAGATGAAAAAAGTAAAAAAATCAGCTCTAGGGCCTTTGCTGGGTACACAAAACCAACTAACATCAGGCTACTAATTATTCAACATTGCAGCAGTAAGCACAGGGTTTTTAAATTAGCTTTATTATTTGCTTTATTATTTGCCTTTGCTGGGGTAGTTAATAGTTGGTCATGGGTCAAAGAAAGGTATCTAGATTCATGATGCTCTGGAAATTTGCCAAAGTTTGTATTTCCTAGCGCCCATGCATTAAAGTTTGATTTGAAATACTCAGCTATTTCTTAAAAGAGAAGAAACCATCAAAGTCTCAAAATAACTTCCACGTCTCTAGGGAGAATGCTTCTTTTACTGAATTTCCCTTGTCTAAGCTTGGACCTTACAAGTGACCCCAAAGATACCAGGCATCTGAGACTGGAATCCGTGAAGAACCAGTTACTGGCTGTATAAAGCTTGCCATGCTTAGATGATACCTACCTGCTGTCATACAGCGTCAAAGGCCAGGATCCTCAGCAGCCTTTTAGAGACCACTGAAAGCTTTGACTTTGAATGTTTTGGATTATCCTCATTATTTTTTTCTTCTTCGTTCTTCCTCATCCTCTTATTGTAACCTACACTTTGTTTCTAGTAGTTAATTATAAAAAGGAGATTATGTCCCCTAACACCTAAGACATAAAGACTACCACCACCACCAAACCACACAAACACCAAACATGGAGAGGCCAGGTTCTGAGAGTTACTAACATGCTAAATCATCATGCATATCACTTAACCCTCCAGTACTTCAGTTTCTCTATTTATTGTGTGCCTACTAGAATGCCAGGTGCTATGATTGCTACTGAAAATAGGCTTTACCTCAAAGAGCTCACTCACTATCTGAGAAGACAGGTTAGTCAAAGATTATAGAATGAACGCCACTAGTAAATTGTATATTAGAAGGATGTGTAGAAACAGAGATGAGAAGCAAATAATCCAGACTAAAGGGTAAGGAACAGCCCATGGAAGCCTCTTAGAAAAGATGAGCTCAGTTTTAAAGGATCAGTATATACTGGGTGAGGCCAGAGAAGAAAGTGATTCCAATCACAGGTAATGGCATGTACAAAGCTATTACAGGAAAAGGAAGGCTGCTGGTCTGAGAACTGCAAGTAGCTTGGTATACCTGAAATAGAACCTGGTTAAAATCTTTGATGGTTCCCCATAGATTTCAGGATTCTGGTTAAATCACTCAACTTAGCTCACAAGCCCTTTCATGCTCTGACTTTGCCTCCATAGTCTGATCTCCCATGTGTGCATTTCACTCCAGACCATTAGGTGTAAAGGTAAAAACTGAGTGAATGTTGATGATGGAGGAGTCTAGGTTGATCCCAGGTTGACCAAGTGATGTCAATCCTAGGAAAGGGTAAGTTCACTTGTGATGAAAAATGAAAAAAAGATGAGTTCAGGTTTAGACATTTTGAATTTGAATTACCTGTATTTTCCAAGAAGAGATTGTAGAAATCATTTTAAAATATTGGCCCGTATTTCATCAAAAAAGGCTTTGGTTTCATGGTCCATATTTACTTTAAAAAAAAGCGGCCTTTGATGTAATCATCATGGTATAATCTCTTGTTGAAGTCATAAGTTTGTAGGAGGTTGACTAGAAAGCAGAGTATAAGAGTCCCAGTTAAGTGAAAATAAAGCTTTAGGCAATGGTAACAATTATGAGGTGAGCATAGGAAAAAAAGAAGATGCATGAGACTGAGAAGGAGGACTCAGAAATAGGATTAAAAGTAGGAGACACCGGTGTACTAAAAGCCAAGGAAAAGTGGAGGGGGCGGTGGTTAACAAAGGCCACAGAAGGTACAAATAAAGTTGTATCCATTAGCTTTGGCAATACATATAGGTAATTAAAGACCTGAGGAATGGTTCTTCAAAGAGTGATCAAAGTAGAAGGCAGGTTACAGTTGTTTGGGAAGTTAATCGAAGAAGAGGAAGTAGAAACAAGCATGAACTGTTCTTTAAAGATTTCTGTATGTGTATTTGCTGAAAGAAAGAGATTGGAGACAGAGGAGAGAGAAAGAGCAGTTTATAGGACACGTTATGTTGGATAGGGGAGGTATGAGACCCAGGACACAGTTGAATAGGTTAGCCTTGTCCAGAAGGGTCATCCATTTTCTGCAGAGATGGGGAAACAGAAAAGAAGGTCGTATTCATACCCAAGGTGGGGGAAGGGGAGGACTGCAGGTGTGGGGCTTTAATTTTCTCAGTGGAACAGGAAGTGAGATTATCAGCTAAGAATGAGGTTCTATCAGGAGACAAGTCAAATTTGGAAGAATTATAGGTGGTCTACGGAAGAAAAACCAGAGAAAATTCTTTTTTTTTTTTTTTTTTTTTGAGACGGAGTCTCGCTCTGTCGCCCAGGTTGGCATGCAGTGGCGCGATCTCGGCTCACTGCAAGCTCCGCCTCCTGGGTTCACGCCATTCTCCTGCCTCAGCCTCCCAAGTAGCTGGGACTACAGGCACCCACCACCAGGCCCGGCTACTTTTTTGTATTTTTTAATAGAGACGGGGTTTCACCATGTTAGCCAGGATGGTCTCGATCTCCTGACCTCGTGATCCACCCGCCTCAGCCTCCCAAAGTGCTGGGATTACAGGCGTGAGCCACCGCGCCCGGCCAAAACCAGAGAAAATTCTAATGAGACTTAATAAGTTAGCAGAAAGTACTGATATTCATGGAAGAAAAACATTATAAGAATCACTCTGAGCCAGGTGTGGTGGTTCGTGCTGTAATCCCAGCACTTCGGAAGGCCAAGGCAGGAGGATTGCTTAAGGACAAGGGTTCAAGACCAGCCTGGGCAACAGAGCAAGACCCCACCTGAATTTAAAAAAAAGTTAGCTGGGCATGGTGGCACACATCTGTAGTTGTAGCTACTGAGGAGACTGATGTGGGAGGATTGCTTGAGCCCAGGATTTTGAGATTAGAGTAAACTACGATAGCACCACTACTGCGGCATGGGTGACAGAATAAGAATCTGTCTCTTAAGAAAAAAAGAATCACTCTGAAAGTTTTTATTAGCCTAAAACTCTGCTATACCCATATAAAAGTTAAAAAATAAAATATTTTTTATAGAACTTACTATACATACTTAAGAAATCACTTATTCTCATCAAAGGTAACATAATTTTATCACTAATAGCCCCAATAGAAATGAAAGGAATAGAGAAAATGTGTAAACTTTTAAAATAAATGGACCTGAACTGCATATTTTACTTTGAACAATGTTTTCTTAGAAAGATATATGTATCTGGGACCAAGCTCATACGGTAGAGAAATCTTATTTGGGCTATTCCTGAAATGCTTCATCTTAGGTACAATGAGAGAATATCAATCTTTGATGCTATCTGGAATTTTTTAATAACTATGATCATATATTTTATCCTTAAATTACTTGTTTATATATGTAGCTCTCCAATTAGACTTAATAGCAGAGATTAGGTTTCATTGTGCTCTATTTTCATAATTTTTGTCTATGCCTAGTTACAAAATAAATTCTTAAGAAATATTTGTGGTGGTTTATTTGCTTATTTTTTTTAAATGTTAGAGTACAATGTTTTCCTCTAAGTTAACCAAAGTTAGTCAGCAACCTTTCAGTTGTAAGTGACAGAATTCAAATTCAAACCAACTTAAATGAAAAGGAAAAACAAAAAGGAAATTTATTGGCTACAATAATTGATGAATTTCCAGAGGCTCTAACTCTATAATGAGGCATCTGTCCTTTATCTGAATGAACTCTATTTGCATTGCCTTAGATTCAGGACAGCCTGTTTCCACATGATAAGACTGCCACTAGGCTTAGGTCATCCTCACAACCTGTGATTCTAGGAAAAAGGGCACACCCTTTCCCCGACACTCCCAGCAGAGTCTAGAGGAGGACTCTGGTAGGCCTGATTGAGTCACCTGCCCATTCTTGAATGGATCATTATTGTCAGAGCAATTGGGCATACTGCCTCTGCCTTTGACTTAACATCACTCATTAAAACAGTTCCCAGGGATTTTTGATACTACGAAAATGGTGGAGGAGCAGACAAAGCATGCTGACAGACAGCAGGTCCACAGTTCACTATACTTACTTTTGATGCTGTGAAATAATATTTATTCTCTTTTCCTGACATTTTAACGGCAAATTTCTTTACTTGCTGAATCCAGGCAACACCTCGAGTGCGAATCCTATCTGGAGGGAGATACTTGCAAATCAACAATGCTGACCTAGGTGATACAGCCAATTATACCTGTGTTGCCAGCAACATTGCAGGAAAGACTACAAGAGAATTTATTCTCACTGTAAATGGTAAGAAAAGGTATTCATTGTTCCACAATTTAAAAATCTGACCAAGGGCATTCAAAGAGATGATAGCTTTTTCTTATGAGCATACTAAATGAAGCCTTGTGCTTATCTTACTGCTTTTGAAAAAGGCAACGTGGAGTATTTGTATTATATCTATACTGCAAATTAACTCAATTTCCAAAAAACATAACTAGAGATATTTTACTCTATCTTAGAGAATATGTCCAATTGTTCTTAGCATATCATGATGTTTTCTGTCATTCAGAATCAGAACCATTGAGGAAGTCAATACACTAAATCACTGGATGACAAATGGCCCATCATTTAGTTCACCTTTATTGATGGTGGCTTGAGAGTACATATGTGCCAAACAGAGACTGTCATAGGACTGTAATCTTATTAAGTATAATAGCTGAATGCCAACATCTAGGAAGATAATATAGACTTTTCCTCAAAACAATCTATTGGATATTTAATATATAAAATTTTACAGAATATTGGGTGACCCAAACAACTAATATCTCTAATACTAAAATTAAAATTCAGGCTGTCTATTCCCATATGAACTCAATGATCAATAAAATGCATGCTCTGAGAATTACATGATTAATCACAGATGTGCTTTTTGTTAAAACAGCCCACTTTCTGTTCTTCATTTAAAGTGAAGCTGTTCCAGTGTTAGCATTCTCTGACCATTATTTGGCCAAAGAGAAATAAGAAATATCATCTTTAATTTGCATCAGACTAGAGCTGAGTTTCATTTAAGCCTCTCTCACAGTAAGCCAGATTTCATACACCATATTAGGGATTTAAAATTCCCCTCCCTATCTACCCTTTATTTTTAAACACAAAGTATCTTGAGTAAGACTTTAGGAATTAAACCTCAATTCTACTTATACTAACCTAGATTCTTGTAGACAAAGCTATACATTTGACTCGAAGCTCATCTTATATTACATCTTCAGGGTCTTCATGCAGGCTGTATTATTTAGTCTCACTGAATTTTTTCATGTGTATCTCTTGTTCAGTTCCTCCAAACATAAAGGGGGGCCCCCAGAGCCTTGTAATTCTTTTAAATAAGTCAACTGTATTGGAATGCATCGCTGAAGGTGTGCCAACTCCAAGGATAACATGGAGAAAGGATGGAGCTGTTCTAGCTGGGAATCATGCAAGGTAACCATACTGGAAAATTAAAAAATGCTATAAGACCTGAAATACAAATTCTTAATTTTTTTTCCTAGTGCACTATTTTGGTCTCATTATGTTTAGAATCAGCATTTCATCTTAATACGAGAATCAAAATTTAGTATTTTATTATTTTTCTGAGACAGAGTCTTGCTCTGTTGCCCAGGCTGGAGTGCAGTGGCATGATCTTGGCTCATTGCAACCTCCACCTCCTGGGTTCAATTGATTCTCCTGCCTCAGCCTCCCAAGTAAGCTGAGATTAAAGACGCACGCCAGCACGCCCAGCTAATTTTTTGTATTTTTAGTAGAGATGGGGTTTCACCAGGTTGGCCAGGCTGGTCTCGAACTCCTGACCTCAGGTGATCCGCCCACCTCAGCCTTCCACAGTGCTGGGATTACAGCCTTGAGCCTTCACTCCAGGCCCAAATTTAGTATTTTAAAAGCATAATCCCTAAGGCTTATGTCTACATAATGATTATAATCCATTAAAGATCACAAGCCCATCTGTTATGCACCTTTGCATCGTAGCCTTTTCTTCCACCAAGGGTATCATAAACATGTGTCATCTGAAACAGGAAAAATACTGAATGGATTTCACCAAGTGTTTAACATTTCCCTCAGTCAAAATATGAACAATCAAAAAAGGCTGATTCAGAAGACTTCACTTGTGATTTCTCTTGTAGATATTCCATCTTGGAAAATGGATTCCTTCATATTCAATCAGCACATGTCACTGACACTGGACGGTATTTGTGTATGGCCACCAATGCTGCTGGAACAGATCGCAGGCGAATAGATTTACAGGTCCATGGTAAATATCCGTTTATAGACAACATCCGGTCTCTGTGTCAAATGCTCTTTGATTGCCTAAACTAGTGAGGTCATAAAGATCTTGACATTGAAGGCTAGTTAAGCAATTTACATTATGGTATGAATAGCAAGCCCCAAGTTTTCTCCTTAGTATAGTTAATATCATCACAGCACTATTAAAATTTGCAGAGTCTTGTTTGCTCATAACTATGAGGCAAGTTAATAATGACTAATTTCAGTTCAGCAGAAATATTTCAAATGGCACGCTATTTGCTGACTGTGTTTCCTTCTTATTTGGTGACATTGTCTTAGTTCCTCCATCTATTGCTCCGGGTCCTACCAACATGACTGTAATAGTAAATGTTCAAACTACTCTGGCTTGTGAGGCTACTGGGATACCAAAACCATCAATCAATTGGAGAAAAAATGGGCATCTTCTTAATGTGGATCAAAATCAGAACTCATACAGGTAAGGATAATTTAAAACTCCTACCAACTATTTACAAACAGTTTGTAATGAATCAACATTTTAATTCTATCAGTGGGGTCAGCAAATATATAGACTATAACAAATTAGCTAGCATATAGAGGGTTTTTTTCCTTAATATGGACTTAGTTTTTCAGCCTAAAATATTTTTCTGAATTATAGGTCATCTTTTCCATACATAAACCCTGTGGATGAATGTCAGTGATTATATATAGGATTAGATTTATATCCTGCCTTATTTGTTTAGTACCTTTTGGACTTTTATAAAGGCAAAGGATAAAAACATCATTTTATATAAAAGAAAAACTATTCTGTAAAAATAAATACGATCTTTAGTTGTAGAATAAAAGTCAAATTTTATACCTTAAAATACAATTTAGATATTGGCAGAATGTGTAGGGAGGAAAAACAGCATTTTCTCCATTTTTTTTTTTTGCTTTTTTCCAAGCTTTAATACCATAGCTCATAATATGGCAATATCTATTTTTCAAAGGCTAAACTTTAAATCACTAAGAATTTCTGATGTTATAGGTGAGCATCATTTTTTGTATCTCACCTGAGCTATCAGATTATTACTCTGTCAAACATTTGCCATAGCGCTAAAAATAAATGCTCTCTTATGTCCACTTTAACAAAAATCAATTCCAATACATCAGGAAATATAAAACTAGGAGTGCTGCAGTTGAAATTCTATCATGTCTCTTTTTCACCCTTTTAATCTTTTGGCATTGGGAGGTTCAGTGACTTGAAAGTATACACTGTATGGAAAATGTGCCATGCTTTTGAATTAAAAGGTGTGTCAAATATGTTTTATTAATGTTTTTTATTAAATCATTTCTATCATGCACAGTGTGAAATCAAATAGATATTCTAATTTAGATTTACTTTAAATCATGTATGTGTATTTACTAAACCTCCTAAAATGTGAAGTGTTCTAGATTTTAGTTTTGAATATATATACACACATACACACACTTGTTCAAAACTAAATATATATATATATACTTTTTTTGAAATAGATATTGCCATATTATCTACAAGGTAGCCACACATTTAAGGAGACATGCAAAGTACATAAAGGGGTGAGACACACAGACTTGTCATTAGCCATCTGTCAATGGAAATAAACAAATATCAACCTGCTAGGTTATTGTGAAATTTAAAGATAATTTATGCAAAGCATTTAAGATGGTGCCTGGAGTGTATCTGATGCCCAGTAAACAGTGGCTGTTATCAGTGTTCTCATTGTACTGTATTTCTCCTAGGAGAGCCAGGTTGATCATAATATAAGCATTTAGAGAATGTAAGATTCCCTCTTCAGACAATCCTTCCCACAATTACTTCCTGTAAATATTATATCAAGTTTGAGGCTCTAGAAAGCCACTGCCATACAAACATAAACTCTAATGCATAAAGTTGGCCTCAGGGACATGATGTTAATTTTAACATGAGGGAAGAGTACTGTTTTCATCAATTTACAACATGGTACCATGTTAAACTAGCTGGGAAAATTTATGAAAACCTACATATAGTATCTCATGCTTTGAAATGTGTCTTCTAGGCTCCTTTCTTCAGGTTCACTAGTAATTATTTCCCCTTCTGTGGATGACACTGCAACCTATGAATGTACTGTGACAAACGGTGCTGGAGATGATAAAAGAACTGTGGATCTCACTGTCCAAGGTAGAATTGGCTTGGAACATGGATTGAAACATGATAATGCTATCACTTCGTTATTCTACTACTTTACAAAAGGGATCCCTTTTCTTTTTTTTTTTAAACATTTATTTTAAGTTCAGGGGTACACATGCAGGTTCGTTATATGGGTAAACTAGTGTCATGGGGGTTTGTTGTACAAATTACTTCATCACCCAGGTATTAACCCAGAAATAAAAGGAGGAATCCCTTTTCTACTTACCTAACTTTCACTTTCAGAGCAAAAAGAGGATGTATGATAAGTCTTTGGAAATCTTTAAGGGCTGGAAATGTGTAGTTTTTTCCCTTTTTGTTGTTGTTGTTGTTTTAGTTCCACCTTCCATAGCTGATGAGCCTACAGATTTCCTAGTAACCAAACATGCCCCAGCAGTAATTACCTGCACTGCTTCGGGAGTTCCATTTCCCTCAATTCACTGGACCAAAAATGGTATAAGACTGCTTCCCAGGGGAGATGGCTATAGAATTCTGTCCTCAGGTAAGACCAAGCTCAGTGATTTCACATCTATTGATTGTATTATTTATTGATGCATATTCTTACCTGGCCTTTGTTGCACCAGAATAAAAGAATAAAATATGCATGCATTCTTGAACTTAAAAATCTGGAAAACAGATTGTTAAAACATATTTTTAACATAGAAAGGGGTTCTAGGGAATAGAAGAGAAAAAAATTAGTCTGGAAACAAAATAACAATATCTAAGACTGATCTGAATATAATAAACATGATCACCGGTATTTATGTGTATATTTACCAAACCTAAGGTTTAACAAATTCCCGAGTTACCTGTGAGTGAATCACACTTCTTTCATTGGCCAAATAGAATGTCTCTTCATTTATCGAACATTTAGTGCCTAAGACAGGATATATACTCTACTAAGATTCTGAGACTGTATAACTAAAACAGGGTTCTAGGTTTCAAGGTTTTTAAAATTGAGTATGTAAGACTGAGTGAGTAGCGAGTTCTATGAAGGAAAATTTTTTATAGTGGTAGTAACCCTCATTTATACAATTTATAGTATTGAAGAAAAAAAAATCACCTAAAGTATAGGTGATTCACGTTGGTGTTTCTAAAACTTATCCTACACTGGGGAAACACAATAGAGATAAAGTAGCAACTAATATCCTGGGACTTTAAGAGTATGTGCATATTATTCTAAGAGAATTTGTGTATTTCCTCAATAGAAGGGTAATAGTGGAAAATGTGTTCCCAGGATGCAACTTGGCTTTCAAGACAAATTATTTTGACTATGGATTGGTAGCAATTGAAATCATAAAAGATTTTAAAATAAAGTATTAGGCTAAGAAAACAATTTAGAACTTTCAAAATATTAAACCTAGCAACTTCATTCCTAGGTATTTACCCAAAAGAAATGAAAACATTTGTCTACACAAAGGCTTATATGCAAATCTTCATACAGCATCATTCACAATAGCCAAAAAGTGGAAACAATTCAAATGTCCATCAGCTGATAAATGGATAAATAAAATGTGGTATATCCATGCAATGGAATTCTGTTTGGCAATAAAAAGGAACAAAATATTGACAAATGCTACAGCAGATGAACCTCAAAAACATTATGCTCATAGTGAAAGAAGTCAGACACCAAGGACCACATACTGGATGATTCAGTTTATATGAAGTGTTCAGAAAAGGCAAATCTGTAGAATCAGAAAGCAGATTAGTGGTGGGCTAAGGCCAGGGTTGTGAGTGGGGAATGACTGTAAATGAGCACCAGGGTTCTTTTGGGGGTGATGGAAATATTCTAAAATTAGATTGTGGTGATGTTTGCATAACTCTAAGTATACTAAAAATCATTGAATTGCGCATTTAAATGAGTGACCCTTATGATATGTAAATTATGCCTCAATAAAGCTGTTAGTAATAATTTAAGTACTGTGCTAGGCACTTCAGGGGATACAAGTATGAATATAAGCCAAGCACCACCATGCTATTTGCAGAAAACACACAAAAGAGAGTCAAATTTTATTGAACTAAAAAAACTGAGATGCAGTATATATTAAAACATTTTTTTTCATTTTTAGGAGCAATTGAAATACTTGCCACCCAATTAAACCATGCTGGAAGATACACTTGTGTCGCTAGGAATGCGGCTGGCTCTGCACATCGACACGTGACCCTTCATGTTCATGGTATGGAAGGCTATTTACTCATTCAAAGTTCGCTGGGTTTGGGGAGGTTTTTTAGTCATATTTATTCTGAAAGGTGGTAGGTACTGTCGAGAGCTATGAACCATAGTAATATCTTGGGGATATGAAAGCCTGGTAGATACTTTTAATAGGCTAAAAAAGGCACACAAATGGCAAACCACTCAAAGTAACTCCAAAATAATTTTTCTTCTTGGCTTTTTATGATCTGTTCCTGACTCTAGTCTTCCAGTGGGGTTCTTCTAATGGAAACTGGCTACTGTAGCAAGACTCAAAGAATGCAGTGTGGCCAACATTCACTTTTCTCTTGGGCAATCAAATCACTAATATTTTAGAATTATGAATTTGGGTATTTTTAAGCTCATTACTACAATAGACATGGTTTATTAACTAGTGCTATTACTTCTTTTTGTTGATTGGTTTTTTTATAGAGCCTCCAGTCATTCAGCCCCAACCAAGTGAACTACACGTCATTCTGAACAATCCTATTTTATTACCATGTGAAGCAACAGGGACACCCAGTCCTTTCATTACTTGGCAAAAAGAAGGCATCAATGTTAACACTTCAGGTACCTACCACTGTTTTTCTATCAAGAAAATCATAGCACATCAGTGTTTTATAATTCGAATCAGCATGATTGTTTTTAATGAACAGGCTTTTTTTTTTCCCCACTCTGCTTTTGTAACTATGTTGTAGGCAGAAACCATGCAGTTCTTCCTAGTGGCGGCTTACAGATCTCCAGAGCTGTCCGAGAGGATGCTGGCACTTACATGTGTGTGGCCCAGAACCCGGCTGGTACAGCCTTGGGCAAAATCAAGTTAAATGTCCAAGGTACCTAAATAATTCATCTCTGTTTTCAATTCAAAGATGTTTGTAACAATGTCTACCAAATATTTATATATCTAAAATGATTATGCTGCTGTTCCCCCATAGTTCTCGACATTCTTAGTTTGCATTATCCTATTGGTTTTTCTATCACTTTTATGAAGAAAGTTTAATGTATTTTATTTTGTTGGCCATTGTTTGTATAAGAAAACACAGGCATCTAATCCTATTTTGAACTTCTATGAACCTCTGTTTGATACTCCATTTCATTATAGCATATGTATGATGTGATTGTTAAAACCATTCTCTCTACAATACTACCTTGGATACATTACAAAACACTGGATTATAACGTTCCACTTAAAAAATCATAATCGCAGTTAAACCAACTTGATGGAAAAAATTATTCTAAAGAGAAAGCAGGGTATTTTTGTGTTTTCAAACTTAACTGATATTTTCTTGATAGAATTTTTATATCTTGCATGCACTGCTTTTGCAAATTAGAGGTGACCCAGAAATAGATTTCAAGCTACTAAATTTGAATTAGCTTAAATGTCTTATACTGTAATTTTCCTATGGTAGATTCATGAATATAATAAACCTCACTTTCCTGCATATTATAAATCTAATTGGTTTGTATTTTTCAACATTTATTCAACATTAATAACTGGAAATACATTGAACATTACAGACATGATCCTTCTCTTATGGTGTTTATACATTGATGGAGAAGGAAAATCTTAAACTACCAGATAGATGAAATAATGATAAATTCTGATGTATGCTATATAGAGGAAAAGCAAAAGACTGAGACAGAGAAGAATAATGGGAATATGTGGGGACCACTTTAGAAAATGGTTAGGATAGGTTTCTCTGAGGAAGTAATATTTAAGTGACCCCTGAATGATGAGCTAGGATAAGCCATGGGCAGGTTGGTGGAGTGTCCAAAGGAGAGAGGACAGCATGTACAGTGACCCCAAGTCAAGAAAGAGTGAGAAAAGAAAGTATGGCAGTGTGGCTAGATGGTGGTGAGCAAGCCCAAGGCAAGCAAAACACAAGGGAGATCAGAAAAGTAGGCAGGGCCCATGCATGGATGGCATGATGTACCCTAAGATATGTAGATTTTATTCTCTGTGCAAATAAATCTTTTGAAGGGCTTATCCAGGACTCTCATTTGGTTTTAGGAAGACCCCTCCTGCAGCTCTAGGTAATGGTTTAGAGAAAAGGGCAGGACTGGAGTTGTAGTGTGTTATTGTCCAAGAGTGGAGATGGGAGCACAAATTGCAGAAGTGAATGAGAAAACTGATGGATTTATGTTGTTTATGGAGGTGTAATTGTTAGGATTTCTGATGAATTGGTAGGTTAGGAATAGAAAATTAGTGAAGCTTCCTGGGCTTCAGACTTAAGCTAGTGAGTAGATGATAGTGCCATGTTGGAACGCAAGGGGAAGAACTGGGTTGGGAAGAAGGAAACCATGATTTCTGTTTAATTTTATTAAATATGGGAAACTATTAGAAATCCTAGTGGAGATGTCAAGTAGAGAGTTGAATATATATGAATTTGGAGCTCATGGGAGAAGTATAGTCAAAGATAAAAATTTGGAAATAATCAGCGTTAAACCCACAAGACTGGATAAGATCACTAAGGAAAGAGAATGTGTACAGAAAAGATTGGCAAGGACAAAGTCCTGGGGCTGTGCATTGTTTCAAGGTCTGAGAAAGGAAAATAATACAATGGAGAGGGCAGGGATATCGTTGGAAAACTTAATGAAGGCTAGGGAAGGTTAGTGTTTCAAGAAGAGAGTGAACGGCTTTGTTAAATGCAGTTGAGTCAAGTAGGATAAGGACCCAAAAGTATTCATTGGTTTCAGCAACACAGAGGTCGTAGAAAAGAACATTTTTAGATTTGAGGAGTTGTTTCTTCATGAAATGATTGAAATTATTGACATGAGAGAAATTAAGGGACAAAGAAACACATTAAACAACCAAAAGCATTTCAACATTCCAAAAGCAATCGGAGATAATTGCTTCCTCAGAGGCATGAAAAATTCTGAATAGACTGTCTTCTTGCAGATACAAATGTAATGGTAAGCACAAATTCAACCAAATAATTTTGTTGCTATAAATAATCTTAATACGATTATCAGTTATTTCATATGCCTTTTTATAGTGATGCGTTACAACTGAATAGAATATCCAGGCTAATACCTAAGTGGTGATCAGCCTATTGTAAACACTTGGAAAGGAAATCCTTATTATAAGCTCTTTTATAGGTTTCCAAATAAATGGGAAGAGTTTTACCTATATAATTATTTTCCATGATCTATTTATGTATTCATTAGTTCAAATAATCCTTTATTAAATGTAGCCACTGTATATGTGTATTCTAAGCTCTATGGAAATACGTAAGTAAAAGTATCCAAGCAGTTGAATATTTTCCAAAACCTGGCGTTCATTTTGGAAGTTTAAATACCTAAAGTGAATCACATAATTTATGTAAGTTAAAGAAAATATTTTTGTTGATACAGCTTAAATTTTCTAGACATGCATGCCCTCATGAATATATGTTTATCTCCTCATTTAAAATCGACTATCACTTAACATTTATGGGTTAGCTAGGGACTAGTTTTCTGAAGTGCGCCCAGATAATTTTTTGTTCCCATGAAAAAATGTAGTGCTCCTTTTCTAATGATATGGTGAAGTCAGGATTTTGTTTCTTATCAATGTTTGCTAGAGCAGTACTGTAGTATGTAATTTGCGCACTCATGCTTCTAAGATAAAGTTTGAACTTTATATTTTTTGTATATTTTAGTTCCTCCAGTCATTAGCCCTCATCTAAAGGAATATGTTATTGCTGTGGACAAGCCCATCACGTTATCCTGTGAAGCAGATGGCCTCCCTCCGCCTGACATTACATGGCATAAAGATGGGCGTGCAATTGTGGAATCTATCCGCCAGCGCGTCCTCAGCTCTGGCTCTCTGCAAATAGCATTTGTCCAGCCTGGTGATGCTGGCCATTACACGTGCATGGCAGCCAATGTAGCAGGATCAAGCAGCACAAGCACCAAGCTCACCGTCCATGGTAGGTTGTTTAACATGAATTATTTTAGTCTGCTGCACTACCATGGCAAAGAGAAAAGGCTACCAAGAGCAAATCTGATGGAAGTCAAAAACCCTTAAACTCAGTAATCCAAAGTGTGTGTGGGGGTGTGGTGTGTAGGTGCACTTCAAATCTGTTTTCTGTAGGCTGTGTTTCTGTGTGTTTGTGCACATAGGTGTGTGAGAGAGAAAGACAGATTTTATTAATATTGCCAGGATTTTTAATGTGTTGCTAGTACCCTCACATATTGTGATTAGTTGGCTTATGAAGAGTCCGTTTGTGTTTTGTGACTTTTCTGCTTTACTTCTCAAGCTTCAAGTCATCTTGGTTCAAATGAATCATCATATGACCTACATTGTATGATTTGACTCTAATGAGAATTAGGAGATCTATTTGATTCATTATATTAAAGTGGCAAAATATTACATGTATATTTTTATAACAGAAAAATATCTTTGTATTAAGACAACAAAATATTGAAAAATCAGCATTGAAATATTTTTAGTTTTTATTATATATTTTGACTAAGGATAGAATCCACGTTAATATCAGTGGTGGGAAACAATACCAGATTAAACTGCTTCCAGCCTCTATTTTCAGAGGTAATTATTATAATGAGGAGTTTCTGCCTTTTCATTTTTCAGAAATTTGTGAAAGCTGTTTTATTTTTCAAGTGTATTTTAATTTTCTGTAACTTCATAGTAACAGAGACAATTTTGAGTGGAAACATTTTTGGTTGAATAATTTAGCCAAAATTAAAAATCATCATTTATGAGTTTTCCAAATAACTCCCCTGCTTTCAGTTAATATAATTAAACTAATCAATATACACTATCCATTTGCCTTCAAATAAATAATACTCCTTCTTCTCAAATGTCTATAGAAAATTTACCAAAATTGACCATATACTAAACAAAGAAATTGTTAATAAGTTTCAAAAAGATAGACCATAATTTCTACCCACCATGCAACAAAGCTAGAAATTTGTAATGAACTTTGAAAACCCCAAACCCAGACAACTTTAAACACTCTTCTAGCCAAAAAGTAGGTCAAAGAGTATTTTTCTGTTTTCACATTATTTAGAAAATAAAGACATGACATATCAAAATGTACAGTGTGTGCTCAAAGCTAAAATCAATATAAAGTCATAGCAATAATTCTTTCATTTTGAAAAAGAAAGAACTGAATTAAATATACTAATGCTGCAAGTTTGTATCCCGTAACAAAAGACAAATAGCAACCCAAGGAAATCAGGATAAAGAAGATAATGAAAATAGAGCAAGAATTAATTAAAAATGAGTATTTACGATGTACCATTGAGCAAAATCAATTTTTGTGTTTTCCAAGTTATCTATGTTTGTATCTATAATTATTTATATAATGTTTGTATATTTAATCATATAATCATAAAGGACAAAAAATTAACTATTTTAATCGAAAACAGTTAATTTAACTGAAAGTAGCTAATTAAAGTTTATATAGCAATTTTATTTTTGCTAAGGCCAACTGTTCTCTTTTCACTCGTTAAAATGTCATTAAGATGGGTCTGCTTCTGATTTGTTTGAATAATTCCAAATTCATTGTTTTGGGAAGGGAGTGTATTTTTACTTTTGAACCGAGAATTCTTAATACTTTTTGTCTTTTCTTTAGAAGTAACTATCTTAGTTCTAAGTCCAATCAAGTATTTTTTATTACACTAAAATATTCAGTTCATCTCTATATTGCCCAAATTCTAGTTAAAAAAATTTGAGTCACAGGAAGTATTTGGTACTATACTGTGCAGTTATAAAGTCACTCTGAAAATTTTCTCTGACAGTATGAAAACTGAATTAAGTGTCTTGATCTGGTTTACTTGTATTCATTGTAACATGTAAAATACTGCAATAAGTATTTTTTTTTCTACAGCACTTTGTGATATTCAGTATTGGGTGAGTGTTTTATAGTGTTTTATGGTGACTATTATTAGTTCATCCTCATAATATACAGCAGTTACGCAACCATAGAAGCATTTTTTCGTTTTGTTGTTGGTTTGTTTTACTTCACTGCAGTAAACAGAAGTAACTTAAAGACGGAAAAGTCAGGGAAGCCAAATAAAATCTAAAGATCTTCTACCCAGTTCTGTCATTTGCTCAGAAACCAAACGTAAATATATTCAGTAAGTTCAATTACATTAGGATTCTTGCTAGCACCAAAAATACTGATTTCTTTCATAGCAGGAAGCAAATCAATATCTTAATAGATTTTCATTTTTAGTATTTCTAGCAAAATTACCCTGAAAAGAGTTTTTTATGTGTTAATTTTTATTGTGAATAAAGACATTATTGAACTCAGCTTCCTGGATGACTCTTTTTTAAACTCTTCATAGTACCACCCAGGATCAGAAGTACAGAAGGACACTACACGGTCAATGAGAATTCACAAGCCATTCTTCCATGCGTAGCTGATGGAATCCCCACACCAGCAATTAACTGGAAAAAAGACAATGTTCTTTTAGCTAACTTGTTAGGAAAATACACTGCTGAACCATATGGAGAACTCATTTTAGAAAATGTTGTGGTAAGTTTAATGGACGTGAACAGATACATTAAGCCAGATTGTAAATTTGCCATCATACTTTTAGTAATTTAGCATGGAAGTATATTCTTTAATAATTAAAAAAAATATTCTTGTAAAATCAGGTCACAAAATTAATTTTACACGTATTTCATGTCCCTTGAATGAGAATAATATTTAACAGACGATAGGAACTCATAAATGCCCTCCTTCGAAAATTATTTTGTGTTTGTGGAAATATGTGTTTATCAGGAAAAATTTTAAGTGCCAGTGCTATATTCTGTGCTCTTAACCTTATTTGGCAATGATAAGTATCTAGAGTAAATAATTGTAATTTTTATGCTATATTTTCAATTCTTTAGTGCTTCAAGGGGAAAAATGTTAAACTTTTTTAAAAAAAGGAAAAAAGTCTATGTGTCTCAATGCAATCAGAAGCAGTCATTAATATTCAACATAAATATTCATATATATTCATATTTGAATATTCCTATTCAAATATTCAACAAATATTTATTGAACACCTTCTCTGCAACTAGCACTGGTTTAGGCACTGGGAATACATCAGGGAACAAAAGAAACAAAGATCTTTGCCCTCATGGAGTTTATATCTAGAGGAAGGAGACAATAAAAATGAAAAATAGTAATGTCAGAAGAAAATAAGTCAGAAGAAAAAAGTGGCATGAAAAATAAGAGGGGAAAAGAGTGTCAGGAGTTGGAGCAGTGAAGGTTACAGTTGTAAATAGGGTAGTCAGAGTAAATTCTCTTTGGGAAGGTGACATTTGAGCAAAACTTGAAGGAAGTGAATTAGCCAAGCAAATATTGGAGGAGCAGACCGGGGGAAAAACAAAAATAGGTAGAGCAAAGAACTTGAGGTGGAAACATGTCCAGTGTATTTGAAAAGCAGGAAGCCAGTGAAAGCAAAGCAAAGAATGAAAGGAGAAAGACGTCAGTGATAAATGGAGGCCAAATCATGTCGGGTCTTACAGGTCATTGTAACAATTTTACCTTTTACTCTAAGTCAGAATCCATTGCAGGTTTTTGAGCAGGTGAGCAATCTTATATGCCTTAAATTTTAAAGGGTTACGTTGGCTGTTGTGATGAGAATCAAAGGTAGGGAGACAAGGACAGGAGCAGTGAGACCTGTTGGGAAGACTCTCTGGAGGCAGATGAGAAATGATAGAACTCAAAGCAGGATGTTAGCAGAGAAGAGACAAGAAGTAAGACTCTGCATATACTTTGAAGCTAGCATTTTCTGGTAGATTGCAAGTAGGGTGTGAGGAAAAAAAATAAGAATGACTCAAATGTTTGAGACTGAAGGCATGAACAATTGGAAGGGTGAAATAGCCATCAGCCGAGACGGTGAAGGCTACAGGTGGTACAGGAAGGGGCCATTGGAAGGAATCGGGAGGTCAGTTTTGGGGCATGAATGTGAGACATATCTTAGGCATCAGAGCAAAGAGTTAGAATAAGAAGTTCAATAGACTTTGAGTTTGTAAGAAAGTATCAGTATTTGGGTTGGAGATACTGATAGGCATCAGCATATAGTTGATATTTAAAGCTATAGCACTGTATGAGATCACCAAAAAAATTGAGTACAGATATAGAAGAAAAGAGGAGCAGAGGTTGAGCCTTCTCGCTTGCCACCATTAAAATGTTAATGTTGAGGAGAAGCCCCAAAAAAGGTTGGAGAAGCAGCAGCCAGTGAGATAGGAGGGGAAAATAGGCGAGCATAGTGTCCTGGAAACCATGTAAAGGTGGTTTCGCATAGAAAGGACTCATAATTGTGTCAGATTCTACAAATGCATCAAGAAAGATGAGTGATGAGAGCTGGCCGTTGAATTTAGCAAGTGAGGCCTCAGAATTCTAGGTAATAGTGCCCTTTCTCTTACCATTTCCTCTGATAGTTTTGTTGATCTTTGGTACCGCCTTAGAGAGCCAATTATGCTGTCAAGATGCTGTCAGCTTTTGGGATTATTTGCTCTTTATTTGTGCAATGCAGAGCAGCAATACACTTGATATCTAGCAAACCACAGAAACTACAGTTTTCTGAAATCTTACCACTGTAAAATGATTATTGTTCTGAAAGGTATGGGCTTATGTTTAAACTTCTATACATTTTAAATTATGTTATGCAAAAGCTAACCTGATGGTTAAGACTAAAAGATGGAAATTTAAATTGTCTTTGGATAAGAGAGTTTCTTGAGGGCCTAGCTATGCAATTTGATGTATTTTATGTACTATGATGGATGATTATGAAATTTTAAATGTTACTTTTTTTAATTTTAGCTGGAGGATTCTGGCTTCTATACCTGTGTTGCTAACAATGCTGCAGGTGAAGATACACACACTGTCAGCCTGACTGTGCATGTTCTCCCCACTTTTACTGAACTTCCTGGAGACGTGTCATTAAATAAAGGAGAACAGCTACGATTAAGCTGTAAAGCTACTGGTATTCCATTGCCCAAATTAACATGGACCTTCAATAACAATATTATTCCAGGTTGGTCATTTAATTCTCAAGAAGTGAATAAATACACCTATGTAGAACTCTAGACGAAGCTCTGTTTCCTCCAGCTGTGAAAATTGAAAAGTAACAAGAATTGATTGCTTTAAATGCTGTAAAATGTGTGCCTCTGCTTGGATTTTACCCTCTACCCAATATATATGTTTTGTTCCTTCTTTTGGAAGCATAAGTTGATCACAGGGCCATATATTGCAGGTTATAAGTAGCTTTTTTAACCTAAATATAATTCCCCTTACCCCATGAGAAGGCAGTATGTTTATATAGGCGCCTAAACTTATCCCAGCTGGACCCCCTTCATCACTGATCAGTAGATTAAGATGGCCGCTGTTGGAGTCCTAAAGATTCACTTAATTTTACAGAGAAGAATTCTACTTCTCACTGTTTGCCTCAACCTCTATTATAGTGTAGATTAATTTATGTAGAAAATTTCTAGTCACTGTGTATACTACAAGTTAAGGTCGTGTCTGGAACCCAGGAGCACCCATCCCTGGGTGAACAAATATCTACCTATTTGTTAGACTTTGTCATCAGCATAAAGACTGTCAATACTGAGAAATTGTTCTATCCCAAAATTGAGTTCTGAAGTATTACACTGTTAGCATTTACTAAGTGTCTTGCTAGAAAAGTAGTAATAAGCTTGAGAGTTTTTTTCTATTATAAAGAGTTATGTTAATGACATTAGTTAATGTTAATTCCAGTTAATGGCTGGAATTTATCAACTGCATTACCTTAATAACAATACATCTCACTAAGAAAAAACAGACACTAAAAAATCTAATCTATATTGTTTTCTGAAAGTGCAGTACTAATGTTTTCTGAAAGTGCAGTAATGTAAATGTACTTTTAAAGCTTAATTTTCCACTTAATATTCAGCAGTAAAAGATTTAAAAAAAAAAAACTTAAATGAGGAGAGCATGCAAGGTAAACATACGTATTTAGATATGGACTGGTTTAGTCAGAATTTTATTTAGTCTTAGTTGTTTTAGGATTAGCATGTTTACCTTATATTTTCTTCTAAATGTTATATGTTATTTATAATATAAATTTTATAAATATTACTATCATAAATTTTTAAATAAAATATATGCCTTTGTAAATATTTATATAATCACCATTTATGATTTACAGAGAAGTTTAAATTATTACAAATTTGACTATGTTGTTGTTATTACCTAAGTAGCATACGTTTTCATAATTTTCCCCTTTGACCTGCCAAGTCAGTTGAATTATAAGCTGAAAAGGTTTTCATGTGTTTGATGTAAATTGTTTGGGAGGAAAAGTGGTAATGAGATAAATGAAATGGAAAATGTAATATTTCTGAATGAAAGATTTTTGAAACTCAGACTACGAGCCAGCTTTAAGCAACGCATTTAGATGAAAGGTTTACTTTAAACCTAAAATAATTTTTAAAAGATGTTTGTTTTCATCCTCTTTTCCTGTTCCTTCTGCTGTTTTTGTTCTTCAAACAAGTGTCTATAGACATAGTAAATAGCTCAGATGAAGAAATGTGGAAAAGGCTCTCTTCTCCAATGTCATCTCTTTGGTTCAATTGCTGACCAACTCATAAATCTAATGTGCAAAATACTGAGCTGTCGTGAAATTTTTCCTAGGTTACTGAGAGGCACTTGTGTTGTTTCTTGTTTCCCTCAGCCCACTTTGACAGTGTGAATGGACACAGTGAACTTGTTATTGAAAGAGTGTCAAAAGAGGATTCAGGTACTTATGTGTGCACCGCAGAGAACAGCGTTGGCTTTGTGAAGGCAATTGGATTTGTTTATGTGAAAGGTAGGGAAAAGCGCTCCATTTTTAATTTATAATGCATTCATAATGAATAGTTCAAGTTTTGCTTCTTTATTTTATGGTAATAAAATATAACTTCAAGTTTTTAATCCACTCAGTCCTATTTCACAGATGTACAAATTCATGAGAAAAAAATTATGAACATTCAACTCAAAAGTAGATAAGAAGTAAAGAGATCATTTCACACAAAGTGGAATCATCCCCTTAGAATATTGAAATTGACAAAATTATCTGGTGATTTAGCATGAAGAGTTGATTCTGGAAATTTCATGAGTCTTTAAGGTGGCTTTACTCCCCTCTTTACTAAATTATTTTTCCAAATAGGTCAAAGATCACAAAGAAATTATCAGCACTTACTTTTACTTTGTACCTGTCTTATGTTGTTTTCCAGAACCTCCAGTCTTCAAAGGTGATTATCCTTCTAACTGGATTGAACCACTTGGTGGGAATGCAATCCTGAATTGTGAGGTGAAAGGAGACCCCACCCCAACCATCCAGTGGAACAGAAAGGGAGTGGATATTGAAATTAGCCACAGAATCCGGCAACTGGGCAATGGCTCCCTGGCCATCTATGGCACTGTTGTAAGTCACGCCAGAATGATTGATGCACCTTTAAACCCCCACAGCCAATACCCCTCTGTGAGTGCCATAGATAAGAAACATTTCTCTTACATTCCTATTTAAATCATAAAATCTGAATCAAATAACTCCTTTTAAAAAACTGAAACAAGGATTGAAATAGATATTTTAGCCCTTTCAAATAAGTGCAGTGAGATAATGTGGCTGCCTTGTTCCTTATCATTGACTTACTAATTAACATTTGGAGATAACTTCCTCAGATCTGTTTTAGGACAAGGAAATTGAAGAATTACAAACACAGTTACATATAAATTATAGAGTAGATTTCATAGTAAGCTGATAACTATATTAGGCTTTTCCAAAGTTCAGTAATTCAGAAAATAAGTGGTGCTTTGGTTTATTATTCTAGTTTTGGGGTCAAATTACCCCAAAGTGAAATATTTTATCCAAAAATGTCTCAACTAGAATACACATTAATTTGTTAAATCACATTTGGTGAGACCACTTATGTGCTGTCATTGTTTAAGTAATTGAAATAATTAAAATATACTATCTAATTACCCAATCCAGTGGACCAGTCTTAGTCTTTTAGTCTCATTGATTTTACTTCAACATTAGATGTCATTTGTTGATTGTTCCTTCTGTTATGAAATTATTTCTACTTTATGTGCCATAATACTAATATGGCTCAGCCTTCTTCATTACCACTTTTCCCTTTTCCTCTATTACTATTTCTGAAGTCCTTGGTACTTCTAATACCAATGTTAATACTAATTTTTTTCATCATGCAATTTAAAATTCCTAAAACTGTAGTATCTCCAATGCTGAAACTCTTCCATTTCCAGCTGTTGACTAGGAACTTCCATTTGGATAATACACTGAAACCTCAAATTAAACATCTAAACCAACATTTATTTTTCCTTCTCCCAATCTACTACCTGCAAATCAGTTCCCTTTTATTGACTTACTGTTTGTTAAGGAGACCTGAATTCTTCCATTCACAAGACCTTCAGCGAAATCTGTGCCTCTAGTCACCAAATTGAAATTTATTTAGTGCAGTCCTACATAAATTTACACACACAGACACATACATATATGTATATAATGTGACCTACAATCTGTGATTTATTATTATAAGTAAATTAGTTTTTCACTTTCTCTCCTAAATTTCAAACGCTCTAGACAAAGGTCCAGCTGAATGTAGTTTTAATAATCCCCATTAGAAAGGACTCAGTATTTGTTAATTTGTCCTGATTATTTTAATGCTTTTTAAGATATCTATAAGTATAGCATTAGTATTTTTCTTTAGTAAGATAATTCCAGATAGATGATCATAAAATAATGTAATTTTTGCTTTGGTTTCTTACCAGTTAGTATTCCTGGAGATCAATGATAGGCTATTTTGAGAAAGTTTAGGCTTGGAATTTGTTTTCTCCCTTCCCCCTCCTCTTTCTCTTCCTCCTCCTCCCTCCTTTAAATCTATTTAAGAGGTTAGACATATGTAGGTTTTCTTATTTCCATTAAAATTCCTTCTCAAAAATGAAATTTCAAATAAACTAGCATCATGGTGAAAAAAGTGATTGCCCTGCTCTGTAGGCTCATATTTTTGTAAAAACGCTGCTTATTTCCATAGAATGAAGATGCCGGTGACTATACATGTGTAGCTACCAATGAAGCTGGGGTGGTGGAGCGCAGCATGAGTCTGACTCTGCAAAGTAAGCTGCTTAATGAAACTAATTAAACACTTGATTTAGGAAATATTACCTAATAAAGAGTATTTATTTTCTTTAACTCTATAGCAAGTTCATTAGTGGTAGCTCTCAGAGTGTGTCTAATTTAGTTTTCTGCTGCTGATGGAGCAGTTGTCATCAAACATAAATCTGATAACACACAGATATTTTTCTCTATTTTATCTAACGTATATAGTATAAGATTGCAATTGATTGGTGGCAGAGCTTTTTTTTTTATTATACTTTAAGTTTTAGGGTACATGTGCACAACGTGCAGGTTAGTTACATATGTATACATGTGCCATGTTGGTGTGCTGCACCCATTAACTCGTCATTTAACATTAGGTATATCTCCAAATGCTATACCTCCCCCCACCCCCCACAACAGGCCCTGGTGTGTGATGTTCCCCTTCCTGTGTCCATGTTCTCATTGTTCAGTTCCCACCTATGAGTGAGAACATGCGGTGTTTGGGTTTTCCTCCTTGCGATAGTTTGCTGAGAATGATGGTTTCCAGCTTCATCCATGTCCCTACAAAGGACATGAACTCATCGTTTTTTATAGCTGCATAGTATTCCATGGTGTATATGTGCCACGTTTTCTTAATCCAGTCTATCATTGTTGGACATTTGGGTTGGTTCCAAGTTTTGAATACTAGTTCAACCATTGTGGAAGTCAGTGTGGTGACTCCTGGGGATCTAGAACTAGAAATACCATTTAACCCAGCAATCCCATTACTGGGTATATACCCAAAAGATTATAAATCATGCTGCTATAAAGGTGGCAGAGCTTTTTAATTACAGCATATTCAATGGAGTGCCCCTTCTTACAATTCACCACAGTTATTCCAACATGCTTAAAAAGATTGCCATTTATGGCACTTTAAGATATTTATTAAAAATAAAGACTAATGTAAAGGAGCTCAAAAGTGCTCCAGCTTGATGGCTGTCATCTTTCATGAAATAACTAAACGTTCTGGGTGAGATTCTCATGCTCATCAGGAAGCCCTTCAGTAAGAGTCATCGGAAAACAGAGCATCCATAATTGGATAAACATAAAATAATCCAATGGCCCACTGGAGAGTTTACAGAACCACTTAAGGGGCTGACCCAAAGACAATGTCACTGGGTTGAGAATTTAAGCAAGTCAAGTCATTTTGTGACTAGGCTCAGTATTTAACAGGGTGAATTTACATTTTCTTCATCACTATTGAGAGATGCTCTAGATTAGTTAGCTGTTTGCCAAACTATATAATTCTGTAAGACTCGAATAGATGGATAGACATTTAATAAGTATCTAATACAATGTTTCACTAAAGAACATATCTATCAAATGATAACATGGGATGTCATTAGGAAAAAATAGGGTTCTATGTTCAAACAAACCTGAGAAAAAATGAATTAAACAGAGTTCTTTTATTTATTAAATATATAAAGAACAGTTACTATGTGCTCAGCCCTCCTTAGGCATACCAAATTTCTTTACTGCAGATTTTCCAGAAATGTTAATATGTTGGTGTGAATTATGGCTCAACAAGGAGAGAATATAATATGCCACATTTTCCAAATAAATGTTGAGTGAACGTAGGTAGAACACTACACAATCCACTGACCCAGTTTAAAAAAAGCTACATTAGAGCAGCTCATCTGCACATATTGACAATAAATTCATTTTAGTAAGTGAGGCATATTAAATAGTCAAAAATATAATTTGGTTCAAATTAGGATTAAAGTACCAGAAGCGATATTTTTATTTAAAGTGTTCATATTTATTATGTGAATGATGAAATTAATTCAATTGAAGTATGTACATATGGAATTTTATTGTATTAATTTATAGCTTCATATGCAATTGGGAATGTTCAAGGATGGTATCTAAATTAAGGTTCTGAGTTTATTTGATAATTTAGCCATTTTAATACGAGCAGACAAGCTTATTTAGTCATGTTGTCACTTAGTGTTGAGGGATAAACCTGAGGTATTTACTTTATGCAGCAACAGTTTATTGAATACATAATGTAATCAGGAAACTAGGAGAGAAATAAAAGCACTGGCCCTGAAAGTTTCTAGAGTGAGGTTAATATAAACATCAGTTAGAAGGCATTGTGTAGGGTGATGAGCATAAGTCAGAGTAATGCTTTATATGACATTTGCTAAGAGAGTCAAACCTCACATGAAGGAATTACTTTTTTAAAAGACAACATGTCACGGATACCTTTGCAGAAAAAAACTAACATATTAATATCACAACAAAACACATTTTTGTTCTATTTTTGTCTTATTTGTATTCTATTTATTCTAGATACACTTCTCAGTCTAAAATATGCAGCCACAACCTTGAATTATCTATTACCTCTCACTGAACAAATCATTCTGCCTTTCAGTTCAATGTCACTAAAACACTGCTCTCATCCCATCATGCTCCTTCTCAAGAATGTATATGCTGCCCCGTTTGCTTTCTTATTTAAATGAAAACCTTTCTTATTTTAGGATTTGAACCAATGTTCACAACCCTGTATGCTGTTACTCTTCAGGGTGAACCTTCCTTTCTATTCTGTTCATTGTCTTGAAAAAGAAAAAGAGCTAACTCCATCTCCATGTTGTGTCTTTCTCTCCAAGTGTTCTCCCCTCTCCTCTCTGTTCAAATAACCTTACTTATTTTTGAAAATCCAGTTCAACTCTCTTTTTCCCAATGAAGTCTGTCATATTCTGTCATCTGTCTTGGCACTGTAGACCAATATAGACGTAAACATTCTGCCAGCAGTTGCATGCAGTTCCTTTTACAATCTTTCCAAGGACTTTACTTCAGCCATTGTCATTCACTATAGACACTGTTAATATCTCCCTCCTTCCTTTTTGGTTACCAGAATACCATTTTTATCCTGATTTTCTTCCTACCTCAGTGATTCGTTCTGAGTATCTTTATAAGCTTGTCTTCTGTCCATCTCTTAAATAATGCTGTTGCAATGGTTTCTGTCTTTGGCCGTCTTCTCATTTTAGACTCTCTTCTGAAGCAATCTTATTCACTATGAAAGACTCACACATATATATTTCTTGCTCATCTTTATTCTGAGCTCTAGATATGAATATCCCTGTCATGTAGACATCGCTATATGAATGTCTTAGAGATACCTCAAGTTCAGCAGTTCTAAATGGATGCAAATTATCATTCCTTACTCCCTATCCACAAATCTGTTCTTCCTGTTGTGTGCTATTGCATTGCCCAAATATACCATATTGTCCAAATCAAAACCCTGCAGTCATGAGTTCTTCCCTTTAACCCATACCAATCCGTAACAAAGTTCTATCATTTCTACTTTCTTAATAATTCTTGGATATGTCTTCCTTTTCCCCTCCATTTCCAGTGGCATGCTTTTGTTTGATCTATTATTTCTATGGTTTATGCTCCCATATTAGTACACGTTAGTTCCATAGGTATGCTATAGCACAAGTCTGTCTTATCAGTGGACTGTGAGCTCCTTGAGACTAGAAAGAATATCTTTTCTCTATATGCTCTCAGCATCCACCACAATGCCTGGCAAATAGCAGGCTTTCAGTACATGTTTATTGAATAAATGATGGCCAGTGGTAAAAGAATGAGTTAATTAGCCAGGCGTGGTGGCGGGTGCCTGTAATCCCAGCTACTCAGGAGGCTGAGGCCGGAGAATTGCTTGAACCCTGGAGGGAGATGTTGCAGTGAGCCGAGATTGTGCCATTGCACTCCAGCCTGGGTGACAAAGGGAGACTCTGGCTCAAAAAAAAAGAATGAGTTAATGACTCTTTACCTCAAAAATGATCAAAAGAAAAAAGTGAATATTCACCATATAAAACACAGACAAAAATAATAGTAACTAAGAGCACTGTGTGCTTACCTTGTTCAAAAGTTGTAGTCACATCCTCTTGTTGAGTCTAACAGGAATCCTCTGAAGTAGGCACCATTTTTAAGGACATGGGGCTCAGAGAGGTAGTAAGGAGCAGACACAGAATTTGAATCCAGGAAACATGACTCTAGAGCCCATGCTCTAGGCTAATCTCAGGAATTTTAAATTTTTGACATTTACTAAATAAAAAAGAATTATGAAAATTGTATTAATGGCAATTATAATCTATAATCTTAGTTGGGAAGCAACAGTGTTTTATAAACAAATCAATCACTTTTTTCAAAATAATGTCGCCATATAATACATGATAAAAAAAAATGCTGTAACTCCACAAAAACTGAGACACTATGTGCTTTTTTCCGTAGGTCCTCCTATTATCACTCTTGAGCCAGTGGAAACTGTTATTAATGCTGGTGGCAAAATCATATTGAATTGTCAGGCAACTGGAGAGCCTCAACCAACCATTACATGGTCCCGTCAAGGGCACTCTATTTCCTGGGATGACCGGGTTAACGTGTTGTCCAACAACTCATTATATATTGCTGATGCTCAGAAAGAAGATACCTCTGAATTTGAATGTGTTGCTCGAAACTTAATGGGTTCTGTCCTTGTCAGAGTGCCAGTCATAGTCCAGGGTGAGTGTGATCAGAGGAATATTCATAGTAAACAGTACCTGGGGTGACTCAAATCATGGAAATTATTAAGCACTTTAGTCCAAGTCTCCTGTCACCTTAACATACTTTTAGATGATGGGGAGAGGACAAAATCATCAAAATTTACAGATTGAAGGGCCTAAACCAACACAGATTAGAGCTTTAAAATGCCAAGGTTTTAATTTAAAATCCCAAACTAGATTTTTGATTCACAACTAAATCTATTCTTAGAAATCAATGTATATGTTTTGCTGCAAAGAATGACTTATGTCCAAAAGGTGAACAGTTTGTAAACTTGTTGGTCTCTAACTCTTCCAGCAGCCATGTGCAAGTGAGTGAGGATTCGATCTGAGAAGAAACTTTGGCTAACTGAAGTTCTTCTCTCTCTCTTGGATTTTAATTTTCCTTAAAGGAGAGCTTCCATACGCTATTTCTCAGCAACTATATATTTAGCTCTGTAACCCGTGCATATCTTAAATGAAATCTCCTTTACAATGTTTTATTTGCAAAAGCTTAGACAAAGTACAATGTTTTATTTGCAGTTCATGGTGGATTTTCCCAGTGGTCTGCATGGAGAGCCTGCAGTGTCACCTGTGGAAAAGGCATCCAAAAGAGGAGTCGTCTGTGCAACCAGCCCCTTCCAGCCAATGGTGGGAAGCCCTGCCAAGGTTCAGATTTGGAAATGCGAAACTGTCAAAATAAGCCTTGTCCAGGTACACCTCCTTATTTAACTGATAGGCATGTGTTTAATAGACCTTCATTTCTGTCTTCTACCTATGGATTGCCCCAGTGTAAGTATTCCCAATTGAAATATACCTGATGGTGTAATGGTTCACCTTTGTATAGTGGATGGTAGCTGGTCGGAATGGAGTCTTTGGGAAGAATGCACAAGGAGCTGTGGACGCGGCAACCAAACCAGGACCAGGACTTGCAATAATCCATCAGTTCAGCATGGTGGGCGGCCATGTGAAGGGAATGCTGTGGAAATAATTATGTGCAACATTAGGCCTTGCCCAGGTGAGAAACCACCAATAATGCTAAGATAAACAAAACTTTTCTATCTTAACCCCTATGAAAGAATTACATTTGCCTTTTCTTCTTCATTGTAAAAAGATGTTATGGCCTCTACCCTTGAGAATATGTTCATTCACTATATTCTTAGTTCTCTTTCATGGATAAACTTGTAAAGGTATGGCATTCATTGATGTTAAGCAAAATACCTGCTTTAATTGAACTTGAAGAAAGGGTCCAAACTGGAGTGTATTTCTCAATCACGTAAAGAAAACATAAGTATTTACAAGGTCATAAAGTAACATCTAATCCAGCCATCCATTTCGAGGTGAGAAAAATGAACCCTAGAGAGGTTAAAGACTTGCCCAGAAACACACAACTGGTGAGGAGTAAATACGAATCGCTGTCATTCACTAAATACTTGCCACATAATAGGAACCATGCTAGGTGCTTTATATTGTTAATATTGTGTATTGTTATTGATTTTGTGTTTTAGCACTCTTTCCAATTAAAGTGACAAATCAAACAAGTCCAAGTAGAAAATTTTCAGGTATAATTGAATCCAAGGATTTGGACAGTGCTTTTACTAGCATGTTTTCCATCTCTCATCTCTACTTTCCTCTCTTTGGCTTTATTCTCTATTAAACTCTTTCCATGTGGTGGAAACAATGGCTGCTGACAGCTACTGGCTCACAGGGGCCTTATAATCTAAGTGAGGCCTCAGAGAAAAAGAGTTCCCTTGTCTCTCAGAATTCGTATCAGTCTCTGGAAAGGAACCCTGTTTGCTTTTGTTCAGGTCACATGTTTACCCCTGAACTCAAGTGAGTCCAGGAGAAGGGTATTTTAATAGCCATCTTGGGTGAACTGTCTACCTAGTGTAAAGAGTGTTGAGAAAGAAATCATGCAAAGTGGAGGAGCTGTTCATTTATTCATTCATTCATCCAACAAATATTTACTGAGCACTTACTTTGTCATCAAGACACTGTTCTAGTTGCTAGAGTTAAAATAATAAACAATATCTTTCCAGTATTTATCAACATACCCAAAAAACTCAGAGACTTGAAATGATGGAGTACAACTTGGAGAGATATCTTAGCTGGAATGATCAGAAAAAGAAATAATGGACAAACCAAAAAGGGACAGGTATTCACTACATTGGGTATTGCATCCTATTGTGCAGATGAGGAAAGATTTAGAAAATAATGTGCAGTAATTCACTAAGGATAGACAGCTAATAAAAAATGAATCAAAGTTTTGAACTCAGGTTGATCTAATTATGAAGCTTATTTAAATCGTAGGTATCTGGATTTGCAATTCGGAACTTTGATTACATTACAAAAACTAAGTACTGTCCTGACGTCTTAAAATAAACGAGAAGCCATTTATTTTAGTCTTAAAGAATTTGAAAGCTGGTTGTAATAACATTATGTTCTAAATTTAAAAGAGCAGGAAATACTTGATTGAGCAATTTTGTGTAATTTGTCATCTATAATAACTATATAATAACTAAATGATATTTGTAAATATCCTAAAATAAAAGCCAGTTTTTTCTTTTCATGTTGAGTAACTATTCGCCTACTACTGTCTGTTTGGTTACTTACTGTTGTTTTGTTCACTATTCTATTGGCTTGTTTTTTTTTTTTTTAAAGGCTTTCTCTAGTTATTTCCCCCAGTCCCTAAACCAAATGAATTTAGCTATTGTTTGAGCATAATGTCGGTGGTGTCCTAGAGCCATTCAATGAAAGCATGTATTTCTTCCCAATAAGAGCATGTATGAAAATTTAGTGATGCCACATTGGTAGGTAAATATCAGCTGTAGTAGGAGTATCTATACCACAAAAATTAGCGATGCTACAAGTTTTCCTCCTCACCCCTAGAGAGCTGGTTGTTAAATATTTCTCAGCTCACCACTGCAAAATCGGCAGCCAGCCTAAGACAGCCTTTCTCATCCAGAAAGTATGTGAAAATCTCGGGGGCAGAAGATACTTGGCTTTAGTACAGTTCATTTCTAACAATGTTGAACTTAAAAAAGAGTTGCAAGAAGAGTACAGATAATTATTTCTATGTAACACTATCTAGGTGAAATTTTGTGTATTTCCTGAAACAAGGACATTCTCTTTCATGAACATAGTACAGTGATCAAAATTGGGAAATTTTAACATTGATACTACTATTATCTAATTTCATTATCTAATCTGGTTATCTAATCCACAGGCCATGTTTGGATTTTGCCAGTTGTCCCAGTAATATCTTTGTAACTCTTTTTCCCCCATTCCAAGATCCGATCCACGATCACACTTGTACTTATTTGTTGTGTCCCTTTGGTCTCTTTTAATTGGAAAATTTTCTCAGTCTCTTTTTCTTTCATGAACTTGATATTTTTTAATATACAGGCCAAGTATTTTAGAGAAGACAATTCAATTTGGATTTGTCTAACATCTCCTCATGATTACATGTAGGTTTTGCATTTTGGCAGGAACACCACAGAAATGATTTTGTGTCCTTCTCCATGCATCATTTCAAAAGGCACATAATGTCAGTTTGTCCCATACTGGTGGTGTTAACTTTCTTCACTTGTTTAAGGTAGTGTCTGTCATTGTATAGTTACTATTTTTACTTCTATTATTAATAAGTATTTTGTAGGGAAACTTAGAGTCTCTATAAACATCTTATCAACCTTTCACCCACTAGTTTTAGCATCCATTTCTGATTTCTGCTTGAATCAGTTATTACTATGATTTTTGCAAAATAGCTATTTTCTAACTCCATCATTATCTTCCATATCTATTATTGACCTCTGTCAAGAACTTTCTCATTTCTTTACTTTGTGATTTATATCAATCAGGACTCAGGTATTATTCAATGGTTTATCACAGTGGAACCTAACCTTTTTGGCACCAGGGACTGGTTTTGTGGAAGACAATTTTTCTACAGATCGAGGGTTGGGGGGATGGCTTCAGGATGATTCAAGCACATTACATTTATTGTGGATTTTATATATAATGAAATAATTATATAACTCACCATAATGTAGACTCAGTGGAAGCCCTGAGCATGTTTTCCTGCAACTAGAAGGTCCTTTCTGGCATTGATGGGGGACAGTGACAGATCATCAGGCATTAGATTCTCATAAGGAGCACACAACATAGATCCCTCGCATGCACAGTTCACAATAGGGTTCGCACTCCTATGAGAATCTAATGCCACTGCTGATCTGACAGGAGACGGAGTTCGTGGTAATGTTAGCAATGGGGAGTAGCTGTAAATACAGATGAAGCTTTGCTCGCTTGCCAAGCGATCCGTGGCCCATGGGATTGAGGACCCCTGGTTTATCATACACTGTCATTATTTATCATCATGTTCACATTATCCTAGAATAGGTTAGTGGAGGCAGGCTTGTCTGGGCTGGCTTCAGTGTTGAGATGTCCTCATGATTCTTTGAGTACTTCCTTACTTTCCGGTGCAAATAGTTACTTCAAACTTATTTTGTACTTTCCCTGCCCCAGTTAGTTAGAAGAGTGTTTTTAAACTGCAAATCTTTTTTAAGATTGATATCTTCGGTGATGGCCTGTCCTGACAATTGAGAATCATTGTCATTAAAATACATATATAGCTACAGATTAAAGAGTGACCATTTTTTCAAGTGTCTGTCTGAAAACTGTTGAGAACTTTGAGCAAAGCCATCATAGCTCCTAGCTTACACTTATGTAGGATTTACTATGTGTCCTGTACTGTTCCTAGCACTTTTCTTCTATGAACTCATTACTGCTCACCTCAACTCTAATAAATTATCTTTTATTATTTGCATATTGCAGATGATGAAACTAGGCACACAGCAGCCAAGTGACTTGTCAGGATTGCATGGCCTGTAAGGGCAGAATAGTTATTCAAGCCCAGAGTGTCTGCCTGGAGACCCATTCCTAGCATTGTGCTCCTCTACCCTGCCATAACTAAAACTGCAACATAGTGTAACAAATTGAGTTATAATATTTTGCATGTTTCTTACCTACTAATCCCTCTGTAGTTTTTTAATATTTTAACTTTCATTTTAGTTTAGTTTCAGAGGTATATGTTCAGGTTTGGTATATAGGTAAACTTATGACTCAGGGGTTTGATGTACAGATTATTTTGTCACCTGGATACTAAGCATAGTATCCAAATTTATTTTTCTAAACCTCTTCCTCCTTCCACCCTCCTCCCTCAAGTAGGCCCCAGTGTTTGTTGTTCCCCTCTTTCTGTCCATGTGTTCTCATTATTTAGCTCCCATTTATAAGTGAGAACATGCAGTATTTGGTTTTCTGTTCCTGAGTTAGTTAGTTTGCTAAGGATACTGGCCTCTAGTTCCATCCCTGTTCCTGCAAAGGATGGGACCTCATTCTTTTTTATGGCTGCATAGTATTCCATGGCACGTATGGTACCACATTTTCTTTATCCAGTCTACTGTTGTTGGGTGTTTTGGTTGCTTCTGTCTTTACTATTGTAAATAGTGCTTAATGAACACACAGGTGCATATGTCTTTATGTAGAACAATTTATATTGCTCTGGGCATATACCCAATAGTGGGATTGCAGGGTCAAATGGTAGTTGTGTTTTTAGTTCTTGTTTTTTTGCATCATCTAGATAGCATGATGTTTTATGCCAACTCCAGTTTATATTATCATTCTCCCTTTTTTCTTGCTATCATTCCATTCTTATAAAAGAAACACTTGAACTCTACAACATTTTGTATCTTGAAGTCCAATTCTAGTTAGGATTTTCCATATTGATTAAAAAATAAAAATAAAAAAGTCTTTAGCTGAAAACCTGTATTTATATGTAGTAGAAATGACACAGAAATGAATAAATGTTACCCAATTGTTAACCCTCCAATTAAAAATGCATCTATATTAAATGGCATTATATTGTAAGAGGCTGAGGCTTTTGTTAACCAACAGCCTTGAAAATAAAATGTATTAAAATAATTGGAACTTCAGAATTTTTGAAATCATACAGTCAATATTTGAGGGCTATGAGCATCCACAGCCTGAATTAATACAGAAGTAGTTTTGAATATCTGCCATATATTTAAAGCCTTTCTTCTTTCCTCTGAGGTTTAGCCAAATACTTTTTAGTGCAAATTCTTGTTGGCTAAAATAGATTTGTGTGACTATGTTTTTGTCTACAAAGCACAAGGATAATTAGTCAACTCAGTCAGAAACCCATTAACTATAAGAAACTGTAACATGCATTTAAAAATATTTTTCTAACCAAAGCAGACAAATGATAATTTCATTACATGGTTTTCAACTTGTTCTGGAGAATATTTACACTCAGCCTTTGAGGCTCTTATTTCTGCTCATATTTTGATTAAACCAGGTGACCAAAAGATGTACTTTATGAGCTCCATATCTAGCAAGTTCCCTGAAAACAAAAATATGACCTGGTATTCACGTGTATATAAGGAAAGCCATAATGTTGAATCTCAGCCCAGGTACCTGGTAAAACATAAGGTTGTTTCATTCTTGTGGTCCAATGATGTGATGTGTTAGTTCCCAAAGGAAGGCCTTAATATCACTCCTTGGAAACTACTAGTCAGCTTTTTATGTTGTTTAGGAAGCAGGTTAGTATGTTATTCAGAACTTTAATTCATGAACACATGTAATGGAAAAAGTTTTCCAAAGAATTACAGCTGTGCAAATCATCATGTTGTTGAAAGATCCAAGTACATATGTAGATATGAAGCTGAATCAGGCTTAAGGATGTGGTCTTGCTGTCTAGGGTCCAAATTATCTTTGTGGAAATATTTGTATTGTCTATAACCACATCTCAATCTGTTATACAGCCTTGTTCCCAAGCTCCCAGTTATTTTCACTTTCTCCAGAGCAAAGAACACAGACAAATACTTAGCTAAGGGCTTAAACACTCAGACTGTATTTATATATGGTAGTTTGAGTAAATTTAATTGTAATAAAATAGCTCCTTTGGGTGATTTTAAACATTTATCTTGGCATCAGGTAAGCCTTCTGAATTTCCCTATAGACACAAATTCCTCTGAAAATCTAACCAGAAGGAGAAAGATCATCATTTGTTATGTTTCATTTGGTTCAGTTTCAATTCTCTTAGATTGGGGACTAATTAGCTCATTACTGAGTTAATTTATTTATATAATTTTGGTTTTAAACAAACACGGTTCTGTGACTTGCAACTGTCTTTTGGGGTGTTTGCAGTTCATGGAGCATGGAGCGCTTGGCAGCCTTGGGGAACATGCAGCGAAAGTTGTGGGAAAGGTACTCAGACAAGAGCAAGACTTTGTAATAACCCACCACCAGCGTTTGGTGGGTCCTACTGTGATGGAGCAGAAACACAGATGCAAGTTTGCAATGAAAGAAATTGTCCAAGTAAGAGAAATACACTGTTTATACCTTAATAAATTAACATCTACCTATCTTATCTAGGTAGTATGTCAACAAGAATCTATCCCATTCTAACTGTGCCCACAAGAACATCTCTCAAACTAACAATGCCCAGAGTGTAACACGATGGTTCCTAGGTAGTAAGAAAGCATGTACCTTTTTCCCTTATTCCAGTTCATGGCAAGTGGGCGACTTGGGCCAGTTGGAGTGCCTGTTCTGTGTCATGTGGAGGAGGTGCCAGACAGAGAACAAGGGGCTGCTCCGACCCTGTGCCCCAGTATGGAGGAAGGAAATGCGAAGGGAGTGATGTCCAGAGTGATTTTTGCAACAGTGACCCTTGCCCAAGTGAGTGTTGGAAATAGTGAGTCAACATTATACTTTCATAAAGTTTCATTATGACTGTAATTCCTTAAAGTTGCAATATTCCGTTATTTGGTTCTTCAACCTTTGGTTTAGGATGTCAGAATGTTGTAAGGTTGCTGTCATGTCTGTATAATACCCTAGATGTCTTCGATTCATAGGGGCAGGAGCTGTGTCCTATTTCACTTGCTCTATATAGGACTAGCCCCAGAGTATAAGAATGAGAGCACCCCTGCATGCTAACTCTTCATGATGCTTACAGTTCTTTTATGAAGGCAAGCAGGCAGCTCTCTGCCTTAGTGCCGTCATCAACCTGGATTTTTAGACCCTTGCAGCAACTTGATATCTGGAAATCTGAGTTACATTGTATCCTGAAGTTTACAGCCTTGGCTTATCAAAAGCAGAGGTCCTGTCTCATTTATACCCTCCAGCTCCTGGAATATTTTAAGACTCAATAAATGTATGTTAAATTGAATCACACAAATACAGGAATGCATACTCAGTTTCTAGTCAAAACCGAAGCTAAACTATCTTCCTTTGGAAGTTGCCTATTTATAGACTTGCATGTTTTGTTTTAGGTGCTGAGAAGAGACTTTTTTTTTAATACTTTTTGGATGAATGTCATTGTTGACCACTTCTCATTTTAGGGGCTCTGTTTTCATCTCAGATTATTCTGTCTTGTAGCCCATGGTAACTGGAGTCCTTGGAGTGGCTGGGGAACATGCAGCCGGACGTGTAACGGAGGGCAGATGCGGCGGTACCGCACATGTGATAACCCTCCTCCCTCCAATGGGGGAAGAGCTTGTGGGGGACCAGACTCCCAGATCCAGAGGTGCAACACTGACATGTGTCCTGGTGAGCCTCTTGATTTCTGGCAGTTGAATAAGTAAAGCATTTCATTTAGTGCTCATTGTAGCAGGCCTATTGCTTCAGACCTTAAAATGAAAGTTGTATAGGCAGGGGCACCCCAAGTATAGATTATGAAGATTTTGAAGCCAATTTCTTAACAGTGACCATTCCATTCTTGTTCACAGTGGATGGAAGTTGGGGAAGCTGGCATAGTTGGAGCCAGTGCTCTGCCTCCTGTGGAGGAGGTGAAAAGACTCGGAAGCGGCTGTGCGACCATCCTGTGCCAGTTAAAGGTGGCCGTCCCTGTCCCGGAGACACTACTCAGGTGACCAGGTGCAATGTACAAGCATGTCCAGGTAAGCAACTAAATTGGACTTTGGTAGCACATTTAGAGCCTTTGTGCAAATTAGAGAAAGGTGCCACAAATTACAAAACAATGCCAACCCTGAGAGGTGGAATTAGAAAAAAAAAAAAAAGTGCTTTCTTGCTCCTAATTGGTACAGTTCTGTATCAATCCAAGGCTGGGTTCTAGCCTCTATTTTCTCCCTTCCAGGCTTCCTGGTAAAAGGATATAGTCCTGGCATTGACAGGAAAAAGGGTGAGGCAGAGTGGGGAAAAATGGGCTGAGACTCCAGACTGAAGGTAAGGTGGGGCAGTGGCTAAATATCTAAAGAAAGCTACAATTGGAGGCTGTTCATCTGTGGATGGGAATTTGAATGACATGAGCGTGGGAAGTAAAATAAGAATCAGTTCAGTCTGAGGAGAAAGAATAAGAGGAGTTCAGTTATCAAGTTCAGCCTGAGTCATGCATTGCATCTAGCAAGTGATGTAAAAATTCAGAAGTCTATAACTCATGGGCCTTAGAATTTGCTGGGATTCCAAGAAATGGTAGCTAATACTCAATACCTTGTCTCAGAAGGCAGGCTTCTAAAGGTTGTAAGAAGACCAACAATAACGGTTTTATATTGTTGAAGTGTCAAGATATCAGTTAGAATCTCCAAAGCTTTAAGGTCTTCTTAGAAATAAAATGTTCCTGAAAAATCAAGATCATTTGACAGAGTGAGAGAGATTTACATTTAAAAATGTATAGGACCTAGACAAGCTGAAGGAAGTTGATAGTCCACTACCATCAACAACTGTTGAACATTATCGACTAATTAACAAGGACTTTGAGGCTCCAGCTGAGGCATGGTGTCAGCTTCAGTTGATGCACTTTGTAGCTCAGCCTCTGGTAGTAGCAGGGCCCCAGTGGCATCAGGAGGTCCAAATAGGTTGACAGTTTGGGTTGCAGAATCTGGCAGAGGATTTCAGAGATCCCAGCCAGGTATTCAGAATGAGGAGTCTTTTGAGCACTGGGACTCAAGTCCCTCTGTGAGACTAGAGAACCAGGGTCAAAATGTCAGTGATGACCCAGAGAGCTAAGTAAATTAGTGGTCCTAATACTCCTCTTTCTCCCTGCTTAGGACTAAGGATAAGAACCAAAATGGCCTACCGGGCCTTGACTGGCTCTCTACTTTCCTACATCATCTTGCAGCATGGCTTCCATTACTCTCTACGCTTTCTACTGCTTTTGCCCTCTCAGATGTGGCAAGCCACTACCCACAAAAGAGTGACACATACTCTGTCCCCTACCCAGAAAGCCCTTCTGCCCTCCCTGGCTTAGTTAAGACTTAAACTTTAAGGTTCTTCTTTATTTTTACTTCCTTCTCAAACTTCCCTAAATAGTAGGTAGTAGTGCATTCCAACCTTACATTTATTTGTGGGATTTAGATTGTTTTTCTCCCCAATTCAGACATAAGCTCTATGAAGGCAGGCTTCATGTCTTTTTTTTTTTTTTTTCTCACCATTTTTTTCTTTAATTCGTGGCAAACAAATGAATGTAGTACAGACCATGAAGGCTGAATCATCATGAAAAAATGTTTTCTCTCAGTATTAATAATAAAAGTAATGTAAATTAAAATGGTAAAGTACTTACTGATTTTTCTGAGGCTGAATGCAATTGTATTTCTCTCCAATATATAATATAAGCATACCTCAGAGATATTGCAGATTCAGTTCTAGACCACCACAAGGAAGTGAATATTGCAACAGAGCAAGGCACATGAATGTTTTGGTGCATATAGGAGTTATGTTTACACTATTCTGTAGTACTATTAAGTATCCAACAGCATCATGTCTAAAAAACAATGCACATACTTTAATTTTAAAATACTTTATTGCTAAAAAATGCTAATGATTATCTGAGCCTTCAGAAAGTCAATCTTTTAGCTGGCAGAGGGTCTTGCCTTGATGTTGATGGCTGCTGACTGATCAGGATGGTGGATGCGGAAGGTTAGGGTGGCTGTGGCAATTTCTTAAAATAAGACAAGAATGACATTTGCCACATCAATTGATTCTTCCTTTCATGAATGATTTCTCTGTAGTGGACAATGCTGTTAAATAGCACTTTACCCACAGTAAAACTTTCAAAGTTTGGGTCAATCCTCTCAAATCCTGCCACTGCTTTATCAACTAAGTTTATGTAATATTTTAAGTCCTTTGTTGTCGTTTTAACAATGTTCACAGCATCTTCATCAGGAGTAGATTCCATATCAAACAACCATTTTCTTTGTTCATCTGTAAGAAGCAACTCCCCATTCATTCAAGTTTTATCATAAGATTGTAGCAATTCAGTCCCATCTTTAGGATATACTTCTAATTCTCTTGCTCTTTTAACCACTTCTGTAGTTACTTCCTCCACTGAAGTCTTGAAACTTCAAAGTCATCTATGATGGGGGGAATCAACTTCCAATATCCTGTTAATATTGATATTTTGACCTCCTTCCACAGACATTCTTAATGGCATCTAGAATGATGAATTCTTCCCAGAAGGTTTTCAATTTACTTTGCCCAGATCCATCAAAGGAATCACTATGGTAGTTATAGCCTTAGAAAATATTTCTTTCTGTTTTTTTTGTTTGAGACAGAGTCTCATTCTGTCACCCAGGCTCGAATGCAGTGGCGTGATCTCAGCTCACTGCAACCTCTGGCTCCAGGGTTCAAGCGATTCTCCTGTCTCAGCCTCCAAGTGATTACAAGTGCCCACCACCATGCCCAGCTAATTTTTTGTATTTTTTTTTAGTAGAGACAGGGTTTCACCATGTTGGCCAGGCTGGTCTTGAACTCCTCAAGTGAGCTACCGGCACCTGACCTAGAAAATGTATTTCTTAAATAATAAGTCCTGAAAGTCAAAATTACTCTTTGATCCATGGCTGCAGAATGGATGCTGTATTAGGCATGAAAGCAACATTTATCTCCTTGTACATCTCCATTAGACCTCTGCAGTGAACATTCACATGTCAGTGGGCAGTAATACTTTGAAAGGAATCTTTTTTTTTTTTTTTTATTTTCCTGAGCGTTAGGTCTCAAAAATAGGCTTAAAACATTAAGTAAACCATGCTATAAACAGATGTGCTGTCATCCAGGCTTTGTTGTTTCATTTATAGCACAGAGGCAGAGTAGATTTAGCACAATTCTTATGGGCCCTAGGATTTTCACAATGAGCATTGACCTCAACTTAAAGTCACCAACTGCGTAAGTCCTTAACAAGACAGTCAGTTTGTTCTTTGGAGCTTTGAAGCCAGGCATTGATTTTACTTCTCTAGCTATGAAATTCCTAGCCAGCATCTTCTTCCAATAGAAGGCTGTTTTGTCTACATTGAAAATCTGTTGTTTAGTGTAGCCACCTTTATCAGTGACTTAGCTACCTCTGGATAATTTGCTCCAGTTTCTACATCAGCATGTGCTGTTCTACCTTGCACTTTTATGTTACTTAAATGGCTTCTGTCCTTGAGCCTCTTGTCTTCTGCAGCTTCCTCATCTACCTCAAGCTTTGTGGAACTAAAGAGAGTTAGGGCCTTAGTCTGGATTGGGCTTTGGCTTAAGGGAACATTGTGGCTGGTTTGATCTTTTATTCAAACCACTCAGATTTTCTCCATATAAAAAATAAGGTTGTTTCACTTTCTTATTTGTGTGTTCACTTTTAATTTTCTTCAAGACTTCTCCCTTTGCATTCACAACTTGGCTAACTCTTTGATGCAAGAGGCCTAGCTTTTGGCCTACATCAATTTTCTACATGCCTGCCTCTCTCAGCTTAACCATTTCCAGCTTTTGATTTAAAGTGAGAGACATGAGACTCTTTCTTTCACTTGAACACTTAGAGACCATTGTAGGGTGAATAATTGGCCTAGTTTCAATATTGTGTCTCAGCTAATAGGGAGGCTCGAGGAGAGGAAGAGAGTCAAGGGAATAACTGGTGGTCGATGGAGCAGTCAGAACACACAAAACATTGATTAAGTTCACCATCTCATATGGGCATGGTTCATGAAACCCCAAAACAATTACAATAGTAACATCCAAGATCACTGATCACAGAACACCCTAAGAGAGATAATAATAATGAAAAAGTTTGAAATATTGCAAGAATTACCAAAATGTGACACAGGAACACAAAGTGAGCAAAGGCTGTTGCAAAAATGGTACCGGTAGACTTTCTCATCACACGGTTGCCACAAGCCTTCAATTTGTAAAAAAAACGCAGTGTCTGCAAAGAGCAACAAAGCAAAGTATGATAAAACTAAATATGCTTGTACATAACAGTATCTGAAATTCCTAGTGATTGCTTTAAAATGTATTAAAATACATCAGATAATGAATATTTATGGATTTGACTATCAGCTACTTCCCAGTATGTTGCCTTCTCTTGTCAAAGCATGAAATTCATTTTGAAAAACATTCATTAACCACCTATTCTGTGCTAGTCACCAGTAATTTTGTTGAACAATAGAAAGAAGGCATAAAATTAATGTTGAGGCCCTTTTTTAAAAATTTATAATTGTTTTGCAACCAGATTACCTTGGTATGAATTTTATAGCACTGGCAAAAGCACAGTCTCTCTCAAGTTAAGCATCTTTCAGTATATTTGTAATATGAAGAACTTGATAAACCCTCACTCTAAAACCCAAGACTGAACAACGTCCTTAGATAATCCACGTTTACATTGGCAGTGGCCTAGAAGCTGTTTTGTTGATGAAGTCTCTCCTTTTCCTGGATGTTCTCATGAAGGAGGCAACAAATAAAAGAACACAGGGTTTGATGCCAAGCAGATCCACATTCAGATCCTCATTCCGCCACTGTCTAGCAATGTAATAAGGAGAAAGTTGCTTAATTTCTACAAACTTAAAGCTACCTTATAGAATTGTTGATAGGATTAAAATGGTTAACACATACTAGATGTTTACCATCATGCATGACATGCTCAATAAACTCTCATTGTCATCACCACCACCAACATATTCTTTATTTTTAGTTTGGGGACTGGACACTGATTGTATTCTTTGGCTTATGAAATATTAATAACACTATGATGTGCACAGATTAGAAGGATCTTAGATTTATGGGTGATGATGGTTGTTATGTGAAAGTAGAATGTTTTAAAAGCTTATTTATTTCACTATTAAATTCAGATGTCATATGACCTTTTTGATGTTTGAGAAAAGATTTGTAGCATCTCTGAATACTGGCCCTCTTTTCTCCCATGTAATGTTGATGAAATTGCATCCTTATCCAGGAATGTTTTTTTTTCCCCCAATAGGTGGGCCCCAGCGAGCCAGAGGAAGTGTTATTGGAAATATTAATGATGTTGAATTTGGAATTGCTTTCCTTAATGCCACAATAACTGATAGCCCTAACTCTGATACTAGAATAATACGTGCCAAAATTACCAATGTACCTCGTAGTCTTGGTAAGTCTTTGCCTCAAGCCTCTTTTTAAAAACTTATATATTATTCTTCATCTTATTACTTCCATTAAAGTTCTAGAGAATGCTACTACTAACTCATAAGTATGGTAAGCTTTTAAACAAACATACATGAGGTACTGGTATTTGTTTCTGGTATTCAACATTATTTAGAATTCATCCTTGTGAATAATATGCTATGAAGACAATAAAATAGACTAAAAATTTTGCTATCACCTTATTTATCCTTTTTTTTCTTTAGGTTCAGCAATGAGAAAGATAGTTTCTATTCTAAATCCCATTTATTGGACAACAGCAAAGGAAATAGGAGAAGCAGTCAATGGCTTTACCCTCACCAATGCAGTCTTCAAAAGAGAAACTCAAGTGGAATTTGCAACTGGTTAGTGTCAGCTGAATTTAATATTCTATTACTATAAAAAGTGCCATGAAGATAGGTGATTAAGAAAAATACGTGTTCCCACATAGAATAATTTGAAACTTTTTACGCAATCTTATAAGTGATATAAAAGCAATTTCATGTTTTCCTGTAAACTTGTACTAACATAAGATCATAAGAGGTCATGTGTTCTCAAGCAGTCATTTTATACCCTAAAAGTTTTTCTCCTCTCCTCTTTTCTTCTTTTTAAAAATATTTTCTCTTTAAATCCATAGAGAGGATATTAAAGACCAAACAAAGAAGGAAAATGAGTTACTGTTATTAATTAAAGACCTTCTTTGTCTTTAAACCAAGATCCAATTAGGATACTTTATAGCAGTTCTTTATGAAAAAGATAGAAACAAAGCAAACCTAAAGGCTTTTCACTCATCCCTAGTCTTAAGGAGTATGGGTTAGCTATTCATGACCCTTTCCATGTACATACAGATGTTTAGAGAGCTCCATTTCAAGCCTCTTCACAGTTGGTCAGCCTCAATAGCAGTGACCTTTAAGGAAGAGGGGCTTGAGGACGGCTTATCTTTAATCAACATTTAATCAGTGGAGAAGACAATTGGTTCTTTTCATGGGCATCCACTTACTCAGATGTCCTTTGTTACTTTTTGAAGCATCAGAAAGAACAAAGCACTGTGGCCAGACTAGTGGTTTTTGCCAGTCACAGACAATTCATTTTTATAAGAGTGCTTTGTTATTGCCTGTGAATTTAAAGTATGAAATTCGTGTAACCGTTTGCCACATTTTTGCTACATAAAAAGAAATGTTAAAAGAAACTGAATTCAATAAACCTAACTCTTTAATTGGGAGGTTAAGTGCTATTTCAGTTCTCATCATCTATACTTATTCAAGTTTGAACTCAAAAAGCATAGCTGAACTGGTATGTAAGGTAAATCTGCTCTGTGCTTACAGAAACCATATTTTTTTGCTGTCAAAATGAATGTCTTGTAATTCCCAGGAGAAATCTTGCAGATGAGTCATATTGCCCGGGGCTTGGATTCCGATGGTTCTTTGCTGCTAGATATCGTTGTGAGTGGCTATGTCCTACAGCTTCAGTCACCTGCTGAAGTCACTGTAAAGGTAAAATGCCAGGATAACTTGTCTTTGCTGCTTATTAGAGTAATGATGAGTGAAAGGTCCATAGAATGAGCACAGATAACTTGTTCACTCTGTGGGGGAAAATGTCCAAACTACCAAGGCTATAAATAACTATCTGATCTTTGTTTAAAAATCTTCAGGGACAAGTTTTTACAAACTCTCTTAATGGTTTTACCACCCTCCCTATCAGGACCAAGATCAAATACTTGATGTAAGGCATTTGTTTAATTTTCTTTAGACAAAGAGGATAGTAATTCTTGCATAAACGTTTTTGTGTATCATCCATAAAATATTTCAGAAATTAAAGGATAACAATCGCCCTTTCACATCTTTGTTTATTCATGACCTATAACTTTGAGTCTCTTATTAAACTGAAATTTATGACAGCAAAATTATGAAACAACTATGTTATAATTAAAGGGTTCAAACTTTATGTTATTTCCTGAACACTACTGTACAATTATTATACAAGTTTTATTAGCCCCTATACATTTTCTCATGAAGGAGGCAATAAATAAAAGAACATAGTGTTTGATGCCAAGCAGATCCACATTCAGATCCTCATTCCGCCACTTTGTACCAATGTAATGATGAGAAAGTTGCTTAATTTCTACAAACTTATTTTTCTAGTCTGCAAACTATGGCAATTTAAAGCTACCTTATAGCTTTAAGGTATTAAAGCTATAGGTATTAAATTAGGATTAAAAGTTAACACATATTAAATGTTTACCATCATGCATGATGTGTGTTTTTTAGCTCCTAATCCTTTTTCCCCGCTCATTCTGCATTTCATAGTCCCCTTAAGGGAAAAAAATTAGTATGAGCCATATTGATCTTCAAATCCACATTGTTCTCCTTAGGATTACACAGAGGACTACATTCAAACAGGTCCTGGGCAGCTGTACGCCTACTCAACCCGGCTGTTCACCATTGATGGCATCAGCATCCCATACACATGGAACCACACCGTTTTCTATGATCAGGCACAGGGAAGAATGCCTTTCTTGGTTGAAACACTTCATGCATCCTCTGTGGAATCTGACTATAACCAGATAGAAGAGACACTGGGTTTTAAAATTCATGCTTCAATATCCAAAGGTAATTTGATAAAAGAAAATCCATATCTTTATGCCATCCAGTCTAAAGGGTTAAAAAAATTCAAAATAAGGACATTGAGGCCTACATCTAACATGATATCAGGTTTTTCATGTGTGTTGTCTATGCCTTTTTGTTAAGTAAAGCCCTATGGAAAAGCCAACCCAATTGGAGTTCTAGTACATTTACTTTACTAATATACTTCTTCATACTACACAGTGGGGTTGCTGTTGTTCTATTCCATATGTGCAGAGAGGGTTAAAAACATATAATGTGGCGGGGCGTGGTGGCTCATGCCTGTAATCCCAGCACTTTGGGAGGCCGAGGCAGGTGAATCACCTGAGGTCAGGAGTTCCAGACCAGCCTGGCCAACATGGTAATACAAAAATTAGCCGGTCGTGGGGGCGGGTGCCTGTAGTCCCAGCTACTGTGGAGGCTGAGGCAGGAGAATTGCTTGAACCCAGGAGGCAGAGGTTGCAGTGAGCCGAGATCACGCCACTGCACTCCAGCCTGTACAACAAAGAGCAAAACTCCATCTCCAAGCAAAGAAAAACATACAATGTGTCCAAATGCTTTTTATTCAAATAATACAAATAATAAAGTCCATTTGTTATTGTTTTGAATTTTGTTTGTCAAGAAATTTTTTAAATTCCTGAAACATAATACAAAGCTGTGTCTTAACCTAAACTAGTCAAAAAGAATTTCTATATTTTAAAAGCAGCTTTTTAAAACTGTGCAGCAATAATCAGGATTCCAACTGTCATTTCTTGTTCCTGGAAGTTATAATTTTTTAACTGCTTTTCATTTTCCAAGCATGGTTCTGCAACCCTTGATCTAAGTAGTCCATCTATGCTATGTGGTTCTTTGATGTGTCTGTCTCCTGAGATTCCCTTTTCAGTCATAAGAGCCACCACGGCAATTAACATTCCATATTCTGTGGGGTTTTAATGCTGGGATGATTCTTGCATGTAGTCCTGTTAGACATTAAATGTTTATGTGACTTTAGCTTTGAACTTTAGGCTCCCATGAGTTCACTTAAAAGGATTCACATTGACCTTGTCAATGTGTTTTGCTGTGTGCCAGCTTTCCTAAAATAGAGCCAAGTAAATTTTAAACTTCACCATTTTATCATGTTTAGCAGATATGCTAAAAATTTATTTTCAGTGTTTACTCTTGCTTCCATCAGTCATGCTTATGACTGTTTCCTTCAACTTGTATCAGAACTGCTTCATAAAATTTGAGATCATAGTAATCTGGAAGTACAAGCACACATTTTTTGAGGTAATCACAGATTCACGAAGTCTCATAGCCAGTGACACCCATAGCCCATCTCCTCCACGCACACCATTGCCACCACTACCTTTTACTATTGCCATGCATGCCATGCCACTTGAACAAAAGAAACGAGCTGCCAGAATGAGGAGTTACATTTTCTTTCCCTAATTATGCCTGCTTTTCAAATCTAACTTCTGTTTCTACTTTTTTCAGTACTCCATCTAATTTAAAAAAAGATAACTGGGCACAAATAAGAGAATTTCTACCATCTGGAACTAGATGAATTAAAATGATTTCTGAAAAGTCATGTTCACTTTCTACCTAATCGTGTACATTTTCCAAGCCTAAAACTGCTTAAAGATCTTTGTACCGTCTTTAAGTGTGTTTGTTGGGGGATCTGGGTCCCACAATATAAAGAAACACACTGTATGACCTTTAAGGCCCCTTACTATCCTTAGACACTGTGATTCTATGAATCACATCTGATGTATGTGTCATGGTTCTTGTCAATTTTAAGAATTGTGTACTTGCAATTTGTTTTTGAGCAACCATTAGGGGGCAAGCTTGCATTCCTGGTAGCTTAACTAGCAAATTATGTTCTGTCTAGACTAGAGCTAAGTATGGTTGCAGTGAAATTAGAATCTTCTGGAGAGCTTGATGAAAGTTCAGATTTCTGGGCACAAAGATTTTTGGTTTAGCAAGTCCACAGTAGGGTCTGGGAGTTTGTATTTTTAACACAGACCCTAAATGATTCTAATATATCTGGTCTGCACTCTTGCTTTTGGAAAGTACTGGTCGAGAAAACTCACTAACATAAGTCAGTGTCATTAAAATATTTTTATATCTTTAAAATCTAACTTATTTTTAAAATTAATTATAAAGTATATATTTTACAAATGAATCAGAGTATCAGAAATTATGCAGGAATATATAAATTTAACTAACTACAGATACATTTTTTACAACTTCTTCATGGGAAGGAAAAAAAGTGAAATGAGAAGGTAAAATATGCACCAAGAAAAAATATTTGCATCACATGTTATTGACAACCATGATTAATCTTAATACATACAAAGGCGCTTCAAAATCAGAAAGAGGCAAATACCCTCAGTAGAAAAATGCATAAGGGAAATTCACAAAAGAGTAAATAATGACAAATGTGAAGAAACTGTTTACCCTCATTAGTAAGCAAGGAAATGCAAATTAATGAGTTATTTTCTGACTATAACAAGGGTGACGACTGCCTAGTATTACAGAGGTATGGGGAAGTGAACACCCTTACACACTGCTGGCAGGGGGATAAATTGGTTCAACATTTCTGGAAGGCACTGTGTCTCCAATAGCCTTTCAAATGTTCATATCTTTTCAGTTATCTCATTTTGGGAGCCTGTCCTATGAAAATCACAGAAATAGCCAAAGATGAATGCTTAGGAAGTTTTATCCACTGTTATTTATAATAGAAAAATATTAAATATCCTCAAAGTAGGAAACAAATATGTAAGTTATGGCACAGCTATATAATAATAACTTAATCACTGAAATAGGAAATATTTAGCTCATTTATTCATTTAACAAATATTTGTTGAGTGCCTACTATGTACTAAACATTGTTCTAGGTGTTGACAGCATCACTGTAAACAAGTAACAAAGGGGAATGTTCATGACAATAATAACTGAAAAGTACTGTATGAGCCAAACCTGGGTTGCACACCCGTGGGTGATTATAAGAAAATCTTTACACCCATTAAAAACACAGATACCCAGGTCTCTTTCTTAGCAATTCTAGTAGAAATGGGACCAAGGGAACCTATATTTTTAATAGGATTTTCAAATGATTTTTATAATTAGTCAAGCTTGGCAATTATCAGTCTGTATATCCTAAATTTAATTTCTAAGTATGTATTCATAAAATTGACTGGAAGGAAAAACATCAAAATCTCAGCAGTAGTTTGTTCCATTTGACAAGACTACCAGAATTTTATGCTTTTCAAGGTTTCTATTACTATCATACATTATAAGCAAATATTTTTTATTGCCTTTTACTATCTTGAAATAAAAATTGTAACATAATTCAAAGTAACACACTTTATAATATGAAAATCAATAAAAGGAAAATAACTCATAATAACATTACACATTTTAATATGAAAATCTTTGGACAGAAAGAAGTAGTTGTATACTCAAACATATACTGAATCCTAGTATGATTATTTTGGGAACATTAAGCAACTTTTTTTTTATTATACTTTAAATTTTAGGGTACATGTGCACAATGTGCAGGTTAGTTACATATGTATACATGTGACATGCTGGTGCGCTGCACCCACTAACTCCCCCCACCCCAAAACAGTCCCCAGAGTGTGATGTTCCCCTTCCTGTGTCCATGTGTTCTCATTGTTCAGTTCCCACCTATGAGTGAGAATATGCGGTGTTTGGTTTTTTGTTCTTGCGATAGTTTACTGAGAATGATGATTTCCAATTTCAACCATGTCCCTACAAAGGACATGAACTCATCATTGTTTATGGCTGCATAGTATTCCATGGTGTATATGTGCCACATTTTCTTAATCCAGTCTATCATTGTTGGACATTTGGGTTGGTTCCAAGTCTTTGCTATTGTGAATAGTGCTGCAATAAACATACGTGTGCATGTGTCTTTATAGCAGCATCATTTATAGTCCTTTGGGTATATACCCAGTAATGGGATGGCTGGATCAAATGGTATTTCTAGTTCTAGATCCCTGAGGAATCGCCACACTGACTTCCACAATGGTTGAACTAGTTTACAGTCCCACCAACAGTGTAAAAGTGTTCCTATTTCTCCACATCCTCTCCAGCACCTGTTGTTTCCTGACTTTTTAATGATTGCCATTCTAACTGGTGTGAGATGATATCTCATTGTGGTTTTGATTTGCATTTCTCTGATGGCCAGTGATGATGAGCATTTTTTCATGTGTTTTTTGGCTGCATAAATGTCTTCTTTTGAGAAGTGTCTGTTCATGTCCTTCGCCCACTTTTTGATGGGGTTGTTTTTTTCTTGTAAATTTGTTTGAGTTCATTGTAGATTCTGGATATTAGCCCATTGTCAGATAAGTAGGTTGCGAAAATTTTCTCCCATGCTGTAGGTTGCCTGTTCACTCATGGTAGTTTCTTTTGCTGTGCAGAAGCTCTTTAGCTTAATTAGATCCCATTTGTCAATTTTGTCTTTTGTTGCCATTGCTTTTGGTGTTTTAGACATGAAGTCCTTGCCTGTGCTTATGTCCTGAATGGTAATGCCTAGGTTTTCTTCTAGGGTTTTTATGGTTTTAGGTCTAACGTTTAAGTCTTTAATCCATCTTGAATTGATTTTTGTATAAGGTGTAAGGAAGGGATCCAGTTTCAGCTTTCTACATATGGCTAGCCAGTTTTTCCAGCACCATTTATTAAATAGGGAGTCCTTTCCCCATTGCTTGTTTCTGGGAGGTTTGTCAAAGATCAGATAGTTGTAGATATGTGGCATTATTTCAGAGGGCTCTGTTCTGTTCCATTGATCTATATCTCTGTTTTGGTACCAGTACCATGCTGTTTTGGTTACTGTAGCCTTGTAGTATAGTTTGAAGTCAGGTAGCGTGATGCCTCCAGCTTTGTTCTTTTGGCTTAGGATTGACTTGGCAATGCAGGCTCTTTTTTGGTTCCATATGAACTTTAGTTTTTTCCAATTCTGTGAAGAAAGTCATTGGTAGCTTGATGGGGATGGCATCGAATCTATAAATTACCTTGGGCAGTATGGCCATTTTCACAATATTGATTCTTCCTACCCATGAGCATGGAATGTTCTTCCATTTGTTTGTATCCTCTTTTATTTCATTGAGCAGTGGTTTGTAGTTCTCCTTGAAGAGGTCCTTCACATCCCTTGTAAGTTGGATTCCTAGGTATTTTATTCTCTTTGAAGCAATTGTGAATGGGAGTTCACTCATGATTTGGCTCTCTGTCTGTTATTGGTGTGCTTGTGATTTTTGTACATTGATTTTGTATCCTGAGACTTTGCTGAAGTTGCTTATCAGCTTAAGAAGATTTTGGGCTGAGACAATGGGGTTTTCTAGATGTACAATCATGTCATCTGCAAACAGGGACAATTTGACTTCCTCTTTTCCTAATTGAATGCCCTTTATTTCCTTCTCCTGCCTAATTGCCCTGGCCAGAACTTCCAACACTATGTTGAATAGGAGTGGTGAGAGAGGGCATCCCTGTCTTGTGCCAGTTTTCAAAGGGAATGCTTCCAGTTTTTGTCCATTCAGTATGGTATTGGCTGTGGGTTTGTCATAGATAGCTCTTATTATTTTGAGATACGTCCCATTAATACCTAACATATTGAGAGTTTTTAGCATGAAGTGTTGTTGAATTTTGTCAAAGGCCTTTTCTGCATCTATTGAGATAATCATGTGGTTTTTGTCTTTGGTTCTGTTTATATGCTAGATTACATTTATTGATTTGCGTATATTGAACCAGCCTTGCATCCCAGGGATGAAGCCCACTTGATCATGGTGGATAAGCTTTTTGATGCGCTTGCTGGATTCGGTTTGCCAGTATTTTATTGAGGATTTTTGCATCAATGTTCATCAAGGATATTGGTCTAAAATGCTCTTTTTTGGTTGTGTCTCTGCCTGGCTTTGGTATCAGGGTGATGCTGGCCTCATAAAATGAGTTAGGGAGGATTCCCTCTTTTTCTATTGATTGGAATAGTTTCAGAAGGAATGGTACCAGTTCCTCCTTGTACCTCTGGTAGAATTCGGCTGTGAATCCATCTGGTCCTGGACTCTTTTTGGTTGGTAAGCTATTGATTATTGCCACAATTTCAGATCCTGTTATTGGTCTATTCAGAGTTCAACTTCTTCCTGGTTTAGTCTTGGGAGAGTGTATGTGTCCAGGAATTTATCCATTTCTTCTAGATTTTCTAGTTTATTTGCATAGAGGTGTTTGTAGTATTCTCTGATGGTAGTTTGTATTTCTGTGGGATCGGTGGTGATATCCCCTTTATCATTTTTTATTGCGTCTATTTGATTCTTCTCTCTTTTTTTCTTTATTAGTCTTGCTAGTGGTCTATCAATTTTGTTGATCCTTTCAAAAAACCAGCTCCTGGATTCATTAATTTTTTGAAGGGTTTTTTGTGTCTCTATTTCCTTCAGTTCTGCTCTGATTTTAGTTATTTCTTGCCTTCTGCTAGCTTTTGAATGTGTTTGCTCTTGCTTTTCTAATTCTTTTAATTGTGATGTTAGGGTGTCAATTTTGGATCTTTCCTGCTTTCTCTTGTGGGCATTTAGTGCTATAAATTTCCCTCTACACACTGCTTTGTATGTGTCCCAGAGATTCTGTTATGTTGTGTCTTTGTTTTCGTTGGTTTCAAAGAACATCTTTATTTCTGCCTTGATTTCGTTATGTACCCAGTAGTCATTCAGGAGCAGGTTGTTCAGTTTCCATGTAGTTAAGCAGTTTTGAGTGAGTTTCTTAATCCTGAGTTCTAGTTTGATTGCACTGTGGTCTGAGAGATAGTTTGTTATAATCTCTGTTCTTTTACATTTGTTGAGGAGAGCTTTACTTCCAAGTATGTGGTCAATTTTGGAATAGGTGTGGTGTGGTGCTGAAAAAAATGTATATTCTGTTGATTTGGGGTGGAGAGTTCTGTAGATGTCTATTAGGTCCACTTGGTGCAGAGCTGAGTTCAATTCCTGGGTATCCTTGTTGACTTTCTGTCTCGTTGATCTGTCTAATGTTTACAGGGGGTGTTAAAGTCTCCCATTATTAATGTGTGGGAGTCTAAGTCTCTTTCTAGGTCTCTAAGGACTTGCTTTATGAATCTGGGTGCTCCTGTATTGGGTGCATATATATTTAGGATAGTTAGCTCTTCTTGTTGAATTGATCCCTTTACCATTATGTAATGGCCTTCTTTGTCTCTTTTGATCTTTGTTGGTTTAAAGTCTGTTTTATCAGAGACTAGGATTGCAACCCCTGCCTTTTTTTGTTTTCCATTTGCTTGGTAGATCTTCCTCCATCCCTTTATTTTGAGCCTATGTGTGTCTCTGCATGTGAGATGGGTTTCCTGAATACAACACGCTGATGGGTCTTGTCTCTTTATCCAATTTGCCAGTCTGTGTCTTTTAATTGGAGCATTTAGTCCATTTACATTTAAAGTTAATATTGTTATGTGTGAATTTGAACCTGTCATTATGATGTTAGCTGGTTATTTTGCTCGTTAGTTGATGCAGTTTCTTCCTAGTCTTGATGGTCTTTACATTTTGGCATGATTTTGCAGCAGCTGGTACCAGTTGTTCCTTTCCATGTTTAGTGCTTCCTTCAGGAGCTCTTTTAGGGCAGGCCTGGTGGTGACAAAATCTCTCAGCATTTGCTTGTCTGTAAAGTGTTTTATTTCTCCTTCACTTATGAAGCTTAGTTTGGCTGGATATGAAATTCTGGGTTGAAAATTCTTTTCTTTAAGAATGTTGAATATTGGCCCCCACTCTCTTCTGGCTTGTAGAGTTTCTGCTGAGAGATCCGCTGTTAGTCTGATGGGCTTCCCTTTGTGGGTAACCCAACCTTTCTCTCTGGCTGCCCTTAACATTTTTTCCTTCATTTCAACTGGTGAATCTGACAATTATGTTTCTTGGAGTTGCTCTTCTCAAGGAGTATCTTTGTGGTGTTCTCTGTATTTCCTGAATCTGAACGTTGGCCTGCCTTGCTAGATTGGGGAAGTTCTCCTGGATAATATCCTGCAGAGTGTTTTCCAACTTGGTTCCCTTCTCCCCATCACTTTCAGGTACACCAATCAGACGTAGATTTGGTCTTTACACGTAGTCCCATATTTCTTGAGGCTTTGTTCGTTTCTTTTTATTCTTTTTTCTCTAAACTTCCCTTCTCACTTCATTTCATTCATTTCATCTTCTATTGCTGATGTCCTTTCTTCCAGTTGATTGCATCGGCTCCTGAGGCTTCTGCATTCTTCACGTAGTTCTCGAGCCTTGGCTTTCAGCTCCATCAGCTCCTTTAAGCATTTCTCTGTATTGGTTATTCTAGTTATACATTCATCTACATTTTTTTTCAAAGTTTTTAACTTCTTTGCCTTTGGTTTGAATTTCCTCCTGTAGCTCATAGTTTGATCATCTGAAGCCTTCTTCTCTCAACTCGTCAAAGTCATTCTCTGTCCAGCTTTATTCCATTGCTGGTGAGGAACTGTGATCCTTTGGAGGAGAGGTGCTCTGCTTTTTAGAGTTTCCAGTTTTTCTGCTCTGTTTTTTCCCCATCTTTGTGGTTTTTTCTACTTTTGGTCTTTGATGATGGTGATGTACAGATGGGTTTTTGGTGTGGGTGTCCTTTCTGTTTGTTAGTTTTCCTTCTAACAGACAGGACCCTCAGCTGCAAGTCTGTTGGAGTTTGCTAGAGGTCCACTCCAGACCCTGTTTGCCTGGGTATCAGCAGAGGTGTCTGCAGAACAGGGGTTTTTCGTGAACCACGAATGCTGCTGTCTGATCGTTCCTCTGGAAGTTTTGTCTCAGAGGAGTACCCGGCCCTGTGAGGTGTCAGTCTGCCCCTACTGGGGGGTGCCTCCCAGTTAGGCTGCTCAGGGGTCAGGGACCCACTTGAGGAGGCAGTCTGCCCATTCTCAGATCTCCAGCTGCGTGCTGGGAGAACCACTGCTCTCTTCAAAGCTGTCAGACAGGGACATTTAAGTCTGCAGAGGTTATTGCTCTTTTTGTTTGTCTGTGCCCTGCCCCCAGAGGTGGAGCCTACAGAGGCAGGCAGGCGTCCTTGAGCTGTGGTGGGCTCCACCCAGTTCCAGCTTCCAGGCTGCTTTGTTTACCTAAGCAAGCCTGGGAAATGGCGGGCGCCCCTCCCCCAGCCTCACTGCTGCCTTGCAGTTTGATCTCAGACTGCTGTGCTAGCAATCAGCCAGACTCCATGGGCATAGGACCCTCTGAGCCAGGTGCAGGATATAATCTCCTGGTGCGCCATTTTTTAAGCCTGTCAGAAAAGCACAGTATTCGGGTGGGAGTGACCCGATTTTCCAGGTGCCATCAGTTACCCCTTTGTTTGACTAGGAACGGGAACTCCCTGACCTCTTGCACTTCCCGAGTGAGGCAATGCCTCACCCTGCTTCGGCTCACGCACGGTGCGCTGCACCCACTGACCTGCACCCACTGTCTGGCACTCCCTAGTGAGATGAACCCAGTACCTCAGATGGAAATGAGGAAATCACCCGTCTTCTGCCTTGCTCATTCTGGGAGCTGTAGACTGGAGCTGTTCCTATTCGGCCATCTTGGCTCCTCCCCCCAATTAAGCAACTCTTAGTAATGTTCTGAATGAAACAGTCCAATCAGCCACCAATTTATATGAAAATTGCATTCCTAGAAAATTCACTATATATTTAAATCATGAAAAATGCTTAATATACGGCAGACACATTCAAAGCTTAGATAATTATAGATTTCTTACTTTCATGAAAGTCTTGCAAGGCAAGGGACAAATCATCATCTTGCAAGACTGTCTCATACATGGCAATATTGTAAAACCTGCCATGAGTCCTGTCCCACTCACTGAATTTTAATAGTCTTATTATGACAACCAAAGTATCTCCCAAAAAACTTCCCAAATTCCACCTATTAGATGATAGCCCCCCTATTTATAACCAAAAACCTAACACTACTATCAGATAATAACTATGTTTACATGACATATTTTTTCCACAATTATGTCCCCAGCAGTGTCCCACACAACATAACTGGTTGGATTAAAGAATGTATCAACAAATAACTAAGTGGAAACTAAATAGTGACACACACACACAGCAACCGTGCAATGATCACTTAGCAATATGCCCTAGATGTTTCTGTCCCATCTATCCTAGTACCACCCCCCTGCATGAGCAGGCAGACTTGGATGCTTTCAGGAAAGAGGTTTCTTGACTAACCTGTTCTTGTTAGCTTTTTTGTTTCTGACATCTAACTTAAATCTTTTTTTTTTTTTTTTTGAGACAGAGTCTCGCTCTGTCCCCCAGGCTGGAGTGCAGTGACGCAATCTCGGCTCACTACAAGCTCCGCCTCCTGGGTTCACGCCATTCTGCTGCCTCAGTCTCCTGAGTAGCTGGGACTACAGGCACCTGCCACCACACCTGGCTAATTTTTTGTATTTTTAGTAGAGACAGACGGGGTTTCACCATGTTAGGCAGGATGGTCTCGATCTCCTGACCTTGTGATCCGCCCGCCTCGGCCTCCCAAAGTGCTGGGATTACAGGCATGAGCCACCATGCCCGGCTAACTTAAATCTTTTCTATCACAATATGCCTGTTTCCCCTTATTTTGACTAGATGAAAAGGAAAACACTTGGTCACACGTGGGGGATTTTGACCCAAATGCTCAATAGTGCTAATGCGGGAGATCCACAAAAGGAGGGAGCTTCTTCACAGAGTTTCTATTTTTCACGGGCACAAATTATTTTAAGTTGCTTGAAAACAGCATTTCTCATTTTAGAGTAAAACCGGATAGCAATGGCTGGAAGAACAGGACTTTGCCCATGGTTATGCCTGGCATATACATTTATCTTGGACCCTTTTTAGTTATCACATAATTTTTTTATTGATGTAAATAACTTACACACGAAACCTGTTTCCAGTGGCAGCTTGTCAACAATCTCTGGACTGTGATTCATGTACTTCTTGGTTTAGAAACAGGAAAAGTTTTCCATGCCTGCTTATTTTCACCTATTGCATTTTTGCATCATGTGTTTCATCTTTGGCATATCTTCCCAGGGAAGATGGTACTGGAAAGAAGCCAGGGGCAACTATTCCAATAAGCCAGTTAACTTTGCTTTCCTCTCTGTGGTAGGAGATCGCAGTAATCAGTGCCCCTCCGGGTTTACCTTAGACTCAGTTGGACCTTTTTGTGCTGGTAAGTACAGAGATAAATAAAGGGTTTTCTTTTAATGAAAATGTCAATATTGGATAGCATTTAATGGGTATCTATTGCCCTTTCACTAGGTATTTAATCTTCACAACAGTTCTGTAAACATCCCATTTGACAGCTAAGGAAATTGAGATGTAGAAAAGTCAAACTATGGAAAACCACTCAGCATCAAGTGGCAGAGCTGCATTTGAATTTAAGTTAATTCCAAAGCCCATGTTCTCTGAATTTGGCCACAGCCAACTGTGTCAGAGATAGTGACTAAGTATAGATGTGGAGTGAGCAGACAGACAATGCTATACTTTATCTGGTGGCTTGATTGCCGTGGCTGTGAGAGAGCCACAACATTAAGTCACCTAACCCTAGAATTAATCAGAGGACAGGCAGGATTGTGGACTTATGACTAATGATTAAACCAATTTTATCCCACCAAAGTACCAGCACAAGAGAGGTACAGATAACTGCTAAGTAAATGGCTTGAGGAGCTTACATTTACATACACAGTGCTTTTCTTTCATTGGTAGGCAATGTAATATAGTCTTGTGATAAAGAGGTGGTCTTTCCACTGCCCAGGCACAAATCACAGCCCTGCCAGTAATGACTTGTATGACCTTAAGCAATTTATGTAACTTCTTTTTTCCTCAGTTTTGTCCTGCAAAATAAGGATAGTAATAAAAATACTTATCTCCTAGGAATTCTGTGATGAAAGAGTTAAAGCAGGTAAAAGGCATTTAGAGCACAGTAGATGATAAATATATTTTAGCTATTATCATTGTTGTTTTAGGATATAATCTAACCATCTATTCACTATCAAGGATAACTCAGATGCCTCAAATTATTTTTATTCAGTGAATTCATTTTGTGGCACTTAAAGCATTTTCTATTATATTTGATTCAACTTCTTGGCCTCTATAAGCAGTTATTTTTACTGGCTTTAATAACTCCCAGAAAGTAAGGATTTTACATACTGATTTGGGCCTTTTTGTTTCTTCTTTAAGATGAGGATGAATGTGCAGCAGGGAATCCCTGCTCCCATAGCTGCCACAATGCCATGGGGACTTACTACTGCTCCTGCCCTAAAGGCCTCACCATAGCTGCAGATGGAAGAACTTGTCAAGGTATTCACAAATCTAATACACACATTTAAGCAATGGGTCAAGGATTTCTTTGACCTAGAAAAAGTATGATAGACCCATTATCTTCTTTCCTACTACTTCTGCCCACACCTTGGCAACAAACAAAGAAGGTCTCCATTGGGCTGAGAAAGTAAGAAAGCAGGAACACTGTTCATGCACTGCCTGCATGTGGGGCACTCTCAAGGCAGGAATGCCTGGAGCATCTCACTCAAGATCTCAGAAAGGAGAAGTAACTTCTTAAAAGCCACCTAATTTATAAGTGGTCTGATTAATCTGTCAGTCTATGAAGATATTAATCACACTGTGCTGCTGTGAGTTTGTCAGCTATTTAGCCCACCTGATGTGACTCAACCAAAAACTTTAGTCCTTCTTGTTCTTTTCTAGTTTCAAGGGTCCTTCACTGCTTTTTGTATCCCTATTTCACCGCAGGTTCTTGGGCTGGGTGTTCTTCAGCTCACCTCAGTTGAATGATTCCCTCTGTTGCAGATATTGATGAGTGTGCTTTGGGTAGGCATACCTGCCACGCTGGTCAGGACTGTGACAATACGATTGGATCTTATCGCTGTGTGGTCCGTTGTGGAAGTGGCTTTCGAAGAACCTCTGATGGGCTGAGTTGTCAAGGTATAAAAATGGAGGCCTTTTCTTTATGTTCATGACAGTAAGAATTAGACCCACCTTTTGACTCCTCAAAAGTTAACTGTCTCAGAAACTCCACGAGGAAGGGACCACATAAAAGGGAGAGAATGAGGAGATATCCAGCAAGAGGGACTCCTGTCTCTCCGGAGGACTTAAACTTCATTTTATATGTTTTATAAGTTGAGCTTCTTCATAAGCTTTTATTCAGATATATTCCACAGCTATTTTAAATATGTATAGCACAGTGGTTTTGAGTGACCATTTGCCTGTTACCATTTGATTGAGATCATACTGCACAGTCCAATAAAATCTATTTCATAAAATTCCATTGCGTAAGACTGCCAGAATGTTTGTTGAATGATGTTTTTAATAGGCTATTTTTTAGAACAGTTTTAGGTTCACAGCAAAATTGAGTAGAAAGTACATAGATTCCTATATAACCCCTTCCCTCCACACACACAGCCTTCCTCACTATCAATATCTCACACCAGGGCGGTACGTTTGTTACAGTCAATAAACTTACACTGACACATCATTATCACTCAGAGTCTAGCTTAGATTAAGCTTCTCTTGGTGTTGCACATTCTATGGGTTTGCAAAAATTTATAGCAACATGTATCCACCATGATAGTGTGGTACAGAATAGTTTCATTGCCCTCAACATTCTCTGTTCTTCACCGAATCATGTCTGTTTCCTCCAACCTCTGGCAAACACTGATCTTGTTACTGTCTTTGTGGTTTTGCCTTTTTCCAGAATGTCATATAGTTGGAATCATACAATTGTGCAGACTTTTTAGATTGCCTTCTTTCACTTAGTAACATTTAAGTTTCCTCCACCCCTTTTCATGGCTTGATAGTTCATTTCTTTTAATTGCTCAATAATAAATATTCCATTATCTAGATAGAACAGTTTATCTACCTAGTGAAGGACATCTCAATTGCCTCCAAGTTTAGGCAAATATAAACAAAGCTGCTATCAGGATTTTTCATAGAGGAAAAGACAGTGGATCCAAAACTGAATGTCTATCAATAAATGACGCATGGTACATCTACACCCATGAACCATTGTGCATCCATGAGAAAAATCCAGATGTAGGAAGGTATGTATAATTTTGCAGAAAAGAGTATGTAACTGGAAACAACCAAAGAAAAAAGGAAATGGATCTATATATTTAGGTGGAGATATTTATGTGGCTGCAGAAGAAATATATTATTATTCATACTAGATAGTTAATGTTTGCCTTTGGTGGGCAAGAAAGGTAAAAAGGGAGAAGGGAGCCCAACCAAAAGAGGAAGAGGAAGAAAAAAAAACTGCACTAAGAAAAATCTTTTAAAAGTATGTGATCACAGCCAGGTGCAGTGGCTGACAAATGTAATCCCAGCTACTTGGGAGGCTGAGGCAGGAGAATCGCTTGAACCCAGGAGGCTGAAGTTGCAGTGAGCTGAGATCATGCCATTGCACTCCAGCCTGGTGACAGAGACTCTGTTTCAAAAAAAAAAAAAAAGTATATGATCACATCTGTGTTTCTGTAAGTTAAGTTAACACATTGTAGATTTTGAGAGGTTAAATTAAAAGATGTCAAATAGAAAACAGTACACAATAAGAGACATTGGCAATCTGGAATGTAAGGTGAGGAAGTGAAGAGCCCAACTATGGTGATTTTTCTTTTGAAGAGTTTGGAATATAGCAAGACAGAAGTGGCAGGAACTGGAGATGAGTATAGACCTGAGAGAGGGATTTGGTTATGAGAGGAAAATTTTGATTATATCTACAGGTTTATTGGAAAGAAGACTATAAGAAGGAAGGACTTTTTTTTTTATTATACTTTAAGTCCTGGGATACATGTACAGAAAGTGCAGGTTTGTTACGTAGCAATACACGTGCCACGGTGGTTTGCTGCACCCATCAACCCGTCACCTACATTAGGTATTTCTCCTAATGCTATCCCTCCCCTAACCCCCGCCCAATCCCTCAACAGGCCCTGGTGCCTGATATTCCCCTCCCTGTGTCCATGTGTTCTCATTGTTCAACTCCCACTTAGGAGAGAGAACATGTGGTATTTGGTTTTCTGTTCCTGTGTTAGTTTGCCAAGAATTATGGTTTCCAGCTTCATCCATGTCCCTGCAAAGGACATGAACTTATCCATTTTATGGCTGCATAGTATTCCGTGGTGTATATGTGCCACATTTTATGTGAAGGACCTCTTCAAGGAGAACTACAAACCACTGCTCAAGGAAATAAGAGAGGACACAAACATTCCATGTTCATGGATAAGAAGAATCAATATTGTGAAAATGGCCATACTTCCCAATTTAATTTACAGATTCAATGCTATCCCCATCAAGCTACCAATGACTTTCTTCACAGAATTAGAAAAAACTACTTTAAATTTTATGTGGAACCAAAAAAGAGCCCGTATAGCCAAGACAATCCTAAGCAAAAAGAACAAAGCTGGAGGCATCACACTACCTGACTTCAAACTATATTACAAGGCTACAGTAACAAACAGCATGGTACTGGTACCAGAATAGATATACAGACAAATGGAACAGAACAGAGGCCTCAGAAATAACACCACATCTACAACCATCTGATCTTTGACAAACCTGACACAAGCAATGGGGAAAGGATTCCCTATCTAATAAATGGTGAGAAAACTGGCTAGCCATATGCAGAAAACTAAAACTGGACACCTTCCTTACACCTTATACAGAAATTAACTCAAGATGGGTTACAGACTTAAACGTAAGACCTAAAACCATAAAAACCCTAGAAGAAAACCTAGGCAATACCATTCAGGACACAGGCATAGGCAAAGACTTCATGACTAAGACACCAAAAGCAATGGCAACAAAAGTCGAAATTGACAATGCGATCTAATTAAACTAAAGAGCTTCTGCACAGCAGAAGAAACTATCAGAGTGAACAGGCAACCTACAAAATGGGAGAAAATTTTTGCAATCTATCCACCTGACAAAGGGCTAATATCCAGAATCTACAAGGAACTTAAATTTACAAGAAAAAAAAAAAACCATCAAAAAGTGGTCAAAGGATATGAACAGACACTTCTCAAAAGAAGACATTTATGCAGCCAACAAACATGAAAAAAAGCTCATCATCACTGGTCATTAGAGAAATGCAAATCAAAACCACAATGAGATACCATCTTACGCAAGTTAGAATGGCAATCATTAAAAAGTCAGGAAACAACAAGATGCTGGAGAGGAGGTGGAGAAACAATAAGATGCTGGAGAGGAGGTGGAGTGTTTCATTGACATAGTTATGTGTCATTAGCAGTTGTCTACTTTTAAGAGTATTGAAGGGAGATACCCTCTCCAGCAATTAATTCTATCAAGTATTTGGCAGGTGGAATGTTTTACATTGTTGGTGGGTGTATAAATTAGTTCAATCATTGTGGAAGACAGTGTGGCGATTGCTCAAGGATCTAGAACCAGAAACACCATTTGACCCACCAATCCCATTACTGGGTATATATTCAAAGGATTATAAATCATTCTACTATAAAGACACATGCACACGTATGTTTATTGAAGCACTATTCACAATAGTAAAGACATAGAACCAACCCAAATGCCCATCAGTGATAGACTGGAAGGACTTTTAAAATGCATAGGAGGAGGGAATGATTGATGGACTACAGTCCTCATCTTGGTGAGGAAGGGTAAGATGGGCTGCAGAGCTCAAAAGCTCAAATAGGGGGACTTTTCTTCAGTGAGAGAAGAGGGCTTTCTTCCTCCAGGACTGGAGGAAAGGAAAGTAAAGGAAAGAAGGTACACAAACCACAGGCAAGTCCCCAAGAGTTTGAGGAGTTCATGCCTGCACACTGTTTTTGTTACACTATGACCCAGATGGTGTTTGGGAAGTACAATGTGGCAGTGACTGCCAAATGTAGAGAAATGCTGATGTTGATGCAGTCAGGCACAGGGTGATAAAGACTTGCACCAAGCTAGTAGCAACAAGAAAGGGGAAGAAAGGACAATTGCAAAAGACCTTAGTGTTGTTGGAGTTTTTTCCCTCTGTCTTCAGCATCCCAGTCTGTCAGTAACATTCCAGGACTGGAACTTCCGAGAAACAGGAGTGAGAGCCATATGGCAAAATACTTAAAGTAGAAGAGTGTTTCATTGACATAGTTATGTGTCATTAGCAGTTGTCTACTTTTAAGAGTATTGAAGGGAGATACCCTCTCCAACAATTAATTCTATCAAGTATTTGGCAGATCACATGAGTGCAATATATTGGATAGGTTTTAGAGAAGATCTTAAACATGGTAATGATCAAGATCATTAAAATGTTAAACATTTGGGATAAATTCAGGTTTCCTAATAGCATATAATGAAAGTTTTGTTTTATTTAACAGATATTAATGAATGTCAAGAATCCAGCCCCTGTCACCAGCGCTGTTTCAATGCCATAGGAAGTTTCCATTGTGGATGTGAACCTGGGTATCAGCTCAAAGGCAGAAAATGCATGGGTAAGAAAAGGGCTTTGAATTTAAAGGAATGACACCTCTATAACTTCTTAATGATGTCTGATCTAAATGCATACACTGTGTCTTGGTACTGGTTCCTATATAGGACATCAAGCATGCAGCATGTATGCAATCCATGCAAAACCAAAATGACAAAAAATGCTGTTTTATGAGTTTCTTTTTCTAATTACATACCCATTCTTCATAACATTTCCTCTAATATTTTTGCAAAAGTATATCTATACATATAAATATATGTATGTACATATATATGTATACAAATGAAGTTAGTATATATAAATTTTATTTTTCTAAGAGGAGAAAATGATTGGTATGGCTACCTGCTCTGTAAAACAATATTTTGTGTTTGTTTTTGATTTTTATTATATTTTAAAGTGTGTTACATACATTGTTGAATTTAAGCACTTTAACCTTACACAATGATTATGCAATGAATGTATATATAAATAATATCCCTAAAATCCAAAAGTATGATTTCTCTGGAAAAGTTGAATAAATAATTTTCTTAATCTACATTACCTTTGTTCTTTTATCAAGATGTGAACGAGTGTAGACAAAATGTATGCAGACCAGATCAGCACTGTAAGAACACCCGTGGTGGCTATAAGTGCATTGATCTTTGTCCAAATGGAATGACCAAGGCAGAAAATGGAACCTGTATTGGTGAGTGTCTGGCTGTTTCCGTGACTGAGATCAGTTTGCCGTCAACAAGTCAAGTAAGGCATTCATTTTAAAAGAAGTGATTAGAGTAAATTTAAGCTAACAAGGAAATCTTTCTTTTTCCATAAGTACTCCCAACTTCTAGGATAATTGAGCTCCAGGTCCCAGGGTCATGGCTGTACCCGGAAATGGAAGCTCACTATGAAAACTTATGACCATTTTGAGCTCCCATCAATTAAACATTTGGTTTACATAGTTTAATATCCACAAGCATTAATATTATCTCACATGATTTCTAATAGAAATTTAGCATATATGTTAAGAATTTCTTGGGGGAAAGAAAAATTATGTCTGTAGAGATTAAAATTCAAAATATAATTATTTTGGAGATGTATATTCCTTAAATATCAAATCCATGACCAGACAAATAAAATAAATAATTTGCCCAAAATTTATGCTTTGCCTGTCTAGTCTACATCAATGACCAGACACAAAGGTACATTATAGTTCTCCCTACATTTGTTCTGTGTATGTCTAGGCTGTACCAGCCTGGTTAGCAGAGCTAGCAACTGCAGGATTTACAAAAATAAAAGAGAGATACCATTCCCATTCTCATTCCTGCTAAAAAACACAGGAGAAAGAAATAATTTATGGGTTAAATTGGCCTACTCCACTATACCCCCTCCCCCCAAAAAAGCAAAGACCTATAATATGAGGAGAATGAAACACCATAAAGAGGAACAAATAAAATTCTACAGGAATACCCAAGAGAGTGACTGTATCCAGTAGGAGTCACTATGAAGGAGGTCATGAAAATGATCACATTTAAATATAGGTTGGGATGTTACTAGATGGAGATGACAGAAAAAGGAAAGCAAGAAAGCCTTGTATAAGGGAGAAAGAGCTGAACTTAAGCATAAAGTGTTAAAATTCATTGTTCCTTCTTGACAGCTATCTAACCTTGGACAAGTCTTATGATTACACAGAAATTTGATTTTAAGTTTCTCATTGTAAAAATAGTACAGTTTTTCTTTTAAAAATCAATTATAAAATATTAATAAAATTATTGTATCTTGGATTTGTTTCAGAACAATATGATAGGAGTGGGAGATAGATATAGATGAAGGAATATTGGCCATTTGTTGATAGTTGTTAAGTTCATGGTGGTTTAGTATAATTTAAAAAAACAACAACTGGTGATGGGAGTTGAAGTATCAGATTTCAAAGACTTGTTTCAGCTCTTACACTATAGATATAGGTCAATACTTTCCTTATCATTTAAGAGTAGCAGCCAACTCGGTCAGGAGTTTTAGACCAGCCTGGCCAGCATGGTGGAACCTCATCTCTACTAAAAATACAAAAATTAGCTGGGCATGGTGGCGCATGCCTATAGTCCCAGCTACTCTGGGGGCTGAGGTGGGAGGATCGTTTGAACCCAGCAGGCAGAGGTTGCAGTAAGCTAAGATCATGCCACTGCACTCCAGCCTGGGTGACAGAGCGAGACTCCATCTCAAAAAAAAAAAAAAAGAAAAAAGAAAAAAAAAAAGTAGCAGCCAACTCAGAGCATCATGTACAGTTACATGCAACTGTAAATATTTTTCAGAATATTGGCCCTAATTATGTATAAGCTTAACTAGACATGAGTTGAAAGATCAGAAACTTTTTAAGAAGCTACAGCAAAAATCTAGCTAAGTGGGAATGGAAATGTGGAGATACATGGTTTTGATTGAAGGAAATAGAACTACCCAATCTTGGCAACTGAGAGAATAAGTTAAAGATGACTGACCATTGTACTTTGTATATAGCAAATGTTCAAACTAATACTATTACTAGAAACTCTTTTAAAAGAAATGCTTTTCCATAGCAGGAATACAGAACATAATTTATCATTTAAAGCTTGATGGACTTGAAACACAGGCCTGCTGTTATCACAAATAGGGGAGTAAGGTTAAGGCATTGAGGGTGTGCTGGGTTTGAACTAGTGGTAAAACAAAGAGAGATGGGGATGTCCAGCTAGCAGCTAGAAACATGGGACTGTAGATCAGAAGCAATGTAGCACTATTGCTCTCAATCTGCCTAAACTCTAATCACTTGTATAAATAAGATGGCAAAAGGAGGAAGGGATATAGAGAAGGAGAAAAAAAGAAATCTGTGAATAAAACTCTCTCCATAGTAGGGAGCAGGAGGAGGAAAAGCAGCCATTTAATAAGTGGCAGAGCTGGGACTTGAACCCAGGTTTTCTGATTCCAAGTTGTAAGCTGGTATGATCTCAACCACTTGGTGAGAAATGCAACCTTTGGCAATTCTACAGAATGCTGACTTTAAATACAATGACTTTGGGTTTGAAAGAGGAAATGTTACTTCTCATTGCCTCCATGTCTGTAGATATTGATGAATGTAAAGATGGGACCCATCAGTGCAGATATAACCAGATATGTGAGAATACAAGAGGCAGCTATCGTTGTGTATGCCCAAGAGGTTATCGGTCTCAAGGAGTTGGAAGACCCTGCATGGGTAAGTTAATAGGAACTTGTTGAGCAATAAAGCTACTGATGTAGTTACCTAGCCTTACCAACTCGCTTAGGGCCACTTTCTCTATCCTCAAATGGTCTCTTGTTACAATAATAAGGTATGTGAATTGATTTACGTCATTCAACACAATTTGGATACTTCTTCAGAGACTTCATATTGAGCTCAATTTACACTGACATTTCAAGTGATAATAATCACTTACTCTGTGCTTGCTATACACCACACATATCAAAGTGAGGTTCTGATATAATTGCCATCACAACTTAATTATCAAGATTATCTCATTGATTATATCTCTATGCACATGACATAAATGTTTGCATAGATACATTTTATTTGAGCATGAAGTATATTTGTATGTAGTATGAAAGTTTAGGTGTGAGGTATTAAAATAGGGACACACAATTTAAATAAATGGATAATTACTTTATCATATATTTAATGCTTACTGTGTGCTGTTCCCTTTGCTAAAAATATCTCATTTCTCCCCAGTTGCCTGTTTGTTTTCATCTTAGTTATATTTGAATATGAAGGCAAATAGAAAATATCTGTAAGATAACCACATACTTTTGGTAAAAATTAATGCATTTATAATCAAGAAACTGATCTATCAAATTGTAGTCTTCCTTAGAATATTCAATTGCACTAAAATAATGTTGTGGGCTTTTAAATACTAGCTTCTGGGTTTCACGCTATGCTTTTCAAATTGGTTGCCTTCTTGTCCACTTAATGATTATTTATAGCAAATTCTCCCAAAAAGACTTAGCTCTGTCTTTATGCAATCCCTAGCATAATATTTTGTATGTACCAAATGTTCAAACTAATACCATTACTAGAAACTCTTTTAAAAGAAAATGCTTTTTAATAACAGGAATACAGATCATCATTTTAGTCTTCTATTTAGATATTATCATTTATATATAGTTTAACATCTTGATCAGCCATAACCGTGACTTTTCAGAATGAAATAGTTGTATTTATTCACCAATTTGGCCACCAGCTGGATCTCAGACATTGTGCTAGGGAGTAAAACAAGGAAGAATGCAGAACCATTGCCTCAATAAAAGAGTTAAAATGGCTGGGCACTGTGCTTCACGCCTGTAATCCCAGCTACTCGGCAGGCTGAGACAAGACAATCTCTTGATGTGGAGGTTGCAGTGAGCCGAGATTGCATCACTGCACTCCAGCCTGGACAATAAGAGTGAAACTATGTCTCAAAAAAAAAAAAAAAGAAAGAAAAGAAAAGAAAAGAAAGAAAGAAAAGAGTTAAAGAAACTGTCTCAAAAAAAGAGAAAGGAGTTAAAGTATTAATTTTTACCTACTAAAATAGTTTTTAAAGCAAAATTTACTATTTTATTCTACCTTCCTGTATTGTTTTCTTTCATGCCACTGTGGTAATGAATTAAAGAATTTGGTTTTCATTCCCTTTTCCAATTTATAGGAAGAATTGCAAGTACAGATTCCATGTGTTGACCTAACAATAGAAAGAAAATAACTTTTTAAAATTTTATGTGTTTGGTGAGTTTATATCTTAGTAAGAACTGATTCTATGTCCTTGTTTCCTTGATTTTAATCTGTTGGGGGAAAATGTGCTTGGCTTGTTCATTAATTCAAAATTATTAATTCAGAAAATAAAATTTTAAAGTCTGTAGTTTTGCCAGTATTCCTACCTCTAAAACTTATAATGGTATGGAAGATTAGAGACACTAGTTACCAATATTATAACTAAATACAAACTAGAGATGTGATTTCATTTCTGCTTCTGCTGATAGAATTAAGATCTACATTAGCTTTTGAACTCTGGTTTTCGTGTATTTAAGACTACGTATTCCCATATGATCTTTTTTGTTTCTACTGTTCACAGCTTGATTTGGCACATGATATCAAACCCATTCCTTCATTAATTCAACAAATGTTTATTGAGCACCTACTTTGTGTTGGATGATGTTCTAGGTTGTGGGAATACATTGCTAAACAGGGCAGACCAGGTCTCTGTCCTCGTGGAGTTTACCTTCCAGGGAGAGAAAGAAGAATCACAAAACAAATATACAATTTCAGATAGTGATAAGCACTTTAAGGAAACATAAAACAGAGAAACATAAGGAAACATAAAACATAAAACATAAAAGGAAAGGAAACATAAAACATAAAAGAGAGACCCAGATTGGGGTGGTAGCACTGTGATCCAGGCAGCCTCTCTGAGAGACTGGACAAAAGGAAAGAGCAGGCCAGGTGTGGTGGCTCACGCCTGTAATCCCAGCACTTTGGGAGGTCGAGGCGGGTGGATCACGAGGTCAGGAGATCAAGACCATCCTGGCTAACACAGTGAAACCCTGTCTCTGTCAAAAATACAAAAAAGATTAGCTGGGCGTGGTGGGACACACCTGTAATCCCAGCACTTTGGGAGGTCGAGGCGGGTGGATCACGAGGTCAGGAGATCAAGACCATCCTGGCTAACACAGTGAAACCCTGTCTCTGTCAAAAATACAAAAAAGATTAGCTGGGCGTGGTGGCACACACCTGTAGTTCCAGCTACTTGGGAGGCTGAGACAGGAGAATCCCTTGAACCCAGGAGGCAGGGGTTGCAGTGGGCCGAGATCATGCCACTGCACTCCAGCCTGGGCAACAGAGCAACTCCATCTCAAAAAAAAAAAAAAAAAGAGAGAGCAGCCACGATGGGAAGGTCTGAGCGAGTGTATTTCAGGCTGAGGAGAAGCCAGGGCAATGTCATTCAGAAAAGAATGCACTGACCATAATCAAGGAAGAACCAAGGGGTCAGGCTGTTGGAGCAAAGGTAGGCAGAGGGTAAGGAGGATGAAGAGCCCATAATAAAGAATGTGATGGGAAAACATGAAAGGTCTTGGGCAGACAAGCAATATGATATGGTTTACATTTGGAAAAGATCACTCTGGCTGCTATGTGGAGAATTAGGAGGGCAAAGATGCTTGCAGAAAGACCAAGTCATTTAAATAAAAATTTTAAAATAAACATAAAAGTAGTTACTTTTTTAAAATTATATGTGGACATATTAGAAAGCTTCCAACATTGTCAACCAGTAGAAAAATCTGAATTCCATCTGAAATATTTGTCAAAAGAGAAAAAACAAGAGAGAAATTTCCCAAATGTACACGTATGATTGTATTAAGAGGTACTATCTTGAGACTTTTTTATAAGTGAAGTTTGATGAAAATTATATTCATTTGTGATTCCACACTCTCTTGTACCTTTTTTTTTTCCAGAGGAAGATACACAAATTTTAACAATTTAAGATGTCTCTGCCTAGTTGAACTAAGAAAGCTTAGTGTAGTATTTCTAAGATTTAAAATCTTAATGTTACTCTTAGAATTACGTGTAAAAATGTATACCAAAGTAGCTTAAACTGATCAAGGAGACAAGGCTGAAAACAGAGCTCCCTAGGTCTTAAGGCCATCATAAGTGAGTCAAAGGGGTATGAACTTACAGAACTAGTGTGTCTTGTTGTCTGAGCCACTTGCTTCAATGTGAATGTTCAAATAAAATGTGTGGATATAATATAGTATTTAGGGGGAGATTTGCAGAATCTGTCCTATGTTCATAACTGAATGATTAAAGCTTTGTCAAAAGTTCACAACAGTTGAGGAGAAATTACTGTATGCCTGGCTTTGGAGGGTAACAATGTCTTCAGTTTGTTTCACAGACTCATTCTTTATTCCTGTGTTTTGTGTGTGTATGTATGTGTCTTTTTTTTTCTTTTTTATATCATGGCATACGAGCAGACATTAATGAATGTGAACAAGTGCCTAAACCTTGTGCACATCAGTGCTCCAACACCCCCGGCAGCTTCAAGTGTATCTGTCCACCAGGACAACATTTATTAGGGGACGGGAAATCTTGCGCTGGATTGGAGAGGCTGCCAAATTATGGCACTCAATACAGTAGCTATAACCTTGCACGGTTCTCCCCTGTGAGAAACAACTATCAACCTCAACAGCATTACAGACAGTACTCACATCTCTACAGCTCCTACTCAGAGTATAGAAACAGCAGAACATCTCTCTCCAGGACTAGAAGGACTATTAGGAAAACTTGCCCTGAAGGCTCTGAGGCAAGCCATGACACATGTGTAGGTAAATGTCAGCCATATTACATTTCCTTTCTGTGGGCTCTCTTACTGATCAAAGTATGTGTACAGCACCTGTGATTGTTTGAGTGCAGTGAACTACATCTGATCTCAAGTTCGGAATGACTCAAAATTTCAAGACATTTATTTTGGCACCTAAAACTATTACAGACTTGAGTCAAGTGAATTATGGATTTACATGTGGGCATTCTAATAATTTATTGTGTTATAGTCAGTTTCTTTTTGGTCACCCTGAAGGTGTTACTAAACTTAATACTAAATAGAAATAAATTTCAGTGGCATCCAGAATGTAGTTTATTTAAAAGAGGATGTAAATATTGCCACATAACGTAATGCCATCAGATTATGGCCACATCGGATTGATGGAAAAGCAGTGGTTTAAAAGTGAAAGTTTCAGCTTCTCGGTCGACTGCTTGTTCTGTATAACAACCAACATCCCATTGACTGTTGCTCCACAGTCCTCGTGGAATTGCTGTTTGATTATTGTGTATGTTTGTACGTCACTGAAAAGATAATATGAGTTGGGACAAAATTAAGTTGTTTCTATCACTCTGAAATATGTGCTTGCAGTATCTTTATCTAAATTCACAAGTCTATAATTCCATTTGTTTGCAAAAGTGAAGTATAATTTCCCACTTAAGAATTGAGACCTTGTTTTCAGTCGAGTTGCAAACATTACCATCTGTCACTCATTTAACTCAATTTTCTGTGAACATCTACAATTAGCATGTCATTGACCTACTCAAGGGGAATTAGCAAGCAGGAATTAGTTTTACTATTTGTTAGCTGGAAAAAATAAGCAAAGAAAGAACATAGGAGAGAAGTAAAGAGGGAGGGAAGAAACAAATTCCGTTTAAATTCAAAGCCCACTATGCCAGCCTCATTTTCTTACATTTCTGGAAAGCGTTCTACACTTTGCTTACTCTCTTAACTATGCTTTTTGCTAAACATTTTTTAAACATTTCTTCTCCTTCTATCTTCAATTTTTTTTGTTTCTTTTTCTACCCTTGCCCAAGCCCTGTTACTTCATTATTATCTTCTCAGATGGACTTCTTGGTCAACCTTAGGTGGATTCATCTTCCCATATCATCTCCACTCAGTTGGGCCCTCAGTCCCTCTGGACACTCAAACTTTACCCTTTGCTTTTTAGGTTCATATTTTTTCCAGCACTTTTCTGTCTTTTTTACCCTGATGTATCTGCAGCTTAATATAAGGGATGTGGAAACTTCTCCCTCGTGATTAGCTTACCAGAATTGTTGACAGTGCTCATTTCTTCTACCACCAAACATTAATGCATTAACAATTCTCTACATTTTGTCCCACGTGGTCAAATACTGTTTAATTGCTAAATATGTGGACTCCAGTATTCTTGCTAGTATATTAAACAACACTGTCAATCTGCTACAAACTGTTCTGAGTTTTGGGAAATTTTATGCCCACAATTTTGATCTGACTCTTCATTAAAGTTGTTCACTATTCTCTTATTGACAGAATTAACATCTGATATTTTGTCTTTCAAAGTTTCTTCCAAATAGTCATCCCCACTAGAGGGTTTTCACAGCCTAGGTAATAGGTTACCATCCCATTCTCAACCTTCATTTTAGACAAGCACTTTCTTTTGTTCTACCTTTACTTTCCTGCCCAAAAATCTGTGTTATGAAAAATAAATTTAGCCACACCCTCCACACTATACACCATTAGCTGGTTTCTTCCAAATTATCAGAAGGTCCAAGTTATTTTAAGAAAGCTTCCTGATTAATAACCCACTTCTCTACTTCTTCATCACTATCTATGGCTGCAGTTTCATCATAGTAGAGTCTTATAAATGTTTTCTGTCTTCCGTTTATGTTAAACCAATGTTATGTTATCACAATCGTCTTCCTCAGACAGTCATCTGCTATTTGAGGCAGCCACTCTTTCACAGTAAGGGTCAATCTTGGAGAATCTAAAGTAAAAATTTATAGCTAGTCCATTACTGGATATTTAAGTTTCTTTGGAGGCAATTCATAGGCTTAAACATTTCTTAAAATATGGTATTTTATAGTATTGGGACTAATGAAGAAATATACAGTAAGACTGCCTACAGCTTTGGTATTACACAACAAGACCAACTTGCAATAAGCACCAAATGCTTTTAATGAACTATCTGGGACAGACAAGTTATAAAAGATTCAAATTAACACTATGAAATCTTGTTAGGCTTGGGCTAAAGTTTAGTTTTTGAAGAAATTGATTCTAAAGCATAACAGGAAAAATGACCATTGCATTGCTTCTGAATGCAGAAATCACACTTGGGGGTAGTGTAAAATTCATGCTTGGGAAAGCTCTGTGCTAACAACTTGGAGTTCAACATCATTTACATTTCTGTTATTTTAGGTTAAAGCTGATTTTAAAGGAAAGAAGTAAAAACTCACACAAGTCATAGAATCAACACTTTGGTTAACTAGTCTTCCACTGGTTGGTGTATGCTCAGAGACTATGAGCAAATTTTAATTTTAGTTAAAGCAAAACACCACTGGGACAAGAAATCTTCAGCCTCCCAAATCACATACTTTATCCTTAAAGCAAATATCAATTAATTTTGAATTATCATCTATTCTCACCCTCCTTTTTTTGCCATTTTCATGGCTTTGTTTAATAATAGCAGATAGCCCTTTATAGACTACTTTCCCACATATTACTGTATATGAACCTTTCAACAAAACTGTGAAGTAGGGCAGATGGTCTCAAGTGTCCCTTTTAACAGAAGAATAAATGAGATCTTGAGAAGTTAAATGGCCTGCCAAAGGTAACACAACTATATATGTATGTACTTGTCATTAGTACGTTTGAATTGTATAAAAAAAGAGTATTTTTGTCACAAAAATAAAAAACATTTCCATGTGATATCTGTGTATGGGAAAGCTATGCATGAGTGGGGCTGCAGGGAGAGAGAAAGAGAGCCAAAGTTTAAATACAATAAAAACAAATAGTCCTTTTTGCAAGTAATCTCAATAGGAATATTGTATTTCAGGTAATTTCTACTATTCCTTAAAGAGTTTCATATTTTGGTGGTTTAGGATCCTGTCTACATTTGTTTCCTCTGTCATGTCACTCTTACTTAAGTAATATAAAAATTGACCCGTTTGGGACTTCAGCATATATGTGCTTACACAAAGAAATGTCCATAATTTGTAATATAGTACTGTGTATATAGTACTATATTCAGTATTTTTATAACATAAAAGTATCTTCATAGAAAATAGCTCTGAGCATTTTTTAACACATGAGTATAAAATCACCAAGAAGTTTTTCTAATGTATATCAACAACTTGATGAGAGTTGGCTCTGTCACAGTGTCTGCTTTTTTCTTGTGTAGTGATAACTCTCTGTCTTCTTCCTGAACAGATATTGATGAATGTGAAAATACAGATGCCTGCCAGCATGAGTGTAAGAATACCTTTGGAAGTTATCAGTGCATCTGCCCACCTGGCTATCAACTCACACACAATGGAAAGACATGCCAAGGTGAGAAAACATTGGGATGTTTATTGTTGCAAACTTGACTAAAAACCAACAGAGAGTGTGAGAAGTTTTTTTTCAATAATCATTCTCCTAGTGGCTTCCCCTTCTTACCCATTCCCGTGGGTCAGAATTATGTTCAGACATTGCTTTTGCAAGCAGGAGAAGCAATGGGAGAGGAAGCAAGCAAAGAAAATAGCTGAGAAACATTTTTGGTATGGTCTTACTAGAAGGAGCAAGAATGCCTAAGCCAGTTCATATTATATATTTTTAAAACTTAATGGGAATAGATCTCTTCAAACTTTTTTACAATTCCACTAAAATGGAAGTGAAAAATGAGAAGGTTACTCAGTAAATTTACTTCAGTGTTAGATATTATTTTATATGTTGTCCCTCTTATTAAACTTATTTTTAAAGTGATCAGTTTGGTAGTCAATTAAATGATTCATTCATTCGTTGAGTCTACATTGATGTGGAACAATTATGTGCTAGCATTGCAGGATTTAAACAGATAAATAAGATAGAGTCTTCCCCTTTAAGAGTTTACAGTCTAGTGGAGACAGACATGTAAATAAAACAAACAAAATATAGCTCATTGGTTTTATAACAGAGTTTTGGGCAAGATATAGCAATGACAAAGAATAAAACATCAATCTCAGTGGTTCCCTTTTTACACAAAAATGTGAAAGGAGCATTGTAATTTGGTAAAGTTGATTATATTGCAACATGTACTTATATTAAGGAGAAATAAGAACTTGTATAGCTCCTAAAAATCTTCTAAGAAACCCTTGAATTTTGTAGACAAAATCTAGGAGTATTATGTGGGTCTTAATAAGCTTTTGAACTGTATTAATTTGTGTCATGGAAAATTATATCCTTTTGTAAAGTATAGCAAATAAAAGCTCCAAAAGAGTGCTTTATCAGCAGCAATCAAATTTAGATTGAATTTTTTTCTCTTTATGGGATTCACAAAAGACTTGCTGCAATGCAGCTTATGGAAAATGGGTCCCAGGAGGCAAAACCAAGGTGGACAATGGCTTCACCCTAGTTACTGTGAACACTGCCACCTCATCCCACACCACCCTACCCCACCCATTTACTCATTCACACTCCCTGAGGGCCCCCACTGGGTCATGTGGGCCAGAGATGAAACATGAAGTTGAGTAATAACTTTCGCTTTGGGCCATCAGTCACCAAATATTTCTTAAGAACCTACCCCATGCAGAGAGTTTTACTCAGATTTAAAGTACTGGAATAATTTATTTAATCATATTGTTACCTTTTTCCAAAGCAACTGTTATTTCACTTTAATCAGCAGTATAAATATGTCAAGGGCAATAATTTGCACCCATTCTAATGGGCACCCATTAGATAATTTGTACCCATTCTAAAACTAATTATCAGAGTGATTATGTGAGCCTTAATGTCCTAGAATAATCAAGAGCAGAGGTAGGACTTGACCTCAGATCTATATGTCTAGAATAGTCCTTTGTCTCCTGGGATGCTGTGAGCACCAGGAGCATTGCACTGAGGCGGCAGGATGGGGTGAGGGCACTTTGTCCAGATATTACCACTTTTCCCCAGTTCTTCAACCCAAGAGTCTTCCTGAAGGAGTGGCGATGCCCACACTAAAACCACACCCCCTCCAGGTACCCCAGGCACCAAGGAAGGCAACAGGGCAGATACCGAAGCATTTGGAATAACCACTCAAAACGCACAACCCCTTAGCCAGATTTTATTCTCATTAGAGAATTTTTCTCCCTTTCTAAATTGTGCCAGTTTCTTTTTTTAATTGCCTTTGTCACTCACTTAGTTCAAAACGTTCTTCAGCTTTCAGTTGTGCTACAGAGAGTGGAAAATGACGTGGTCAAATCAGAAACAGGTGTCACTTGAAATGTCTGCAATTTAAATGGGTTACATATTTTTGTGGTTTTAAAAAGACTTGAGAGAAAACAATTATGCCTTTTTCTTTGCCCTGAAGAATAACTTGCATTCTTTTTATAGTTTTAGAAAGTGTTTGAGGCATTTATAAGGAACCAAAGACTGCTTTTTATTTGCATATGATTTTTTGAAAGATTTAGAAATTACTGATACAAACGTCAATAATAAAAGGGAAATTAAAGTGAATTTGACATTGAACAAGGACAGACACTCTAGTCAAAAGTGAAAGTCACTAGACTGCAAAATAAACAAAAAGCATGACCAATCAAGAATTGCCTAAGACACAGAGAGGAGAAACTAAAGGACCCTTATGCTAATTTTATGCACCACTAATCTACTTCTAAAAATTTGGAAACATTCTATGAGCACTGCATTTAAAATAAGTGCTCTTATTCATCCGTGTTTTAAAAATGCAATGCATAATGTTTATCAAGAATCTAAATTACTTATATTTTCTATAAGACAGATGTTTCAAGTATGTTTATCCTAAATTTTTTAGTATTCAGAAGCACTAGGTTAAATACATTCATATGTTCTGAAGCTGTTAATATAAAAATTTTCAGCTCATTTTGGGATTCTTTTCTTGTAGCAATATTTATGTTACAAAATACTTTCATTTCAATCATAATATTCTTATATTTAATAGAAACCAGACATCACATCATCCATGAACAGAAGACAACACAATTTCTATTTCTTTTTCTGTCTTCTTTTTTTTAAGAATAGTGAGTAGAGTAAATAAGTAGAGTGACTGGATTCCTAGAGAGAATGCTTCACCCTGAGGAGAGGGTAATAGACCAGAGACAGAAGAGGGCCACCTGCCCAGCACCTCAGTACTTAGGAAAGCTTTTTAATAGAAAGTGTATATTTCTATATTAGATTCTGATATTTCTTTATAGATTCATATTTACCCAATGAAAATATATCATAAGGTAACTACTAAATAACAACTTACTATGCACACTGATGTGCGTCCACCTTCTAGTCTCCACACCACTATCATGGACCCCTGCAGCCCACTGGCTTCATGTTTCTGCAAGAGTTCATGATGAAAATAAGATAAAATGTGGACAATGAATATGAAGAGAAATTTTTTTAATGCGAGAAGGAAGATAAGGCTAATTGAATTTCACATTTTTCTAGAAGGCTTTTCAAGTCACTGAGACAATCTTATTTTGTCAAGGAGATTAAGCCCTCCTGGCTGATAAAATCATAATTAGAAATTTTTTCACAGAGGCAGTAGGCAAGACTTCACTGAAAAAGTTTGTCCACATTGTGTTTCATTCCTGTAGGAAAGCTAATCCTAGTATAATACTAGTAATAGCATATACATCATTGTCAGCACATATAACTAACTAAAAAGTTATTTACTCCGTATCATTCTAACCCAGTATCTTTTTACTTTGTGGAGACTGTTATTGTTTTAAATAAATACTTACATTGTCTGTGGTTTCCTTAGAAGATGTTTGGAGCCAAATCTAAAATGCTTACTTTTGTATCAAGTCCCAATATAAATACCATTATCCAACTACCAAATTATGTACTACTGTACAATGACATCGTAGTAACACTGTTCTCAGCACAGCTTCCATGATAGAAGTGCATTTGACCGTCAGGACCCACCTGTGGAGAACCAATTTACTCCATTTAATTGTCATTTTTCCCTCTTGTATCTCAGGACCAATGCTATATGCAGCCAATTGACTTAGACTTTGAAAACCTTATACTTTACTCATACTTTAAAAAATTAACCACTAAAGTTTCTTATAAGTTTAAATAGTTGCAAAGGATGTGAATTATGGCGTTGTTATACAGATTGTTATGTTAATGTGCTCAAGCTTTAAATATATTTTCATGAAAACTTCAGAGCTTCAGATTTAACTCTCTCGGTTAAGGGAGGATGGCCACTATATAATTTGAAAGTCTGTATTCGTTGTCAAATTAATCAGATTTACCGTCAGAAAAAGTCTAAGGTGATTTTTCTGTTCAAACAAAAATGTTAGTAGGTGTCCCCATGACAACCAACCCACTTCTGAAATCTAATTTAAAATAGAGAGCTAATGGGAGGCCGAGGTGGGTGGATCACCAAAGGTCAGGGGTTCAAGACCAGCCTGGCCAACATGGTGAAACCTCCTCTCTACTAAAAATACAAAAATTAGCCAGGCATGGTGACGCATGCCTGTAGTCTCAGCTACTCTGGTAGCTGAGGCAGGAGAATCACTTGAGCCCAGGAGGCGGAGCTTGCAATGAGCTGAGATTGCACCACTACACTCCAGCTTGGGCGACAGAGTGAGACTCCGTCTCAAAAAATAAAATAAAATAGAGAGCTAAGACCATCGGTTTGTGGCCATGATAAAATAAGGCCTGCCAGCCACCTCTATCAGTCTTTATTACCAATATTCTTATTCTCTGTTTATCCTCTGAGATTAGTTGCAATCTGTTTTTGTAAATCAGAAGGTTGGAAACAGGGAGATGGGAATAGAGACCTCCAGGCCATGAGATGTTCTCAGGCAAATTGACTTTAGAGAGGAGAATTATGGAAAATGAGATTATGGGAATTGATTCCCTGAAATATTTGCCTGCATTCATACTGCTAGAAAACATTCGTGTATCACCAGGGGAACGAGGATGCCCCAGTATGAAAACCATTGCTCTAAAATACCATTCTTACATTTGGGATCTTAAAATTCCTTAAGAATTGTATTGAACTCCATGGACCCTCTTTCTTGAAAATCCAACCATCAATCAATCTCACATTCTCTGTCTCTGTCTCACACACACACACACACACACACACACACACACACACACACACGCATGCAAACATTTTCATTCACAGATCCCCTGATGCCCAAAAATAAACCCCAAATTAAAGTGGTGGCTCAAAAACACTTTCAGGAAGCACTTAAGTGTGTTTCTACTTAACTTAGTGTAGAAAACAACAAAATAAAGAGTATTTCTTTTGCGTATTTTCCCCATACCATTAGCCTAAGGAGAGCATCCCACTACCAAACAACAGAGGATAGACTCAACACAGTCCAGATCAAGGTGAACTGCTCCATTCGATCAGCTTACATTGTAGTGCCTGGGCCACTCATTTGATCCTGCTTTGTTTGTCTCTCTCAAGATCTGACTAGCCTGTACCATCTCTCCTGAATTCATAACTTGACTCCTTTCATATCTAAGACCCTATTTTCCACTCAACAATTTGACATTATAAAACAAAACACTCAGCAAGGATCACTCACATTTTAAGGAGATTCTTCACTTTGCAAAAAATATTCACAAATGTCCTTTAAATTTTTGGCTTGTTCATAGTGCATTTAAAATATTTCTTGCTTTATAAAACTCAAATGCAAGGTATTCCCCAAATATAAAAAGCACCAGAGAGCTCTTAATATCTCCCCATCACTTTTATAGCTCTCATTTTTTTTATGTCCTTTCACATAAAGAAATATGTGCTCGAGGCAACCTGGGAAATAACCCTGCCAGGTGTCATGATCCCCATTTTGTGGTTAAAGAAGGTTAGGTATGACTAAGTTCATTCATGGCAGGAGAAGGCTAGCCCTCCACATTCTAGTCACACATCTACAGTGCCTGCTCTGATGGCCTTCTCTCACCCTCACTGCTGATGCTGCATGTTCCCTGTGCTGTCCCTAGATATCGATGAATGTCTGGAGCAGAATGTGCACTGTGGACCCAATCGCATGTGCTTCAACATGAGAGGAAGCTACCAGTGCATCGATACACCCTGTCCACCCAACTACCAACGGGATCCTGTTTCAGGGTATGTCTTGCCTTCTCATCCCAGACATGCTTTTGAAAATCCTTCCTCCCACTCCTTGACCAACATAAACTTTAGTCTCTTGTCATGTGTAACTCACAGGAAGTCACTAACTCCAGGAAGATGTGGGGTTACAGTAAGTATTCTCTTCAATGAATGGGCAAGAAATGAGCTCATCCTGCAGCAGCCACTGCCACCCAAGCTCACTCTTGGCTGCCAGTGTTGCCTGGAGCAGTCTTCCCAGAATATAACATGTAACATGGTGGGTTCTGCCTCAGCAGCAAGTGTTTGATGGAGTGATAGAGCCTGCCTTTCTTTAAAGTTTTTCATTTCTGTTGTGTTGCCTCAGGGTGGTAAGGGCTCTGCACACTTAGAGCCCACCATGAAGCATCTTTTCTGTTGCTTCACTGACTCACCGCTCCTTGAGAACGGAGATGAGTGAGGAATGAGTCAGTTGTCTGCCCGTTCATACATCATCTTGCTTATATTTCCTTCTGTCTGAAACAGGCTTTTCTGCATTCTGAATAAACTACCATTCTGTTTTCTCTCTCCCCTTCCAGAAATGTTGTACTCTATCCAGGTACCAAGTTAACAGGGTGATTGAAAACAAGTGATAATATTCCTCTTGGATAGGCCCTGCTAATAGGAAGGTGTTTCTGAAACCAAATACTGGCTGGAGCTCACTTTGTTTTCCTCTTGGTAATGCTTACCAAGTTACTGCAGCATAGTCAAGTGTGGACTGCCCAGAATCCACCAAAAACCTATCTGCAATTGGTCTGATGGGACATGGAATAGGAAGGAGAAAATTGAAAATACAGACTTAACAAAACCTCTAAAAATACTATTACTGAAGAATCCTATCTTCATAAAATGGTTCTCTGTGCATTTTTTCCCTTCTTTATTACCATCGGTTTCTGGCAAACAATTTAAAAGTCATCATGACTCAAAAAGCAGTCAGTGTGCACTCTGGTAAAAGAAAATAAAGCTTTTTAATCTACAATAATGTGAACGACAATTACAAAAGAAGTACCCCTTTCTCACCAGAAATCCTAATTGACCTTTTATTATTTTTAGAAAAAATGTCAATATATTTTGTTTCACCTTTTAAACAGTGTTAGGATACTATATAATTAAAAAGTAGCTTGTATTCCTCTTTAAGAAGTACTTGTTTCCAATATATATGCAGAAGCTCTTGTTTCCAAAACTGACTTTTCATTTTAAAGAAAATACTCTTGTGGCATTCATACTTACTTCAATGGCTCAGACACTTCTGCTTTTAATGGAGCTGCAAGATACGTATTTGACTTCACACCAGCATCTTCTCCTAGTCATCTGGTGTCTGGTTTGAGTTAGTGACACAGAAGACGACTGAGTCTTACCGCTTTTACAGCCAGGCTGCCTACTGCATGCAGTGCCTAAAAGTTGTCATGGATCATGATCACCTATATCATGCCTCCTCCTACTTCCAGATAACTATGTGTATTTGATATGTTTGTTGTCCTTAGGTTCTGCCTCAAGAACTGTCCACCCAATGATTTGGAATGTGCCTTGAGCCCATATGCCTTGGAATACAAACTCGTCTCCCTCCCATTTGGAATAGCCACCAATCAAGATTTAATCCGGCTGGTTGCATACACACAGGATGGAGTGATGCATCCCAGGACAACTTTCCTCATGGTAGATGAGGAACAGACTGTTCCTTTTGCCTTGAGGGATGAAAACCTGAAAGGAGTGGTGTATACAACACGACCACTACGAGAAGCAGAGACCTACCGCATGAGGGTCCGAGCCTCATCCTACAGTGCCAATGGGACCATTGAATATCAGACCACATTCATAGTTTATATAGCTGTGTCCGCCTATCCATACTAAGGAACTCTCCAAAGCCTATTCCACATATTTAAACCGCATTAATCATGGCAATCAAGCCCCCTTCCAGATTACTGTCTCTTGAACAGTTGCAATCTTGGCAGCTTGAAAATGGTGCTACACTCTGTTTTGTGTGCCTTCCTTGGTACTTCTGAGGTATTTTCATGATCCCACCATGGTCATATCTTGAAGTATGGTCTAGAAAAGTCCCTTATTATTTTATTTATTACACTGGAGCAGTTACTTCCCAAAGATTATTCTGAACATCTAACAGGACATATCAGTGATGGTTTACAGTAGTGTAGTACCTAAGATCATTTTCCTGAAAGCCAAACCAAACAACGAAAAACAAGAACAACTAATTCAGAATCAAATAGAGTTTTTGAGCATTTGACTATTTTTAGAATCATAAAATTAGTTACTAAGTATTTTGATCAAAGCTTATAAAATAACTTACGGAGATTTTTGTAAGTATTGATACATTATAATAGGACTTGCCTATTTTCATTTTTAAGAAGAAAAACACCACTCATTTTATAAAATATAGTACAGCTACTATAAGGCTTGTTTGATCCCAAATGGTGCTTATCTTGATTGAACATTCAGAACAAGGATATTATTTTCAGTGATTTTGTGAGATCAGCTGAACCACTTATGATAATAATAATAAAAAAGACTGCTTTGCCCTCACGTCAGTTGTACATGGCATGGAACTTTAAAAATTTTAATATAAACTTTCATCCAGTTAGCTTCATAACTTTTACGTTCCAGAATTTTGTTTATTTTCCTGTCAATGAAAGCAATTTTTAAAGATACCAGTGGGACAGATTTGGTTTTTTAAAAATCTCATGTGTTCAAATTAACATAAATATTACACGTCAATACACTGTACATGGTGGTAATAGACTCTAAGCAATTGCCAAGATGTATTCTATTTTTATGAAGTGTATATATATTACCTTAGTGTGCATTTTCTATATAATATCTTGATGGACTCTTTTATAAAATTATTTTATAAAAAACAATGTTACACTAAAATCAGCCTAAATAAATTTTCACAACTTTTTTTCATAACCTTTTGAAGAACCTAAAATTCGTTTCCTTGCAGCTAAAACAGGGATTAAATTTAAAGTCGTACACGTAAACAGACACACAATCATGAGACCCCTTGAGAGAGAGGTAGTATTACTCACATTGTATAGGTCAGGATCCTAGGACAGAGGTAACTTATGTAACTTCCTTAAGACAGGACAGCTAGTGAGTGGCAGAAATGTCATACCTTCCCTGTCATGACTCCCACTGCATGAGTTTTTTCATCTACCTAAACAGCATTTTTTATATCTTATCTCAAGTGAATTCATCTTGTGTGATATTAAACTAGTGAAGGCCTAATTGTGACCTATGATTGAAGGATTTTTAACCTAGAAACACGTTATTCAAAGAAACCTGGAAAAAAATATCCACTCCATAGTCCAGCTGTCAGGCAAGTGATTGACTAAATCAGTGTTTACCAAAGACTGTTCTACAGAATACTAGTCTAGTACAGGTGTTTTTAGTCACAAGCATTCTATGATCAAACAAGTTTGAAAAATACTACATAACATATCCTCCTATTAAAGATTATCTATCGACACTAACAAAGAAACTTTTAGAAGTTCTGCAGTGAACAGGATGAATTTATTCAAGCCAACATTTTCTGAAAGATTTAATCCCAAATCTTTTTTCCCTAATACATTATCTCACTGAACACTTGGGGAAATGCTGATGTAATACAGTCAAGACGTCTGCTTCATGCCTAAATCCTTAGAAAGGACATTTTTATAACTAAGTACTTTGGTAAACAACTCCAACACCTGACCCTGATCATTGAGCTTCTTTCTAAAATTAAACCACATTAGTTTTGCTCATTTCCTCTGTGCAATATTCTACAAGCATAGAAATTGACAGGACAGTGACCAGACACGAGCTACTGCATAGTCATTAGTAGGAACAAACTTCTGGTTACTACAGTATTTGATTTGGAAATTCCTATTTGGGGAGCCAGAAGATCCAGCCAGAGTCTTGACTTTAACCAAGTACTTCTGACAACATTTCCTTGAAATTTATCTTAAGCATGCCAGTGGTTGAGCAGAGGTAGGCAATGAGATCAATCACCAACCCTGAAAGTTCCCTTAGGATACACGGCAGGGTGGGGAAACCCTCCTTCATGACATCTAGCAGAGCTGCGAGGAGCAAACCTTCATCTTGTATATTGCTATGACAGTCCTCTGAGCCTGCAAATTCCACAGATACACTAGATAGGATGACTAGCAGAAAGGGGAAGGTCTCCAAAGGAAGGAAACCAAGAGAGCAAATGAGAGATCTAATGGGTAATCTTTGACTCACATACATTCAATCCCTTATACGCCAAATGAAGTCTACCTACAGTATAATTACTTAATCCGATATTAACCTAAACAGAAGTGTGATCTACACCAACAGTCAACATACTTTTTTCTATGAAGATACAGACAGTAAATATCTTAGGCCCTTTAAGCCATGTGGTCTCTGTGGCTACTACTCAAGTCTGCTGTTTAGCATGAGAGCAGCCGTGGATGGCACATAAACATGTGCTCCAGTAACACTTTATTTACAAAATCTGGCTGGATTTAGCCTGCAGGTCATAGTTTACCTCTGATCTACAAACTGGGTATAAATCTTTTTATCATTCACAACAGCCCAATCTGAGCTCAGAGCACACATGATAGTCAAGGCTCTGACCAGTTTTGTAGTAGGCTGCTGGCCTCAGCACGTGCAAGCCTTCCACATCTCTAAAACCTGTTCTCAAGCTTTACATTAACCCAGCTGCAGACTTAGCTGTTAGGCTGGCAGTCATATCCAAGCCCCACTCTCCCTTCATAAATGCACACATGCACACAGGAGCATGCTTTGCAGGGTAGGATAACAGCACATTTACCAGAACTTACCATTTCACATTTCAGTTCATCTGAGTGAGTCAGGTAGGCCAAAGATTGACACTCCTAAAATACAGACCCATTTGTCCGGCTGGTTACCTGACATTTTCACTTGGCTCCTTAACTAACTCACTCAGACTTACACATCCAGCATATGGTTGATCCAAACCCCAACCACATATCTCCTGCTCTCTAGCAGCTGTCTAGTTGCAGTGGGCATGTGACTCCATTCTGTCCAATAAGATGTAAGCAGAAATCGCTTTAAAAGGGGTAGTCTTTGTGGCATACCAGTTTGGCCTGTGTTTTTCAATCTTTCCATACTCAGAATGTGGACAGAGATTTGCCAAGCATCTTGCAACAATGGGGCAACCACCCTGAGGATGAGAAGGGAGGAAGGGAGGGAGGGAGGGAGGGGAGGAGGAGGGGAGGGAGAAGGGAAGGAGGAAGGGAGGGAGGGAGGGGAGGTAGAGGGGAGGGAGAAGGGAAGGAGAAAGGAGGGGGAGGGGAGAGGATGGGGGAGGGGGTGCTGAAACCTTTTATATGACTTTGTTGAACCACTCTGCAGCACTGGAATAACTACCCCAGGACTTGTAATCGTTTGAGTCTAAAATCTCCTTACTTAAACAATTATTTGTTGGACTGTCTCTATTTACAGCTGAATACCTGAATGCCTACCGAATGATCCTCCAAACCTTTTCCTACCCTAGTCTTTCCTAACTATATTAATTGTACTACCATTCATCTAATCACCCCAACTGAAGCCCTGGGATTCACTAACTTCTCACCACCTAAAATGTACACATTCAGTCCATCAAAATAGAAGTCTCCGTCTCCCCTGCTACCATCCTAGGCATACCATTGTCACATGATGCACTCCTACCCAAGTTCCTCCGCCACTCCTGCTCTGCTGTACTCCATTTTCTACAAGACTGGTCTTTTAAAAACACCTATCAGATCACATCACTCCATCAATAACTCTCCATTCTTCTTTCCTTTTATAACCTAAATGTGTTAGATGATCTAGTTTCTCCCTACTATGTCAGCTTAGGTAAGCTGGAACTACATTTCCTGTCTCTGAAAGTTTCAGAGCATAGGCCACATGAGACATGTAGCATGAGATTTGAAAAGTATAAGTGAAGCTGCAGCCACATTGCTTTTACACTTGGAAAGTCACTGCAGGGGTACCAGGTACTGTTGCAAGTCATGGACCCCATCATTATCTGCTAGCTCCTCTCGGTGGATCAGGACAATGGTGGCCCCACAGCCATTCTACTTCCCACTGGATCCTTCATCTTCTACAATCCCTGAGCTAGATGTGTGTCTACACCTGTAACAAAGAACCCCAGCTTTTCCTGCATGAGACCTACATCATTGAAGTTGGAAAATTAAAGATGGTGAAAGATTGCTATGGACAGAATTGTCTCCCCCAGATGTATACGTAGAAGACCTAACCCTCAATGTGACTGCATTTGGAGATAAGGCCTAAGGAGTAACTAAGGTTAAATGAGGTCATAAGGGTGGGTAGGATTAGTGCCCTTATAAGAAGAGACACCAGAGATCTCTCTCTCTCATGTGATGACACAGTGAAAAGGCAGCCACCTGCAAGCCAGAAAGAGTGCTCACCAGAAACCAAACCCTGCCAGACCTTGACTTGGGCTTCCCAGCCTCCAGACCTGTAAGAAAATACATTTCTGCTGCATAAGCTGCGCAGTCACTTGTACTTTGTGATGGCAGCTGAGCTGACTCATACAGAGACCAGCACAGGTTCTAGTCCATCATGGGTTCTATCCATGTTTGTGGGTTTCAGTTCCTCTCATGGATTATTTTAGTGAAAATGGAGAGCACAATAGGGTTGCCTGCTTGCTTCTAAGTGCACTGAAGAAAGAAAATAATGAGCTCAGGGCTTTATTCCCAACACAAAAGGGAAATGAAGTAGAATGGTGACCCAAAAGAAATCTTTATCTCTTATAACTGCAGGGCTAAGGTTTCCAAACACACACATACACACACACACACACACACACACACACACACACACAAACTAATCCTGAGAGTGGCTGAATTACGATGCGAGTTAAATTCCCAGCCCCATGATGCCTCTTATGATAAAGTTAGGACATGGATTGAAAAAGAAGTATGGCCCTAAAATTTGGGATGGAGACATATGAGAAGATTCTGATGAAGCTGGAAACCTTGAACTCCAAATTTGATATGTTTTCCTTGCCAACAGCTTTCCCTCTTCTCTGAATTTAGTCTTCCTTGCCTAAATAACCTGTAATGGCCTCTCTTGAGGTCTGTTGCAAAAGACAGATGATCCTCTCTGGAACTGTCCCCATTACCCCTTATTGCTCCTAGACCTACAGCCAGACTCATGTCTGTGGAATCCAATAACAAAAAAGAAACAAAGCATATATTTTATATATCTTTTTCATTTTACTTTTCTAGTTATTTGTATTATATTCTATGAAAGTAACCATCTATAATAGACTACAACTTAAAAAAAAAACAGATTGGAACTTAAAAAAAATTACCAAAGGTAATTTGAAAAACATTGCATGGCACAACACCACGAACTAAAGATTATAAGCCAGTATTTCACAGAGAGGGAAGCTGAAGCTCAGAGATTAGATAACTAGCTGCAGAGTCATCACTAGTAGGAGATGCAGAGTTAAGATTTGGACCCAAGTCCATCTGACTACAAAACCTAACACTTGCCAATACTCTGAATAAGGAAACTCCTCTTAATCTGTTCAGAAACATCTGCTTACTTCCAACCGTTACCACTGAAGTATGAAGGTGACCATACTGCTCAGCTTGGTGCTTCGTCAAAGTGCCTTCAAGTCCTCAGGTCTCCCAATACACTGGGACATCAGCTCTGAAGATTAGTGTGGTTGCAGATATTACTTATCCTTCAGAACCAACTGTTGGAGTTCAGCTATGCATACTCTAGGGGTTTGGTCTAACATTTTGTTAACAGTTTCTGAATTCCTCTGATGAATCTGAAGGAATGAGATGTGATGTCAAAAAAAGTTTTTAGCACTCCACCTTCTCTATGCAGGAGGTTGAGGTTTTACAGTCATGATTAAGTCAACTGAAATCACAGAGAAAGACTGACAATCAGTTGGTTATTTATCTGGAAGGTCTCAAGACCTGAGTCACTGTAGCCCTCACAAACAATCACCTGCAGTGGCTCCCCTTATCCAGGGTAATCCCAGATTTCCCCATAACTGGACCCCAGCTTACCTTTTCAGTATTTATGTCATAATAATTCTGTTGTATGTACCCTGTTTTCCATGTAATGATACCACACATTTTCCATAATCCAGGTTTTCTTCTATTTTTACATGTTAGAATGTTCTCCTTTCCAATTCCACATACTCATTTCTCGCCATCTTCAAAGCCCTATTTAATGCCACATCTTCCATAGAGTCTTCCCTAATCTTTTAAACAAAAGGTCTCTCTTCCATCTCTTAAGTCAGTCTATCTCCGTACCTCTCATTTGGCACTTCTTACCTTCTGCTTTGTATTATGGTTGCTTGGCACATGCATTTTCTTGTCTACTAGACAGCAAGAGCCTTGAATCCAGTTCATCCATTATCCTGCACTGCTCTTAGCATGGAGCATTCTAACTAATATTTACCCCACACACTAAGTGCAAGGATGACTGACTAATCAATGGATTAAGATAAAAAGAAACCCAAACTTTATCATGATTGATATGGTTTGGCTCTGTGTTCCCACCCATATCTCACCTTGAATTTTAGTAATTCCTACATGTCAAGGGCAGGACCAGGTGGAAATAATTGAATCATGGGTGTGGTTCCCCCATGCTGTTCTCACGATAGAGAATTCGTTCTCACAAGATCTCATGGTTTTGTAAGGGGCTTCCCCCTTTGCTCGGCTTTCATTCTGTCTCTTGCCACCCTGTGAAGAGGTGCCTTCCACCATGATTGTAAGTCTCTTGAGGCCTACCCAACAATGCGGAACTGAGAGTTTATTAAACTTCTTTCCTTTATAAATTACCCAATCTCAGGTATTTCTTCATAGCAGCTTGAGAACGGACTAATACAATGATCAAAGCAATCCATAGGTTCAATCATTCATCCATTTATTTATTCAAAAAGTATAGACTGAATGTCTACTATGTGCTGGGCTCACTGATAAACATGAGAAATCCAAACATTTAAAGATATTTATAGCCCAGTGAGAATTCATATGTAAAAATAAACAATTATAAATTATTATAGTAATTACAATAGAAGTCAGTACAAAGTACAATGGAAAGATAGGGAACAGAGTCCTAAGTCCACCTGAGAGAAGCAGAAAAGAGTCCACATTTCAGAGAGTAAGGAGGACAAAAGGACGTAAGACACACCCTTTCCTTTAAGAAAATTTCTCAGAAATTCCCACACAATATTGTTATTTATATTTCATGAGCAAGAACTTAATAGATAGAAGAAAAGCAGAGAAAGATAGTTTTTTGGTTGAACTCCATGCTCTGTTCTATGAAGAAGAAAAGACAACTAGGAATCTGCTACAAGGTGCTGCAAGAACTGGAAATGGGTACCAGAAAGAGGGGGAAGGGGTTCCTTCTTCCCAAACTGTGAAAGAATGGGGGAGATGTTTGATGACAGAGGAAACACTGGGTCTATCTGTTTTGTTTTTAATATAAGAAAGAGCCAAAGGCTATAGGGTGATTAAAGATAAAGGAAAGAGAGAGTAGAGCAATATTCTAAAAGACATGAAAAGATTTTACTCTAAAGCATAGAAAGGGGGATAATAGATGAACAAGAGGAGTTGACTTAGTCTTCTAGGGCTGCCATAACAAAATACCACAGACTGGGTGGCTTAGACAACAACATTTATTTACTCACAGTTCTGGAGGCTGGAAGTCCTAGATCAAGGTGTTGGCAGGTTTGGTTTTTCCTGAGATCTTGCTCCTTGGCTTACAATGGCCGCCTTCTCACTGTCTTCCTATGGCCTCTCTGTGCCCCCACATCTCTGATGTCTCTTCCTCTTCTACAGGGACACCAGTCTTACTCACATAGGACCACACCCTTATGACTGCATTTAACCTTTATTACCTCCTTAAAGGCCCTATCCCCAAATAACCTCACTTTGGAAGTAGGGCTTCGACAGATGAATTTTGGGAGGACACAATTCAGTCCATCACAGGAGTAAATGGCAGAAAGAACATAAGTATAGGTGAAGTGGAGGTTGGTTGTCAAGATTGTGTGCAAAATAAAGCCATATGCTGAGGGTTTGAGAGTTTAGGATGGGGTAAATTTTTGTGATAGCTCCTATGGAAAATAGAAGATGGAGCGAATTAGAAACATCTAAAGGATGACTTAGCAGAGACAGAGGTCCAGCTGACATTGAAAAATCAAACATTTCTGGCTCCAATGCATTCATGTGACTCTCAGTATTCAATCAGTACCCAATGGCCTGCATGAAAACACACAAGAAAACAAAAACATAGATAAGTTGATGCAGAACTAAAGATTTGCAGGATTTGAGAGAGGAGAGACACTGCCAAACTCAAGTAAGGATGTATGGAATGACAATTGTGCTACAAATAAATATATCTGTCACTATGAAGACAAGAAGTTAAGGGAGTTCATATTAGTTCACACTAGATGGTCTCTATCTTTTCTGTGAAATAGAGGTCAAAACAAAGGTAGCAATTTGAAATTGGGGGTTTGAGAAGAAGAATTAAGTTGTGAAACCACAGGTAAGAAGAGTCAGAAAAAGACTTCACAAGGCATCTGTACTAAAATCGGCAAATGTTGCTAAGAGAATAATAAAGATCAGATAACTTGAATATTTACTGACAATGGCATGTATAAGTGTATACAGAGTGGAGAATGTACGTGGTTCAGTTTGTCCATAATCCAAACTTCTGAGTAGGTAAAGTGCAGGGAAGTTGGGACGATGGAGTTGATGATGCTACTGAGAGTCATGTCTGAAAAAATGGATGGTGGATTCTAGGCCAGCAACAACTAAAACCAAGAAATGAATAACAGACCGAAAAAGCAAACATTAAAGGCCTGAAGACACATTCATTTACCCATTGTAAAACTCTTTTCTTTTTAACAGATTTAATTGGGTGTATAATTTTAAAACCATGTATTTTTCATCTTAAGTATAAAATGCAATGTTTGTAAAATTCACAGAGTTGTACAACTATCACCACAATCTAATTTTAGAGTGTTTCCATGACTCCAAAAAGATCCATCATGTTCATTTGCAGTCATTCCCTGATTTTATCTCTAATCCTAGACAACCACAAGTCTATTTTCCATCTCTATATAGACTTTCCCTTTCTGGACTTTTCATATAAATGCAATCATAAAATATATGGTCTTTTATGTCTGGCTATTTCCATTTAGCAGAACATTCTTGACGTTTATCCATGTTATATTTTTTTCTTTATTGCTGAATTGTGTTCCATTGTGTGGCTACATCATTTTTAAAAATTTTTATTTTAATATTTTGTAGAACTAGGGTCTCACTGTGTTGCCAGGCTGGTCTTGGACTCCTGGCCTCAACTGGTCCTCCCACCTTGGCCTCCCAAGTGCTGGCATTACAGGCGTGAGCCACTGCATCCAGCCATATAAGACTCTTATTTATCCATCCTCAGCTGATCAACATTCGAGGGTTTTTTCCATTTTGAGCTATTATAGATAATCCTGCTACAAAAAAATTTATGTGTAAGCTTTTGTGTGGACATGTTTTATTCCCTCTTGCATAGATACTTGGCAGTAAAATTGCTGGGTCCCTTGGTAAATCTATGTTTAAATTTGTAGGAATTTCCCGATCTGTTTTTCAAAGTGGCTATACTATTTACATTCTCATCAATAATATTGTCTCTCTTTTTTTATTATAGCTATTCTAGTAGGTATAGAGTAGTATCTCATTTTAATTTGCATTTCTCTAATGACTAATAATGTTGAGTATCTTTTTATGTGCTATTGGCCATTGGGATATCTTCTCTGGGGAGATGTCTATTCATATAATTTGCCCATTTCAAGCTGTGTTGTCTCTCTTTTTGTTGTTTTGTAAGAATTATTTATATATTCTAGATCCAGGTTCTTTATCAGATAACTGATTTGTCAATATGCTTTTCCAGCTGTGGCTTATCTTTTCATTTTCTTAATTGTGTCTTTTGAAGTACAGAGGTTTTCATTTTTAAGTCCATTTTATCAATGTTTTCTTTAATGGATTGTGCATTTGGTGTTCTAGCTAAGAAATCTTTGTCTTAACACAAGGTCACAAAGATTTTCTCTTATGTTTTCTTATTAAAGTTATAGCATTTTAAGGCCAGGCGCAGTGGCTCGCCCCTGTAATCCCAGCACTTTGGGAGGTCGAGGGGGGTCGATCACGAGGTCAGGAGATCAAGACCATCCTGGCTAACATGGTGAAACCCTGTCTCTACTAAAAATACAAAAAATTAGCCGGGCATGGTGGCGGGCGCCTGTAGTCCCAGCTACTCGGGAGGCTGAGGCAGGAGAAAGGCATGAACCCAGGAGGCGGAGCTTGCAGTGAGCTGAGATTACGCCACTGCACTCCAGCCTGGGCGACAGAGCGAGACTGTCTCCAAAAAAAAAAAAAAAAAAAAAAAATTATAGCATTTAGCTCCTATATTTAAGTTTATGATACTCTTTTTTTTTTTGGTAGGGGGGACTGAGTCTCACTCTGTTGCCCAGGCTGGACTGCATTGGCATGATCTCGGCTCACCACAACCTCTGCCTCCCAGGTTCAAGTGATTCTCCTGCCTCAGCCTCCCGATTCTGATACATTTCTATTTAACTTTTGTGTACAATGTAGGGGAAAGAGCTAAATTCATCATATTGACCATGTACATCCAATTGCCCCAGCATTATTTTGGAAAAGTCTATTTTTTTCCCATTGAATTGCCTTGGCACTTTTGTTAAAAATCAATTGACTATAAATTGATTACTGTAACTTTAGAATAAGTTTTGTAATTAGAAAAGGTAGTCCTCTAACTTTGTTTTTTCTTTTTCAAAAATATTTTGGCTACACTGGGTCCCTTGCATCTCCATAAAAATTTTAGGGTTTTATCAATTTCTGCAAAAGGGCTTGTGGTAATTTGATAGAAATTTCATCCAATCTGTAGATCAATTTGGGAAAATAAATACTATTTTTGAATCATACAAAAATGGATGACTGGCCATGGTGGCTCAGCATTTTAGGAGACTAAGGCAAGAGGATCCCTTGAGCCCAGGAGTTCAAGACCAGAGTGGGCAACACAGTGAAATGACACCCTGTCTTTACACACACACAAAATTGTTTTTTAATTAGCTGAGCATGGTGGTGTGCACCTGTGGTCCCAACTACTCACGAGGCTGAGTGGGGAGGATCACTTGAGCGCAAGAGTTTGAGGCTATCATGAACCATGATATGCCATTTCACTCCAGCCTGGGCAATGGAGCAAGACCCTTTCCTGAAGAACAAAAAAGAACAAGAATAAGAACAAAAAAGAACAAGAACAAAAACAAAGAATGGAGGAGGAAAATGGTTGCAAGCAAAGGTTCCGAAGTCAGGTGATCTGAATTCACAAGTAGCTACACTTTCTAACAACATAATCTTAGGCAAATTAATCTCTGTAAACCTGTCTAAACCTCAGTTTCCTTCTTTTTAAAATAGGCATATTAATATAATAATATCAGCTTTTACTTCAGAATCAAAAGATTTATTTTCTACTCAGTCCTTAGGACAGTGCTGTTATTATTATATTATCATTTTTTTATTCTGTGCCAGGAACTATGTAGGCTTTAGAGACAAAAAAGAGTTACAAGTTGAAGAATTCTCTATGAAACAGTAGGATTGCCCTGGGTCCCATGTTTTTGTTGTTCTAGGCAAGTGAGGGATAAGCAAGTAGCCTTGGTGTTGATGGGGACAGGGAAGATGATTCTAATAGAAAGACATGTGGACAGGAGGAAGGACTGACTCTACCAGCTACCTTTAAAAAAGCAAACAAAACATGGCTTTCTATTCATTCAACCAACACACAAATTCCCTACTTAGTATTTGTAAGTAAAAGATGAAAGAGGTGGCTTATTCTCTCATATTCCTCTCCTGTTGAGGTTTTTCTCTTTAAAACTGGTGTTCATTTTCACTTAATTTCACAGAGTAATAAAGTATCCAAAGATAGATGGGAGGAAGGTGGTATTTGACTCATGTTCCAAGGAGAAGCCCTGTGTTTTAGCCACTCTAAGAATGTTCCTGATGGTAATAATACACTTTGATCCAGTGGAATGATTGCTTTCTCTCCAGACATTCTGCAGGGGACAATGGGACACACAGAAAGTCTTTAGTTCCTACATGATTTTCTGTTGGTAGGGGGCTGTTCTTGTGTACTGAGTCCCTTTGTTCTTGTTCTATTGGTTTGCAGGCTCCCAGAATGTCTGATTTTCAAGCTTCTAATCTACCATGTCCTGCTATTTCCAGTTGCCTCTGCCTCTGAGTCAGACAGCAGGAAGGAGACAAGCTCATCACACTCTGGCCTGGGCTCCCAAACAAAATGGTTCCATGTGCGGAGGCAGTGCCTGACATGTCCCTTTGGCCACCAGTGGTTCCAACTCTGTAGGAACACTGAAAGAATGTATCAACAGACTTTCCCAGGTATCTAAAACACATTTTCAAAATGTCAAGTGACCCCTGATGACCAGCCTGCTGATTAACTGCAGCCTTCCAGGGGTCTTTGGACAGGACACACTGAGGCCAAATTTTCAGAGTGTAATCGCCTCTCCTGAGTCAGAAATCTCACTGCCAAGTTGGAGCAGGCCGTACAACATGTAACTGGTCAAAGCGATTGCCGTTTCCCAATCACCATGCTCTGCCAAGACTCTGTTTCAGATTTTCTACTCAGGGGAACAGCCTGGGAATTTGGAAGTCCTTCACAGTGGTTTCTGGATGAGTTCCTCCCTCCCCACGTCTACCATCTCAGCCCTCACGTTGGCCTTCACCACCTTTGCTGCATCAGCTGGCTTCCACCTTTGTCAATTCTCCCTCCTTTTGTGCCAGCCTATGCTCAGCAACATAATCATCTATTAGGATTTGTCTATCTTTCTTGGGACCTTTAGTGATACTTGCTAGTGATGTACAGAAGATATTAAGCCAGTAACCAAGATCCTCAGCCAACTATCTGCCACCCAATCACAATCAGTTTACATGGAGAAATATACAAAGTTTAGACAAATACATGCTTTTTATTGCTAGCTCAGTGTTTTGCCCCAATTAATAATACAAGTTTTTCTTGAACTGGCATGCCTTCTGCTTATACTGTGGGTAGAACCAGGGTCCTTACCAAAATCAGACTAAGGGATATTTAGGCTCCTTTTTCCTGGCCCTTTGCAGGGAAATGTGCCTCTCACAGTTTCACTGGACTATAGGATTCAGGAGCAATTGTGAGTCTCAGGGGAGAAAGCTTAAAGAAAGAACACACCAGATAGAAACACCAACTGTTAATCTTTAGTTCATCCCATTAAATGTACCACCGCTTAGCACCAAGACCCATTAAATCCTTATACTTGACCAACCATATGAGAAATCCCCTTTCTTCAAGGGTAAATTGGGGGTCAGAAGAGGTAAAGCCCCTTAGAAATTCTCAAATATGAGAGATCCAAGTAGAAGAGTAAATAAGATTTACAGAAGAGTTGATGGTCAAGGAAACCAATTGGTAATCAAATTAGAATAGGCACATGAACACATAACCAAAGCTTATAGCTTACAAGACGACTTAGCATCAGAATTAAAGAAACCATTTGGAGTCAGTGTATTCACAAAGTATAAAGGTGAGTACAAAACCAGACAACCAGAGAAAATGAAGAAACCACATTCCAGAAGTTCAGAAAAATGCCCAAGGTCCAAAATCTAGGGAAATAGCTAATATCTAGGGTTGATATGAAAAATCATCAGTATGGGCTTTGAGAGTGTCTACTGATTCTCTATTTGCTCAGTAATCCACCTCTCCTTCTAAAGATCTACATACATATTACCTCCAGGCTAGTTTATATCCCAATCCATTGTTTCTTAGCACCCTTCAACCATTCTTAGCTATCTTTCTCATCTCCCACAGCTGGAATTCCCACTCTACTTCCTTCTAACAAATGGAGTGTCTTTCTCCTTTCAAGCTTTACTCAAAACTTATTCTTCTAGGAACATGTACCAGTACAAAACCAGGCAGTGAGAAAAGTATTGGTAAAGCCCTTGGCCCAAGGATGGCAGTGAATGGCCCTTTTCTCCCTCTGGTCCTTCTTTTGTTTCTTTGTTCTAAGTCATCTCTACAGCCCAGGCCAGGTGGCTTCACACTGTCCTACAACATGCCAGGCATCCATGGAAAGGTCACTTCTGACATGAAAGCTTATGTTTTTTGGAAAGTTTTCAGTCTCTGTCTACAAGTGAGTTGAGCTCCGACCTTGGCATGGAGAGTGTTCTGCCCTGTACTATCTAGATAAATAATTTTCCTTGGAACCTTGAGATAACCAAAGGTGCCCATGAATTATTTTAGGGAGTGAGGCTAAGTGGATGGGCCTTGGGCCCCACTACCCACTTCAATGGGAACAATTTAAAACTTGTTTTCTGTGTTGAGGATATGTATATAATGTCAGTTAAAAATAATGTTGGACATCCCTTTAAAAAGATTGAGAACTACTTTCTTCAATCAGACATTTATATTTTTACATGTTAATAGAAAAGGCCCATGCAAATACTGGAAATGTGTGTACTGTTGAATTCTCATTCAACGTGAATATATTCTTCTACGCCAAAAGCCTGATAGAAGAAGCCTTTAAAATATACATGCTGCTTATAAAAATATATTTTAATATTTAGCTGAGGTATCATCTCTTCTTGCCTCTCTTGAATCCTATCCCCAGTCCCAATTAGATCAGGTTCCTCTTCTCCATATTCACACAGGACTATATACTTATCAGCAGTTATATTAGTCTGCTAGGGCTGCCATACAGACTGGGTGCCTTAAACAACAGAAATTGACTTTCTCACAGTTCTGGAGGCTGAAAGTCCAAGATCATTATGCAAAGCAGGTTTACTTTCTCCTGAGGCCTCTCTCTTTGGCTTGCAAAGGGTTTTTGTACACACATGTCCCTGAGGTCTCTGTGTGTGTCCAAAATCTTCCATCTTATAAGGACACCAGTCAGACTGAATTAAGGCTTGCCCTAATGACCTTGTTTTTAACTTAATCACTTCTTTAAAGGCCCTATCTCCAAATACAGTTCCATTCTGATATATTGGCATTAGGGGTTCAATATATGAGTTATTTAGGGACACAATTCAGTCCACAACAACAGTGTATGGTAACTGTTGACATGTTTCCTCCAAGTCCATACCAATGCATTTGTTAGTAATATATCTTCTGTGCTTACAGGAGTGGCACAGTGCCTGGCATATAGTAGGCCTGAACAAATGTTTGATAATCTAGGAGTGAATATGCATATGTCTAATACAGTGGGGGTCACTGAGGAGAGTTTTATTGATGTGCCTGGCTTTACATAGGAAAAAAAAAAACCTTCTATGTTGAGTATTAAAGACACTTGAAAGTTGCTCAGAAGCTCTTCATGTTGGAATCTGTGAATCCACATCAAAGATCTCTAAAGTTGTCACTCATGAAATTTAAAATGCTGATTGACTGCCATGCTACAATTATGTTCATTTAACACTTTCATGCTCATGGACGTGTGGACTGCAGTATTAGAACTGGTTAAAGAGTTAACAATTAAAAGGAACAGGCAGGAGCTTGGGAGGACAGAGTAAGACTAAAATAAAAAATTAATGAGGAAAGGAAGAGTGGCTGATTTAGTAATGGATCAGCTGTTTTGTCGCCTAGGAGATAAAGTGAGAGTGAAGAAATTGGACCTGTACATAGAAACATCAGGATGGCAAACAAAAAGTTCAGTCAATTTTCCTTCACTCCCTGGTGTCTGAAGAGCATTTGGAAGAGTGGCTGAAGGCTTCATCTTTCTCCTGTGGTCATGGTTAGGCCTCTCAGACCCTTGACTCCCAGTAAGTCCAGGGCCTGAAAAAACAGTGATTTACTAGCACCAGATGACCATAGCTGCTAACAGATCAAGATTTTGTTGTATCCTGTGGTATTTCCAACATATGGACAATGGTATTAGGAGCATCAGTAAAAGATATGTAATGAGACATGTGCTTGTCTGGGTGTTTTGCACATCTGAATATTTATCACTGCATGTGTGGCCATGCTGGACACAGATCTACAACAGAAGTAGAATTCTACCAGAACGAACTCCGCAAGGCATCCTATCCTTTTTGTATAGAGAAACTGAGGAGGGTGGGGGGAGAGGCGGGGGGAAGAAGGTAACATGTGCCAAAGAAATGAAACAGCTTCCCAGATTCACAGCAGTAAATTAGCATGTAAAAAGAAGTGCCATGGGCCCAGTAAGGAAAGAACAGGATGGGATGTTTCACAGGCATGGTTTTCATCTTCTCCTCCTTTGAAAGCTAAACTTTTTATGTGGTATCTTTGAGGGTTCGTGGTTTGGAAATTTAAGCCTTTTTGCATTTACCCTGAGAATACGGGTGGTGCTTGCGGCTGCAGCATTTACCCTGAGATAACTTTGCCACGAAATATCTCACTTTTACTATTATTTTTGCATCACTCTAGTATATCAACTTTGGAAGCAAAAGACATCATTCTATTCATAGCATTCCATTTCTAGTAGTGGTATTCCCATTTACAAAATATAGTAATTCTCAATTGCTGAAAATGTCTGATCCTAGAAAATGTAACATTCCTATGCATATTAACGTGGTTCTTGAACAGTTGTTGGCCAAAGATTTTGTAGGAATCCGATTTTTCCAAAATAGACAAGTCTGATGATCCAAATGATTCTGATGTTAGTTCTGTTTAGAAATAACTCCAAGAACAGTTTTTATATTTTATTTTCACATTGAAAATCAGTCAGATTTCCTTCAGCCTCAAAGAGCATGTTTATGTAAAATTAAATGAGTGCTGGCAGCAAGCTGCATTTTTTTTTTTCTAAACAGGATTAAGGGGCATTGTCTAAGTGACTGGAATACTCAATATAGGAGAGGGTAAAAAAGATGAAGTATAATTACTCTGTGGTGGCAGTATTACATACCTACAAACAGGACCGCTCTAGCTCACCTCAGCATAGCCTTCTTTCCCACACTACGATACTGTGTGATAAGTAATATAATACGGAAAAGAACCAGCAAGTAGGGCATGTTCAGGGGCACTACTCCGGGACTAAAAGGCCCTGGGGAATGTGGCAGCCAAGCGAAAACCTGAATCATAATAATATTAGCTAACTCTTATTGAGCCAGACACAATTCTACACGACTTACATATATTACCCAAATTAGTTACCGCATGCTTGAAAACCCCTTGATGTAGATACTGTAATTTATCCCCAATAAATAAATAGAGGCATAAAAAGTGAGGTAATCTGCACAAACATAATATGGATAGTAAATGGCAGAGCCTGGATGTAGAACCAGGTTAGCCGGGGCTCTTAACCTCTGTGCCCCACAGTGCAATGAATGGCTGAGTGTTATCCAGGCGGCAAGAAAGGGGAAGGGGCAGGAAACACATCAGTGGGGAAAAGTCATTCTCCACAGAGACCATTAGATTCAGAGGTGAGTGAGCAGTTCCATATGGCTAGAAGCCTGGAGAATAGAGCAGACACAAAAATATGAAGCTTCCCGTAAATTCTTTTAGGAAGTATGACTTTATTCCAGAGTAATGTGAAACAGCATTTGTTTTGCGAGAAGCTGAAAGGCTGAACTCAGTGACACCCACTCTAGGAAGTTAGTCCTTATCCTAAATTGAGGATTGTTAGAGGAAATTTAGGAATGGATTGTTTATGATAGAGTTCATTTGTTTTCTTTAAGGCAATATGAGCAAATGCCCTTCTCTTAGATGGTGGGGTCTGATGAGTTTCAGCCTTAGCAAGGGGTTCAGGAGACCAGAGGTGGCCTTCCTAGAACCAGAAAATCAGGACTGACTGGCTCAAAATGTAATTCCCTTGGGAAATTGAGGTTGCTTAACCATTGCTTCTCACACAAAGCCTGAACCTGGCCATTGAAAGGCCAACATGGTCCATACTACAGCTGAACATGAAGGTTTGTCTTCATACAAATTCTCATTCCTGGTCTGAGATCAAAGGTACCAACATCGCTCTGGTGGAAGAATTGCAGTAGGAAATAGAGCACTTGGCAGCATTCAGAATGCCATTACACTAGGCAGGCAAAGTTCCCCAAGTACTTGTTATTAAGTAAGATTAAAAGCGAGGATACAACTTGCTAAATTGACACTATCAAGATAAATGGTGTTCTATCTTTCTTGCAATTTTTTATTTCACTTTGAAATAAAGTACAACTCAAATTATCTGATGATTGCACCCTAGGAAAATGTTTCCAAAAAAAAGAAAAGAAAGATAAGTAGCTTTATTCCCAGGTAGCACAAAAACTAGCTTTCATTCAAAGCAGATGAGAAAGACAATGAACAAGAAGTAATGGTTCTCTGTATCCATTCAGCTTCCTGCCTGCAGGATACTGTTCCACAGACTAAAGGTAAAAACAAAGAGACACTTTAATCTTTCTCACACCCTGGGAGCTTTGATCCCATAAGCTGATTTTTCAGTACTAATTGTTATATCTGGATTCTGAACAAATGAAACTGAGCCTTCCCAGCCTCTAGTTCGAAGAGGCACAGGCATCTGTCCTCAGTTGACACACACCCAGCTAAAACATTGCAGCTTGGCTGGCCTTTTGTCATTGCTCTCTTGACAGCAAAATAACTATCATCTGGCTTGGTTGGATCAAAGAAGGACATGCATTTGAGGCGGGGCTGTTCCTTTACAGAATAACACTTCGTTATTATTACCTCTTTGGCGACATGATATGGAAATTAAAAATAAGCATCTTTTGATATGCAGCAGAAACAATCACCAGACCTGCAGACTGAACTTGACTTTTTGCCTAGCAGTCTCTTTGAAAAGAAACTGCTGCTTCTACAGTTCTTCCATCTTTTAGTGGTTGCTTCAGATGTTGGGTTTAAAGAAACCTTGAAGTATGAGTCACAAACAACAAGACAGAGGGACTGTTGATATGTCTACTCCAGTAGGGAAATGAGGATGCACTACAGTTTATTTGCAGGTCCTAATGTGCCAAACAGTAGAGCTTGTTTCAGCCTGTCCTAATCTCTGCCCCTAATCAAAGGCCCCCACATGAGAATTGTTGGTTACTCTAGTTTGTCACACATGTTATTAGTTTTCAAGCTGGAAAGTGTGGAGATGATTGTACATATGAGGAAGCTGAGGTCCAGAAAGCAGGAGTGATAACTTTAAAGTCTGACCAAGTACTTAGGTCCCATCTCAGGCTCTGTGCCACTTAAGAAAGCATGTCCCAATTAATTCATTTTTGGTTACACTTGTCAATTTTAAATTTTACCTTGGGTCACCTGAGTATGGATGGATAACAGAAATAATCCTACTCATAAAAATAAATGTGGGAAAGAGTTTAGAGGTGGTAGAAGTTATAGAGGCAGACATATGGTATAGACTAGAATAAGAAATAGACCACACAATATAGAACAGAATAAGATAATGAAAGGATAAAGAAAAAGAAGAAAGAAGGTGTCATTATGGGTTGAATTACATCCCCCAAAAGACATGTTGAAGTCCTAACTGCTAGTAGCTATGAATATAACCTTATTTGGAAATAGGGTCTTTGCAGACATAATCAAGTTAAAATGAGGTCATGAGGGTAGGCCCTAATCTAAATCTGACTGATGTCCTTAGAAGACACACAGGGAACGTGCCGAGTGATGACAGAGGCCGGGATTGGAGTGATGCCGCTGCAAGCCTAAAAACATCAAGGATCGATGGCCACACCAGAAGCTAGGAAAAGGCAGGGAAGGAGTCTCACCAGTAGGTTTCAGAAGGAGCATGTCCCTGCTGACACCTTGATTTTGGACTTCAGGACTTCAGAACCGTGGGAGAATAAATTTGTTGTTTTAAGCCATGCAGTTTGTGGTACTTAGTTATGGCAGCACTAGGAAACTAATACAGGGTCAGAAGGAGAAACCTGAACCTGAGATCACCCAACTATACCCCGATGTGAAGCAGAATTAAGATACTTCACCAGTTGGCTCAAAGGCTAACATTTTCAGAATTTTTTTCACCCTTCATAAAATCAAAGCAATCTTTACTTGTGCTCCATTTTCCAGCACCACTCTACTTTTTGTTGTTGTTGTTTTTAACAGAGCTCTCTGAAGCTAACTTGATTTCATTTGCCAGTTCTGTGAGTAGTCCAGAATTTAATCTGTCCCATCCTAGAGACTTGAGCTCATTTAGGACAGCCAGGTAAACTCAACCATCTTCACGCTGTCGTTCAGTCTTAACAACGTTCCATCTTCTTCAACCGGAAGTTCATTCTTCTCAATAGGCAGAACTGAAACCAGTTAGGATTTGGAGAAGTCCTGCCTCCCTGTGTCTATTGTAGTGGACTTCCGTTAGGTTTTGGCAAACACACAACTCTCCACCTATGTTGTGGGGCATCCCGCATTGTGCAAGATATTGCTGATACATGACACCTTATCCACTCCCTCCTCCCGAAAGTCAAAGGGAAGAGAACCCACTGCGTGACATTTTCCTGCCTGGGAACTTGCAAAGGGCACAAGGGACACAAAGCAACCCAAAGGTGAAGGGCTGGTCAGGGACGCGCTCTCTTTGTGCTTTGGCAACAGCTGCCTCCCGGCCACGCTGTTCTGCTAAGGGAGTGATTATTATATTTCCTCTTTCTTTCTTCTGATTTTTCTCCAATATACATAGTTCTTAATAAAAATTTCCTATACATACCTTTCTAATACACCTTTCTCACCTGAGAATGATTTCTAGATGTGGACTTGCTGGGTCAAAAATAACTCCTGAGGGTTCAGAGATGTATTAACAAATTGCTCTGAGGACACAATTACACTCTCAAGTAGAAACCACTTAATTTTGCCAACTTCATCATAAATTTTTACTCTGATAAAATTATAAGCTATATGTTTTTATTGTAAATCTATCTATTTGTAAATCTCCCCATAAACTAGAAACCAGACACATAATTTTGAAGGCCATGTATTTCTTATTAGTTCTCCATAAAACCAATTCATACCAGTTTTTTTGTTTTTTTCCTTTTTGAGGTGGAGTTTTGCTCTTGTCACCCAGGCTGGAGCGCAATGGTGCAATCTCGGCCCACTGCAACTTCCGCCTCCCAGATTCAAGCGATTCTCCTGTCTCACCCTCCCAAGTAGCTGGGATTATAGGCACATACCACTACGCTCGGCTAATTTTTGTATTTTTAGTAGAGACAGAGTTTCATCACATGGGTCAGGCTGGTCTCGAACTCCCGACCTGAGGTGATCCACCCACCTCGGCCTCCCGAAATGTTGGGATTACAGGCATGAGCCACTGCGCCTGGCAAAAATTGTGTCTTCATGAAAAATGCACGTCATCACTGGCCATCAGAGAAATGCAAATCAAGACCACAATGAGATACCATCTCACACCAGTTAGAATGGCGATCATTAAAAAGTCAGGAAGCAACAGCTGCTGGAGAGGATGTGGAGAAATAGGAACACTTTTACATTGTTGGTGGGAGTGTAAACTAGTTCAACCATTGTGGAAGACAGTGTGGCAATTCCTCAAGGATCTAGAAATAGAAATACCATTTGACCCATTTGACCCAGCCATCCCATTACTGTGTATATACCCAAAGGATTATAAATCATGCTGCTATAAAGACACATGCACATGTATGTTTATTGCAGCACTATTCACAATAGCAAATACTTGGAACCAACCCAGATGTCCAACAATGATAGACTGGATTAAGAAAATGTGGCACATATACACCATGGAATACTATGCAGCTATAAAAAAGGATGAGTTCATGTTCTTTGTAGGGACATGGATGAAGCTAGAAACCATCATTCTGAACAAACTATAGTAAGGACAGAAAACTAAACATTGTATGTTCTCACTCATAGGTGGGAATTAATAATGAGAACACTTGGACACAGGGTGGGGAACATCACACATGGGGGCCTGTTGTGGGGTGGGGGGAGGGGGGAGGGATGGCATTAGGAGACATCCCTAATGTAAATGATGAGTTAATGGGGCAGCACACCAACATGGCACATGTATACATATAAAACAAACCTGCACATTGTGCACATGTACCCTAGAACTTAAAGTGTAATTTTAAAAATAAATAAATAAAAATAAAAATTACGTCTTATTTGCCATCATGCCCTAGTAACTGTACAACATCTAACACACAGTTAGGTACATAATAAATATGGAAATAAATGAATTTGAATTGATGTCTGATGAGAAACCGGTTTTGAAAACCAATAACTTTACAGAGAATGTTATCAGTATTTTTTTTTCAAAATAAAAACTTCCTTAGTAACAGGACAAACAATTCAAGGAAGCAGGATTTCGCATCCTTGAATTATACTTCCAAGATTTTGCCAAACAATTTATTTTTTAATCTTTACTTTTGAATGAGTGATTTATTGACAAAGTACAAACAAAACAGCAAACACCAATACAGAAGTGAAAGGAGAACTCCCCATGCCTAGGCCTGAATCCTCCGTTTTCCTTTCTAGAGGCAAGCGCTATTACAGCCAAACAACATTTTTCAATGGTATCAATTCACTACGAAGCATTTTCAAAATTCCATCAATCAACAAACACCATTCCTATAGATAAAGGCATGCTTTGCTAAGTTTTCTGCAAGTGCTCTTTCTGCCCTTGGATGAGGATGTAGCTCCATGATGATGAATGTCACCTGGAGATCAACATCATTTCCCACACTACCCTTGTGAAAGGAGCAAACATCTGTGGAATGTCTGTCTGGCCTTCTCAAAGCAAGCATGAGAGCATGCTTGTGTGTTCCAAGGGTGACATCCACTGGTGTACAATTATAACTGCAGGTAGCAGGCCTTCCAAGATCTTCAGATGAGAAATCCTTAACTCGAATGCTAACAGACACAGTGATTCTCAGACATTCATCCATTACTCCTGACTTTCTAAACACAGTAGCCAGCCTTACCTATTTCGGATCACAGAAGAGAAGGTTGAATTGTTCTGCATCAGCCATAAAGATGTGCCTCTGGACAGTCATTCATCCATTTGTCTCACAAGTAATATTGAGAATGAACCAGATACATGCCAGTTACTGAACACCTCACACAGTATTAGGAACAACGATGAAAAAAAAGCACAGTCCTACCCTCAAGGGCATTTTCAAATTTGAAAGAGAGGTGAAACATACACAGGTAACTATTGGATATGGCAGGACATGGCAACTTCTGCACTCACGTGTGCATGAATTTTGCCCTGATTTGTTATTTCATCTAGTCTTCACAACAATTTTTAAATATTGAAAATGTTACCATATTTTCAGCAGAATTAACAGGTAGAAAAACCAAGGTTCAGAGAGATTAAGTGGCATGTCTATGGTTACACAGCAATAAATGTCTGATTCCAATTTGGCATGATTCCAAAATCCAGACTTCCAGCACCACCCGGTGCAATCCACCAGCTTAGCTCATAGAGCAAAGGCAATTCCAATCTTTTCCAGGGTTTCTAGCCTGCATCTTATGTTTTAAAAGGGTATCTCTATCACAGATTCAGTAGAGAATTTGTATTCCAATAAAACTACTATCAGAGATAGAGTAAGATTATAAATATATAGGAAATCTTGAAAGTCAAACTCGGTAGAACATTCACTCTCTATATTCAGATTCTTAAGTTTTCTGCCAGCTCCCCTGAACAGAAGACTTATTATATCAATATAGGTCCTTAAGCTGGGCAACATGGCAAAACCCCATCTCTACAAAAAATACAAAAATTATCCAGACATATAATTAGGTCCTTAGATATACGTGCCACCTCGCCCAGCTAAGATATATAGGTCCTTAGTTTGTAACTCTTGTGAGTCAAACATTTCTAGAGAAAGAAAATCTGGCTTATACACTTGGACACCAAAACATACCAGTTGTATCAATCATGATTTGATCAGAGAAGGAAAACCTCTGGGAAGTCACGTATGTAATAGGAGATTATCACAGAGATTTGATCTCACACAATCATGAGAGATGGTCAAATAGTTGACTTTCTGCTGTTATTTTCACATTTATTACTGTGCCTGAGGTCAGCAAGGAAGACATCCAGGAAGGAAAGATAGTTGTGAGGTGAGGGAGAGCAATGACAAACTGGAACCAAGAGGACAGGCTGGAACCTGTATTGGCCCCTTACGGCCTCCCAGTCTCCAACTTCAATGATGCTAGTAACCTACAGGAGGAGGGGTGCTCTTTATAATGGGGCTAAACATGCACTTGGCCCGGGAGAAGCAGCAGCTGGGAGTGGTCCAGTGGGAACCGGAGGTGCCCAGCTGCTGTCCATGACAATAGCATGAGCCAGCAGACCCTGGACCATGTGTGCGCCCTGCACCAATTATCTCAATGTAAAAATCATATGGCCCTGGCTATTTTTACCTTTCAAACTGTATGCAAAGTATCTCCTATGACCCACACTAACCTGGAATTATGCAGTGAAAGAAATTCTGGGAAATGTAGCTCCAGCTTAAATACACCAACATGAGACAAAGCAAAACACATTATACATGCAGAATTATTTTGCTGGTGTTTTATTTAAATGTGAATTATTTCTTTCTCTAAACCACAGATAAAGCCCATTTTTGCCTATTTGGCTAAATTAATATATCAATTATTATCTAATGGCCAGATAATAACAAAGAAAATAGGTTCTTAGTCATGAGACATAATCACATGAACACTTAGTTTTACCCAAGGAAGGTATCTTGCAGGGAGAAAATAAATGGAAAATGGACATAAAATCCATATCCATTCTGAGAAAACCCCAAATTCTTCACTAATCTCAACATGTGCTTGAATTCCTCCTATACCTCTATGCCCTCATACCCAGGAAGCAAGGATCATTTTAGCCAGAGCAGCAGGAGACCAGTGCTGGAAGCCTAGGCTTCTCTTCATTCAACCATTGACAACATGAGATTCTGTCAGCTCATGACTTGATGAAGCTGGAATCTGAGGTTACACCTTCCAATTATACATTGCATAGCTGTTTACTTGGTAACCATGAGGAAGGCTTCCCACTCGCCCCTCTTTGGCATTATTGAAGTAACCACCACAGCCAATGATCCTGGAGGCTTACAGAAGTTCTTCAAGGACACTCCTCATCAGGATTCAGATAGGACAGGACTCTAACAGCAGTAGAATGAATGCATCTCTGGTCATTACAACACAGCCTTTCACATTCAACCATTTCCAGACTCTCTTCTGGAGAGTTGGTAGGTTAAATACCAACTCTTAACTGATTAATCAAAAGCAGCTTAATTCTTATTTTAAAAATGTGATTTTAGCATAGAATTAAATACTAGCTACAATCTTCCAATCTGAATACTCAATCTAAAATCTGGGTCTACTTTCTATTATATTCAATTCATAATGTCAGTTTTGAGAACAAATCACATGACAGATCAAAAATATACTGTCAACCATTTGCAAATATATGACTATTTATGATAATGGGATATCATACTTTTTAGTAATCTATGCTTAAACAGGCAGGAGACCTATGAGTAGCAAAGGAATAACAATGCTAAATCTCCTCATACACTTTGAACTCTATGTTTGTGAATTATCATGACTTGATTAGGCTGATAGCATCCTTGTCTCTGGGTTACTCCAAGTTGAAACACTGAATATTTGACCCTATAAGCTAATTATTATTGCTGTGGAATCTGATCAAAGTATTGAGCTTGTTATTTTTAGAATACATAGTAATTTGTGCACAATGTATGAAATTAAATATTTTTTGTTCCACATTGAAAACAATTACTGGTGGAAAGTAAATTATTAAAAATAGGTCACTGTATTGCATAAGAAGGTTCATATTAATGGGTTACTAAATACCAGAATGCTGATCATAAAAGAACAAGGCATTGCTATATTTGGCCAGGGGAAATTTCTGTGCAGTAAGTTCATGCTTATGTGACAAAGAAAGCAGCCTTCCAATTGAAGTCAGAATAATTTTTTTAAAATATATATTGCATGCATAGCACTAAAGCATCAATCCAAATTCATGTCTAAATGTCTAAAAGGCATTTAGAGTTTGGGGACTCACACAATAATAAAGGCCTGAAATAAATGGCCACCCAATCCCAAAGATAATCATCTGAGAGAAAGCCCAGTAAAAATGATATTGTGTATCCTTGATGAACATTGATGCAAAAATCCTCATTAAAATACTGGCAAACCGAATCCAGCAGCACATCAAAAAGTTTATCCACCATGATCAAGTGGGCTTCATCCCTAGGATGCAAGGCTGGTTCAACATATGAAAATCAATAAATGTAATCCAGCATATAAACAGAACCAAAGACAAAAACCACATGATTATCTCAATAGATGCAGAAAAAGCCTTTGACAAAATTCAACAACCCTTCATGCTAAAAACTCTCAATAAATTAGGTATCGATGGGACTTATCTCAAAATAATAAGAGCTATCTATGACAAACCCACAGCCAATATCATACTGAATGGACAAAAATTGGAAGCATTCCCTTTGAAACCTGGCACAAGACAGGGATGCCCTCTCTCACCACTCCTATTCAACATAGTGTTGGAAGTTCTGGCCAGGGCAATTAGGCAGGAGAAGGAAATAAAGGGTATTCAATTAGGAAAAGAGGAAGTCAAATTGTCCCTGTTTGCAGATGACATGATTGTATATCTAGAAAACCCCATCGTCTCAGCCCAAAATCTCCTTAAGCTGATAAGCAACTTCAGCAAAGTCTCAGGATACAAAATCAATGTGCAAAAATCACAAGCATTCTTATACACCAATAACAGACAAACAGAGAGCCAAATCATGAGTGAACTCCCATTCACAATTGCTTCAAAGAGAATAAAATACCTAGGAATCCAACTTACAAGGGATGTGAAGGACCTCTTCAAGAACTACAAACCACTGCTCAATGAAATAAAAGAGGATACAAACAAATGGAAGAACATTCCATGCTCATGGGTAGGAAGAATCAGTATCGTGAAAATGGCCATACTGCCCAAGGTAATTTATAGATTCGATGCCATCCCCATCAAGCTACCAATGACTTTCTTCACAGAACTGGAAAAAACTACTTTAAAGTTCATATGGAACCAAAAAAGAGCCCACATTGCCAAGTCAATCCTAAGCCAAAAGAACAAAGCTGGAGGCATCACGCTACCTGACTTCAAACTATACTACAAGGCTACAGTAACTAAAACAGCATGGTACTGGTACCAAAACAGAGATATAGACCAATGGAACAGAACAGAGCCCTCAGAAATAATGCTGCATATCTACAACTATCTGATCTTTGACAAACCTCACAGAAACAAGCAATGGGGAAAGGATTCCCTATTTAATAAATGGTGCTGGGAAAACTGGCTAGCCATAGGTAGAAAGCTGAAACTGGATCCCTTCCTTACACCTTATACAAAAATTAATTCAAGATGGATTAAAGACTTACATGTTAGACCTAAAACCATAAAAACCCTAGAAGAAAACCTAGGCATTACTATTCAGGACACAGGCATGGGCAAGGACTTCATGTCTAAAACACCAAAAGCAATGGCAACAAAAGCCAAAATTGACAAATGGGATCTAATTAAACCAAAGAGCTTCTGCACAGCAAAAGAAACTACCATCACAGTGAACAGGCAACCTACGGAATGGGAGAAAATTTTCGCAACCTACTCATCTGACAAAGGACTAATATCCAGAATCTACAATGAACTCAAACAAATTTACAAGAAAAAAACAAACAACCCCATCAAAAAGTGGGCAAAGGATATGAACAGACACTTCTCAAAAGAAGACATTTATGCAGCCAAAAAACACATGAAGAAATGCTCATCATCACTGGGCATCAGAGAAATGCAAATCAAAACCACAATGAGATATCATCTCACACCAGTTAGAATGGCAATCATTAAAAAGTCAGGAAACAACAGGTGCTGGAGAGGATGTGGAGAAATAGGAACACTTTTACACTGTTGGTGAGACTGTAAACTAGTTCAACCATTGTGGAGGTCAGTGTGGCGATTCCTCAGGGATCTAGAAATAGAAATACCATTTGACCCAGCCATCCCATTACTGGGTATATACCCAAAGGATTATAAATCATGCTGCTATAAAGACACATGCACACATATGTTTATTGCAGCACTATTCACAATAGCAAATACTTGGAACCAACCCAAACGTCCAACAATGATAGACTGGATTAAGAAAATGTGGCACATATACACCATGGAATACTATGCAGCCATAAAAATGAAGAGTTCATGTTCTTTGCAGGGAGATGGATGAAGCTGGAAACCATCATTCTTAGCAAACTATCGCAAGGACAAAAAACCAAACACTGCACGTTCTCACTCATAGGTGGGAACTGAACAATGAGAACACATGGACACGGGAAGGAGAACATCACACACCGGGGCCTGTTGTGGGGTTGGGGGAGCGGGAAGGGATAGCATTAGGAGATATACCTAATGCTAAATGACGAGTTAATGGGTGCAGCACACCAACATGGCACATGTATACATATGTAACAAACCTGCACGTTGTGCACATGTACCCTAAAACTTAAAGTATAATAATAATAAAATTTAAAAAAATGATATTGTGGAAGATTCAACATTAAAAAGAGGTAATATACATACGTTATAGGGGTCTTTGTAGATGTATTTAACTGGTAGGTGCCTTATTCAACCTTGAGAGGTTGAATACAAAATGGTTCACAAATAGCACAGAGCTGAGCACAGTCTTATTCCTTGTATCTACCGGGAAAGATCTGTACCAACAGGACTTTCCTCTGACGTGCTCAACAGGATACAGCCATGTTCACATTTAGATCACAATTTATATTCTTGAAAGAGGAAGTGATACTCATTGAGTGCCTAGTCTAAGCCAAGTGCCCAGTTTTATATTTCTCATAACTTTCTTATAATAAGTTCTATTTATCATTATCTCTATTTACTTGTTAGGAAGTTGAAATTCAAAGAGCTGAACTGTCTTAGAGCTGATGTATGGAAGAGCTGGCCTGGAACCCACATCTTTCTGACTCTAGACCTACATACTCTCTGCGGGGCACCATTTTGCTCTTAATAGCAACACTGTACCACCCACTGGCCTTGACTCTGCCCAGGTGTTCACTTGGCCAGAGCCCTTTGATGCCAGCTGTCTGCTGTGGAACCTAGCTCAAGTCCCCTGGAGACTGTGGAATCCCCAGAACTCTGTCACGTTGCCCAGAGCCTTTTATTATTATTATTTTTTAATCCAGGGGGTGGGGGGATTTCATGCCAAGTTTCCCTCATAAACACTCCTTCTGTTCTCAAAGCTGCTAGAATACCTCACAGAATCTCTTCTATGGTACTTTTAAAAAAATAAAAACAAAAATACAAGGAGCCATGTCACACACTTCCCCCAGAGATAAGGAAGACTGCAGCTGGCTCCCTCTTCAAAGGGAGCAAAGGAAAGGGAAAAATACTAAGAAAAAAGTCTAGCTTGCCACCAAAGTGTTGAATTTTGCAGTTCAACAAGTGCAGTGACCTGCTCAACTTTGCTATTTAGGACAATCACTTTAGCTACAGGATGGAGACTAGGGTGGGTACAAAACAAATACAAGGAAGTCAGCCAGCAGGTCCTTGCAGTAATCCAGGTGAGAGCAGATAGATGGCAACTGCTTATAAGGTTATAATGAACAGCAGCACTGGAGGTGGAAAAACAGCAAGTATACTCAAAAGGTAAAACCTAAAGACATATTTAACATGAATTAAAGTTTTCCAAAGCCGTTCTCCCATACCAGCCATTGAAAAGCAATATTCTTGTTCTTTGTGAATTTAAAAAAGAATCCAGACTTAGTAAGAAGAGATTTATTCAAGAAGGATTCTTCAAGGGGAAGAGGCTATTGCTAGAAGGGATGGGGGATTTTTGAATAAGGAGAGAGCTGTTATCACAGATCTGCAAGAGTCTCAAGAATTAGATGAGGGGGTTTTCTTTCACAGGGAGTTGTACACAGACTAGAAAACAACTGGGTGTGGGGAAGTGGGATAAATGGGGGCATGGTCAGACAGTGGACCAGAGAATGTTTACCTTAAGGCTGACTTATTCTTAGCAGGGGTGATATGCTGGGCTGAGTGGGACAATGTTCAGGAAACCGGGAGGAGGAGAGAAAGAATAAACCAAAGTGTGGTTAACAGTCATTTTGATCTCATTGACCAGTAATGACAAGCAGTTTGGCTAATTATGAGGGAAAGAATGAGGGTTTGGAAAATCTGTGTCTGGCCTTGTCATGGGTAAACAAGGAAAGTGTCCCCGAGTCTTATCTAGGTCATATGAGGAAGGGTGGTTTCTGCAGTAAGCCTTTTTCCCTAACATGTGGGGTGAGAGGATATTTCCTCATCTTCACTGCTTTTCAGGATCAGTTAACTTCGTCTTTTCTCAGGCTGGCTGCTAACCCATCAAAGCAGTTAGTTGGGGTCTGAGTACAAGGGTAAATACCCTGGCTCAAGAATTACACATAGGCTCTTAGGCCTGGGCTCTGAACTGCCAGCATTGGACAGTCCTACGGGTTATGCCATTGCCTTTTCAGATAGCCTCTCTTAAATGCACATATTTTTGGAAAATGAACAAAAAACTGTTGATAGCTTTAATGGGACACCAGAAAGGAAAAAAAGCTAATGTTTTCACAATATCCACTTTGAGCTAAGCACATTAATTGTATTCATTTGTTTTTTCATTCATGCAAAAATATTTAATGACCCTCAATCGTGTGCCAGGTGCTCTCCTGCACCATAAGGATTCAGCCACAAAACAAACAACAGAAAAATCCTACCCTCTTGGATCCATCAGCCTAGTGGGGGAGGTAGTTAAACGAGTACATAATACATACATTGTATAATTTCTTTCCATAATGAAGGCTATGAAGAAAACAGAAATTAGGCTAAAGAGATAGTGAAGGGTGAGTGTTCCTTGTTTTGTAAAGCAAAGTCCAAGAAGGCCACTGCAAGGAGAAATTTAACAGACACCTAAATGGGAGGAAAAGAGGAAGCCATGCAAAGACATAAGGAGTAATATTCCACGCAAAGCAGTGGGCATGTGCAAAGGCCCTGAGGCACCAAGCAGCTGAGCAATTTGAGGGAGAGAGAGAAGACCAGTATGGCTAGAGCAGAGCCCCATAGGGAAATGGGGAAAGAGAGACAGAATTAGAACAAAAGCATTTTTTCTCTTTTTTTCTGTATTTCTGTCATGTCTTTTAATCTTCACAATTACCCATTTTTACCTATGGGGAGAAAAACCTGAGATTCAGAAAGGCTTTGTGGACTTCTCAGGGTCACACAGCTACTAAGGGCAGAACTGCAATCTGATTGCAGGTCAGTCTAATCATCGCCAACTGGAAAGGACATAAAAAAGGCAGGTAGAGCACACCAGAGCGATTTCACCAACTTTACCTCCTTGCCTAAGCCTGGCTGGCCCAGTCTTGTAAGTCTCAGGGTAGTCAACGTGCATTGTAATTTGACTACAACTTGGGCTATTGAACTCAATTTTTTAGAGTCTAAACCACTTTTAAGATGCAAGCATTGACAGCAGAACTTCTAGCACCATTTGTGCCTCTGCAGGAGTCAGTTCTGGCTCCCTGGGGCTAGCTTGAAGCACAACAGTAAAAAGGGAATAACCCCTTGGGATTAAGATGGCAGATAGGAGGCAGGACTGGCTTGCAGCTCCCACTGAGACAGACAGAGCAGCGTGGAGACTTACATTATGAACTTTTGTTCCAAGGACTATGCCAGGAACATATCAGAAAATCTGAGAGAATCCACAGACCCTTTGAAGAAACTTGATCACCACTGCAGGCTCCCTGAGAGGCTGAAAAACTGAGTCGGCTTGCTTTATCAGTGGGGAGGCTCATGGTCTGGGGCAACTTCTCAGCCCTGGTCACCAGCGGCCTGGAAATAGAGTCGGTGCTGTTGGTGGGGGCACAGTGGGAGTAACACTGGCCTTTAGGACTGCAGGCTGCATGGGAGTAGGGTGAGGCCTATGACTGCTGGCTTTCCTTCACTTCCATGGGGACCTGTATGACTCAGCAGAGGCAGCCATAATGCCCCTGGGAACATAATTCCGTCGGCCTGGGAACCACACTCCCATCCCCGACAGCAGCCCCAGCAAGCCCCACTCAAGGAGAGGCTGAGCCCAGAAATACCCATCCCTGCACCCAACCTGGAGTTCTTTCTCTACCCGCCTTGGTAGCCAAAGACAAAGGTCATCATCTCTTGGGAGCTCTATGGCCCTGCTCACCACACCTGAGAAATCTGAATACTTAACCAGGTGACCCTAGGGCAAGTTTGCATTCTCCCTATGGTACCACAGCTGATGAGCTCTTGAAAGCACCACCTCCTGGCTGGAGGCCAACCAACACAAAACCAGTGCATTAAACAAAAACACAACCAAGGACCCTAAGGGAGTCCAGTTCACTCCTCTGCTACCTCCACCAGAGTAGGTGTTGGTATCCACAGCTGAAAGATCTGAAGACAGATCACATCAGAGCACTCTTCGCAAATACTCCCTAGTGCCACCCCAGAGCCCAGTAGCCCTGCTGGGAGAGATTTCTCTTCTCAGGAACACCAATTATTCTTATGTTTGGACGTTTAACAGTCCCAAATTTCTTAGAGGCTTTGTTCATTTTTTAAAATTTTTTGTCTTGAATAGATTGGGTTAATTTGAAAGCCTTGTCTTCAAGCTCTGAAGTTCTTTCTTCTGCTTGTTCGATTCTTCGATTCTATTGTTGAGACTTTCCAGTGCATTTTGCATTTCTGTAATTGGGTCCTTGAATTTCCAGAAGTTGTGATTGTTTTTTATTTATGCTATCTATTTCACTGAAGGGGAAAGTTCATAGCATTAAATGCCTACATCGAAAAGTTTGAAAGAGCACAAATAGAAAATCTAAGGTCACACCTTACAGAATTGGAGAAATAAGGACAATCCAAACCCAAACCCGGCAGAAGAAAAAAAACAAAAGATCAGACAGAACTAAATGAAATTGGAACCAAAAAAAAAAAAAGAAAGATAAATGAAACCAAAAGCTAGTTCTTTGAAAAGATAAATAAAATTGATAGACCATTGGCAAGACTAACCAAGAAAAGAGGAAGAGAAGATCCAAATAAGCTCAATTAGAAATGAAATGGGAGACATTACAACTGATTTCACAGAAACACAAAGATTATTCAAGGCTACTATGAACATCTTTATGTGCAAAAACTAGAAAACCTAGACGGGATGGATAAATTCCTAGAAATATACAAGCCTCCTAGATTAAACCAGGAAGATATAGAAACTCTGAACACACCAATAACAAGCAACAAGATTGAAATGGTAATTTTAAAAAAATTGCTAACCAAAAAAAATGCCTAGGAGTCTAGGACCAGACAGATTCACAGCTGAATTCTATCAGACCTTCAAAGAAGAATTGATACCAATCCTATTGACACTATTCCAAAAGATAGAGAACGAGGGACCTCTGTCCTGTAACATCTTTCTGGAGATCACAGAAGCCACTATAGTATGGAAAACCCCAATCCAAAGGCTAACTTTGGGTAAGTGGTGTGGTCCAGTAACATCTTTCTGGTGAACCCTGAAGGGACAATACTGAAGAAACCCCCCAATCCAAAGGAAATAGACTCCAGCACTGATTGGCCAACTTTGGGTAAGTGGTGAGGTACTCAGGTAAAGGATGGGATTGGGTTAGAGGCCCAATTTAGGGGAGTCAGAGTCTCTCCTACGACAGGGTGGGTTAAAGGCCCCTTACTAAAAGGCAAGGACGCTTGACCGACCTTGGATTAGAGGCCCAACTTAGAAGGGTTAGAGTCCCTTCTAAGATTTAGGGGATTAGAAGCCCCTCTCAGTAAAGTCTCTTTCAGCTAAAAATGGGTGTGGCACTATGGGATGTTAACTGCTATTCTCCAGGTTTGGCACTATGGGATGTTAACTGCTATTCTCTTTGGAATAATCTGCCTTGCACTCTTTGCTGATGGCTACGGGTTACAGGATTAAGCAAGTACAGGATCGTGGGACATGGCGAGCTTTTTCCTCCCCAAAAAGCGAAACTTGAGAGCTAATGAGACTACTGGAAAAGATCCCTTCGGTACCTACAAGCAGCCGCCTGAACGTTTCAGTGTCACTGCAATGGATGGGTCTTTCTCTGGCCTCCCTGAGCGACTTGCCTTCCCCACCCTGCCTCAGGCAATGCCTCTCTCTCTCTCTCTGTCTCTCTCTCTCTCTCTCTCTCTCTCAGCAGACTGGTTGAACAAATGGTAAAAATCACTGTTTATCTCCTCTGTGAAGTTTTGATTAGTGGGAAAAAGGATTTGTGAGGCTAGTCTTCTTAAGCTGTAGCAAATCTAGTGTGCTGTGTGTCTTCATGTATTGTTCTGTCATAATGAGGAGTACCTCAGGATAAAATGAATGCCTAGGACCCCATAGACCTGCTGTTCAAGATGGCCAAGCAAACTGGTCAGTTATAAATTTTACTGCAGGTCCCTAAAAAAACTGGATGAGGTTTCCTTCTTGTGTTGTATGTCCTTGGGAGCTTAACCTTGTAGCCTCATGGCTGTGCTTTCTCTTTTCACAATGGCAGCCCAGGTTCAGGGTACAATTCCTGGCTTAGAAAATAAGTCCTTTATCTTCTATGTATTTATATGTGTTGTGTGTGTGATGTTTACATACGAAAGGCCTTTACTTAATTGGCTTAATAATAAATCAAATACTTCGTCAGAAAAGTAAAAAGTATAATGCCTTTTCTTTAGTTCATGTGACTTAAGTAATCTTTAGGAAATAAAGACAGTTTAAAAGATTATTGGTAAAATGAAAATTGTTTCAAAAATGTAAACATTTGTTCTAAATTATGCAGGTCAGATTAAGTTTGCTAAATGCTTTAAGGTCATAAACTGCTTCCTTGATATTTGAAAATTGTTCAGCTTACCTACTTTGGAGCATTAGATCCTAGATAAGGCTGGGGGACATATGGAATTAGCCCTACCCCCTAGCTATGTAAAGAAGGTTTTAAAGAGATTTTATATAAGAAAGGATCTTCTATGATAGATTCTTGTCCTAAAGTAAAATGACTGGTTGTTCATAAAAAAAAAAAAAAAAAAAAAGGGGGGGGATGTTTAGGAGAAGTCAGAAAGTCCAAGCATGGTCTATGTAAGTTGTGAAAGAATTTATGACAGGGAAGTTATGCAAGAAATGTACGATTTAAAGATGATTAGGCCTCCTAAATGCTTCATAAAATGCCACTATAACTCTTACTGTACAACTTGCCTGCTTTACAGCTAAGGCCTGGGACATGTGGAGTTAGACATTGGAAAGAGTTAGACCTTATCTGCATTTCTGTCTGGTTGTAAGCTCCATACCTAGTACATAATTAAAATCCTGAACTTAGCAACCTTTACTTTTGGTGAAAACCTTAGTAAGAGTTAACAGTGTAACATGTGTTTGAGACTATTAAAAAAAAAAAGAAAAAAAGTTTTACACACAAGGCACAAGGCATGTAAGGACAGTAGAATGTGCTTTTGGTAAAAGATAAGAAAGCATGGGAATTGGGAATGCGGATTTCTTGCCTAAGTGTAGAGATTTAAAGGATTAAGTTAAATAGAATAAAGCTGAAGGTTTAAGCAAGTTGTGGAAAGTTTCTAAAAAAAATTTTTGTAAAAGAAATTCTGCCCATAACATATTGGCTAAAGTTAAATGGACATTATTCAGTTTTTTTTCTAAAGTACACACTGGAATAAAAGTACAACAGGCTTTTCTTACAGCAAAAACCTGCTTATGATCTGCTCTTTAACAAAAAATTGTAAAGGGTTATAAAGGTTTATAAGAATCTTACCTTATGGTCAAACTGATTAAGACTAAATATATTTGTCTATAGGGTTTAAGAATTGGGTTTATAACATTAATAGTGCACAAGTGCGGCAGTGACATTTGGCTTATTTGGCATAAAAATCATACATGGAGCATTGTCAAATATGAAATGGTGTTTTTCTTTGGGCTGTATTTGTATAAATGTGTTATTGGTATGTGTTCCAAAATTATAAAAACTCTGATAGTTCTGATATGCCTCAGTATATGTCATCAGTAATAATTATAATTGTTGTGTTAAATTATTGTGTGCCACAGAGGTAACTAAATTTCTTTGTCAATCGTGTTTTTGACTGTGGTTGTCCTAAGATGTTTTGTCATCCACAGACCATTTTTGTCTTGTTTTAATCCATTTTGAAAGGTGGTTTATAATCAGCTATAGGACTTGAACAGGTGTTCTTAAATATAGATTTCTGATAACTTTGGAGACTGTGACATCAGACTAGAGGAAGCCACTTTCAGAACTCTCAGAGAGAGCTGTAATGTTTATGAATATCAAACGGAAGTTAACTGCATGGACTAAACCAAAGAAGTCTAAAGTAATCTTTTTAACTTTGCTTAAAACGTTCCTGATCCTTTGTTTTGTTTTTCGGCGTTAAGAAAACTTTTAAGCTATTTACAGCTTGTAGCAATTAAGTATACTCCTGTAAACAAATTTTGGAGCATATTTGTTTCTCCCTACCCAATTTCACTAGAATTTGGGAACTATTTGTATTAACTTATAGCAATATAGTTATTTGCATAAGTGCAGTATTTTTTTTTTTTTTTTTTGTAACAGGACACAATTGGAAAAACTGGGTATTTTACCAAGGCTTTGACTGGAAAACTTAAAGTTTTCCTTTAAGAAATCAAACTTGACTCGTAAAGCCAATAAAAGCCCCTTGGGAAATGCCTCATACCTTGTCTACACAGTCTGTGTATAAGGTTTCTGACCTGTAGTAAGTAAATAATGCCACTTTCTATCAGGCCCAGAAGCCCCAAGTTGTCTTGGAACCTCAAGAGGAGAAGAATTTGCTCAACTCAGATATTTGAGGGTACAAACCCAAGGCTGGGCTCAGCTTTAAAAAAAAGTCTTATTTGAGATTCCTTATGGAACAGAGTTCCACACCAAAACCAATTTAAAAAGCTTACATGGCAAATAATTATTCTTGCTGCACTTTATACAAATAATTAGGCAAAGTACAATAAAGCAAATTGGTCTTACCATAATTTTTCTTTAGTATAAATGGAAAACTGGAGAAACATGTTTCAAGAACTATGGCACACTTATTATTAAATTCTAGTCTCAGTTGTTTTTTAAGTTTGTTTCTGCATTTTAGACTAGCCTTGCTTCTTCCTGTGAACTAACCATGATCTCTGACTGCTGCTTAGAAGAAACAAGAGAAATGGGTAATGTAAAAATCTGCATCAATATTCTAATTCTGGACACACTGCAATCAGCTAGTGACCCCATTATCAGCTTGGTTCCCACAGTTGCCCAGTTCATGGAAAGCTTTCTAATTTAGTTTACTTGGAATAAGTTTACTTATTTTGCTTTACTGTTGTGGAATATATTGCTGTTGTATTGTACTCTTTGTGTAGCAATGCAGGATAAGCTTACTGTTTTCTTAAACTGAACACTTATTATTCTTCCAGATATCAGCCTTTGCTGAAACTTGGAGTTATGAATGGCCCTCACCATACAGATGCTTTCTGACTGAGCTTCTCTCTACCCTGAACACAAGAAACCCTCATAGTTCGGCAGGAATATCATCGCTCCTATTCAGCCTGAAGAAGTTACAGAAGATGAATCTTCATCCTTCTGCAATTCTTAGGATTAAGGGTTCTTTTATAAAAAGGGAGGGGGAAATGTCAGAAGCGTGTGAACAGAGCAACTCCGTCTTGAATAGGGGCTAGGTAAAATGAGGCTGAGATCTGCTAGGCTGCATTCCCAAATGGCTAAAACCTTCTAAGTCACAGGATAAGATAGGAGGTCAGCACAAGATACAGGTCATAAAGACCTTGCTGATAAAACAGGTTGCAGTAAAGAAGCCGCTAAAACCCAACAAAACCAAGATGGTGATGATAGTTTTGCTACACTCCCACCAGTGCCATGACAGTTTACAAGTGCCATGGCAACATCAGGAAGTTACTCTATATGGTCTAAAAAGGGGAGGCATGAATAATTCCCCCCTTGTTTAGCATAGCATCAAGAAATAACCATAAAAATGGGCAACCAGCAGCTCTGTCTATGGAGTAGCCATTCTTTTATTCCTCTACCTTCTTAATAAACTTGCTTTCCCTTTACTCTATGGACTCGCCCTGAATTCTTTCTTATGTGAGATCCAAGAACCCTCTTTTGGGAACTGGATCGAGACCCCTTTCCTGTAATACTCATAGTAGCATCCTATGGGTATTACTAACCATTCTACCACTGAGAAAGCTAAGACTCTGGCAGTTACATTTACCTAGGTGACACCGCTAGTAAGTGGTGAGCTAAGACTGAAACTCAGGTTTGCCTGACTTGCCCACATCATGCTTCTTTCCATGTCAATAGATGCTTACATTGCAAACGTGCATTCCCTCCTTGCCAACAAATTATGCAGCTATTTATCAAAGAAAATGCAGTCAAGAATGTGAAAGAAATCACTGAGTTTGCTTTTAAAACACTCCATGTATTTCCATTAAGTCATTTGCTGCTAAAGGATCCTTGCAGTGGTCAAAGTCAGAGAACATTGGGTCTGTTTCCATTTCTCTGGATGCTTCAACAGAAACTAATGATTTCAAACATCTTTGACCAGTAAGCTCATCAAGGACGACTTTGAAGCTCATTGCCTCTAGGTATTCTGTTGCAAGGAAGAATGGTGTCCCCAGTAAGAATCCTACTGGAAACCTAGACTGGGTTTGTTCTGTAATAACTTGTTGTTTGACACAGCGGATGTTGCGGAGCCCAGAGAAGATGAAAATCCTTGGGATTTGGGTGTGTTCAGAAAAACATTTGCAGCAGAGCGTAGTAAAGAAACCAAATCTGGCTGAGTGAGATTGTCTCAGCTTATGTCATTGGGTTGGGTCCGACCATGGGCCGACGCCTGTCACTGGCTCACCAGTGTTTTGGGTTTCCAATCCCTGAATGCCTCAAGACAGTAAAAATTCTGTGGAAAAAAATAGAAACTCTCTTGGTGCTTCACTGTACAAAGAACAAAAGAGGAACATTAAGAAGGGCCAGAAATTAATGTCTCCTCCAAAGAAAACCAAAATATGCCTCAACATTCAGAATGTATTACCTCACTATAGCCTTACAAAACAAACATTAAGCTACATGGGGCAATGAGGGGATGGAAAACAAGGTGGATGTACTTCTCTAAAGAGGGACATAATTATCCTTATTAAATAATTGCTACCTGGTTGTTTCCATACAGCTAAAGAAAATTTATACATGACCAACAGGACTCTTCCCCCATAGAGGAATAAAGAACGATTAAAACCTCTCTAATCGGCATTTCAACATTCTCTTTTTATAGCTTTTCAAACAATGTCTAAGACAAAATCTTAGAAACTTGACACAGAGAATGAAAATGTCTTGGGTTTAGGACAAACCAGCATCTAAATTCTGACTCTGACATTAAGCTGTTGCCCCTTGGACAGACAAGCTCATCTCTCTGCTCCTCGGTTTCTGCTCGTGTAAAATAGTGAATAGGATACCTGCTGTGAGGATTTTTATGAAGGAGTAAAAAAATAATTAGGTAAAATTGTCAGGCACAGATCCAAGAACATAATAGGTACTGTGCCAGATAATTTCTAAAAACTTTTATATGCTCATAATCAATTGAAAAGTAAAAGCAAGTAATCATGTTTTTCTTTTTCTGACACCATTAATTTGATGTATTTTCAGCCAACTGGAGAAATTGTCCAGTTGTTTGAAATGATGAGATTCAGCAGTTGCTTTGGCATCATTCTGACTCAGTCTTTTACTTTGTCTACATTCTTCCTTGATGCTTCTTCTTTAAAGGTTAAGTAAAACTAAGATAATTATTCTTCAAAATCAACTCAGCCTTTTAATCACTCTGTCCACAGTTTTCCTCAATGCTGCTGCTTTAGAGGTTAATTAAAAATAAGAATTATTCTTCAAAATTCCTTCTAGACACATTTCTGTACTTTTTAACACCCATGGCTTTGGCCACATCCTAGAGGGAGCTTCTGGACATCTTTAAAGTAAGGTGCTGTTTAACAACCCCATCTTCCATCCCATCCCCTTTGTTGCCAAGTTATAACTCAAGACAGTCTCGTACCCTGGTATAGCTGTATTTCCTCACAGCCTTGACAGGATTGAAGTATGTTACTGCAGAGCTAGTATACCAGCTACTTTACAGAATCCTGTTTTCAGCCTCGCAGAAAAAAAAAGAACTGATGAAAAGTCTCAGAAAACTGAGAGTGACATATCACACAGGATAGCAAAAGTTAGCTCGTTACAGATTTCACATCCATGAGTCTAATATTTTTGGAAAGCTGCTGTGGTAGGCAGAGCAATGGCCCTGCAAAGATGCTCATGTCCTAATCCCTGGAACCTGTGAATATGTTCTTTATGTGGCAAAAGGAACTTTGCAGAGGTGATTAAGGATCATGAGATTGAGAGATTACCCTGGGTGATTCAGGTGGGTTCACTGTAATCACAAGGTTCTTATGAGGGAGATGGGTCAGAAGCAGGAACTGGAAGATGAAATATTGGTGGCTTAGAAGATAGAGGGGCTGTGAGCAAAGGAATGCAGAGGGCTTCTAGAAGCTGGAAAAGACAAGGGACAGATGCTCCCCTAGAGCCTTCAGAAGGTGTGCACACCTGGTAACACCTTGATTTTACCCAGGTGAAACCCATTTCAGACTTCTTACCTCCAGAACTGTAATACAATAAATTTGTATTGTTTTAAGGCACTAAGTTTGTGGTAATTTGTTGCAGCACCAAAGGAAACTAATGCAGCCACTAAATTTTATATTTTCAGCTTAATATTTGTTTTGAAGTAATGATGTCTATATAGGGTTGCCAAACATAAAAAATAGAAATGTCAGGCACTCAGTTCAAATTTCAGATAAGCAGCCTGGGTGTGGTGGCTCATGTCTGTAATCCCAGCACTTTGGGAGGCCAAGGCAGGAGAATTGCTTAAGGCCAGGAGTTTGAGACCAGCCTGTGTAATACAGTGAGACCCTACCTCTACAAAAAATAAAAATTAGCTGGGCATAGTGGCACATGCCTGTACTCCCAGCTACTCAAGAGGCTGAGGCAGGAGAATGGTTTGAGCCCAGAAGGTTGGGTCATGATCAGGCCACTGCACTCTATCTTAGGTTATAGAGTGAGACTCTGTCTCTAAAAAGTAAAAGAAACAAATAAATAGAATAAATAAATTTGAGATAAGTAAGAAATATTTACTATGGACCAGGCAATATTTGCAACATACTAAAAATGTAATCATTATTAAACCTATAGTTCATTTAACTGAGCATCCTGTATTTTATCTTGCAACTTCAGGTCTGTAAATCAACCATCTTCTGGGGAAAGAATACTTTTCTGTCTTAAGCCTACTTTTTTCAAGTTTTGAGATTTCAATTCACCTAGAACTATCATGTGAATATTTAAAAAGCCAAACTTCATCTTACCTAGTTACTATAGGCTTGGGTTGTATGTTTTTTCCATGTTTTAATAATAAATTTCCAATTATATCCACATGGAAAACACCTGGTGCCTAACACCTGATCCTTTGATCATGGCCTATCTCTTGGCCTTCCAGGAAAACACTTTCTGGTGTGAAGTGTACATGGGAGAGGGAAACTAGAACTGAAATGCGTGGAGAACAGACTGGTTTTGTAACTTACAAGAATATAGTGTGCTCTCTGTGTTTTCATTACAAGGCATGTCTCTATTTGGATGTCTCAAACCTCAAACAGATTCAAAATTTAGCTTATCATCTGTTTCCTACCTTTCCCATATCTACCTCCTTTTCTCCCTATTTTAGGGAATGACATCGCCATCTACCAATTTACCCAAGCTGTTCTGCCTTCCCTATCTTGCCTTACTCCTGCCTTTAGCCATGAGAAGAACATGCTACTGGTCCAAGAATGATGAGATACACAAACAGCAGATCCATATCCAACCTGTAGCACAGAGCCAAGCCCAGCCTGGATCAGACAACCCCTTTCAGCCTACCTGTCAACGTGGAATAGAGAAAAGTCAGTGTGACATGCCACTGACATTTTGTGGTTGTTTGCTGGGAAGCAGAAGCTAAAACATTCTCTAAATCAGATTTAATCTTCCTTCCCTCTGAGTCAGGAAAAGTCAAACTGAGTCATTATTGCTATTACCTTTGCAAAGCTCTTAGGAGTTTTATATGTCATGTCCAGAGCATTAGGGAAGTCCCTTTGGTGATCAGTCTACATATGTCACTGCTGGTAAATAATTTTTCATGAAAGCATGGTCCCCAATGGCAGATGACTTCACTGCTCCAATGCCAAATTTGTATACTAGAATCTTTTTTAAGGTTGAAAGCCTGACTCCCAGGGTCTGGCTTCCCTAGGAACAGCAGAGATAGGCTAGCTATTCTCTAATCCCATTCCTCTTCTTCCTGGACACAAAGACTATTCTCCACAGCCTCTGTTAGAGTTACATGTAACCATATGTATTAGGGTTCTCCAGAGAAACAGACCAATAGAAGACTATGCCTAAGGAGATTTATTGTAAGGAATTGACTCACATAATTATGAAGACTGGTAGGCCAACAAACTGCTGTAGAACCAGGAAGAGTCAACATCCCAGGTCAAAAACCACAAGTCTGGGAGAGCCAATGTTTCAGTTCAAAGGCTGGCAGGCAGGAGAATTCTCTCTCAGTAAGGGGAGGGTCAGTCATTCATTCTATTCAGGCCTTCAGCTGACTGAAAGACACACACACACACACACACACACACACACACACACACACTCCATGGAGGACAATCTGCTTTACTAAGTCTACCCACTTAAATGTTAATCTCATCCAAACCATCTTCATAGAAACATCCAGAATGATGTTTGACCAGATACCTAGGCATCCTGTGGCCCAGTCAAGTTGACACATAAAATTAATCATCATACCATATAACTGAATTCCAGCCAATGCAATGTAGGTAAAAGTGAGACATAGCAGTTTCAGGCTTGGCTGGTAGAAATCCCCATATGACCCTCCATGCTCTTAACCCACCTACTGGCTGGATGCAGGTGGGTATGCTGCTTTGTTAGGTATGTGTTGAAGACACTACATCCATGGGATGGAAAGAGCCTAGAGCCCCCAAATCACCACTCTCTGGACATCTTAGATGCTAAGAACAAACTCCTATGATGATGTTCGACTCATTTTACATTAAGCGTTTGTTACAGCAGCTAGCATTATCTTAACTAACATGCCAGGAATCATGACTTCATCTTTTAATTTTTCTCTCGCTGCACCATCTTGAGTTTTTCCACATTAATTCTGTTTTCTACTTTTTGTTTAATTACATGCCTGAGGTATATTCCTGTAGTATCTCTCCTTTATCTCAGTAGTTCCCAATCCAGAAAAAAAAATGCTTTAGCTGAAAATCCATAAATTTCACTCTGTACTTACTGTTGGTGTAATGTGTACAATTTCATATACGCCCTGATACTAAGCCACCCAGTCTTACTCTATGTAGCATTCACACATGATCTTGTTTATCTTTATTGTTTTTGCTTCCTTGCAAATATTGTGGAATTTTGTGGAACCTCAACAATATTTTCTATTTATTGGTATATGTTTATGGAAATCCAAAGGATGCACTACCCTTCTAAAAATAAACACCTGTTTTTTAATTTAAATTTTAGATTTAAGGGGTACATTGTTATAAGGATATACTGCATGATGCTGAGCTTTGGGCCTCTATTGATCCCATCACCAAGATAGTAAACATAGTACCCAATAGGAAGTTTTTCAGCCCATGCTCCACCTCTCTTGTTTTGGAATCCTCAGTGTCTATTGTTTCCATCTTTATGTCCATGTATATAAACATTTATTTTTAACAATACACTTAGTCACTTTTTATAAAACAGCATTGAATGGGTTATAAGAACAATTGTTTCCAGCCCCACTTTCCTCATCCCTTGGTTCATCTCCCCTTCAAACTACTTTTAACTTTTTCTAAGTTTTATAGTAATTATCTCAAATAAACATGCCTACACTTCTATTCCCTGATTTATCAGTTTTAGACACTATCTGTATTTCTGTTATAAGGATATGACCTTTTTGTTTTTTACATCAGGCCCAAACTCCTTTTGCCATGTATCCAATGTAATTTTATCATTTGTGTTTATGTTGTTATTTTACTTATACGTCGTTCACCTAAAAGCCAAGAAGTTTATTATGATTACACATACTTTCTTATAGAGCCTTTTTTGAGAAGGCCTTTTGTGTCTTGTAATATGTTCCTGATAATAATGCTCAATTTTCTCAAATGTTTCATCATATCAGGTATTCGAACCTGCTCCTTTTCTGAAAAATAACTCTCAGGAGCACTCCATTTTCCTGCTCTTGTCTGGGTTGAAAGGCTGATGCCTACCCAACTGCTACAAACTTCAGCACACATCCCTGGAACAGGCTCTCTGACCTTCCTGATGTGGTAACCTTGGCAAGCAGATAGCACAGTTAAGCGGAATGTCTTCTCTGCCAAGCAGTGGGTAAGAACAACCCCATTCCACATCTTCCTGATGAAGACTGAGTACTCCCTGATTTTTAAGAAATAGTTCCTGTTGGGAAAGACTCAGTGGAAGAAATAAACTGCTAAATGGCTATAAAAATAATTCCTAAGAATGTGCAAGCAATTTTGAAAGGAATGATCAGAGAACAAAAATCTTTGGGGAAAATATTAGATTGCATGTTACCAAATCACTGTTTGCCATCTATTTCTGTATATTCAACACAATCTATATATGTTGATATACCAAAGACTACTCACTGATCATTAAATAAGGCCTTTCTGAAAAGAAGACTGCCATTCCTAGTCACTCTTGTAGCTAAGCGTTTCCATGTGTCTGACTCTAGCCAATTGAATAAGGGAAGAAGTGATATATGCCACTTCCAGCACTGGCCAGAAAAGCTTCCATGATATCTTCCATGTTCTTTTCTGTTTCTAGCTGGATGGGAACGAATACAGCCCTCAGGGGAGCCTTGGAAGTCAAGTGATAAAGTGGTTGAAGTCATAAGATGGGAAAAAGCCAAGTACCTGGGTCCCAGTTTCAAAAAATGTTGTTTGACCAGTAGGATGACCAAGTTGTCCTGGTTTACCCAGAACTTCTCCAGTCTTAACACTGAAAATCTTGTATTCCAGGATACCCCTCCATTCTGGGCAACCCAGGATGGTTGGTTACTTCATCTACCAGGAATTGCAATAGTGTGTTCATAAGCTAGAAATAAGTTTTATTATAAGCCACTGAGATTTGGGGACTCATTTGTTACAGCAGCTAGTGTTCCTTTGACTAGTACCAACATGTCCGCATGTAGGGCAGTGTTTCACATTTAGCAATTTGAAACAAAGGAAAGAAGATATGTAACATACTTATGAGATTTCATGTCTGAAATTTTGATGCACTTTGTGTTTTTGCTGAATCATGATTCTGATGTTGTGCCAACACAGGGTGTTCATGAGTTAGAGTTTTAACTAGGACTTTGAATTTATTCTAATAGCTGTTCTGTATTTATAGAAAATCAGTTATATATATACTTTTAAACCTTAGCCTGATATCTACTCTATTTTTCATATCTAGGATATGTTAATATTCCAAGTATCCTTTCTCCCCCTCCCAACATATACATAAATATGTGCACAGTCACATGCATACATACGGCTGTAAACATATAGTATCTGGGGTGTCTGTTCATCCTAGCTGCTTCTTATCTATTCACAAAATGCAAATGCTTGAGCCTATACCTGTGGCAACAGCAGGTTTTCTACAAAGCCAGTCCATCACGCTCTAGGCTCCTATCTCCAGAGATTCCACAAATGCTTAAAAGAGTGTGAAAGACAGAAATCAGTCCTTCTTAGATCTCTCTTGATATACACAATGACGGCAGAGGGTCACCGGTTTTTATTAGAAATTAGCCTTTGTGAATCACATCTTAAAGTTTAGAAAGCCATGCAAAGCCCCCAACCCTGATAAAAGCCACAGCCATTGGAATAGCATAGTCATCTACAGAAGCCAATCTCTTTATGGTAGGCTACCTACAGCCCAGTGTTATGCTCAGTGGAGGGGCTCCCAGCCAAGCTGGCCAGGATCCTATGTTGAAAGTTCTTTATTTCCAGTTTCCCTATAAAGTTGTGGAAACTCTGGCTGTGGTAGATCTAGGATATATGACAGCAATGGAGTTGCCTTTTCATAACACATAAGGCAATCCAGCATGGAAGGAAGATGCCGGAAAGAAAAATATTTTACTCACCAGCAAAGCTGTTCACATATTTTGAGTCTGGAGCCCAATGGTAAAGACAGAATCCTATGCCTCAGCTGCTGCTATGAGTACCAGGACAGAGCTCTCTTCCCATGATGCTTTAGGAAAAGAATATCTCCAGCATTATGGACCTTTTCTCATTATTGGATCTGAGTACTCACTCTTGATATAGCCGCTATCAATGAGTTCACTTAGACAGTTCACCTACACAGTCACATGCCTGAACGTAACACTCCAGGAGAATTGGTTGGCATTAGATGTAACGTTTGCTACCCCTCAGAGTTGAACTACCAAATTTTAATAAATCCTCAAAACACAAGAGCCCTCAGAACTAAGGGAGCTATGCTCAGCGATTCCAAGGTGACTTCTGTCCTGCTCTACTCTAGTGGAGACCTCTAGTCCCACCACCTACAACTACATATAGAGAATATAGAAACATGAACATGATCTGTCTGCTTGGACAGAAAACATATAAGAAGTGTTGAGAATGCATGATGATTATTAGAAAAGGCACTGTTTGTTTTGTATATGGGTTCTTGGTTTGTATGAAGCACCTCGACCTTTCGTGAAAGTGAAAATTCAAGACAAACAGTTCCATTGAGACATCTACCTACTTTTGAGCAGGGTTGAAAGAACAACAGAATTGAATCACTCTAAGCGAAGAAGCAGAGTGTGTGAGGTCTAGGCAGAAGCAAGACAAGAGGAGTTCCGGAGGAGAAAAGTGTGTGACTCATTGGGCAGGCATCACATCTCTTATTCCTGACACCCTCTCACCCTAGGGTTGGGTGAGTCATTCCCAATGAGGAGATATACAAGCAACTCCCAGAAGAAGCCTCCATGGAATGACTCCTCAGGTCCCAGATGTCCTCCAGAGCAACAGAACCTATGAGTGGCTAAGGTCAACAGAAAGCAACAATGGACCCCAATAATCTGCAAGTGATGTTGAGGGTTCCTTAAGAAGGGCAGATAGAAAAAGGCAGAAACAAGACTATCTTCAACCAAGTTGCGTAGAAAAGTCTATAACTTCTGATATTCTTCAGACATTTGAGCTGAGTACCTGGAGGTGAAAGTCAAATAGAGGGAATCATTTGAAAGCATGAGCTCCAGAACCGCACAGACTGGGCTCAAATTCCAGCCCATCCCTTACCTCCTCTGTGCTCTGGGCAAGTTCCTTGATCTTCATGTAGAAGGAATCTTAATTCCTTCATCTATAAAATGAGAATAATAGTTCCTAAACTCATAAGACCAATTTTGAGGGTTAAAACGTAGTACATTCAAATAACTTAGAGTTCATGACACATAGTAAGTCCTCATTACCTTATCAGCTACTATATCATCATCATCATCATCATGAGGCCACTATGAGCAATGGCATCTATTTCCCAGCTTTCTGGGCCAGGAAGTTTACACAGCTTAAAAGGAAACAAGTGCTCAAGCCTGTAATCCCAGCACTTTGGGAGGCCGAGGCAGGTGGATCACCAGGTCAGGAGATCGAGACCATCCTGGCTAACACGATGAAACCCCGTCTCTACTAAAAATACAAAAAATTAGCTGGGCGTGGTGGCAGGTGCCTGTAGTCCCAGCTACTTGAGAGGCTGAGGCAGGAGAATGGCATGAACCCAGGAGGTGGAGCTTGCAGTGAGCCGAGATCGCACCACGGCACTCCAGCCTGGGCAACAGAGTGAGACTCCGTCTCAAAAAAAAAAAAAAAAAAAAAAAAAGGAAACAAGATGAATTGATTGAGACCTAGAAGACGGCTCACAAACTCAGGTCATCCTTAACATGGGCCTGTACAACCACAGCGCGAGGAAGACGTGAACACTTAGATTAGCAGCAATGGCAGGCAGGACATTCATCTCATTCACAGGCAATGTGTGACTGACACACAGGTGAGTCAATGTGTGTGGCAGGAGGGAACAAAATGAGTTGTGATACAAATGGAGAAGTGGAGGGGGGAAGGGTAGACAGCAAAACAAGAGGCAGGCAAGAAGTAGAAAGGAACACAGAAACTCATCTGGGCTCTGGACTCAACTGTGATATTCCACTGATATTTTTAACATATGGTAAGTCCTCATTCCCTATCAGCGACTATATATCATCATCACCATCCATTGACTTCCAGCATTTTCCTCCTGCGACTCCTTCTCAGGGTCCTATTAAATATTTTCATAACTACTTTGCTGTTAGACTCATCCTAAATACAAGGCAAGTCAATAACTCTACCCATTCTTTGTGTGATATATGTATTGTAATAAGGAATGTTATTAAAGGAATAACATCCTTCATGACCCAGAGACTTTCCCCAGCATCTACAAATTACACCACGCTCTATGAGCTCCTGCAAGAGTCTTGTTTGGCAAAACAAAAATCACAGGATACAAGCTCATGTGTAATTTTTAAATCATCTTCCTCTTCAGTAATAAAGTACAAAATGTTCCTCAATGTGCTGACATCCTCTAGATGACCATGGAGATCATGGAAGGAGTGGAAGAGGGAGCTTGAATTTTCCACAAAATTAAAATTCATTAAAATTCATTAAGGTTGTTAAGCTAAGAAATCATACAGGGATAAGGGACGCCTTCTTGATGGAAGTCCTTGTTTCAAATATTCAATAAAATGCTAACCTTATTTTCCCTATGCTTTATGAAATTTTTTTTACAATTTGATTTTAAAAAAAGAAAAAACAGAAAGTGTAAGTTATCTAAGTACAGATGAGGGGAATGGCTTTTTCCTTCATATTTGCCTTCATGAATAGGTGGCTATATGTTTTTGTTATCATCCTATAAGAAGTGAATTATATATGTCTGTGAGCTGTTACTCTAAAAGAAAAATAAAAAACATTCTTCAAGTGTAGGGCCAAAGACACTAACAGTTTTCACCACCAACAATCCAACCACTGATTTATTTAATATAATTAAGGCTTCAGTTACCCAGTAAGAGCCAAAGAATATTTGCTTTCCTCTAAAATGCCTCTTCTATGATCCCAAGAGGTCCACAGGGTCTCCCAGAAATATGTTTTTTCTCCATAGCCAAGTATTTTGCCACATGTGTTTGTTATGATTGGCTGAGCCTGTGGTGACCACTATTTAATTAGGGCAAGATTGAACCTCCTCAGAGAAGATGTGTCTCATGTTTTTAAGATCTGGCCATCTGAGAGTGCCCTCACACATACAAACCAAGGAAGCCACAATTCTTTTAGTGAAACAGATTTCTCTTCATGTAAGGAGTGGACAATGTTAATATTCTCAAGTAATATATTGGTACAAATAATTTCAAAACTCAGGACATCTGTTTTTGAAAATGAAAAAATGTATTTTTTACTATTATATTTCTGTGTATTTTCAGATGACAAGATTTCATCATGGGTACATTTAACTATGACTTCTAGTTCAAGACATTTGATAAAAATGTGTCAAATTAAATAACTCATAATTTTCATCCTAATGTGAATTCCCTCCAGGCATATTTTTATAATTGTCTCCATTTAAAAAAAGTTTCCTCAGAATTGTTTTCTTTGCCTTGCATTCTATTTTATACCTTTTCATAAATGAGGAAGGTATATTGTATGCTCTCCTCCTATAATTCTTGTGTTATATGTAGCAGAATCATAACAAAATTATCATCCTCAAAATTACACTAGAAGTATTTTTTGCCATGAATAATAATTATTATACACTATATAATAATATAGTGCTTCCTCTGAGACAGGCACTATTTGTTGGTTTTTTTTTTTTGTTTTTTTTGTTTTGGGATATGGGGTCTGTCACCCAGATTGGAGTGCAGTGGCACCATTATGGCTTACTACAGCCTTGAACTCATGGGCTCAAGTGATCCTCCCACCTCAGCCTCTCTCCCAAGTAGCTGGGACTACAAGTGTGCACCATCATGCCTAGCTAATTTGGTGGGGTTTTTTTGTTTGTTTGTTTTGGTAGATGGGTCAAGTGTGGGTCTCATTATGTTGGCACAGGTTGGTTTTGAACTGCTGGAGTCAAGTGACCTACCTGCTTCAGCCTCCCAAAGTGCTGGGATTACAGGCATGAGCCACCATGTCCTACTCTGGCACTATTCTAAGTGCTTTTTATCAGTTTATTTAATACTCAAAAGAGCCCTGTGGAAAGGCTACTACAATGATCTCCCCTTTTCAGATGGGGGGCTTGAGGCACAGAGGAGTTACATAACAACACACACCAGTCACACAGCTAATAAGCAGCAGAGTCAGTTTTCAAACACAGTAGCACTCAGGGACCCATTCTCTTATCACCAAGCTGGGCTACCTGTCTGAACTTGTATCACTTTACACTATTGCCACAAAGAGATTTCAAAAATACCAAAATGATCTTGTCACATCTCTGTGGACAGACCTCCGATACCTCCCACTGTTCCAAATGTCCATGCCTTATACATTTTACACATTTACCTCATTGTATGGAATTTATGTTTGTATAACTCCACATAATAAATTTTTTTATTTTTGTGAACTATAATATGACTTGTTAGGTGTTTGTGCAATAAAAGAGCAGAAGGACCGTGCTGAAGGACCAGTCAGATCCTGCTAGCTGGACCCCACAGTGTGAGCAGCTACAGGGGAACAACCATGGGAATAAGGGAGTTGAGTCAGGTTCCACCGAGAAGCAAATACATTTATTCTAAAGGCCAAATGAATTATTTGGTTGGAAAAAATTAAGAAAATGCTATAATGGTGTAATATTGGGTACCTCAATGTACTTAACAATTGCCCCTCTCTCACTCACTGTAAAACCTGGAAAGAATGTTAGAAATTAAATATTCTACACCCTCAGTTTACAGACGAAATACAGGCCCATAGAGATGAAGTGACTTGTCTAGTTTCATCCACTCCCTAGAAGCAAGGCCGGGTCTAGCATCCCTTTCTCCTGACCTCCTTCCAGTTCTCTTTCTCTGGTTATCACACAAGTACTTTTCAATCTGCTCTGCCCATCTGAAACTGTACCTCTTGTTTTCCTGCTTAATTTCAACTAAATGAGATTTGGTTTCATCAAGCATCTACCACCACCTCAGGCTTTTAAAACTGGAATTTAGGGAGGGGTCCATCAGTATTTTTTGTTTTTTTACATTTTTAAAGAAAAGTTCTTCAGAAGTAGAATGTAGTTTAACATTTAATCGTAAAGGATCATCCCATTTCCTCAACTATTAACTCTTGGACAGTCTTGCTTTATCTCTACCCCAGCTTACTCCTTCTCCTACTTTCAGATGATTTTTAAGCAAATTCCAGACATCATATTATTTCATCTGTAAATAGTATGAATCTCTAAAAAGTAGGTCTGTTAAAAAACTAAACCACAATATCATTATCACACCTAAAAATATTAACCTTAATTTCTTAATATTCCAAGATGTCCAATCAGTGTTCAAATTTCCCTGATTAGCTAATTTTTTAGGGAAAGATCTAAATAAGGTCTATACCTTGTGATTGGTGGATATATTTTTTCAGGTGCTTTTAATTTATAGGTTCTCCTGTTATCATTCTATCTTTTAATTCTTTTTTGAAAAAACCAGATGGTTGTCCTGCAGAGTTTCCCAGTCTGGATTTTGCTGACTACATCCCTATGATATTCAACATGTTTCTCTGTCCCCTATATTTCCTTTCTATACATCAGAAATTAGATAAATAACTTGATTTAGATTAAACTTTAAGCCTCTACAAGGATATTTCATAGGTGATGGTGCATATATGTCTGGATATCTCTTTGTGTGATGCTAGCTACTAATAACCGTTACCTAGATCTACTAATTCACCTGGGCTGGCAAAATGGTAAGATGCTAATTATCTAGTTTCTTCCACAATCATTAGCTGGGATACTTTTATAAAGAAACATTTCTCTTTATTAACTGTGTGGTTACCTTGAGGAATATTTCATACAGAAAGGGCAATATAAGTAGATCAATACTCCTTTCCCTTTATTCGCTCTCTTCAAATAAAGTTATTCTGCAAACTACTTCTAAAGGTGATCTTTAAGTTTCGTTTTGTCTTTTGGTATTATGAGCTTTAGGACATAAACATTTTACGTGCTTTAATATATTGCAACTATAATTCTATTGATTGCACCATTTTGGCCAGATGTACCATCTTCAGGTCGGTTTGGGCTTCTTTTTGATATGACCCTAGTAGTATTTGATAGTAGTACTATCTTGCTTTCCAAAGTCATAAGACATCTTATCTTGTATATTTTCTGCCCCAGAGCTGGAATCAACCATTTTTCAAGAAACTTTGGTAACTTTTAAAGGAAAAGTAAATTTAGAAGCCTTTTAGCACTACAGGTGTTCAATATTACTGTGTTAGTTACTCTTTCAGGACTTTTCAGTGAACAGAACTACATGACACTTCTCTTTAACATAAAGCACATCATGAATTTATATTTTTAACTCCAGTCAAGTTAGGACTACAAGGTATTTCACTTAAATCTTATGTTTTATTATTCCATGGAAAGAAAAATTCTCATTCTAATCAATACCAAAATATATAACCCATTAAGTTTATCCCGCAATTACATACACCCCCATCTATAACAATACCAACATGACCAACAATAGATTATTGATTTTTTTTTTTGTTTTTTTGGTGACAGAGTCTGTATCACCCAGGCTGGAGTGCAGTGGCATGATCTCGGCTCACTGCAACCTCGGCCTCCTGGGTTCAAGCAATTTTAGTGCCTCAGCCTCCTGAGTAGCTGCAATTACAGACGTGCACCATCACACCTGACTAATTTTTGTATTTTTAGTAGAGACAGGGTTTCACCATGTTGGCCAAGTTTGTCTCAAACACCTGGCCTCAAGTGATCTGCCCATCTTGGCCTCCTAAAGTGCTGGGATTACAGGCATGGGCCACTGCACCTGGCCGATTACTGAACATGTTTTAAGATATCCTTGCAATTATTTTTGTTCTCAGAGTATAACACACAGTGTATCCACAGACAAACTGCTGTGCTATGAAGTTATCTGAAATATTCTTTCCCAGTTTGGTTATACCACTTACTCAATATACAATATTCAATTGTTTTAATTTGCTTTCATATTTAGGAATTTTTAATTTATGTTAATAAGTATATAAAATATTTATGTCTAAGTGTAAATCTACTCAACAAAGTAGTCACATAAAGTGTTAACGTAATATATACACCACATATATAGACTACATATAAATCACATATATGTTTTCATAGTTCATTTTTGGAAAGAAAAATAAGCAAAAATGAGAAAGTACAAGCAAAAATGGCTTAAAGAAGACAGGAAGTTTTCTCTCATGTAAAAGTGCATAAATGACCTGGCACAGTTACTCTGTTCCACAGAGTCCTCAGGGAACCAGCTTTTTCAAGCTCATTGCTGTGACATTCTACTACGGGGAGTTCTTATGCTCATGGCCTAAGATGGTATTATCCATGTTCCAAGCAGCAAAGTAGATGAAAAATTGAAGTGTCAAAGAGTACACATCAACAACCTCTTAAAGATTTCTGTGCAAATGCTACATGACGCTTCAACATCTATCCCACTGACCAGAACAAAGTACCATAGCCACACTCACTGCAAAGAAAAACGTATCTTTACTTTGACCATGTTCCAGCTTAAAAAATTAATTATGGAAAAACGAGAGAAAGCAAGTAGCAATTTCTACCACGGCTTCTCCTACCTCAAATGGTTATTGTATAGCTCAAATTTTCATAAACTGTAAATTATTGAATGTGAAATATTAACTGCTCTGCTTCTAATAAACACAAATTTAGAAAACTTAAATAAAGGCTTACTATAATTTTGATAAAGTTCTTCTTGAAAGTATGCCTTAAAAAAATCACTCCAATAATGAGAATTTCATAGAGAAGAACTTTCTTGTATTAGTCCATTTTCACACTGCTATAAAAATACTACCCGAGAGTGGGTGGTTTATAAAGGAAAAAAGTTTAACTTACTCACAGTTCCACATGGCCGGGGAAGCCTCAGGAAACTTGACATAATGGTGGAAGGTGAAAGGGAGGCAAGCACCTTCTTTACAAGTGGCAGGAGAGAGAAATGAATGCAGGAGGAAATACCAAACACTTATAAAACCATCAGATCTCGTGGGAACTCACTATCAAGAGAGCAGCATGGGGGAAACCCGCTGCATGATTCAATCACCTCCACCTGGTCTCTCCCTTGACACGTGGGGATTATGGGGATTATAATTCAAGATGAGATTCGGGTGGGAATACAAAGCCAAACCATATCAATACGCTCCTGGGCCCTCCCAAATTTCATGTCCCTTTCACATTTCAGAAATCAATCATGCCATCCCAACAGCCCCCAAAGTCTTAATTCACTCCAGCATTAACCCCAAAGTCCAAGTACAAAGTCTCATCTGAGACAAGGCAAGTCCCTTCTATGTAGGAGCCTGTAAAATCAAAAGCAAGTTAGTTACTTCCTAGATACAATGGGGACACAGGCATTGGGTAAATGTTACCATTCCAAATGGGAGAAATTAGCCAAAACAAAGGGGCTACAAGTCCCATGTAAGTCCAAAATCCGTCTGGGCAGTCATTAAATCTTAAAGTTCCAAAATATCCCTTTTGACTCCATGTCTCACATCCAGGTCACGTTGATGCAAGAGATGGGCTCCTACAGCTTTGGGCAGCTCCACCCTGTGGCTTTGCAGGGTACAGCTCCACTCCCCGCTGCTTTCACCGGCTGGCGTTGAGCGTCTGTGGCTTTTCCAGGCACACAGTGCAAGCTGTCTGTGGATCTACCAATCTGGGGTCTGGAGGACAGTGGCCCTCTTCTCACAGCTCCACTTGGCAGTGCCCCAGTGGGGCCTCTGTGTGGGGGTTCTGACCCCACATTTCCCTTCTGCACTGCCCTAGTGAGGCAAGAGAATAGGGTTTGAAGGAAGGGAACTTAAGGCCAATACTTGCTGAATCAAGGAAAAACACCAAGGTCTGGGGGCAGGGAATCTCGTTCCAATTTTTGCTGACTTCCCAAAGCTGGATCAAAAGGAAAACACCTGGGTCTGGCGGCAGGGAATCTAAAGCCAATTAACACAAACTTCCTAAGGTTAAACCAAAAGGAAAAACCCATCTCCCCACACCTGAGTAACAAAGGATCAAAGGCTACTCTCCCTACAGCCCTCCCCTTCCACCAAGTCTCAGATGGAAAGGGAAAGTGCCTTGGATTGGCCACAGGTGAAATTCATCTCAGCCTTTAATTAGCCACAGACCAAAGCCTTCATCCAGATAGGGGGAAGCTGACAAGAACCTCAGAGTACTTAAAGCCCAGAAAACTTTGTAACTGGGCCCTTGAGCTGCTTGATCAGGCCCGTTCCCATCCTGTGGAGTGCTTTCTCACTTTAGTAAATTCCTGTTTTTGCTGTTTCATTCCTGTGTTTCACTCCTTTGTTACTTTGTGCATTTTGTTCAATTCTTTGTTCAAAATGCCAAGGACCTGGACAACATGTTGTCAAGACCCTCCACCGGTAACACTAGCAGAGGTTCTCCATGAGGTCTCTACTCCTGCAGCAAACTTTGCCTGGTCATTCAGACAATTCCATACATCCTCTGAAATCTAGGTAGAGGTTCCAAAACCTTAATTCGTGACTTCTGGGCACTGGCAGGCCCAACACCACATGGAAGCTGTCAAGGCTTGGGGCTTGCACCCCCTGAAGCAATGGCCTGAGCTATACGTTGGCCCTTTTTAGCCACAGTTGGAGCTGGCCACCAAGCTTGGATGCAGGGCACCAAGTCCTGAGGCTGCACACAGCAGGGGGCCCTGGGCCTGGCCTACAAAATCGTTTTTCCCTCCTAGGCCTTTGGGCCTGCGGTGGGAGGGGCTGCCATGAAGGTCTCTGACACGCCCTGGAGACATTTTCTCCATTGTCTTGATTCCTGGTTACTTATGCAAATTTCTGCATCCAGCTTGAATTCTCCTTAGAAAATAGCTTTTCTTTTCTATGACATGATCAGGCTGCAAATTTTCCAAACTTTTACATTCTGTCACCTGTTGAACACTTTGCTGCTTAGAAATTTCTTCTGTGAGACACCCTAAATCATCTCTCTCAAGATCAAAGTTCCACAGATCTCTAGGGCAGGGCAAAATGCTGCCAGTTTCTTTGCTAAAACATAGTAAGGGTGACCTTTACTCCAGTTCCCAAGAAATTCCTCATCTCCATCTGAGACCACCTCAGCCTGGATTTCATTGACCATATCTCTATCAGGATTTTATTCATAGCCATTCAACAAGTATCTAGGAAGTTCCAAACTTTCCCACATTTTCCTATCTTCTTCTGAGCCCTCCAAACTGTTCCAACTTCTGACTGTTACCCAGTTCCAAAGTCGCTTCCACATTTTAGGGTATCTTTATAGCAGTACCCCACTCTCCATGATACCAATTAACTGTGTTAGTCCATTTTCACAGTGCTATAAAGATACTATCTAAGACTGGGTAATTTATAAAGAAAAAAGGTTTGACTCATAGTTCCACATGGCTGGGGAGGCCTCAGGAAACTTACAATCATGACAAAAGGTGAAAGGGAGGCAGGCACCTTCTTCTCAAGGCAGCAGGAGAGAGAAATGAATGCAGGAGGAACTACCAAACATTTGTAAAACCTTCAGCTCTCATGAGAACTCACTTACTATCATGATAACAGCATGAAAGAAATGGCCTCCATGATCCAATTATCTCCACCTGGTCTCTCCCTTGACATGTGGAGATTATGGAGATTATAATTCAAGATGAGATTTGGGTGGGGACACAAAGCCTAACCATATCATTTATTAAACCTAGAGCGTATATGAACAAAAAGTTCAACAAATATTATATTCAGTAGTGAAACGTTACAAGCATTCCTTTCAAATTCAGGAATATGTCAAGAATGCCACTATTATCACATCTATTTAACATTGTATTGTAAGTTCTGTTCAGCTCAAGAAGGCAATTAAAAGGAAAAAAACTGTGTAAGGATTATAAAGAAGAAAACAAAAGACAGACATATCACCTGTTATTATTCACAGGTGATACGATAGCATAGAAAACCAGAAGGATATACAAACTAGAATTAATAAGAAAGTTTATCAAAGTTGCTAAATATGATATCGATAGGCAAAATTTCATGGAAATTCTATGCACTAGTCATAATAAGAACATTCATTAAAAAAGTACTATGTGTGATGGTGTGATGAAACATTTTAAATGGTCCATTTTCAAGGCATGATAAATCTAAGTACTGGCAGCCAGCCTGCAAATGTAACAAACCACATGGCTCATGCAGCTAGAAGATCACAATAAGTGAACAGAATGTAGAGTAGGGATCAGCCCATAAAAGGGAAGAAAGTTTTGTTGTTGGGAAATTGAAATTTCAGCATGGAAGGAGGCTGGGGTATAACTTTATAAGGGGGATAAAGAAACTTAGGAGACATCCGGGAAGATTGTAACCCCATAGTACTCAACCAATGAGGAACTGGGGGAGGGACTTGCATGCTAGGAGATAAATTACCTGTTGTGACTGCCCTGGGTGTGCCTGCCTACCAAACACCCAATCTTGCAAGACCGCTATTAAAAGTCTCACTTTCACTGTTCTTCGTGCCTCTAAGTCCATTCTTTGGGTTTGAATGGGTGAGCGTGTTTCTCACAATGGTATGCCATCTCTACCCTTTTTTGTCTTGCATTATAATTCTGGATATGGAGTATGTAAATATTTCTTCTTTGCCAGCTAGAATAATGTTAGAATTTGTCAGTATTGGACACTAGTGGGACACTGCAAGGCACAACAGAAGAAAGAGCTTCTCTTCCTGTTTTTGGTGTGCCTTCATTCTTTTCCTACAGTGTGGTTGTCAATGATGTGCAAAAGACTCAGTGGTCATCTTTCAACAAGTTTGGCTGGGCTCCAAGGAAGCCAATTCCTTGCCAGTGATGTGTGGCAGATGCAGGGTGGCACACTCACCAGCAAATTCCATTTGCACCTTAACAAATGGGTTCCTGTTTAAAAGATATCTTCAAATTTTAGCCAGATGAGAAAACACTTATTATATAATTTTATGTGAGGGAAAAAGAAAATTCTATAAACATTAATATCTCAATGTGTCTTAAAAGCCTTAAAAATTAATCTCCTTCAGTGCTAATTCATCTTTTAAGGATCTATTGGAAAGCATATAACATTCACTTTTAGATTTCTAGAAGAAATATATCAAATTATTAATAGTGATTATCTCTGGATACAAACATTACAGAGACCACCATTTCATTCTTTGCACTTTTCTGTACATTTCAAAATCTCACCTAATCAATAATGTATTAGTCCATTTTCGCACTGCTGATAAAGACATACTTGAGACTGGGCAACTTACAAAACAAATTGGTTTAATTGAACTTACAGTTCCAAGTGGTTAGGGAATCCTCACAATCATGGTGGAAGGCAAGGAGGAGCAAGTCACATCTTACATGGATGGCAGCAGGCAAAGAGAGAGAGCTTGTGCAGGGGAATTCTTCTTTTTAATACCATCAGATCTTGTGAGACTTATTCACTATCATGAGAACAACAAGGGAAAGACTTGCCCCCATAATTCAATTACCTCCCATTGGGTCCTTCCCACAACAGATGTGAGTTCAAGATGAGATGTGGGTGGGGACACAGCCAAACCATATCATACTGCCCCTGGCCCCTCCCAAATCTCATGTCCTCATATTTCAAAACCAATCATGTCTTCCCAACAGTCCCCCAATCTTAACTCATTGCAAAATTTACTCAAAAGTCAAGAGTCCAAAATCTTATCTGAGACAAGGCAAGTCCTTTTTGCCTATGAGCTTGTAAAATCAAAAGCAAGTTAGTTATTTCTCAGACACAATGGGGGTACAGGCATTGGATAAATACAGCCATCGGAAATGGGAGAAATTGGCCAAAACAAAGGGGCTACAGGCCCCATGCAAGTTCAAAATCCAGCAGGTCAGTCAAATCTTAAAACTCCAAAATTATCTCCTTTGACTCCATGTCTCACATCCAGGTCATGCTGATGCAAGAGCTGGGTTTCCATTGTTTTGGGCAGCTCCACTCCTGTGGCTTTGCAGAGTACAGCTGTCCCTCCTGGCTGCTTTCATGGGCTGGCATTGAGTGTCTGTGGCTTTTCCAGGAGCACAGTGCAAGCTGCTGGTGAATTTACCATTCTGAGGTCTGGAGGATGGCAGCCCTCTTCTCACAGCTCCACTAGGTTGTGCCCCAGTAGGGACTCTGTATGGGAGCACCAAACCCACATTTCCCTTCTGCACTGCCCTAGCAGAGGTTCTCCATGAGGGTCCCACCCCTGCAGCAAACTTCTGCCTGGGCATCCAGGCATTTCCATACATCTTCTGAAATTTAGACTAAGGTTCCATAAGCTCAATTCTTGACTTCTGTGCACCCTCAGGCTCAACACCACATGGAAGCTGCCAAGGCTTGGGTCTTCTACCCTCTGAAGCAACAGCCTGAGTTGTACCTTGGACCCTTTTAGTCATGGCTGGAGCAGCTGGGATGCAGGGCACCAAGTCCCTAGACTGCACACAGCAGAGGGACTCTGGGCTCAGCCCATGAAACCACTTTTTTCTCAGAGGCCTCCAGGCCTGTGATGGGAGGGGCTGTTGTGAAGACCTCTGGCATGTCCTGGAGACATTTTCCCCATTGTCTTGGTGATTAACATTCAGCTCCTCGTTACTTATGCAAATTTCTGCAGCCAGCTAGGATTTCTCCTCAGAAAATGGGATTTTCTTTTTTATTGCATTGTCAGGCTGCTAATTTTTCAAACTCTTATGCTCTGTTTCCTTTTTAAAACTGAATGCCTTTAACAGCACCCAAGTCACATCCTGAATGCTTTGCTGCTTAGAAATTTCTTCCACCAGCTTCCCTAAATCATCTCTCTCAAGTTCAAAATTCCACAAATCTCTAGGACAGGAGCAAAATACTGCCAGTCTCTTTGCTAAAACATAACAAGCATCACCTTTGCTCCAGTTCCCAACAATTTCCTCATCTCCATATGACACCACTTCAGCCTGGATTTCATTGTTCATATCACTATCAGCATTTTGTTCAAAGCCATTTAACAAGTCTCTAGGAAGTTCGAAACTTTGACACATTATTCTGTCTTCTTCTGAGCCCTCCAAGCTGTTCTGACCTCTGCCTGTTATCCAGTTCCAAAGTTGCTTCTACATTTTTGGGTATCTTTTCAGCAGCAACACACTCCTGGTACAAATTTACAGTATTAGTCTGTTTTCATGCTGCTGATAAAGACATACCAGAGACTGGGCAATTTACAAAAGGAAGAGGTTTAATTGAACTTACAGTTCCACATGGTGGGGGAAGCTTCACAATCATTGTGGAAAGCAAGGAGGAGCAAGTCACATCTTACATGGATGGCAGCAGGCAGAGAGAGAGAGCTTGTGCAGGTGAATTCCTCTTTTTAAACCCATCAGACCTCATGAGACTTATTCACTATCATGAGAACAGCAAGCGAAAGACTTGCCCACATGATTCAATTACCTCCCACCAGGTCCCTCCCCACAACACATGGGAATTCAAGATAGATTTGGGTGAGGAACACAGCCAAACCATATCAAACAATAAGAAAACAATCCAACTTAAAAATGGGCCAAAGACCTTAACAGATACTTTACCAAAGAAGATATGCAGATAGCAAATAAGCATATGAACAAATACTGTACATTATAGCTATCAGAGAAATGCAAATTAAAACAAGATACCACTACACATCTATTAGAATGGCCAAAATTGACAACACCAGATGCTGACAAGGCCATAGAATAACAGGAACTCTCTTTCATTGCTAGTGGGAATACAAAATGGTAGAGTCACTTTAAAAGACAGTATGAGAGTTTCTTTCAAAACTAAGCAATGAAAAGAAATGAAGTATCAAGCCATAAAAAGAAGTAGAGGAACCCTGAAAGAAGTAATATTACTAAGTGAAATAAACCAATCTGAAAAGGTTATATAATGTATGATTCTAGCTATATGACATTCTGGAAAAGGCAAAACTATGGAGACAGTGAAAAGATTAGTGGTTGCCAGGGGTTACAGGAGAGGAAGGAATGATTAGGAGGAGCACAGACGATTCTTAAGGCAGTGAAACTCCTCTGTATGATACTCTAATGGTGGATACATGCGCAAACCCAAGATGAAACTGGAATGTAAATTGTGGACTCTTGGTGATAATGATGTATCAGTGTTCATCAGTTGTAGCTAATGGTGGGGATTTGATATTGGTGGGGATGCTATGCATCTGTGGAGGAAGGGAGTGTAAGTATAGAAGAAGTCTCTGTACTTTCTTTACAATTTTGCTGGGAACCTAGAACTGCCCCTAAAAATAGTATATTGAAAGAAAATATCACCAAAGACAATGAATATTTTATACAAAAATATTTAAAATATTATTAAAGTTTTTATTAAATCATTCGATAAATATGCGTTTAATACCTACTCTGTCTAGACTCTGTCTAGTCCTGAGGATTTGTTTATAATCAGGACTGAAAATATCCCCACTCCCTCAGAGCTTACATTTAAGGAGAGCAGACAGAAAATAAACAAGAAAAGCCCTGCTGGTTTGAATGTGGGGCTGTGACAGGAAGACAGGATTCAAGATGATCTGAGCTACTGAGGCTATGATGTCATTTACTGAAGACGAGAGTGTTTAAGTGTGTCAAATGCATTGAGAGGGTATGGGGCAAGTAATACAGGTAAAATACATGTATGAAGGGAAAGTGTCAGAGGAACTGATATATGGCTAAAATACACTGTGAAAAGTCAACTCACCATTTATCTCCAAGCCATGAAAAAAGGAAAATGTTCATTATGAAATTTTTGGTTTAATGTGTTAAGCATTATTTACCAGAGAAAAGATCTTTTAATAGTGAAGGATTTCCTGATCCTATAGTTCTTTGCAGCTTCAGGTTTGAATTTATTAACTTGCCAGAGATGCTGAAATAGGTGTGGAAGCTTTTGCAAAACATCTTATACTATCTCTTAAATTCATTTCACTATTTGTATACAATTTTTTTTTTTTTTTTTGAGACGGAGTCTCGCTCTGTCGCCCAGGCTGGAGTGCAGTGGCGCGATCTCGGCTCACTGCAAGCTCCGCCTCCCGGGTTCACGCCATTCTCCTGCCTCAGCCTCCCGAGTAGCTGGGACTACAGGCGCCCGCCACTACGCCCGGCTAATTTTTTGTATTTTTAGTAGAGACGGGGTTTCACCTTGTTAGCCAGGATGGTCTCGATCTCCTGACCTCGTGATCCGCCCGCCTCGGCCTCCCAAAGTGCTGGGATTACAGGCGTGAGCCACCGCGCCCGGCCTATTTGTATACAATTTTAAAAAGGGTTCCAAGCCTCTTCTGATTACAATCATTGACTATACCTGGATGATGGATTAACCGTCAAAAATCGACATTTTCCTTTGAAGATGAATGAGAGAATACTTCAATCTAGGAAATAAGAGGTCATCTTCAAATGTTTTAATCTCACACAGCTCAAACTTTTCTTTGTTAGTTATTTGTAGATTCATATAATGCTATTGAATGACAATCTATAGTATTATGGCTTATCAATATCAAGAAGGCAAAGTATATTTATACACTCATATACCTGAGGAAACAACCTGCACTCCTTAAATTCAAGTAGAGAACATTTTAAATAACATTTTATGTGGCAAAGTCATAAGAGGCTGTCTACAGTGTGCTTCCTGTTATCTTCTCCCCTCTTCTTCTGATGCCTTTCCCCATCTCCACCTGGTTTATTCTTTTTTTAAATTTTTTTATTTTTATTTTATTTTATTTTTTTTTTTTGAGACAGGGTCTTGCTTTTTCACCCACACTGGAGTGCAACCAGCTCACTGCAACCTCTATCTCCCGGGTTCAAGCGATTCTCCTGCCTCACCCTCCTGAGTAGCTGGGATTACATGCACCCGCCACCATGCCCGGCTAATTTTTGTATTTTTAGTAGAGACAGGGTTTCACCTTCTGTCTTCTACAATATCAACCTTGAAATTGTTTTTCCTCAATGCCCTTTATAATCCTATTTTCTCAACTGCCTAGTATATACGTCTGCTACAATACCAAGACCCAAAATATTTTGATTCCCAAATCGCACACCGTATGTTGTCATATCCATAGGAGTGTTCCCTGTGCTTCCTTCTCTCATAGCTGCATCAAACATGTTTACTTACCTATGTCAAAGAATTATTGATTATTGATATTCAAGGCACTGTGGTAGGGACAGGAGAGTCAGGGATAAAGAAAATAGTCTCTATCTGAAGACCCCTTGAGGAATTAAAGCTTTTATAGCTAATACTCAATGTTTTTTAATTACATGAATAAATACATTTATTTGGAAACTAAATAGAATCACTATAATCACAGAGTTACTCGTAAAAACTGAACTTTGGTGATTATAAGACTGCCAGAATCACTTACTGTTTGTTCTAGCCAATACCTGGAGATTTGGCCTCTGTTTCCCCATCTCTGTGGGAGAGCAGGAGCCACATTTCAACAAGTGCCAGTTAGCAAACCCAGATGGGTTTCACATGCACCAACCCCCCTTCCCACTTACTGTAATTGTTCACTTCCCTAATTCTGCTAAACCCCTGACATTCCCTCTCCCTATTCCCTCATTCTTTCTTTAAAATACCCAATCACCCCTGCATACATCGGAATGGAGCTGGGCTCTTTCCCCAACACTCAGTGGTTATTGAATAAAATCTGTATTCACTGCTTTAATGTCCAGCTGTGTTTATTTTTGACAGTGGTTCAATATAAAAATCATGAGGGTCCTTACAAGAACAGTGAGGCAGGAAGGTCAAAGAACAGATGTGATGACTGAAGCAGAGGTCAGAGTGGATGCAGCCAGGAGGTGAGGAATGTAGGCAGCTCTAGAAACTGGAAAAGGCATGGAAACTTTTCTCCCCCAGAGCCTGAAGAGGGAACTCAACCCTGCAGACACCTTGATGTTCGCCCTAGAAGATCCATTTCTGACCTCTGACCTTCAAAACGTCAATTTACTAAGATAATAAATTTGCATTATTTTAAGCCAATAAATTTGTGGTAATTTGTTACAACAGCAATAGGAAACTAACACACCACCCATGCTACATGATTAGCTCAACAAAAATATCATATAACCACCCACAAGATAAGATTAAATTGGACTTTGGTGACCATGGAAGACCATGAACATGTAGCGGAGTGGCATCAACTTTTTTTAAAAAGAATATGTCTTCGAGCAGATCCATGATTCAAAATCAAATACCTTTCTTTGGGAACGTGTAATACACATCAAATGCTAGAGCCCTTACAAAAGACTGAGTAGACCTTCTTGCCAAGCATTTAAAAGTGTTAAATCATGATCACTTTCCACAGCACTTTTAACCAGCCTTATTCATCTTTACTGAACTTCATTCATTTCACAGTTTTTAAAGGAAAAATTTTGGCTATAGGATAATGCACTCAATTAGCTCTGCTCATAGGAACAGAATAACACAATTACCTACTGTAAAACCACTACCAGCTTCTTATGAAACCTTCAAAAATTTGCTCATATTTGCTTGGTGTGCTTACCCCGAAGGGAAACAATGATGGGCTATTCTCCCAGAAACAGTGTAGAAATCGGGCAGGTAGAGGTCAGCAATTACATGTTGCCTCTATGTGGAGACCAGATGTGATTTCTATTTGGTAAATTAAGTTTCTCTCTCTGGAGTTTAGAGTGACTAAAGATGGTTCAATTTCAAACTGCTTTTTATTGTTGTTTCTTTGTCTTTAATCCCAAGAGGCAAAAATATAACCAATTTCACCCCAGTTTCTTTCCTATTTTTTAACTTACTGTTTTGATAGCTTCCCATAGTTAATGTCTTTCTTAATATTATGTAAAATATGCCTCTGTTCCAAGCTTCCCCAGTCATTAAGATGGCTCTTAACATTCCCGTTAATATGATATTTCTCTAATGTCCTTAACTGTATACTTTATAATCTCTAATAGTAATACCGGTTTCTCACAAAGCCGTTTCCCTGAGGCACACTTAATATAATCAGATTGGGCCCATTTGTATTCTGCTGCATTTTTGCCTTCCACATCTAAGGAAATAACTGGAAAATCACTTATATTCAGGGCACTTCCTGATGTTGGTCTAGGTTCAGGGATATTAACAATTCAAACTGCATGAACACTTGCAGTAAGGGAAATGGAAATTATATTTTTCTGGGAACTCATGTTTTGTCACCATTAAATCATACTATGAAATGATTTCAGGTTGGAAAGATTCCATTTCTGCTACGTTGGCTTCACAGCTTCAACTGGGCATTTTCCTTCTAACTATAAACATCCTTTAGCTTAGTTTAAATTTAAATTAATTTCAGTGGGAAAGCAGGTAAAGAAAAATATTATGTTTAAACTGCAAGTTTGGAAGAGACTCTGTTGTTATGTCCCTTTGCAGATTTTGTAATGGCAAAATTGTATTGACTCTGCAAACAACTCTCCTTTTTAACAGATGTGCATGATACACATGGTTTAGGAAAGGAAACCAATTACGGTCTCAGATCCATTGGTAATGAAGTAATGTCTCCAAATTACCATTGACACTCTACCTTCTTTGATGACAAGTCTCACAAAAGCAAAGGCTAAATGAATAAATCTATTACTTCAGTGTGTGGAGGGTTATAACCGGTATTTCCCCTTATGAGTGTCTTAATCTTTGATTAATTAAAGACCCAGTAGGAGAAAACAGAACTGGACAACTTAATTGTGAAGCATTGAGCTGCAACAGTAAGTTTCTAATAAACTCTGCCTTTAAAGAAATGCAAACTATTCTTCTAGAAAGGAAAATTAGTTTGGTTATCCATCATGGTTTGGAAGAGTGAGGTATTGGCTAACAACTTATTTCCACTAATAAAGAATGTATAAATATGCCATATCCAGATAGCTAATTTTATGCAAGAACTTTAAAGGTAATAAAATATAATTAATTTATAAAAATTATATATGGTATGGACTTGTGCTTGTAGAAATGGCAGACCAAGTTTCCCACTGAAGACAACTAGAAAAGCTGGACAGTTTTTTTTTTAAACTTCTTGATGGAATCACAGAGCTAAAAATATATGAGGAAGTACTGAGCCAAAAGCCCAGAGAGGACCACTTTTCCCTTGGAGATGTTTGCCAATCCTGGACGGTTCCCATGTCAATCCCAGAGGAGGAGTCTGAGGGGTTGAACAGTGCTTTTAATATATATATATTTATTTATTATACTTTAAGTTCTCGGGTACATGTGCACAACGTGCAGGTTTGTTACATATGTATACATGTGCCATGTTGGTGTGCTGCACCCAGTAACTCGTCATTTAACATTAGGTATATCTCCAAATGCTGTCCCTCCCCCCTCCCCCAACCCCACAACAGACCCCGGTGTGTGATGTTCCCCTTCCTGTGTCCATGTGTTCTCATTGTTCATTTCCCACCTATGAGTGAGAACGTGCAGTGTTTGGTTTTTTGTCCTTGCGATAGTTTGCTGAGAATGATGGTTTCCAGGTTCATCCATGTCCCTACAAAGGACATGAACTCATCATTTCTTATGGCTGCATAGTATTCCATGGTGTATATGTGCCACATTTTCTTAATCCAATCTATCATTGTTGGACATTTGGGTTGGTTCCAAGTCTTTGCTATTGTGAATAGTGCCGCAATAAACATACGTGTGCATGTGTCTTTATAACAGCATGATTTATAATCCTTTGGGTATATACCCAGTAATGGGATGGCTGGATCAAATGGTATTTCTAGTTCTAGATCCCTGAGGAATTGCCACACTGACTTCCACAATGGTTGAACTAGTTTACGGTCCCACCAACAGTGTAAAAGTGTTCCTATTTCTCCACATCCTCTCCAGCACTGGTTGTTTCCTGACTTTTTAACGATCGCCATTCTAACTGGTGTGAGATGGTATCTCATTGTGGTTTTGATTTGCATTTCTCTGATGGCCAGTAATGATGAGCATTTTTTCATGTGTCTTTTTGTTGCACAAATGTCTTCTTTTGAGAAGTGTCTGTTCATATCCTTCACCCACTTTTTGATGGGGTTGTTTTTTTCTCATAAATTTGTTTGAGTTCATTGTAGATTCTGGATATTAGCCCTTTGTCAGATGAGTAGATTGCAAAAATTTTCTCCCATTCTGTAGGTTGCCTGTTCACTCTGATGGTAGTTTCTTTTGCTGTGCAGAAGCTCTTTAGTTGAATTAGATCCCATTTGTCAATTTTGGCTTTTGTTGCCATTGCTTTTTGTGTTTTGGACATGAAGTCCTTGCCCATGCCTGTATCCTGAATGGTATTGCCTAGGTTTTCTTCTAGGGTTTTTATGGTTTTAGGTCTAACATGTATGTCTTTAATCCATCTTGAATTAATTTTTGTATAAGGTATAAGGAAGGGATCCAGTTTCAGCTTTCTACATATGGCTAGCCAGTTTTCCCAGCACCATTTAGTAAAGAGGGAATCATTTCCCCATTTCTTGTTTTTGTCAGCTTTGTCAAAGATCAGATGGTTGTAGATATGCGGCATTATTTCTGAGGGCTCTGTTCTGTTCCATTGGTCTATATCTCTGTTTTGGTACCAGTACCATGCTGTTTTGGTTACTGTAGCATTGTAGTATAGTTTGAAGTCAGGTAGCATGATGCCTTCAGCTTTGTTCTTTTGGCTTAGGGTTGACTTGGCAATGCAGGCTCTTTTTTGGTTCCATATGAACTTTAAAGTAGTTTTTTCCAATTCTGTGAAGAAAGTCATTGCATTGGTAGCTTAATGGGGATGGCATTGAATCTATAAATTACCTTGGGCAGTATGGCCATTTTCACGATATTGATTCTTCCTACCCATAAGCATGGAATGTTCTTCCTTTTGTTTGTATCCTCTTTTTATTTTGTTGAGCAGTGGTTTGTTGTTCTCCTTGAAGAGGTCCTTCACATCCCTTGTAAGTTGGATTCCTAGGTATTTTATTCTCTTTGAAGCAATTGTGAATGGGAGTTCACTCATGATTTGGCTCTGTTTGTCTGTTATTGGTGTATAAGAATGCTTGTGATTTTTGCACATTGATTTTGTATCCTGAGACTTTGCTGAAGTTGCTTATCAGCTTAAGGAGATTTTGGGCTGAGACGATGGGGTTTTCTAGATATACAATCATGTCATCTGCAAACAGGGACAATTTGACTTCCTCTTTTCCTAATTGCATACCCTTTATTTCCTTCTCCTGCCTGATTGCCCTGGCCAGAACTTCCAACACTATGTTGAATAGGAGTGGTGAGAGAGGGCATCCCTGTCTTGTGCCAGTTTTCAAAGGGAATGCTTCCAGTTTTTGCCCATTCAGTATGGTATTGGCTGTGGGTTTGTCATAAATAGCTCTTATTATTTTGAGATACGTCCCATCAATACCTAACTTATTGAAAGTTTTTAGCATGAAGGGCCATTGAATTTTGTCAAAGGACTTTTCTGCATCTATTGAGATAATCATGTGGTTTTTGTCTTTGGTTCTGTTTATATGCTGGATTACCTTTATTGATTTGTGTATGTTGAACCAGCCTTGCATCCCAGGGATGAAGCCCACTCGATCATGGTGGATAAGCTTTTTGATGTGCTGCTGGATTCAGTTTGCCAATATTTTATTGAGGATTTTTGCATCGATGTTCATCAGGGATATTGGTCTAAAATTCTCTTTTATTTTTGTGCCTCTGCCAGGCTTTGGTATCAGGATGATGCTGACCTCATAAAATGAGTTAGGGAGGATTCCCTCTTTTTCTATTGATGGAATAGTTTCAGAAGGAATGGTACCAGCTCCTCCTTGTACCTCTGATAGAATTCAGCTGTGAATCTGTCTGGTCCTGGACCTTTTTTGGTTGGTAAGCTATTAATTATTGCCTCAATTTCAGAGCCTGTTATTGGTCTATTAAGAGATTCAACTTCTTCCTGGTTTAGTCTTGGGAGGGTGTATGTGTCCAGGAATTTATCCATTTCTTCTAGATTTTCTAGTTTATTTGCATAGAGGTGTTTATAGTATTCTCTGATGGTAGTTTGTATTTCTGTGGGATCAGTGGTGATATCACCTTTATCATCTTTTATTGCATCTATTTGATTCTTCCCTCTTTTCTTCTTTATTAGTCTTGCTCGCAGTCTATGAATTTTGTCGATCTTTTCAGAAAACCAGCTCCTGGAGTCATTGATTTTTTGAAGGGTTTTTTGTGTCTCTATCTCCTTCAGTTCTGCTCTGATCTTAGTTATTTCTTGCCTCCTGCTGGCTTTTGAATGTGTTTGCTCTTGCTTCTCTAGTTCTTTTAATTGTGATGTTAGGGTGTCAATTTAGGTCTTTCCTGCTTTCTCTTGTGGGCATTTAGCGCTATAAATTTCCGTCTACACACTGCTTTGAATGTGTCCCAGAGATTCTGGTATGTTGTGTCTTTGTTCTCGTTGGTTTCAAAGAACATCTTTATTTCTGCCTTCATTTCATTATGTACCCAGTGGTCATTCAGGAGCAGGTTGTTCAGTTTCCATGTAGTTGAGCCATTTTGAGTGAGCTTCTTAATCCTGAGTTCTAGTTTGATTGCACTGTGGTCTGAGAGACAGTTTGTTATAATTTCTGTTCTTTTACATTTGCCGGGGAGTGCTTTACTTCCAACTATGTGGTCAGTTTTGGAATAGGTGTGTTTTGGTGCTGAGAAGAATGTATATTCTGTTGATTTGGGGTGGAGAGTTCTGTAGATGTCCATTAGGTCCACTTGGTGCAGAGATGAATTCAATTCCTGGATATCCTTGTTAACTTTCTGTCTCGTTTATCTGTCTAATGTTGACAGTGGGGTGTTAAAGTCTCCCATTATTATTGTGTGGGAGTCTAAGTCTCTTTGTAGGTCTCTAAGGACTTGCTTTATGAATCTGGGTGCTCATGTATTGGGTGCATATATATTTAGGATAGTTAGCTCTTCTTGTTGAATTGATCCCTTTACCATTATGAAATGGCCTTCTTTGTCTCTTTTGATCATTGTTGGTTTAAAGTCTGTTTCATCAGAGACTAGGATTGCAACCCCTGCCTTTTTTTGTTTTCCATTTGCTTGGTAGATCTTCCTCCATCCCTTTATTTTGAGCCTATGTGTGTCTCTGTACATGAGATGGGTTTCCTGAATACAGCACACTGCTGGGTCTTGACTCTTTATCCAATTTGCCAGTCTGTGTCTTTCAGTTGGAGCATTTAGCCCATTTACATTTCAGGTTAATATTGTTTTGTGTGACTTTGATCCTGTCATTGTGATGTTAGCTGGTTATTTTGCTTGTTCATTGATGTGGTTGCTTCCTAGCATCAATGGTCTTTACAATTTCGCATGTTTTTGCAGTGGCTGGTACTGGTTGTTCCTTTCCATGTTTAGTGCTTCCTTCAGGAGCTCTTTTAGGGCAGGCCTGGTGGTGACAAAATCTCTCAGCATTTGCTTGTCGGTAAAGGATTTTATTTCTCCTTCACTTATGAAGCTTAGTTTGGCTGGATATGAAATTCTGGATTCAAAATTCTTTTCTTTAAGAACTTTGAATATTGGCCCCCACTCTCTTCTGTCTTGTAGAGTTTCTGCCGAGAGATCAGCTGTTAGTCTGTTGGGCTTCCCTTTGTGGGTAACCCGACCTTTCTCTATGGCTGCCCTTAACATTTTCTCTTTCATTTCAACTTTGGTGAATCTGACAATTATGTGTCTTGGAATTGCTCTTCTCAAGGAGTATCTTTGTGGCGTTCTCTGTATTTCCTGAATTTGAATGTTGGCCTGCCTTGCTAGGTTGGGGAAGTTCTCCTGGATAATATCCTAAAGAGTGTTTTCCAACTTGGTTCCATTCTCCCCATCATTTTCAGGTACACCAATCAGACGTAGATTTGGTCTTTTCACATAGTCCCATATTTCTTGGAGGCTTTGTTCATTTCTTTTTGTTCTTTTTTCTCTAAACTTCTCTTCTCACTTCATTTCATTCATTTGTTCTTCAATCACTGATACCCTTTCTTCCAGTTGATCGAATCGGCTACGTGCATTTGTCACGTAGTTCTCATGCCATGGTTTTCAGCTCCATCAGGTCATTTAAGGATTTCTCTACATTGGTTATTCTAGTTAGCTATTCATCTAATCTTTTTTTCAAGATTTTTAACTTCTTTGCGATGAGTTTGAACTTCCTCCTTTAGCTCGGAGAAGTTTGATTGTCTGAAGCCTTCTTCTCTCAACTTGTCAAAGTCATTCTCTACCCAGCTTTGTTCTGTTGCTGGTGAGGAGCTGCGTTCCTTTGGAGGAGGAGAGGCGGTCTGATTTTTAGAATTTTCAGTTCTTCTGTTCTGTTTTTTCCCCATCTTTGTGGTTTTATCTACCTTTGGTCTTTGATGATGGTGACATACAGATGGGGTTTTGGTGTGGATGTCCTTTCTGTTTGTTAGTTTTCCTTCTAACAGTCAGGACCCTCAACTGCAGGTCTGTTGGAGTTTGCTGGAGGTCCACTCCGGACCCTGTTTTCCTGGGTATCAGCAGCAGAGGCTGGAGAACAGTGAATATTGGTGAACAGCAAATGTTGCTGTCTGATCGTTCCTCTGGAGGTTTCCTCTCAGAGGGGTACCCGGCCGTGTGAGGTGTCAGTCTGCCCCTACTAGGGGGTGCCTCCCTGTTAGGTTACTTGGGGGTCAGGGACCCACTTGAGGAGGCAGTCTGTCCGTTCTCAGATCTCAAACTCCATGCTGGGAGAGCCACTACTCTCTTCAAAGCTGTCAGACAGGGACATTTAAGTCTGCAGAGGTTTCTGCTGCCTTTTGTTCAGCTATGCCCTGCCCCCAGAGGTGGAGTCTACAGAGGCAGGCAGGCCTCCTTGAGCTGTGGTGGGCTCCACCCAGTTCAAGCTTCCTGGCTGCTTTGTTTATCTACTCAAGCCTCAGCAATGGAGGACGCCCCTCCCCCAGCCTCACTGCCACCTTGCAGTTCGATCTCAGACTGCTGTGCTAGCAATGAGCGAGGCTCTGTGGGCATGGGACCCTCCAAGCCAGGCACGGGATATAATCTCCTGGTGTGCCATTTGCTAAGACCATTGGAAAAGCACAGTATTAGGGTGGGAGTTACCTGATTTTCTAGGTGCCGTCTGTCACAGCTTTGCTTGGCTATGAAAGAGAATTCCCTGACCCCTTGCACTTCCCAGGTGAGGCGATGCCTCGCCCTGCTTCAGCTCACGCTCAGTGTGCTGCACCCACTGTCCTGCACCCACTGTCTGACAAGCCCCAGTGAGATGAACCTGATACCTCAGTTGGAAAGGCAGAAATCACCCATCTTCTGCGTTGCTCACACGGGGAGCTGTAGACTGGAGCTGTTCCTATTCGGCCATCTTGGTGAACAGTGCTTTTAAAAGAGTCACAGGGTTTGAAGAATGGAAATGAGATCCAGAACTTGCTAAAAGAGTGTCTAATGAACCTTCTTTCTTTGGTTCCAGACAGTGTTCCCTCCTAGGAGCAGAGTGAACTGGAAGTGGATGGCCCTCACAGAAACTAAAGCTCAGCTTCAAATTAGTTCAATGCGTAAAGTTGGAACAATATGAAGAAGCCAGACGAAAGTAAATGTAAATCCACTCTAGAAGATTACATCTTCCTGGAACTCCAATTGTTTCTGTAATTTTGCAAATTCAAAGTCTGGCATAATAATAATAATAATAATAATAATAATAATAATAATAATAATAATAAACAGTTCCATGAAAGGACCGCCCAACATGAATGAAAACTAGCAGAAAAAAAAAAAAAAAAACAGTCCTACAGGGGACTCAGATAGTGGCATTATCAGACACGGACTCAGTACGTGCTGAAAAAGAAACAAAAGACTTTGATCTCTGGAGCTATGCAGGTGAGAAAGGGACAGGATTACTGGAATATCAAACTGCTGCTTCTAGATACAAGCCAACCCAGAACATGTCTCCTCTTCCCTAGTCCCTCTTTAGAACCACTCGGCATAAACCCAAACATTAGAGGAAGCCCCTCCCTTCTACCCCAGGCTAAAAGCTCTATGATTCCTTCCAGGTTCATTCCCTCTTTCTGGCAGCAAACTAAACAAATAAGCCTAATTTTAACTACAAGCGCATTTCTTGTGGTCTTTTGTTAGGGGTTTTGACCCAATTCAGTGAAAGAGTCACAATAATTTTTCTCCATAAGGGATAGGTGGGAAGAGAGAGAGAGAAAAAGCTGTAAATTCTAGATGATAATTACCATCAATTTAAACAATGCAAGATTTAAGTGACAAACTATTAGGACTAAATGACATAAGTGGCCCTACAGTACCATGTGGCTCCTGCTTCATTTCTTTCCAACTCTGGGGGCCAAACCACACCAAAAATCATTCATTTTCTTGAATGTCCTTCTCTTGATACTTAAAGTGTGGAATGTGAACCAGCGACATCAGTATCACTTGTAAGCAGATTCCACTTCAGATTCATTGCCTGTTAATAAGATCCCCCCAGACAATTCTTATGCACACTAAAGTGTGAGAAGCGCTACCCTGCACAACTCTGCATCTTAGGAACATTGCAAATGCTCTTTCCTTTTCTAGGAAACAGTTATCTTGTCCACCTCCCTTCACCTTATTAATTTCTCAACTCAAATATTTCAACTAAAACTCAAACTTCCCTGACATTTTAGACTATAACAGGAGCCTCACATGCATACTCTTTGAGCACCTGTACTGTTTTGTCATAGCATTTGCCACAGAGCATTTTTAAACACGGACTTGTATGACTATGTATTTAATGTCTGGCTCCTCCAGTTCATAAAGTTCTTAAGGGACCATGACTTTTTCGTTCACTTTGGTTTCCAGTGCACAAAGCCTAGATTACAGTAGGCATTCAGTATGTTTTAGTAGAATGAAAAAATATATTAGAAAGTCTGATCTACATGGCATCCTTCTATTGATTATTAAAAGGACTCATCATTATAACTCACACCTGGCTTCAATTATACAGTTAATTCATATGACAAAATAATTTAATCTGCAAAAAATGTCCTCTATTATTCATTATCCTAAACAGGTTTCTGTTTGATTTTGTTTTCAGATATAATAGTGATTTTTCAAGCCTAATGAATTTTTTTCTTTTTTTTCTGAGAGGGAGTTTGCTCAGCCCAGGCCAGAGTGCAGTGTCACAATCTCGGCTCACTGTAACCTCCGCCTCCTGGGTTCAAGTGATTCTCCTGCCTCAGCCTCCAGAGTAGCTGGGGTTACAGGCACCCACCACCATGCCTGGCTAATTTTTGTACTTTTAGTAGAAATGGGGTTTTGCCTTTTTGACCAGACTGGTCTCGAAGTCCTGGCCTCAGGTGATCCGCCCACCTCAACATCCCACAAGTACTGGGATTACAGGCGTGAGCCACCACGCGCAGCCCTGATGAACTTTAGAATCACCTGAAGCTTTAAAATATTCCAGTGCCTGGGCTGCATCATCCTCAGAGATTCTGATTTTATCAGCCCAGCTACTGATGAAAATGTTACCCTCAGCACTCAATTGGACAAGACTTCAAAATTAACAGAAAATAGAAAGTAATGTTACCTTTCAGTATTCAATACATTATAAAGCAGTAATAAAGGCAAAATTTGTCTTAAGCTAAAGTTGCTAAATTACTACCTAAAAATGATGAAGTCAAAAAGAATTATATAAAACTTCAAGAATCAGTCTTGCATTGCCTATTGTACAAAATCTGAAAAGTTATTTCCTATATTGTGTCTAATTGTCTAGTTTTGAGAGTTAGAGGGCTAGTTCAGCATCAAATATTCCCTTCTGCCGGAAAGCAGACGTCTCACTATTATTTTGTTTCAGGAGTATCTTTTTATATAGCACATAGAAAAATTTAGCTTTTATTTTGTTTGTTTTTTAATAATCACCTAAGAATCTCTCTGTTTTACAATGGGTGAGTGTAACTCATTTATACTTACCATTTTTATTGCTATATTTGGATTTGGTCTTGACATTTTAATATTTGGCTTTCTACTGACTACAATTTTTTTTTCCTGTTTACCTATCTCCTGTCATTTGTTGAATTGTTCAGATTTTCTTTGTTCCATTTTCTTTTTTTTCTTTCCTTTTTTTATTATTATTATACTTTTAGGTTCTGGGGTACAAGTGCAGAACGTGCAGGTTAGTTACATAGGTATACAAATGCCATGGTGGTTTGCTGCACCCATCAACCCGTCACCTACATTAGGTATTTTTCCTAATGTTATCCCTCCCCTAGCCCCCCACTCCCCTGACAGGCCCCAGTGTGTGATGTTCCCCTCCCTGTGTCCATGTGTTCTCATTGTTCAACTCCCACTTATGAGTGAGAACATGTGGTGTTTGGTTTTCTGCTCTTGTGTCAGTTTGCTGAGAATGATGGTTTCCAGCTTCATCCATGTCCCTGCAAAGGACATGAACTCATCCTTTTTTATTGCTGCATAGTATTCCATGGTGTATATATGCCACATTTTCTTAATACAGTCTATTATTGATGGGCATTTGGGTTGGTTCCAAGTCTTTGCTATTGTGAATAGTGCCACAGTAAACACATGTGTATGGTTTAGAATTCATACATTCTATCTTTATTCTTCCATAAGTCAACCTTAAATTTTAACACAAATACTTAAAGCTATTGTATTAGTTTCCTACTGTTGCTATAACAAATTACCGAAAACTTTACAGCTTAAAACAACAGAGCACTATTATAGTTCTGGAGGTCAGAAGTCCAAAATGCCTTGGCAAGGCTGTTTTACTTCTGGAGAACATAATGCATGTTCCTGCTTTTTCTAACTTCCTATTAGCTTCCCACGTTCTTTAGCGCATGGTCCCACGTCACTCTGACTTCTCTGCATCTGTTGTCACATCTCCTCTCTTTCCTTTCTTTATTAATCCTTCTTATATGGAACCTTTGGATAGCATTGTGCTTACCTGGATAATACAGGAAAACCTTTCAATGTCAATATTCTTAAATTAATCACACCTTAAAAAATATTTTTGCCATATAAGGTAATATATTTATGGGTTTGTGGGATTCAGATGTAGACATCTTTAAGCAGTCATTATTCAACCTAAAGTTTATTTCTAAAGAGGCATATCTTGCCTTTAAGCAATATAGAAATCTTAATACTTTCCTCCATTCACAAACACTTCAAAGCCACCAACCTCTCATATTGGTATTTCAATTTTTCGCAAATTTTTACTTAAAAATGTGTTTATACTTAGGGTTTGTTTACAACTAATATTATGTTTATTGATTTCTTTGCTTACATTGTTCTTTGCAACTTACTTATTCCTCTACAATTTTTGAATTTGGATTTCTTTAATACGGCATATCTCATAGTAATTGATTTAGAGACAGTATCCTAAATGTCTGAGTCTTTGCTTAAATGAAAACCTCTTTATTTTGCACTCACAGTTGAAGGATAATTTTGCACTCACAGTTGAAGGATAATTGGTTAGAATTTTATCTTGAGGGATATTCCCCAAAAACTTTTGAGATTATCCACTGTCATCTTAGATAGTTCTGATTTAATTTTCTTTTTCATTCCTTTGTAGTAAATCTGTTTTTACCTCTCTCAAAACTTTAAGTAAGGTTTTTCCCCATAATTTATATGTGTGGTGTTTTAATTAGTAGAATTTTTTAGCAACTAGTTGACCTTTTTCATGTGTTAAATCATGTTTTTCTTTAATTCTGGGAATGTTTTATACTTCACACAATATATAAAAATATACAAAAATTAACTCTAAATGGAACAGCCACCTTAATATAAGAGCTAAAAATATAAAACTCTTAAAGGAAAACATAGGAATAAATCTTCACTAACTTGGATTTGGTTATAAATTCTTAGACATGATACCAAAAGCATGAGCAAAAAAAGAAAAAAAGATAAATTGGAATTCACCAAACTCAAAAACTTTCACGCATCAAAGGATATTATCAAGAAAGTTAAAAGAAAACCTACTATATATATATATATGTATATATATATATGTATATATGTATATATATATATATATATATGTTTGCAAATCATATCTGATGAAGGCCTAGTATCCAGAATATATAAAGAACTCTTACATTTCAACAACAAAAAGCCAAACAACCCAATTTTTAAAATGAGCATAGGGCTTGAATAAACATTTCTCCATAAAAGATATACAAGTGGCCAATAAACACATAAAAAGATGCTCAGGAGCACTAGTTGTTAGGAAAACAAAAATTGAAACCACAATAAGCCCCACTTCACATCCACTAGGATGACTATGATTTAAAAACAGAAAATAACGAGTGTTGATGAGGATGTAGGAAATTGGAACACATACATAGATGGTGGGAATGCAAAATGGTTCAGACTCTGTACAAAACAGTTTGGCAGTTTTTTAAAAGTTAAACATATAATTACTATATGACCCTGCAATTCCACTCCTTAGTATATATCCTCCCAAACAATGAAATCCAGTGTTCAAACAAGTACATGCACACACATGTTCATAGCAGCACTACTCACAATATGCAAAATGTAGGAATAACAAAATGACTCAAATTCCATCAAGGGATAAATGAATAAACAAATTGTAATATACAATGGAAGATCATTCAAAAATGAAGTACTGATACATGCTCCAATGTGGATAAACTTCAAAACCATGTTAAGTGAAAGGAATCAGACACAAAAGATCACATATTGTATAACTTCAGTCCTATGAAATATCTAGCATAGAGACATCCACGGAGACAGTGCAGATTGGTGGTTGCCAGGAGCTGAGGAAAGCGGGAGTGAGAAGAAACTGCTTAATTGGTAAGAGCTTTTGCTTTGGACTAATCGAAATGTTCTGGAACTAAATAGAGGTGTTGGTCACACAACATTGTTAATGTACTAAATGCCACTTAATTGCTCACTTTAATTGTTTAATTTTACGTTATGTGAATTTTACTTTAATAAACAAAATTTACCTGGTGACTGACTTCTACTTTCATTTCTGGACAAGATGGAGTAGACATAATTTCCCCTTTCCTCCCATTAAATATACAGCTAACAACCCTGGAAGTTACTTATTAAACAAACATGAGAAGTCTCCAAATGGTGGAAGAAGAAAGTCAGACTGTCTAGGGACATTAGGGCGTGAGAAGCAACACGGGAGTATATTTCCTAAGTTTTCATTTTGCTTCATACATCTTGGATGGGGTGATAGAGATGGAGATGCCAGCAACTTGGAAATCCCAACAGCTACAGACAACAACAACAACAACAACAACAACAACAATAAAACAGCTTTCTCTCTCTAGCCAAAGGATTAGGAAAGGGGAAGCCTAGAAAGACAAACTATTTGACGATAATTGCCCTACACCTGCCAAACATGATGGAAAGAAAAAAATGCAACCCCACCCCACCCATGTCAACAAAGGCTGAACAGGGAATCTAGATTCCACCCGCAACCAGCAGTAAAGACAGATCCCTCCTCTCCATGTTGCTGTGGTATCAGAGGAGGACTAGTACAGGGTCAGGACTTCCACTACTGTGCTTTGTCAGTGGAGACCATGTGGGGTGCAGGGATGAGATAGTCCTGTCCTTCTCAGCCAGGTAATGTCAGTAAAAGCCTAGTTGGGCTGGAACACCCAACCCCACTAAGCTGAGAGGAGGAGCACCTTCCCACCCTGTATGTCAGTGGAGACTGAGTGGGGAATCTGTACTTCCACCTCCATCTAGCAATGATGAAATAGCATTCCCTTCCCTCCACTAAAGCAGCATCAAATAATACTTGCTTTAAAAAAAAAAAAAAAAAAAAAAAAGGCCGGGCGCAGGGGCTCACACCTGTAATCCCAGCACTTTGGGAGGCCGAGGCGGGCAGATCATGAGGTCAGGAGATCCAGACCATCCTGGCTAACATGGTGAAAACTCCGTCTATACTAAAAATATAAAAAATTAGCTGGGCGTGGTGGCGGGCGCCTGTAGTCCCAGCTACTCGGGAGGCTGAGGCAGGAGAATGGCGTGAACCCGGGAGGTGGAGCTTGCAGTGAGCCGAGATCGCGCCACTGCACTCCGGCCTGGGTGAAAGAGCGAGACTCCGTCTCAAAAAAAAAAAAAAAACGGCCAGGCGCGGTGGCTTGTGTCTGTAATCTTAGCACTCTAGCACTTTGGGAGGCCGAGGCGGGTGTATCACCTGAGGTCAAGAGTTCGGGACCAGCCTGGCCAACGTGGTGAAACCCCATCTCTACTAAAAATACAAAAATTAGCCAGGCGTGGTGGCGTGCGCCTGTGATCCCAACTACTCGGGAGGCTGAGGCAGGAGGATTTATTATGCTGAGATGATAGAATAATAGATGGAATAATAGATGGAAGAGATAGTTTCGCTCTTTCGCCCAGGCCAGAGTGAATGGCTCGATCTCGGCGGAGGTCGCAGTGAGCCGAAATCGCACCACTTCCCTCCAGCCTGGGTGAAAGAGCGAAATTCCGTGTAAAAAAAACGAGAGAGAGAGAGAAAAGAAAAATGATTTCAGTAAGCTCTAGAGTCTCTGAATAGAATATCAAAACGTCCAGGCTTCAAACAAAAATCACCTGTCATTTAAAGAACCAGGAAAATCTTGACTTGAGTCAATAGACACCAAAACCAAGATGACATTGATGTTAGGTTAGGATTTTCTGAGAAGGTTTTTGTGGTGGTCAAATAAAGAACCAAATGAAAATTTTAGAACTGTAAAATACAAGATCCTCAAAGCAAAACAAACAAAAACAAAACAAAACAAGACAAAAACCTAATGGATGAGCTCAACAACAGAATGGAAGGAGTAGAGAAAAGAACCGGCAAAGTTGAAAATAGAACAATAGAAATGACCCAATCTTAATAGAGAAAATACACTGACAAAAGTGAACAGGGTCTTAGGGACCTGCGGTTCTATAACAAAAGATCTAACATTTATGTCACGGAGTTCAAGAAGGAGAGAAGAAAGAGGAAGGGCCTGAAAAGTTATTTAAGGAAATAGTGCCTGAAATTTTCCCAAATTTGAAGACAGACAGAAACCCTCAGATTCAAGAATCTGAGTGAACCCCAAAGAGGATAACAAAGATAACATAGTAGAACCTCTTCAGCACCTAGATCTTGGTGAAGAGTTATTAGACTTGAAACCAAAAGCATGTTTCATAAAATAAATAATTTGATAAATTGGATTTCATCAAAATTTTAAATGTTTACTCTTTGAAAGATCCTATTAAGATGATGAAAAGACAAGCTACAGACTAGGAAAAAAATCTGTAAAACATGTATCCTACAAAAGACTTGTATTTAGAATATAAATGAACTTAAAATGCAACAGCAAAAAAAATTATTAGAAAGTAGACAAAATACGTGAAGACACAACTTATTGAAGAGTATATACATATAACAAGCACATGGAAAGATGTTCAACCTTATTACTCATTAGAGAAGTATAAATTATGACCACAATGAGTTATTAGTATACACCTATCATAAAAATCAATATAAAAAAAATAGTGACAACACCAAATGTTCATAAAAATGCAGAGAAACCAGATCACTCATACGTTATTGGTGGGAATCTAAATGGTGCCACCACTCTGAAAAATAGTTTGGCAGTTTCTTTAAAAAACTGAACATACACTTACCATGTAACTCAGCAATCATGCTTCTGGATATTTATTCCAGAGAAATTGAAACATGATCACACAAAACCTTTATTGCATATTTATTTGTAATCATCAAAAATTCAGATAACTCAGATGTACTTCCATAGGTGAATGGTCAAATAAACTGTGGTACAGCCATACTATGGAATACTATGCAGCAATAAAAATGAATGAACTATTGACATGCAGAGCAACCTCTCTGGCTCTCCAGGGAATTATGCTGAGTAGGAAAAAAAGTCAATCTCAAAGAGTCACACACTACATGATTCATTTAGACAACATCCTTAAAATGACAAAATTGTAGGGGCCAGGCGCAGTGGCCTGTAATCCCAGCACTTTGGGAGGCTGAGGTGCGCAGATCACGAGGTCAGGAGATCGAGACCATCTTGGCTAACACGGTGAAACCCCGTCTCTACTAAAAATACAAAAAAATTAGCTGGGCGTGGTGGTGGGCGCCTGTAGTCCCAGCTACTCAGGAGGGTGAGGCAGGAGAATGGTGTGAACCTGGGAGGTGGAGCTTGCGGTGAACCAAGATCGCGCCACTGCACTTCAGCCTGGGTGAGAAAGCGAGACTCCATCTCAAAAATAAAAAATAAAAATAAAATGACAAAATTATAGGGTGGAGATCAAATTAGTGGTAAGTAATGGTAGGGAAGAGGAAGATGGGTGGACTATAAGAAGGTGTAGCAGGAGAGAGTTACAGTTGTCCCTTGATTTCTGTGGAGGACTGGTTCCAGGACCCCTGTGGATATCAAAATTTGTAATATTCAAGCCCCTTATATAAAATGACCTACTATTTGCATATAACCTATGTACATCTACCTGTATACTCTAAATCATCTCTAGGTTACTTATAATACCTAATACAATATAAATGCTAAATGTAAATAGTTTTTATACTATATTGTTTAGGGAATAATGACAAGGAAAAAAGTCTCTGCATGTTTAATACACATTTTTTCAAACTTTTTTTAGATTTTTAAGTCTTTTTAATTTAATTTTTATTTTTTAAATTTGTGGGTACATTATAGGTATATATATTTATGGGATACTTGAGAGTTTTCGATACAGGCATGTAATAAGTAATAATCACATCATGAAAAATGGGGTATCCATTCCCTCAAGCATTTATCCTTTGTGTTACAATCCATTTATACTCTTATTTTTAAATGTACAATTAAATTTTTATTGACTGCAGTCACCTTGTTGTGCTATGAAATCCTAGGTCTTCTTCATTCTACCTATTTTCCAAATATTTTTTATCAGCAGTTGGTTGAATCCATGAATGCAGAACCCATAGTTGTAGAGGGCTGACTGTATTTGGGATTATGAAATATTTATGTATCTTGATTGTGACGGTGGTTATGCAAAATCTACATGTATGATAAAAAGACATGGAACTATAGACACATTGTTCCAATGTTAATTTCCTGGTTTTGATAATGTACTATAGTTATATAACTATCAGTTACATTAAAAGTAACTATAGTACATTAGATGAAGGGTGCACAGGGGAAAGTTAGATGAAGGAAAATTAGATGAAGGGTGCACAGGCCTCGTTGTACTATCTTTGTAACTTCCTCTGAATGTAATTATTGCAAAAAAGTGATGACTATAATTTGACAGTCATTTAAGTTGGAGAAGTTAGTCATACTCTCTAATGACTTTAGCATAGCCCTCTGGGGGATTTGATTGAAATTTGAATGAATTGCCACTAGATGACACCATTGATTGCATAAATAAACCACCAGACTATTCCCTAAACATCTGAAATTTACTTAAGCCTCTATTGTTTTCAAAAATGTGATTTTAAAAAATGTAAAATATGAGATTTATAATCAGACAAAATTTTACTCTCTATTGATATTAGAAATAATATTTAACTGTCCTAAGCCTCACTTTAACTATGTCTAAGAACTTATAGGGGTGTGTGGGTGTGCACGCATGCATTTATCGATCTCACTAAAAACCATTTTTAAGAAAAATCCTCTAACTTTTTTTAGTGAGATCAGATACTACCTTGCAGGTGCTAAGTTTTCTTTATTGCTATGATAGAAGATGGGGAATGGTGGTATTATCACTAAAGAACTCTGAGAGCAAGCTGAGCTATGAATCCTTAGTTAAGTACCAAACCTAGTTACAAATTAACTTTAGATCAAATGTATCTGCACGGATCTTCACTATTTGCTTGTACTGATCATTTTTTACATTTTTTTCAGTATTTTACAATGTTTTGACATCTTAAAAGCTTGCTGACCAGAGAGACTGTCCCATCCAGCGAAAGCCAGTTTTCAGAGACAGCAAAGGACTCACTGGGCGTGTCTTTCAAACGCAAACCAACCAATCTTGGGTACCAGGCAATTAGAGACCACTCCTACAGCCCCAAACCCTATGTGTCTCAGAGTGCTTTCGGGCCAAGTGGCCCTACATGATGAGGTGATAAATGCATTTCAACCTCAGAAATTTTGCACTTGTTACCTTTTCCATCTCTTCTCAGATGTCTATAACATCTACTTCCTCACTTTATGCAAGTCTCCCAAATGTCACTAGAGATGTCTTCCCTGAGCCACACTATCATATATAGCAGCCCCTTCATCCCTCCTTTCTTCCTAGTGCTTGTATCACATTGTCACACATTTTTTCTTATTTTATTATCTTTTTGCCCCATTATATTAGTTTGCATTGAAAAAATGCAGCCAGGTGCAGTGGCTCACGCCTGTATTCCCAGCACTTTGGGAGGCTGAGGCAGGTGAATCACCTGAGGTCAGGAGTTCAAGACCAGCCTGGCCAACATGGTGAAACCCCATCTGTACTAAAAAATACAAAAATTAGCCAGGTGTGGTGGCGTATTCCTGTAATCCCAGCTACCTGGGAGGCTGAGGCAGGAGAGTTGCTGGAACCCGGGAGGCGGAGGTTGCAGTGAGCCGAAATCCAGCCATTGTACTCCAGCCTGGCTTGACAACAGTGAGACTCTGTCTCAAAAAAAAAAAAAAAAGCAACACACTGAGTGGCTTAAACAACAGAAGTTTATTTTCTCACACTTCTGAAGTCTGGAAGCCCAAGATCAAGGTGTTGTCAGGTTTAGTTTCTTGGGAAGCTTCTCTTTTGGCTTGTAAATGACCACATTCCGCGGCCTTACATGGCCAAACTTCAGTGTGTGTTTTCTGTGTCCTAATCTCCTCTTCTTACAAGGACACCAGTCATATTAAATCAGGGCTTACCCACATGACCTAATTTTACTTTAATTACCTCTTTAAAGGCCCTATCTCCAAACACAATCACATGTTTCCAGGCATATAGTACATGCTCAATAAATACCAGTTCTAAGACTCCCAAGTCTGGTGTGGAGACTGAGGACATCCCAAAATATGACTATAGGACACCAGAATACTCCACCACAAAATATGCCTTTTGAGCATGTTTTGAGCTGCTTAGTCGGAGACACTGCAGACACAGAAGTAGCTCTGAAAACCCATCCTTTTATACAAGAAATTTACATCTATAAAGGAAATCTACATCAGTAAAAGTATCTGTATCAGGAAGAGGGCTGCTCTGAGACAACTTTATTACCTGATTTTTAATCTGCATAACAAGACAACATTTATTCACCATGCATTTCCTTACCTCATCCTTCTGAAACTTATTTCCACTGCCCACCAGAAGCCCCAAGTCCCAGTGCCTTTCTGTATGTAATTCAGGATGCTATATAAGCTTAAATCGTCTATTTTCACAGGACTGCTGTGTGTATGCATTTAATTAAACATGCATACACACAGGAGTTTTTCTCCTGCTAATTTGTGTAGCTTTTTCTCCTGCTAATTTTTGTAGCTTTTTCTCCTGCTAATTTGTGTAGTGGCAATTTAATTTACAGCCCAGCCAAAGAACCTAGAAAGGTGGAGGGAAGACATTTTTCTCTCCTACACTAGCAGGCCAGTTTCTGTTATCCTCTGCTGGTGTCTAAAATCTCTAAGCAAAACATGACTCTTTGAAACCCTTAGCAGCTTAATATTAAAATTTTGATGGCTTTTCAATAAATTTGTATAATTAGACTAATTTTTATAATTCTCATATTTTTAAAGGGCAGAACGTATCAAAACACAGGGTGGTTGTCAGTGAAATTTATAAATTTATGGAAGAGTTACAACCTTAATTAAATTTTTATATCGCCTTTACTTTCTGCCAGTAAAAACCAAAACATCTGGGTTTTGGCCTGTTCTTATGAAAACAAGTCTTTTTTTTAACATAAAATAAGTATAAATTAACACTAATATTATGGTTTCTTATCATGTAGGTAGAGTTATAACAAAGTTGTTCCACGATATCAACATAAAAATATAGGATTTATATTTACCTCTTCCTTGTCAATGAGTAAGAAATACAGCCTGTAATCCCAGCACTTTGGGAGGCCAAGGTGGGCAGATCAAGAGGTCAAGTAATGGAGACTGTCCTGGCCAACATGGTGAAACCCCATCTCTACTAAAAATACAAAAAAAAATTTGGCCAGGCATGGTGGCGCTCGCCTATAGTCCCAGCTACTCAAGAGGCTGAGGCAGGAGAATCACTCGAACCCAGGAGATGGAGGTTGCAGTGAGCCCAGATCACACCACTGCACTCCAGCCTGGTGACAGAGTGAGACTCTGTCTCAAAAAAAAAAAAAAAAATACCAGAAATACAGCCAACACTGTAGAGCAGCAAGCAGAAGATAGGCATTCTAATCAGGGCCATAGGAATTGCAATTTGAGAGACACAAATCTAGCAAGCAGCTAAATCGTGTTCTACCCAGGCAAGGTAAGGCAGGGCTTTTAACAACTATTGTAAGTTCATACATCTGGAGGGTCTATGATTGATGATGGCTGGTTATCAGCTTAGGATGTCTCTAGTTGAAGATCGATTTAGTTTTGTGTAGCTGTTTCTCCAGGATGTCAGTGATTGGGCCCAGTAGAAATAGCTCAAATCAAATGCAGCTGGTTTTATAATTTGGCCCATTTAAACAGGTCAAATTCCATCTGGGTGTGTATGTGACTGAGATCCAACTCCTCATGCCCTCCCAGCTCCATTTTAGCAACTCTGACATAATCATCTCCATTTTCAATTTTCTTTTCACATCCTCATGACTAGATTGTACTGTACATTGAAAAGTTATATTTTCAGTCATAAGATTTTGCCGTCTCCTTTATTCAAAACATATGTACACCAAAAAGGTGAAATGAGGGCCTAATTTATACTCAGAGCAAAACGTGATTCACAATTCTACAGCCCAGAAAAGTTTTGAAAAATTAAAGGCTTTTTTAAAAAATCTATAAGATATGACCTGGGAAGTACTTCTGGAATGGCAGGATAAGAAGCTCTGCAAATCAGACCCTCCACAAAAGTTATGAAAATATTGGCAAAAAATGTTAAAAAAAATGTTAAAAATCTAACTTTCAGAACTCTACAAATTAACCAAAGGCTTGCAACAATACAAGGGGCACTTACGAAGAATTGTTATACCTCCACGACAAAAAGAGAAATAACTCAATTTTCTAAATGAGTGAATGGTTTGAATAAATATTTCTCCAAAGAAGATATAGAAATGACTAATAATGAAAAAAAATCAACATCACTAGCCATCAGGGAAATAAAAAGACCACAATTAAACACTACTTCAAAGTCACAAGGATGGTTATAATAAAAAAGATGAACAAGGACAAGTATTAGCAAGGATGAGAAGAAATTGGAACCATCATGCTGGTGGGAATGGAAAGTGGTGCAGCTGTTTTGGAAAAAAAGTTTTCCAGTTCCTAAAAAATACTTAAACAGGGTTGCCACAAGACCCAGAAATTCCACTCTTAGGTATATTCCACTATTAGGTATATATATCTTAGGTATAATTCCACTTGTGTGATATATATACTTGTCCACTCTATATGTTCACACAAAACTTGTCCACTCTTATGTGTATAGCTACGTGTTTACACAGAAACTTGTGGCTGGGCGCGGTGGCTCACGCCTGTAATCCCAGCACTTTGGGAGGCCAAAGCGGGCAGATCACAAGGTCAGGAGATCAAGACCATCCTGCCCAACATGGTGAAACCTGTCTCTACTAAAAATACAAAAATTAGCTGGGTGTGGTGGTGCATGCCTGTAATCCCAGCTACTCAGGAGGCTGAGGCAGGAGAATTGCTTGAACCAGGGAGTTGGAGGTTGCAGTGAGCCGAGATCGCACCACTGCACGCCAGCCTGGTGACAGAGCAAGACTCCGTCTCAAAAGCAAACAGACAAGCAAACAAACAAACGACTTGTACCTACTGGTTCATAGCAGCATTATTCCTGATAACTAAAAGGTGAAGAACCCAAATGTTCATTGATTGATGAAAGGATAAACAAAATGTAATATAGCCATAAAATGGAATATTATCCAGCAACATAGAATAATGAAATACGGATATGTATTACTACATAGATGAACCTGGAAAACATTATGCTAAGCAAAAGGCGGCAGACACAAAGGGCCAATATTGTATGATTCCATTTATATGAAGTGTCCAAAATAGGTGAATCCACAGAGACAGAAAGATTAGTGGCTACCAGGAGCCAGGAGGAAAGAGAAATAGAGCACAATGGATACAATCTAAAATTAGATAGTGGTGATGGTTGCACGGTTCTGTGAGTATACTAAAGACTTCTGAATTGTACATTTTAAAAGAGTGATTTTATGGAATATGAGTTAAATCTCAATAAAGCTATTTCTAAACATTAAAGAAAAAATATGACTTGAACTTATTTGGTAGCAAAATGTGACCATTATAAAACTGTTGATTGTCTTTATTTATGCCACTTAGTGTGACTACGTGTATCTTTTTCTGTAGAAACGTTAATTCATTTCTTTATCAGGTGCTATCCTGGACCCTGCTGGAAATGTTATATATATTGCAAAATGTGTTTACTGTTTATCATTCCAAAATGGTAGAAATTCTGAATTCTTAATTTTGAAACACATCTGGTTCCAGGAGTTTTTGAATAACAGATATGTACCAGGATTGTTACTGATAATCACTAGCATAATACTAAATGCTGAACTTCAATTTTGGTTTCCTTCTTGTGCCCCAAGACCAAGGAGAACAGATCCATGTTTAATGAAAAGGCAAGTTTGATATTAGTTGGCCTGAAAGCACTCCTTAGATATTTATAGCAAATAGAGAATATTTATACACATATATTTGATTTAAAATTGGTTTGTAAACCAGGTTTGGTACTTAATTCACTGGATTCACAGCTCTCAGAGCTCTTTTTTTTCTTCTTCTTTTTCTTTCTTTCTTTCTCTTTTTCTTTCTTTCTTCTTTCTTTCTTTTTTTTTTTTTTTTTTGAGACAGAGTCTCACTCTGTTGCCCAGGCTGGAGTGCAGTGGCGCAATCTCGCCTCACTGCAACCTCTGCCTCCCGGGTTCAAGCGATTCTCTTGCCTCAGCCTCCCAGATAGCTAGGATTACAGGCACCTGCCATCACGGCTGGCTAATTTTTGTATCTTTAGTAAAGACAGGGTTTCACCATCTTGGCCAGGTTGGTCTCGAACTCCTGACCTCAGGTGATCCACCCGCCTTGGCCTCCCAAAGTGCTAGGATTACAGGCATGAGCCACCGCGCCCGGCCCTCAGAGCTCTTTATTGATATTTCCACCATCTCTTATCTTCATGGCCACAGAGAAATTTAGCACCTCTAAGAAGTGCCTAGAAGTTAGTTTTTTTCCCCAGGACCAAAAATTTTAATGAAAAACAAAAAACAAATCCAAACACCTGTAGAGCGAGTACCTTCTAATGCAAAGAATCCCTGCCATAATCTGTAAGAAGACCGCTTCTCTTAATGAATCACCAATGGGATGGAATCTGAAATTGTAAAATACTGTAAGTCAATGTTTCTTATTTGTTGGAAACCCAGATGTTGTCATATTATAGACACAATGGTATAATAACACAACCTGTAGGTCCCTGGCAGAATTGCAATAGATCATTAGTAATTCTTTGAATTCTGAAAATACTAGATGGAGGTTTAACAACAGCAAAAAATTCCAGTGAGCTGAGACCTATTTTTAATTTGCCTCTTACTGGAAATTGAAAGATATAAAAGACCCCTAAAGACATATTTAAACCAAAATGGTTTGGGTACCCTGTACCTAGGCTGGTGGTCCCCAAAATAGTCCCTGGACCAGCAGCATCAGCATCATCTGAGTACTTGTTAGAAATGCAAATTCTGGGCCCCATCACAAACCTGCTGAATTGGAAACTACAGAGTGGGGTAGAACAGCAATTCCTCTTTAAACAAGCCTTGCAAGTGATTCTGATGCCTGCTAATGTTTGAGAACTACTGGCCTGTGCAAATGTCCCAACATATTACAAGACACATTTGGAAAATATTTTACGTAACACTCCCCATTCAGAAAGTCATGCTATACGTTAACTCATATTAAAGGCTCCGAGTAGATCTGCAGTAAAGGAAACTGATGAAAGCGTAGGAATTTGGAAGAACGAAAGCAGGACATTACAGTGCCCCCAGGGCAGTTTGTTGCTTTCCTAGAGATATAGTAACTTCAGTATGCAGAGACCAAATTTGTTTTTCCTTTAAGCAGTGCAGTAAAAATTGTTTTTAATGATTGTTTGTGTTCTCTTTTTGATTTGCTAGGCAGCTATTGGTCTTTATGTAGGGCATATGTGCCTGCCTCTAATGGGGTATGGTAAACTGTTCTTGTCCCCAGAGGGACCCCAGATGGCTTGGCAACCTTTTCCTGTGGGAGGGCATGATTTTAGACTGCTGTTTTCCATAAAAGAAAAATCAGGGATGTGAGTCCAACCAGAAACAAGTTGTAAAGACTCAGAAGCTGACACAGATGGGGCTCATTAGCAATATTCTTAAAGAGCCAAAAGAAGCCAAGAATAGAACATTCTCTCTCTTTTTTTTTTTTGAGACGGAGTCTCGCTCTGTCGCCCAGGCCGGACTGCGGACTGCAGTGGCGCAATCTCGGCTCACTGCAAGCTCCGCTTCCCGGGTTCACGCCATTCTCCTGCCTCAGCCTCCCGAGTAGCTGGGACTACAGGCGCCCGCCACCGCGCCCGGCTAATTTTTTGTATTTTTTTTTAGTAGAGACGGGGTTTCACCTTGTTAGCCAGGATGGTCTCGATCTCCTGACCTCATGATCCACCCGCCTCGGCCTCCCAAAGTGCTGGGATTACAGGCGTGAGCCACCGCGCCCGGCCCATTCTCTCTCTTGTTCTCTCCCATTCTTTGTATGATATTCTCTTCTTGTTGTATATTAGATTCACCTTTTGCCCTTTAAACATCTGTTTAAGTGAAGAAAGCAATTTAAGATAGAAGATTATGATGATCATTATACCGCCTTTTCTAAAAACAAACAAACAAATTTACTCCTTCACCCCAGGCTTGAAACCTCAGTCTCAAATTGACCTTGAAGAAGTCAGCAATCATGTTCATTATTGTCACCATAAGTGCACTAAATTAAGCAAACAATTCTACTGTCTATTCTCAGCAATTGTGTAGATCAAGTTATACATTTTGAGCACTCCCCTTATTCTTATTTCCATCATATATTTCTACTTAGTTTCTTCTTTGCACCAACCTTCTCTCTTATTCTAATTTACGTTATACTTTTAATTTTGAGTTTCTTACCATGTTGCTATGAATTTTATAGAAACAATCTATAAATAAAATTAATTCATATTCTCTTCTTCATTCTTATATATAAATAATACATTCTGGTTTTTTTCCTTTAGCATCCTTCATGACTTAGCAAATATTTTTTGAGCATCCACTATGTCTGCCCTATGGAAGGTGCCATGGATATATAAAATTATATCACTTTAACCTCCTCAAATCTGGAACAGTTTGAACAAGAAGTAAATAATGAAAGTCATGAATTGTAACCTATTTATTAAAATAAGAGTCCATGAATAAATAAATAAGTAAATAAGAAAACTCCTCAGTAGAATTCCACCTGACAGATGTAGAAAGAATAAGAAAATTAAATGCTACTGGGCCAGGCGTGGTGGCTCATGCCTGTAATCCTAGTACTTTGGGAGGTCTAGGCAGGTTGATCACGAGGTCAGGAGTTCAAGACCAGCCTGGCCAACATGGTGAAACCCTGTCTCTACTAAAAATACAAAAAAAGTAGCCAGACGTGACAGTGGGCACCTGTAATCCCAGCTACTTGGGAGGCTGAGGCAGGAAAATTGCTTGAACCTGGGAGGCAGAGGTTGCAGTGAGCTGAGATTGCGCCACTGCACTCCAGCCTGCATGACAGAGCAAGACTCCATCTCGGAAAAATAAAAAAGAAGAAGAAAATTAAAAGCTACTGTCTTTCAAGCACCATAATAATAATTGTGTTAGGTGGAGATCACCAATGGATGCTGCCATTAGAGGATGAAAGTGTGATGAGAAACAAAATATTTGTATAGTCTTAAATTATCTCCCCAAAAGATATTTACTAGTTGCAGAGGAAAATAAATAGTAACTTTACAGTGAAGAAACCTGGCAGATACCACGTTAGCCAAGTGATCAAATTGGTAAAACGTGCCTCCTGATATGATATACTGAGAAGAATACAACATCATTTCTGTAGTATTTTTATCAAAAATGCATAGCCTGAATTTGATCACAAGGAAAAATCAGACAAACCCAAACATAGGAAAATTCTACAAAATAACTGGCCAATAATCTTCAAAACTGTCAATGTCATTAAAGACAAAATAATTGAAGAGCTTTTCTAAAAAGGAGGATAAGTAAATCTAATGTCTAAATGCAATATATGTTACTGGATTTGATCCCGGGCCAGAAAAAGGACATTAGCCAAGCCATTAATGAAATTTGAAATAAAGTCTCTAAAATACATACAGTGCTATATTATAACAATAATAATTTCTTGATTTTGAAAAGTGTAGTGGTGTAAGATGTTAGCATTTAGGAAATCTGGGTGAAAGATATATTTGAAATCTTTGTACCTTTTTGTAACTTTTGGTAAGTCTGAAATTATTTTCAGTGAAAAGTTAAAATGATATTTTTATAGTAGTTCCCTTTTAATTTATACTCCTCTTTCCATATGCTCTTTGAGTTATATGAATATACATTTTTTCCTAAATAGAACTTTTCATTTTTAATCCAAAAGTGTAAATCATAATCACTTTAATTTTTTTCTATATTGCATCCACATGCCAAAAAAAAAAAAAGGAAAGAAAAAAGTTTGCCATTATTATAGTTAATGAGCATCCTCTAAGCCAGAACAGAATTCTGTGGGTAAAATACAGCATATATTCCATTTACTTATGTATTTTAATACATAAGATATAAATTTTAAGTGAAAGTCAATGGCAGCATCAAAGAGACAAGATGTCATTAAAAAGAAGTAACATTTAGACTGGAGCAGAAAAGCAGGTGGATGGGGCTGTTTCAGCTACTTAGTTTGATGATGGTGGCAGATGCATTCATTTAATCATTCAACAAACGCCTAAGCACTGAGGCCTGAGAGATAACAGGAGCAGACAAGGCTTGAGCATTGTTCTCGTGAAGCTCTTCGGGGTGTGTGTGTGTGTGTGCGTGCGTGTGCTGGGAGTGGTGGAGGGTAGGGGTACACTAGGAATAAAGTGCAATGACTGGAATACATTGGCATAGGGACACTTGGAGGAGGACATAGATGAAGCAACTAACCAGATGGCTTCCAGGTGGAAAGGATATCTAGGCAGAGGCCGGGAAGGTCAAAACTGCTAAACGTATTTCTTTGAATCCTCTCAGAGCACCACTTCCTTCATGCCAATCAGTTGCCTCCTTGAATCTCTGTTCAGTTAACAAGCGGTGGAGTAAGTAGGGCAGATCTTTAGCAGCTGTGAGAAGGGAAACAATATGTACAAAGAAAATTCCAATTGAGAAAGAGCAGGGACAATTGAAGAAACTTTAAAAGGTTCAGCATAGCCAGTATAAATTGGGAAGGGAGAGTGGAAAAAGGTGAAGCTGTAGGGTAAACAAATGCCAGAACATGAAGGATCTTATGTTCTGTACTGAGACATTAGATATTATTTTGAGCACAAAGGGGCATGACTCCTTATAGATAATTTTTATTCAGTGTATGAATCTTTAGTGGTTTGCAGTTTAGTTTTTGGGCTCTCTATCACAGCAACTGCCTTCTCACTACGCTGCCCTAAGGATAATAGAGATCATCCCAAGCTTGCTGAATCCTACAGAAACCTGAGATGATCAGATCTGTCCCAAGATGGAGTGCAGAGGAGACTTGCTTGCAGAAGATTCTTCTGCTTGGAATACCAGCACTTGAAGACTGTCTTCAGGTTTCTTTCCCCTCCTGTTGGAAATGGGCTCTGCTTCTGTGTCCAGGGATTGTGACAAGTAAATATCCTCTATATCTTTACAAAAATAATGATGGAAATGGTACTTTAAAAAAATGTAATACCACGTGGAATAGTATCATTGAAACTGCTCATCACATTTTAAGGTTTCCAAAACGGGGAAGTTGAGGATCAGTTTCGGATAACTAAGCTACTCACAGCTTGATGTAAGGGGATTTTCCACTCAGCAGCCTCTTTTTACCAAGTGCCACAGGCACTTCATAAAATTACTCACCAGAGATGGGAGTGTTTTTCTATTTTATCTCAAGGGTGTACTCCAGAAGAAAATTCAATTTATGTTTTACTAGTTTTGTAAGATTTCTGTTTTAGTCAGGCTATGCTAACTGCCATTTAAGAAAAAAATAACTCCTCTCATATTTTTAATACACAATTAAAGTTTATTTATGCTTCATGGCACAGTCCAATGCAGGGAAGAGGAGAGGGGAGCCTCTGGTTGATGGTCATCCATGGATCCAGACTTCTCCCATGAAGTGGCTCTGCCATCATCTAGGGCACTGGAGTCCTCCACTTCATCCAAAATAAAAGAGGTGTACATCACTTCTGCCCACAATCCATTACACAATCATGTGGCCCCCGCCCCAATTATATAGAATGCTGGTAAATGCAATCCAACTGTGTGCCCAGGACAAAGAGAACACAAGCTTTCTCTTCCTCAATTTCCATGCTAAAACTTAAACTAACAGATGCTACATTTTAAATTTATTTCAGTGATGTTTCTGTGACAGTTGTTTCCTTACTCTTTCCTCCCCAGGTTTGTTTGTAGGCTATCATTTGGATATTGATTGGAGATTGTCCTAATTTTTACATTCATATCATTAACATGTTTAATCTACTTGCTGTCTTAGTCAATTTGAGATGTTATAACAAAGTACTGTATATTGGGTGGCATATAAACGATAGAAATTTATTTCTCACAGCTCTGGAAGCTGGAAGTTTCCAATGAGGGTGCCAGTAGAGTTGGCCTCTGGTGAGGGACCTCTTCCAAGCTGCAGACTACTGACTTCTTTTTGTATCTTTAGATGGTGGGAGCAGGGGTAGAGAACTCTCTGAGGTCTCTTTTCCATTAGTGGGCACACTAATCCCATTCATAAGAGCTCCACCATCACAACCTAAATTACCTCCAAAGGCCCCAGCTCCCAATACCATTATACTGGGAGTTAGGATTTCAGCATATGAATTTGGAGGGGGGACATGAACATTGAATCCATTATATTTGCTTTCTCAAAAACCACTGTTGGTACAAATTTTATATGACAGACAAGAAGATGAATGGTATTAATAAAACGTATCTGAACATATCTCCTACGTCTATTTTATTTCCTCCCAGAGAATTTATTTTATTGAAGCATTTGAATTACACACTACTTTATAGAACAATTATGTGACTCAAGAGACTCTTATTAGATCTAAGCCATAAATTGAGTTTTAAACTTTATAGTGGCCAATATGAATAGTTAAGTGTTATTTTATCATATATACATCCTAATTATTTATCATTATAATCACTGTCATAAAATATTTGGGTCAGCTATGGAGAATGGAGGAGAGAACCAGTGAGTTAGCAGGTGTTCCTGAAAAACAACAACAAAAATCCCCTTTGTACTTCTTCAGAAATTGTCACAAAAGTTAAAAAACATAAAAATGCTGTATTTACAGATTATAATTATTGTTTAAAAACATTGAAGGTGCTCAGCTTTATTCACATCAAGGTTTGATCTGGGGGTTGGATGGGGTAGAGGGGCAAGTAGAGAGAATCTAGTTGAGATTGAGATTCTGTGATATTTTATGATATACCAGTGAACTGTTGTGATTCCAACCTGGATCTTTCCTTCTCTACCATTTTCTATGACAGAATGCCATACTCTTCCATATGATAATCTGTTAAGTCTCTGAAGATAGTCATTTTACCATGAAATTTGACGGCACACCAAATAACTCTTCAACTCATGTAATTAAAAGAACACCAATAATAAAAGCTAACTTTTGCTGAGTATATATTATGCAGCTAGTATTCTTCTAAGTGCTTTAGATGCATTAACCTGTGTGGATCATTACAACATCCTTCCACAATAGGTATTCTTGGCCAGAGTGGCTACATAATTTACCTAGGTTCACATAGCTAGTGATTGACAAAGCCTACACTTGAGTTACTTTGTTATATGATTTTCCATATAATAGTCTTTTTACCCACAGGAGAATTTTTCAACAGCTTTCAAAGTTTATGATAGTACACCAATTAGATTATGAATACACATTTTCCCATTAGTCCATGGTATATCAAAATGCCTTTTTAAAGCTTGTGTGGAACAAGACAAATGCCTCGTGTTATTCTGTTGATTTTTACTAAATATGCTGAAATATTAGGTATCATACAGTATATTTAAATTTATACACTGTTCTATTGTATCTGGATTTGCCTCCAAACTTTATATTCCTGTGCCCTATTTTATGATGATATAAGTAATAGTCTAGTAGTCAAGAAACTACTCACATCTACTAAATCTCTGCTTAATGTTGAATTGGTCCAAAGCAAGGCATGGCTCCCTTTCCCAGAGTTTAAAATCAAGATGTGAAGCCTAGCTTAGGCTTCATGATAAAGGTTGAAGCTATGATAAAGGTTGATGCAATTGCAGTTATGAGTTTCCATGCTGTTTTTTTAAATATATTTTTCTCATCCTTAATCAGATAATTTTTTTAATATCTAAAAAAGAAAAGGAAAAGTATTAAAAAATTCAGATTACATATGAGAAAAAATAGCCCCAGTCCTGAGCTGGGGCAGAAGTTTTAGAACTGACGTGATTAGCCAGCTGTTCCTCCTAAGCTGGAAGGGTGGCCCTTGCAGGGTGTCGGATTGAACGTCTTGTAGATGGCGCGCCACCTGGTCAGGCCTTGGTGTGTGCTCACTTCCTTGTCCTGTACCCTTTGGTCCCATTTCTATCCCAAGGTAACTACCAGATTTAACATTTCCATTCATGACTGTTAATCCTGGACTATAAAAGGGGCGGGATTGTCCCCTTTACTCCAACCTGCCACCCTGGGGAGGAATTGCCTTCCTAGATCCAAGTCTCCGAGTGCTGATTCCTTCTTTCCTTCCTTAATCCTCCCTCACCGATCTTTCCTTTTTCTTCTGTTCTACAATTCCTTGTTGGTACTTTCCTTCTAAAGCTAAGAGTTCTGGAATTGGCTGCTTTTAGGCAAAATATACATTTCTACAGGTATTTTTCTGAGATTCTCCTTAGGGTTCCCCCATATAATTTCCATACTCCCACTGTCTTTGGTTTTAGTAGGATTTGGTCAATAACCTCACATAGGTTGGTCAGTCCGCCAGACTCCTAGGGCGAGCCCATCAGGTTGTTACAGCACGGTCAGCAACAGCTGCAAATAATTAGCACTCACAACTTCTATAAAGAAATCTTCCGAAGGAGGGAATGGGTTGGTGGGTTGCCAGTGGCAGGAAGCCTGGACTAGCCATTAGGTCACTCGATTAGTCTTTGATTCATAGGTTTGCTTCCTGTAAGAGGCTTGAAAAAATCAGTGTTGAGCCTAACTTTCCTTGATGCAATAAAGCAGAAAAGAGATGTCCAGGTGAAATTCTAGGAGCAAAGGGAGAGGGAGAGTGGCTCAAGTCAGAAGATAGAAATTGACCTTTTACTTAAAAGTTGTTGTGCTTTGTTGACTAATTTCCCATCAGTGAGTCACTCCGGCCATTAGATGTTATTCCAGTTTATAACAGCGCATCACTTATAAGAATCACCATCAAGGAAGGAAGAACTGGCTATAATCCATGAACAACAAATAGCCATCTTCATCTTTTTTCCCCTTGTAAACAGCTTTCCTATATTTTAAAACTTTCACTTGCTGTTAGAATTGTTTTCTTTATATTATGCCTAAATATTGCTTTATTCAATGACAAAGCAAAATATAAGCAAAAAACCAAATGCTATCTCTCCTGTCCTTAGATACCTCAACCCAGCATTCTAGAATTGCCTCATGGGACAGACCAAGAATCAGCCCAGACAGATTGCACCTGACAGAGGCCCTGGAGAGATGGCAGGGATCTGCCCCATAGGCCTCCGTGTCAGTTTCCCAGTCAGAGATGTTCTGTCAACTGTCAAACATTTTGATTACCTCCGGTTATTCCTTAATTTATTAGGGACACTTATACTTTCAGCCCATACCCTCCTTGTGACTGTCAGCCTCTGAAAGCAGCTCTGACAATATTCCTGTTTCTATATTTTACACATAAGATGTAATGTCATTATTTAGTATCCTTAGCGATAAAGGATTAGAGTCACCCATATGTAGTTTCTAGTTTTGCCCAGTGTCAATCATGACCCAATATGCATATAGCAAAAAGAATCTTCTTTTTAATTTCTATAACCACCATAACAAAGCCATTGAAATCAAAAGCTTTTGTAAATTTATAGGATTTACTAAAGATTGTGTAAAGAACAGGGAAAGGAGTTATATTTCACACCACACAGCACATATCTTAATAAATCTCCATTGCTGTTTACCTAAGTTCCCTCTTCAGGCTTACCATCATTCTATCCAAGATCCCTTCCTCCCTCTCTCTCCTTTCCTTCCAGCCCACCACTCCCTCCCTCTGCTTCCTGCTACCTTTCTTTATTGTGCAGAATCTCTGGGTGCTGGCCACCTTCTACTTAACTGAGAAATTATTAAAATCTTGTTTCACTAAAATCAGTCTTTCTCTTGAAAGGCAAGATGAGGGCAAAATGAATTGTTGCTTTCAAAAAAATAACATTTTATCTAGATCATTACATTGCGTAATACATAGTTTCTTTACTTTCCTGTGTTAAACTAATTTTTTAGATCCAAAAGCAGAACCACAAAGTAGTTCAATTGATTTCCAAAACACCTTAGACAATCCCAATTATAGTCTTACATCAATATAAATTACTCTACTTTTTTCCTTTCTGACATTCCTGCCTGCCTCTACCAGGTATAAGATAGTTGGTTATGTGCAAGCTGTGTCATCTATTTACATCACGACTTATTTTTTTTGGCCTTTCATTTATCTTCTCCTTAAGGCCTCCACATTCCTCTTCTGCAAGAAGCATGGAAGAGATAAAGGGTGTTGGGAAAAAAATTAGTTTTTGGCTACTCTCCTAAACTTTGACCTCCTGTGTTCTTCTGCTAGCATTCATATCTATAGCAATGTGCTTTAAGATTAAAAAAACAAACTAGAGGGCCAGGTGCGGTGAACCCACGCCTGTGATCCCAGCACTTTGGGAGGCCTAGACGGGCGAATCACGAGGTCTCCTGACCATCCCGGATAACACGGTGAAACCCTGTCTCTACTAAAAATACAAAAAATTAGCCGGGCGTGGTGGCGGGCGCCTGTAGTCCCAGCTACTCGGGAGGCTGAGGCAGGAGAATGGCTTGAACCCGGGAGGCGGAGCTTGCAGTGAGCCGAGATGGCGCCACTGCTCTCCAGCCTGGGAGACAGAGCGAGACTCTGTCTCGAAAAAAAAAAAAAAAAACAGAAAAAACGATCAAAGTAAAGAGCAGTTCCTGTTTTCAGTGCTTTGGCGGGCTGATCATAACTTTTCTCAGTTCTGAGAAGTCATTTGTTTCCCAGCACTGTTTCTTACCTTGCTGGGTTTTTCAGCCTACACAGGCCACATCCATCAGTTCAGTCTCGTGCCTATTAATGCATGCTGTCCCAAAGAAGAAGCAGTATGTGTCTCTAAGCACCAAATTCATTTTTAGGAGAAAAAGAATTTTTAATGGCAATCCTACAGTTTCATTAAATTCAATCTGATATATTATCAAACACTTATGTGCCAAGTCCTCTACTAAGTGCTGGGGATACAACATATCCTTGCCTTTGATGAATTTACAATCTAAACTGCAAGATAATTTGTTGATATTTATCAAGAATTATGAAGATGTTCCCACTCCTAAGAATTTATTTTAAAGGTAAAATACAATACAAGCTGCATGAAAAAAAGGAATTTATCCTTATTTTTATTTTGTTTATGTTTGTTTTGCTTTAATCAGAATAAATGTCTGGCACCTAGCTGATACTTAATAAATGTTGATGGTTTGTGGAGGTGTTGTCCAAAGCCTGGTATAGGACTCCTCAAGGCATAGCTGTGACTCTGAGTTTGCCTCTGTAAAGAACAAAGCTTTCTACTATATTACTCTGAGGAGGACTTGGAGGAACAAAGGGTCTGGTCTCTATCAGTGCCCCTCCCATAAATATTTTCTTTGCACAAACAGCAGAATACAAATAAAAGGATAAATAGGTAGCCGTTTATGCTGTGTCTGCTCTCCATCCCCTCAAGAATCTTGAGGTCTAAGTTACACATACAATGAACCCAAGTGCTTGTCAATACCAAAGCCCTTTTCCCCAGTCCAAGGGACAGGCAGAGCAAGTGCTAATATTAGCAGTGACATTTATTCGTTAATTCATTCAAGAACATTTATTGAGCTACCAGAGATATAGAGATACTCTGGAGTCTTGTTTCATAAGCAATCAACCAAAAGAAAGGAGGAAATGTTGAATTTTAATCTTCTGATTGAGTTTTCTGTATCAAGCTTAACATAAGCTCCATGGAGACAATTGTTGCAAATGTCCTGCTTCTTAATCCTTTTGATAGAAATTAGCTGCCATCACGGGGAAAGGGATTTTAAATGGATTATTATGCAATACTATGCAATCAGCCAATACTGCATTATACTCAATATCTTTAAAGAGCCTGGTGTTCCTGCTTTGGAATGACTCAATGAAATGTCTTCTACAATGTCTCTTGGGATACTTCCCTCTTATCCCACCTATCTATGGGTCCTTCAACCACACCCAGGCTTTGCTCCCACTCTCTGAATTTCCCAATTATGAAGTATTTGTCATACTGAGTTATAGCACCCCAATTCACTTTCACTCACTCATGTTGGAAATTACTCATGTTGTTGGCTACTGGAAAATAAGTCAGTAATGTTCCTGTCTGAGCTGTCACATAGTATGCTTCCTTGACATCTGGAACCCAAGTGATGCGGACTTGAATGATCACAATACTGCAGCAATTTGGATTAGAAATCAGACATATGATGGCAAAGTGGCCGTTAGAAGAAAGACAGTAAACCTAAGTTTATCACGTATGAGAAGAAGCCATGCTAGCTGTGAAAAAGCTACAAAATGTAATCATTCTGAAATCTTAAGAAGCTTACAGCATAGTGAGAAAGATGGATATTGATAAGAGTGAGATGCCGTTTTAGAGATGCAAATAGTTACATAGGAGCACAAAGAAGGAAATTACTAACCGTGGATATTATAGCACGTGGGTCATTGAGTTGGTTAAAATCATGGGCTTTGGAGTCAGACAAGGGTTGGGTTAAGATACTAAATTTATCATTTATTGGCTTTTTAGCTTTTTAATCTTGAACATATTATTTATCTTTTCTATGCCTCAGATAATCTCAAATGTCAAATGGGATGAATAATAATAACTATTATGTCATAAGATTACTGTGAGGCTCAGCCGGGCACGGTGGCTCACGCCTGTAATCTCAGCACTTTGGGAGGCCAAGGAAGGTGGATTACAAGGTCAACATAGTGAAACCCCATCTCTACTAAAAATACAAAAATTAGCTGGGCGTGGTGGCGGGCGGCTGTAGTCCCAGCTGCTCCGGAGGCTGAGGCAGGACAATTGCTTGAACCCGGGAGGCAGAGGTCGCAGTGAGCCAAGATCACGCCACTGCACTCCACCCTGGTGACAGAGTGAGACTCCGTCTCAACAACAACAAAAAAAAAATTACTGTGAGGCCCAATAAAGTCATACATTTATGCCATGTAACAAAATAAACACTCAACACATGTTTTCTATTATTATTAGGTTACTAAAATGGCCCATTAGTAAAAGGCTATACTAGAATGATTTTAAGGTTACTTTTTATCTCACAAAGCCCTGTTTTGGAGGAAGAAAAAGCCACGTTATCAGGAACTAAAGAACAAGTAGGTAAGAAGAATGAAAAAGTGGAGCTATATTATTTTTTCTCTTATTGTCACCTTTGGCTACTGTCCCAGTTTTTAGCCGTAGGAGCCTTTAGATTCCAGATTATATGTCATTCATCTGCAAAGAATTCCTTGGGTAGAGTTGGCAGTTCCTCATCTATGTTTCCATAACAGTTTGTGTGCAGCTTTAGAATCATAATCAACCATAACAATAACACCTGTAATTTATTCTGTATATGTCACTAATGTTCAATATAATTCTCTGATTTTTTATGCATCTCTACAATGCCAAATAATTGGAATTATTGCTCCCACTTTCCAGATAAGGAGACTGAGGCCTAGATAATTCAAGAGAATTGTATTAAGCCATCAGGTAGACAACTTTGTAGCGGAGATTTGAACAATGTTCTGACCCACTCCAAAGCCCAGCTCTAGCTGCTCACCACACTGCCTACTCCTTGCACATGACATTTGAACTATTTGTTTCTGGCTACCTGAATGGTCCAAGAAATGCTAGGGACCAGAGATTCTTTCTTGCACATATATGTATCACTAGAAATTGATACTAGGTTTGGTGTGTAGTGACCACTATTTGATAATTTCACCTCAATAGAATGAATGAACAAATTGGATGAACTTTTATTCTTAGAAAATTCAGTAGAGAAAATTCTTTATTCATGCACATCCGGGTTTATGCATTAAAATGGCCTTAGTATGAATCTGGATATAAGATTATTGATCTTATATCAAGCTGTCTTGCTAAATTCACTCAGTAGTTTTTACAGCTTTTAGATTCTTTAGGATTTTAAAGCTACATACACAATTATGTCATCTGCAAATAAAGATAGTTTACCTCTCCCTCTCGAATGCCAGTAATTTATTACTGATAGGTCATTTAGCTCATTTTGTTTATTGTTGCAGAGAATACAAATCAAATTTTAGAATAATTCCTTTAAATGTTTAGAAATTTCCTATGATCTCTATGTTAGGATAATGTCTAAAAAGACCTAAAATTAGTGTTGTTCAAATAAAATAGAAATGTATTTATTTTTCTGAAAGTTTCTGACTAGTGCAGAGAGTGAGAGAGCATCTGGATTCCACCAAGAATACTATTCCCTAGGCTGCTAGCCTTGTCTGCATGATCAAAGCTTGTCTCTGATGACCCCTTTCCATTCTGCAAGAAGCAGGAAAAAGAGAAAGTCCAGACCAAGCAATTTCCTGTTAGAAAAATGAATGTGAGTTGCCCATATTACTTCTATTCCTATTTTACCAGAGAGAACACAGTTGTATGGTCACAACTACCTGAAGGAGAAGGTGGGAAATATAATCTCTAGCTGGGCAGCTAGAAAAAGTTAGAAAAGATTGGGATCAATGATCATCCTGCCACAATCTCCAAAAGCAAATCTAATAATACTTTCACTGATCTAATAGTCATACTTTTGAGCAAACCTGCAGAAAATAAAAAAGCCACATTACTTTCTAATATGTGAAAATGCCTGAACAGAATGGGCAGGAGTAGTCCCTAAGTCCTACTCTCTAGTTCATGTGAGAGGAGGGGAGTTATTTCACATCTAGAGCACACTAACTTAGCATTGTGAGCAACATTAAGGCAATAAAGAACAAGCTCACATCTATGGTTTTCCCCTGGCGTGCTTCAGTTTTTCCTAGGCTGCTGCTGGAGGAAATGAAACATATCAAAGATGTGGAAAGGTGGAGGGGTGCCACTAGGTGCAGACACTCTGGCTACAGGGCAAAGTGACAGCTAATGGGCAGGCATGGAGACAAAGTATAAAAGCACCACAGTCTAGGATAATCTAGCACAGGGAAAATGTCCCTAAACTTGCTTGAGTGTTCTCTAAGGCATCACTGTACTGCTGCCAAGCATAAAACTGATGTTCATGAGGTTGAACCCTGTGAAAATCATCCCTAGAAGAGGTCTCTAGGATTCAATATTGTATATGTCCTCTCCATGTCTCTTTACTCTCCGCATTTCCCACACATCAAAAACCAATTCTGGAATAACTTTTATCCCAATTAAATGAGATTTAAGTGAACATTAAGAAAATACCTTTAACAGAAGGGAAATCTTAAAGGAGGAACCTATAAACAAATGGGATGATTGCAGTGTGTGATCAACAAGGAAGGTTAAGTGGATCAATATTCACAGAATGGAGTATGCAGCACAGTTTATAAAAATCTATTTAATAGGCCAGGCATGGTGGCTCACACCTGGAATCCCAGCTACTCGGGAGGCTGAGGCAGGAGAATTGCTTGAACCCAGGAGGCAGAGGTTGCAATGAGCCCATATCACGCCACTGCATTCCAGCCTGGGTGACAAGAATGAAACTCCATCTCAAAAAAAAAAAAAGAACAAGTGGATATTAATCAATTCAAGAATTTTATTTGCCATCACCATTATGAGATTAATACAAAGTAGGAAAATGATAGTGCATATAGTTCAAAAGGCAATGATTAGAAAACAATTTATATCTTATTTAAAAATATGTATCTCTGGGTATATTTGTATCTGATTTGGACATTCCCAATAGTCCAAAGAAATAATAAAGCAACACTGTAGAGGTCTTACTTGGAAAACTTACAAAGCTTGTAGCTTCCCCGCTGTTGGCCTCAGTAGAGCTAAGAATTAACAGAATTCTGTCTAATGTTCAACTCCATACACGATCTTTTGTGTGTCTATTGTGTATTGATTTCAAGTAGCAAAATGCATCTTTAGCCAGCTTCAGCTCCAAAAGGGGAACTTGCCATAAAGATACAGAGCAAGAAGTTGGGTCTAAAAAACAGAGTAACCAAGACTTAGAAAGTTATCAGAAATTTCTCTCTCTGCGTGGTTGCTTCATATTTATGGATCTTTTTACTCTGAAGGACTTTCTCTACTCCTTTAGACCATGGGCAGAAATGTACACATTATTGGTCTACGTAGACAGACAAATTTGTAATCTCTGAACTATAATTTCAAATTTCCAGGAGAAGAAAACATATTGGCTCGGGTTGTTCAAGTTCCAATTCCTAATCCTATCAGCTGTGGCTGATGTGGGAAGATAACATATATAACCAGAGCTAAAAGGAAAATAGCCCGATAGAAAGAGAAGTAGTTCCCAGAAAAGGGGGATTATTTAGAGATGAGCAGATAGCCTCGAAATTGTCTTTACATATTTAGTCCTGTGAAATAAGCACTGTAGAAAGAAAATAGATGCTTATAATTCTAGTCTTAAAAAAGTCACAATCTCACAAACCTATGTATACATGTAGAGTAAAGGAGTAAAATTTAGTATAATGATTACAAATTAAGTGATGGTTTTGATCAAAAGGGAGCTGGATGTAGTGGAAACATGACGGAACTTAAAATGCAAAGACATGGGTTCAAATCTTGGTTCTGGCCTCTAGTCTTTATAGATCCTTGGATGGGTCACACATTCTTCATTTGTGGGTCTTCATCTTCTTATTTGTAAATGTGGATGATTATATTTAACTTTAAGACATTTTGTGAGAATTAAATGCAGTACCTACCAAATGAGTAGTAGACAGCAGAATCCAGCCTACAACCATGTGGTTCACTGAACATGTTTTCTTTTTTTTCTTTTCTTTTTTTTTTTTTGAGACTGAGTTTTGCTCTTGTTGCCCAAGCTGGTGTGCGGTGGCGTGATCTCAGCTCACTGCAACCTCTGCCTCTCAGGTTCAAGTGATTCTCCTGCCTTAGCCTCCCGAGTAACTGGAATTACAGGCGCCTGCCACCACACCCGGCTAATTTTTTGTATTTTTAGTAGAGAGGGAGTTTCACCATGTTGGTCAGGCTGGTCTCAAACTCCTGACCTCAGGTGATCTGCCCACCTCAGCCTCCCAAAGTGCTGGGATTGCAGGGGTGAGCCACTGCACCCGGCGTGAGCATGTTTTAAACATATAACATTGGTGAAACAACTGGGCTGTATGTTGGCAATAGACTAACATATAGGTGTTGGTTGTCCTTAGGGAAATCATAGTCTGTTGGGGGTGTGAGACAGATGAAGAGATATTTTAGTAAAACGTAGTACAATTGTTTACTATAATTCTAGATGTGATTGGAATTTGATCTGGAAAGGTTTCAGGGAGGTGCTAGGACATGAGCGAAGCCTTATGTTGGTGGGTAAGATTTTACACCGATACATTCCGTATGAAAGTGGGGTAAAGCCTTGGGCTGAGCTGACTTAGCTCTGCAATGGTGATGGTTCACATTTTCATTGTGGGAAGGAAACAAAATTAGTAATTTAAAAGACCTTTTCCAAACATGCTTATCTTAAAGGAAGGATCTAAGGAAAATATCAATACATTTTTTAAGCAGATTTTTAAAATAATAAAGGAAGCTAGAAAATCCAGTGTCAATAATCTACCTGTAGGTAACTGAGAGCATGTTTTCTGTGCTCAGAGAAAATGAAACTACTCAAGAAATGTATATTTGATATAATGGTATAAGTATATAAAATGTATGCCACAAGCTAACACTAGGTAAATTTCAAAGCTACCTTTGCTAGATTTAACTGGAAAGCAGAAGAAATAAATGATACCAGTATGTGAATATTTTAAAGTTGCTGCTTCAATATACTAGTCAAAGTCTGCCAGAGCTATTTACCATCTCAGGACAATTTGTTCACTTCACTTAGAAATTAGAAATGTGCTCTGGCCAATACATCTAAATTTATTTTGTGGTAGTCATTTTGCTTAATGGAAGTGTTTTCCAGATGTTGCCTAAGTCTAGTCGTCTGGGCCCTTTTCCAATAAATGAGGAAAGTTTGATTTCATAGGTTGTCACTGTTGATTTTGTCTAACCTTTGGACTAATTGGTTCATCCCACTGTATTTGCACTGATATATAAGACTCCCAGGACGTGGGATAAACTCATCTATCCTTTACGGGTAAGTGTCAAAGTTAACTTGCTTCATAGAATTAAATGTGTTTTCATTAGAGGTGTTTGAAAAAAAATGTGTAAAGATAGTAGTTGGAAATTTTTGAAAAGGATTATGTTTATGCAATACACCTGTTGGAAGCCTTTGAATTTATATTGAGAATTAAGAAAAAGTTGGAACAGTAACTCCATGATGCTTATTAAATTACATTTCTGTGACACAGGTTATTATTTTCCTTAAGATAAAATTTTAACCTTGCACTGTTAAGTACATGCCATACTTTGGCTAGAGTTTTAAGATAAGTCTATTCTATATTGGAGATTTCTTAAGAATTAAAACTGTCAATAACGTGGCTGAGGGTGACTTGATTTGTTCTGCATAAGATTAAGTCTAATGGCCAAATATTTTCTATAAAATTAAAGCTGATTTAAAGTCTTGTTTCAAGAATGGGATGGTTTTATTATTGTTACATTTTTAAAGTTACTGAAATGTGTATAATGCAAGCCTAAGTTAGTGGTGAGATGAAAGAGCTGTTTTCTGATACTTTTATTTTATTTTCAGCAAGGGTACCTACGGTACCTGAAAACAACGATGGCATGGAAAACACTTCCCATTTACCTGTTGTTGCTGCTGTCTGTTTTCGTGATTCAGCAAGTTTCATCTCAAGGTAGCTTAACCATCGAACATACTTTTATTTAACAACTATTGCTAATCATTCAGTCTTGATTTTTATAACAACGGAAATATATTTCTAAAAATTTATATTTGCTTGAGTTTAATATACTGTACAACCTTAAAATAATATATAACATGTAGCCTGTTTGTAAGTGCTTTGGAATTCTCATCTTTTTCTCCTTTTGAGAGTTTTGAGCTTGTATAAAGAATAATTTTGGTACTTGTTATTTCTATGGTTCTCTCGAAAGTTTAAAAAGTGCAGACAGTTCATCATAAAATTATGCTGGAGCTATATAGTATCATAAAAATAACTAAAAAAGAACAATATTTAGATAACATGTAATTTTTGCCTATATGTTGAACAATTTGTTTTTTAAAATCAAATAAATTATTGATAAATAACTTATTTTGGCATCATTTAGACATAGATACCATATTATAATAAACTATAGTGTTTCAAATGGCATTTTATTAGTCTTGAAAATGTTCTCTTTTTCTTACAAGAACTATTTATCCAGGTATGGACATATACAGATGTGACTGTCATTTTGTGTTATAACATTAAACTTTTCACAGTTCTCCCAAAACAGGTCCTGGATGAATAGTTCTTGTTACTCATTTTTAGAGACTGTTAAAGTACATTCAGTGAAATCACATTAGTAAAAGATGCTAGCATGCCATCTAGGGGGATTAATAGTAACAATGCCAAGCTTTGGATTTTTCTTTTCTTTTCTTTTCCTTTTGTTCCCCTTTGATAAGCAAAATCTGAGAGAATAAAAATCAAGATTCATGACAGTTATGATGAAATTATGTTTCTAAAGTAAACATTTCCAGTAAAATACGAGATTCTTATGAAACCTGAACATGAGTGGTAACTGTCTGCATAGGCATAAGTTGCAGAATTGTTTAGATAAGAAAAGACAGGAAAACACATGAAAGCAAATGTGAATATTCAATAAGAATGATGACTACTCCAGTATCTCCAGACCCTTCGGCTTTCTCGTAACACTATGACAAGGTTCACAACACTGGGGGCACTTTCTAAACTGCCTTTTCCTCTGTGATACAATTGGTTGTTCACTAAAACAGTGTTACTTTCATTTTAATTGTGATTAAATAAATCAAATTAAAATTAATGGGGCTGGGTGTGGTGGCTCACACCTGTAATCCCAGCATTCTGGGAGGCCTAGGGAGACAGATCACCTGAGGTCTGGAGTTCAAGAGCAGCCTGGGCAACATGGCAAAATCTTGTCTCTATACAAAATACAAAAAAATTAGCCAGGTGTGGTAGTGTGTGCCTGTAATCCCAGCTATTCGGAGGCTGAGGCAAGAGGATATCTTGAATCCAGGAGGTGGAGGTTGCATTAAGCTGAGCTTGCATCATGGCACTCCAGCCTGGGCAACAGAGTGAGACTCTGTCTCAAAAATAAATAAATAAATAAATAAAATTAATGGTTACAATTAATAGCAATAAAAGTAGGACAGACACCTAATCTATGAAAGTAAGCTTTTCCTGTAAGGATGATTTCCTCTTTTTTTTTTTTCTTTTGAGACAGGGTCTTGCTTTGTCTCCCAGTCTGGAGTGCAGTGGCACAATCTTGGCTCACTGCAACCTCCACCTACGGGGTTCAAGCGATTCTCCTGTCTCAGCCTCCCGAGTAGCTGGGATTACAGGCCCCTGCCACCATGCCCGGTTAATTTTTGTATTTTTAGTAAAGACAGGTTTTCACCATGTTGGCCAGGCTGGTCTCACCTGACCTCAGGTGATCCGCCCGCCTCAGCCTCCCAAAGTGCTGGAATTACAGATGATTTCTTATTTCAGAAATCTGCCAACTATAAAAGAGCAATCTCTTGATACTGTCTTGTCTGCTTCTCTTGCTTTCTCAACCTCTTCTCATTCTCTTTTTTCTTTATATATAATATATGTATTTATATACATACACTATATATACATTTTTGTATGCATTATGCACTCATGTACGCAAAAAGTTCTGAAAGTTGTCCTACAATTTACTGTTTTATTTGCATATTCAGACTTTGGCATTCCTGGACTCTATTCTTTTAAGATTTGTTTTCAGTGTGTTTCAACATTCCTTTGTGGATTTAGGACAGTACACCTGCCAATTTCTATTCCAGGGATGGATTCCATTGTCACATTTCTGCAGTCATTTCTCAGGGAGGGTTTTAAGGTGGTGTTTTCCAAATGACTTTTAAAAAATATTTGAGAATGAGTATGCTTTTGTTATTGTTTGCTTATTTGTTGCCTGGAAAACCTCTGTTCATGACCTTTATAGTTATGCCCAGTTATTTTAAGGGTTCTCACTTCAGCAGTGGTTGTAAGCATCTGCCTCCCCTGACATTTTAAAAATCCAGTTATCCCCACCAATTAAGGAAGAAAAAGCTCAGTAAAGTTTATGCTGGTGCAACCAGCGTGCTTTAAACTTATCCTCAGGAATGGGAGGCAAAGCGACAGGTGGAAACATCTCAGGCTTAAAATAAGATATATCAGAGTTCAAATTCTGGATGGATTGTTTACTTAAGGTGACCATAAAATGTATTATCTAAATTAGGACAATTATAAGGGTAAAAGAGTTCACTACAAATAATTGGGAGGTATTAATTAACCTATGATGCCAATATACTGGAACTATTAACTAGTCGTGTGATAATGAGCAAGTTGTCAAAATTTCTGTGTTTCAGCTTTCTTAGCTCTAAAAAAGGGCTACTAAATCCTGGAAACATTTTCATAAGCATTAGTGATAATGTATGACTCAGCACCTGGCATAGAGAAGCTCAATAAATGGCAACTGCTAATCATCAAAACCACAGATCGGTAGTAGCTGTAGCTGCCACCTCTTCCTTAGGAGTATCACCCTCTTTAGGCAAAGCCATTACTTTGCCTGGTTTTCAAAAATGTGTTTATCATCTCAGTCTAGTGAAGAATAAAGTGACATAATTGAGATCACCTAAGACATCAGCCAAATATCAGCTGGGCCTATTGCTGACATCATTCCAACACCTTCTCGATCAATAAAATTCTCTCTCACCAAGTGGCTTTGTCCCCCTCGTTAGATTGCTCCCTTTCTATAAAGTGGTTTGGCCATATTTACGCCAGTATTGTATAATTTTAGATTTATCAAGCTGTGCAGGGAGATGTGGGGAAGGGTATTCTAGAGATGCCACCTGCAACTGTGATTATAACTGTCAACACTACATGGAGTGCTGCCCTGATTTCAAGAGAGTCTGCACTGCGGGTAAGTCCTGAGAGCGGGTGTCTCCTCTGTCAAGCAACACTGCGAGTCTGTGAGTCCCCCCTTGCACCCTCGTGCAGTGCTGTGAGACTGAGCCTCCCCTTGCACCCACTTGCAGTGCTGTTTTCCCACTGTATCACTTCCTTTGCTTAAGTGACTTTCCTTCACTTGCATAAATGTTGCAGCGCATTGTACCTAAGGATGGTGTCAAAGCTTGTGATTATTGGGGAGGGTAAGGGGAGCCTGGAAGTCTGTCACTTGCACAAGGTTATTGTCTAGTTCCAAGTAAATGTCTTATTTTAAATAGAGAAGATACTGTGAGTCAGGAGTCATTAAGTAAATAGTAAGGAGTAATTATTTACAATCAGAGATGTCCTCGACTAGTAATGAGGACTTTCAATAGTTTCATCAAAAGAATACATGAGCATGGAATAATCTTGTCTACCATTGGACTTTCTGATGTTAACACGTTTGTAAATTACCTGGAAAAGACACTTTAAAGATAAAGTGCTAGTGTTTAATGATGAATTTCAGTTAAAATCTGAAGGTCTGAATTTTAAATTATGAGTGGTGTTTCACTTGAATATATTTTGGGCCATTTTATTATTAACACAGAAACATTTCCTATTCAATTTAAGAAAATTGTAATTAAAGTTATTTGAAAGGTGTATTTGCTTTAGAATTTGAATGTGAAGTTGAGGAATATATTGTGCAATTTATGTATTGGATAGGTAATTATTTCAAATAAGCCTTGGTAAGTCCCTGTTAACTCTAACAAAGGCTTTTTAAATTTTCATTTTTTAAATGAGTAGTCCTCCCTAACATAGTCCACACTGTAAGATTAGGCTGAAAGCTTTCAACTATACACCTTCCCCAGTTTGTCATAATAAGGGCCTCTGCATTACAAATGATTTTTAAGCCTCAAAAATGACCCATTTACGTGGAATATATATACATATATATTTATATGGAATATATTGCTGAGATCTGTACATTCAATTACTGTGAATCTATTACAAAGCAGTGTGTGAAGAGGAGAAGGATGAAGAGATTTCATATGAAGGCTATCTCACTATCTAGACATTTCCCGATTTTTCTTTGTCCATACATGTAAATAACTCGGGCAGCATCAGGATGTCTCTTGGAGTCTGGAAGGGCAAGAGGAGTTGCCCTCAGTCACCATATTTCTTTTTTGACTTGGGCTGTCTCCATCTGGGATACCATCTAATTTTTCCTGGATGATGTACTCCAAATTTCAAATAAAAGACTTAGAAATGAACTTTTGGAAACCTAGTCAAGTCTAAGGTGGGAAATGGCTGTCAAATACGTGGGCCTGGCTTCACAATGAATAATCTGTAACTTCTTGTTTTGCTCTGGGTAGAGCTTTCCTGTAAAGGCCGCTGCTTTGAGTCCTTCGAGAGAGGGAGGGAGTGTGACTGCGACGCCCAATGTAAGAAGTATGACAAGTGCTGTCCCGATTATGAGAGTTTCTGTGCAGAAGGTAAGCATCACAGTACCAACCAATGCTTCTCAGTACAGCCAGATCTGTGCACCTACCTTAGCATCACTGATAATGTCTAACACGCAGTCCATCTTAGGCCTTGATTTTACTAACATATAAGCTATTTCATAATAATTTTGTTTTGTGGAGATGAATTAAAGAAGAAAAGCGCCTTCCAACAGCAGAACCCCCAGGCTCAGCCAGGCTCCAAGAGTACAAGATGTTGCCAGAGGGGGAACATAGAGGATGAGGCTGAATGTATATGTCTTTTTTTTCTTCAGATATGGTTCAATTTCAGGTTAAATCAACAGTAATCAAATCACTTGATGATTTCTTGTCTCACCCTTGCTGACTTCACGAAGTCAACTATCCTTTGAGCTATCTGTGCTTTTGGCCTCAGTGTTTGAGTATATATTTAAGGACATAAGCAACACTTTCAGCTTCCCTAAACCAGTAAATTTATGAATTAGTTTAAGCCATTAAATTTATAGGCAAATCTACCTAACACGTTGTTAACTGTCATGTTCCTTCCCATTTCTGCAGTCTCCTCAGCAGTCTCTATTCCAATACATGTGCATGGTAAAGTCAATAACAAGGGATATTCCCATCTTAAAATCAAATTCTCTATTTATAGGTCTTGAAGGACTCCTCTAGAGTATAACAAAAGGCTCCAGATTTTACAGAAAAAGATTTTAAAAATATACTTGAATACTGGATTACTTTCCTTTACCAAATGGTTGTTCTTAAATTCTACTTTGTTAAAACAAGAATATTTGTGGAGGTAAAAGTGAAAATAAGCTTTGCTTGCATAATCAATCTTATCATTTTATTTAAACAAGCCTGCGCTTCCTGCTTCTTTAGAACAGTGAAGAAAGATCGGAAAACTGCTAATCAGCAGAATTGAGAGATGTTTCTTAACCGTTCAATGTTTTCATGGGAAAACATTCCAAAAATGATGAAGACAACACCCTTGTAATAAAAACCTTAGAGCTCACCCTTCCTGCAGATTTTAGCAGGCCCCATGATGAGTGACACATATTTACTCATTACCCTAATTGTTTTGGCTGTGAGACAAGAAAGCTAAGAATTTGTTTTGGGCAGAGGATGTCTAGGGAGTGAAGATGGTTAGAAAGTGATGAGACATTGAGAGAACATTTTGATAAAGATAATACTTTATGTTATGAAATATTTGGTCAGATTACCTAAAGTTTAGGTAGAACTCTGAAAAAAAAATGATGAAGGCGATGCTGGCCAACTTTCTTTACAGAATTCATAAGACAGTCAGCGTCCCAACTTAAAATAATAAAACCACTCAGAACCTCAATACTTCATTTTTTAAGTGTAATAACCAAACTATCTTGAGATTCACTACTTAGTTGTTTCAGTATAGATACTACTTACAGGTGTCTATATATCTAAAAATCATAACATTTCAAGAATTGAAGGAATCCCAGCCATCCAAGTGCCTCTGAATGTGAAAGAGAAAACAGAGTCCAAGAGGTTAACCATTTTGGCCAAGAACATTAGCTAGTACATGGCAGATCTGTTTCTCAAATTGAGATACTTGATGTTTTTGCTGGGTAGGAGGAGAAACAAGAGGGACAGTGGCCAGTTCACGGAGACTATAGCAGTAGGGTTCTGGGGCGATGTTGCGGGGAGCAGCATGATTTATCACAACCCTTCTGTACCCAGAGAGTCCCCAGTGCTGTTTTCTTATCCTTCATTAGTCCCTCTTCTTGTTCCTAAAAAAAAAAAAAAAAAAGAAGTTCCATGTTTTCTCTTCTAGACTGAGAAGCGGAAAAGGGAAGGGGACTAAAAGGTTAAAAAGATACACACCAAACCATTAAGTTGTATCTTTGGGAAGGGCAGGGCATTTTGAGGAAAAGCACAATGTGAAGGTGTGAACTTTTCACAAGAATATTCATGTAGAACTTTTGTAATTAAAAAAAGAACAAAAGGCAAATTGGCATCATTTAATTTAAATGAATATTAAAACAGAAAAAAATGAATACTAAAACAGAAAAAAATTCTGAAGGCAAAGACCTTCAGAAATCATCTTGAATAAACATCTTAGTTTGTAGACAAGAAGATGAAGTTCAAGATAATTATTTGCCTAAGGTCACAATGGTAGAGGCTCGCAGGCCTAGGACTGGAATTTAGGTCTTCTGATTCCTGAGACTTTGCTCCCTGTCATAACTTACAACAATTTGAGAACCAGTATTTTATAGCAATGCATCCTTAGACTTAAATGGAGTCATTCGTGTTGAGCTGGAGCCTGCCTGCACTGGCTGTCACCAGCATCTACTCTTGAAGCTAGATGCATCTGTGCTTTTCACAGTTAGAGCTGCTGATGAACATAAACAAGATGTTAACTGACTTGTCTTACTTGGCCTCAGTGCATAATCCCACATCACCACCATCTTCAAAGAAAGCACCTCCACCTTCAGGAGCATCTCAAACCATCAAATCAACAACCAAACGTTCACCCAAACCACCAAACAAGAAGAAGACTAAGAAAGTTATAGAATCAGAGGAAATAACAGAAGGTAGGAAGATGACAGATATAATCAAAGGAGCTTTCTTAGATGAAGTAACTTGTAGGTGACTGCTTATCTAAGCCCATTCTCAGAGAACAGGGTAATCTTAGGAATCATGAGCCTCATTACACTCGAAGGTTTTAGACTTTGCTTTTAAGTAAAGTTTAAGACAAAGTATAAACTCTCAGCTCTTTCTGTATTTACCAAACCCAGCATGAGTCTGGGTTAAAACAAATCAGAAGGGACAAATCTTACTATAAAAAACAAAAACCACCCCATGATTTTCTTTGTAGAATAATTTGATTCTGTGTTTTGGAGGATATGGGAAAGTTGAGAGATACTAGTAATACTGCTAGTATCTGTGATAAGCCCAGGTGCCTTGCTTTTAACTGACAGATTAAAAGGCAGTTGGTCATATTACTAATAAAAGCAAAATCCAGATACTTGTAGACTAGTAAATAGCACTTCTTGCTGTGTTTAGACTGGTGGTTCTTTTTTGTTTTAAATCACAGTTGGTGTGATCAAACTTTCTATTTGATTTATAGAACATTCTGTTTCTGAAAATCAAGAGTCCTCCTCCTCCTCCTCCTCTTCCTCTTCTTCTTCAACAATTCGGAAAATCAAGTCTTCCAAAAATTCAGCTGCTAATAGAGAATTACAGAAGAAACTCAAAGGTTTGAGCATTGATAAAGATCAAAGACTGTATCAATGCCATATTAACAATGATTATATTTAAAAGTAATGCGTGTTGGCAGAATGAGGACATCTTAATATGGGGGGGAATATAACTTTATGAATATTATCTTAGAAAGTACCAAATGAATACTTCCTACAGGAAATTAGTGCCAAGCGGCTAAGAAGCCACTCTAAAAGCAAAGGATAAGAAGATGCTGTAGCAGGACTGTGGAACCACAAGATGGCACCAGAGATGATTATTGATGGCTTTCTACTGTCATTCTTGTTTACTTGACATCATTTTGCTTCTTCTCCTTCATCTTCCTTGCATTTTCATTTTCCCTTCCCCAGCTTTATTTTAACAAACATTTATATACTATTGTTCTAAGTGTTTTACAAGTATTAACTCATTAAATTCTTACAAACCTCTATGGAAAAAATATTATCCATATTTTACAAATCCTCTTTATTTTCCTAGTAACTTATATATTATATCTGGCTGACTTTTCCTCTAGTAGAGACTGTGCTACAGAATAGGCTATTATTGCCTGAAAAGAGATTTCCTTTGCTGTTTATTATTTCCTGAAGTTCTGGTTCTAAATATATATTCTCTTTCTCCAGGAAATACTGGATTTTTGGATAAGGGAGTTTTAAAGAACTCTAAGAGGTTGTGATTTCCTCCGAAGCATTCGCTCTAAATAAATAGCCAGGCATTTAATCTTTTAGTCACCCAGAAAATCGTGCAGGAAGCCACCCTTGGGCTTTGTAGTCCACATGTGGGGCAGCTGCTATGGGAAAGCCTTGATAAATACTGTCTTTTTGCTGCCCATCACACCCTAAGCTCCTCCTTATGTCCCCTGGGACCTGCAAGGTTAGCTGCGCAGAAGAAAAGGAGTGGCTAATAGCCCTATGTATGGGAACAAGGCTCAGCAGGGACTGTGGGGGTGACTGGGGCAGATTGCTCAGAGGTAGCTGTAGAGGCCTCTGAGATAATTGGTGCAGCAAGATGGTAGTACTAGGTTTCCAGGAGGAAGGAAGGGACACTGGGCACTGAAGAATAAGAGTACAAAAAGTAGGGGGTAAAGAACATTAATATAAACAGATGAATTAGTGTTATTTATCGTGTTGGTAATTTTGAACTTGCCACTGACTTCCATGTATTAATTGTATAGAGTTTTATTTGTGCTTTTTCATCCCTCATCTCATTTATTCCCTAAAACAGCCCAATAAGATAGGTTGAGTATTTGCCATTTTACAACAAATTAAAGGACATAGTAGAGATTAGCAATTTGCTTAGAAACACACAACTAGTCAATGATAAAGATGGGATCTTTATGTCACTATTAAAGAAAAAAAAATATTCTAAAATAACAAGATGTATATTTTTTCTCCAGTAAAAGATAACAAGAAGAACAGAACTAAAAAGAAACCTACCCCCAAACCACCAGTTGTAGATGAAGCTGGAAGTGGATTGGACAATGGTGACTTCAAGGTCACAACTCCTGACACGTCTACCACCCAACACAATAAAGTCAGCACATCTCCCAAGATCACAACAGCAAAACCAATAAATCCCAGACCCAGTCTTCCACCTAATTCTGATACATCTAAAGAGACGTCTTTGACAGTGAATAAAGAGACAACAGTTGAAACTAAAGAAACTACTACAACAAATAAACAGACTTCAACTGATGGAAAAGAGAAGACTACTTCCGCTAAAGAGACACAAAGTATAGAGAAAACATCTGCTAAAGATTTAGCACCCACATCTAAAGTGCTGGCTAAACCTACACCCAAAGCTGAAACTACAACCAAAGGCCCTGCTCTCACCACTCCCAAGGAGCCCACGCCCACCACTCCCAAGGAGCCTGCATCTACCACACCCAAAGAGCCCACACCTACCACCATCAAGTCTGCACCCACCACCCCCAAGGAGCCTGCACCCACCACCACCAAGTCTGCACCCACCACTCCCAAGGAGCCTGCACCCACCACCACCAAGGAGCCTGCACCCACCACTCCCAAGGAGCCTGCACCCACCACCACCAAGGAGCCTGCACCCACCACCACCAAGTCTGCACCCACCACTCCCAAGGAGCCTGCACCCACCACCCCCAAGAAGCCTGCCCCAACTACCCCCAAGGAGCCTGCACCCACCACTCCCAAGGAGCCTACACCCACCACTCCCAAGGAGCCTGCACCCACCACCAAGGAGCCTGCACCCACCACTCCCAAAGAGCCTGCACCCACTGCCCCCAAGAAGCCTGCCCCAACTACCCCCAAGGAGCCTGCACCCACCACTCCCAAGGAGCCTGCACCCACCACCACCAAGGAGCCTTCACCCACCACTCCCAAGGAGCCTGCACCCACCACCACCAAGTCTGCACCCACCACTACCAAGGAGCCTGCACCCACCACTACCAAGTCTGCACCCACCACTCCCAAGGAGCCTTCACCCACCACCACCAAGGAGCCTGCACCCACCACTCCCAAGGAGCCTGCACCCACCACCCCCAAGAAGCCTGCCCCAACTACCCCCAAGGAGCCTGCACCCACCACTCCCAAGGAACCTGCACCCACCACCACCAAGAAGCCTGCACCCACCACTCCCAAAGAGCCTGCCCCAACTACCCCCAAGGAGACTGCACCCACCACCCCCAAGAAGCTCACGCCCACCACCCCCGAGAAGCTCGCACCCACCACCCCTGAGAAGCCCGCACCCACCACCCCTGAGGAGCTCGCACCCACCACCCCTGAGGAGCCCACACCCACCACCCCTGAGGAGCCTGCTCCCACCACTCCCAAGGCAGCGGCTCCCAACACCCCTAAGGAGCCTGCTCCAACTACCCCTAAGGAGCCTGCTCCAACTACCCCTAAGGAGCCTGCTCCAACTACCCCTAAGGAGACTGCTCCAACTACCCCTAAAGGGACTGCTCCAACTACCCTCAAGGAACCTGCACCCACTACTCCCAAGAAGCCTGCCCCCAAGGAGCTTGCACCCACCACCACCAAGGAGCCCACATCCACCACCTCTGACAAGCCCGCTCCAACTACCCCTAAGGGGACTGCTCCAACTACCCCTAAGGAGCCTGCTCCAACTACCCCTAAGGAGCCTGCTCCAACTACCCCTAAGGGGACTGCTCCAACTACCCTCAAGGAACCTGCACCCACTACTCCCAAGAAGCCTGCCCCCAAGGAGCTTGCACCCACCACCACCAAGGGGCCCACATCCACCACCTCTGACAAGCCTGCTCCAACTACACCTAAGGAGACTGCTCCAACTACCCCCAAGGAGCCTGCACCCACTACCCCCAAGAAGCCTGCTCCAACTACTCCTGAGACACCTCCTCCAACCACTTCAGAGGTCTCTACTCCAACTACCACCAAGGAGCCTACCACTATCCACAAAAGCCCTGATGAATCAACTCCTGAGCTTTCTGCAGAACCCACACCAAAAGCTCTTGAAAACAGTCCCAAGGAACCTGGTGTACCTACAACTAAGACTCCTGCAGCGACTAAACCTGAAATGACTACAACAGCTAAAGACAAGACAACAGAAAGAGACTTACGTACTACACCTGAAACTACAACTGCTGCACCTAAGATGACAAAAGAGACAGCAACTACAACAGAAAAAACTACCGAATCCAAAATAACAGCTACAACCACACAAGTAACATCTACCACAACTCAAGATACCACACCATTCAAAATTACTACTCTTAAAACAACTACTCTTGCACCCAAAGTAACTACAACAAAAAAGACAATTACTACCACTGAGATTATGAACAAACCTGAAGAAACAGCTAAACCAAAAGACAGAGCTACTAATTCTAAAGCGACAACTCCTAAACCTCAAAAGCCAACCAAAGCACCCAAAAAACCCACTTCTACCAAAAAGCCAAAAACAATGCCTAGAGTGAGAAAACCAAAGACGACACCAACTCCCCGCAAGATGACATCAACAATGCCAGAATTGAACCCTACCTCAAGAATAGCAGAAGCCATGCTCCAAACCACCACCAGACCTAACCAAACTCCAAACTCCAAACTAGTTGAAGTAAATCCAAAGAGTGAAGATGCAGGTGGTGCTGAAGGAGAAACACCTCATATGCTTCTCAGGCCCCATGTGTTCATGCCTGAAGTTACTCCCGACATGGATTACTTACCGAGAGTACCCAATCAAGGCATTATCATCAATCCCATGCTTTCCGGTATTAAGAATCAGTTATTTTCATTTTTAAAGCTGGTAATGTTAGTTTACATCTATCTGAACCAGAATGCCTTAGTTTAGTATCACTCAACTGAGATATATTACCTGACCTTGTTAGCTTGTGAAGTTTTACAGCTTCCCTGTAGGTAAGCAGAGGTGTAATTACAGTAAGCTTTTTCATTCTCTAGAAAATTAAGCCTGGGAATTTAGCATATGTGTGTCTGTGAGCAGCAGAGATGGTATATAGAAAGTCAAAAAAATTTAGTTCGGAGTCTATTCTTAAAAGTACAATGCAAAGCAAAAATCTGTAGTATCATTTTCCAAACTAACCCAAAGGGAGGGCAATCAGAACTGAAAGATGCAATTTCACATTGAGTTCATACATCCAAAAAATGTCTAGTTTACATGAAAATCAAGGTAACCTGGTCCATTCCAATTCATAATAATT